>NC_000015.10:94320066-94958492 GCF_000001405.40 Homo sapiens | reverse complement strand
TTTGTGTTGAATCTAATTGGGAATTCTTCCCCTTCCGAGATCTGGATGTTTATATATCTCTCATGATTGGGGATATTTTCAGTTATCATTTCATTGCATAGGTTTTCTGTACTTTTCTCTATAGCTTCTCCCTCTGGTAATTCTATTATGCAAAAATCTGTTCACCTAATGGTGTCTCATGAGTCCCATAGTCTTTCTTCGTTCTTTTTTATTATTTTTTCCTTTTGCTAGATTATGTCAAAAGAATTGTCTTCAAGTTCAGAAATTCTTTATTCTTCTTTATTTAGTCTACTGTTGAATCTTTTGATTGCATTTTTAATTTATTCATTCAATGAGAAAACTCCACAACTTATGTTTGGTTCTATTTTATGACATCTATCACTTTGTTGAATTTCTCATTCAGATTATGAATTGCTTTCATGATTTCATTGAATTGACTGTATTTTTTATACCTCACTTAGTTCCCTAAGGTCATTATTTTGAATTCCTTCTTAGGCATTTTATAAATATCCTTTTATTTGGGATCTGTTATTGAAGACTTACTGTGTTTCTTTGGGGAATTCATGTTTCCTTGCTTTTTATATTTCTTATGTCTCTGTGTTGATATCTGCACACCTAATGCAACAGTCCCCTTTTCCAATTTATGCAGTAGCTTTTGTAGGAAGAGACATTTTTCTGTACATGGGTCTTAGGATTGGGTATGGTGTATATACTTTGATTTTTGATGGATTAAGAATTGTGGTCTATGTGCAGTTTCTTAAGCTGTAATACTCATTAGTGATGTCCGTGATCTGCTCAGTGGCCTAGGCTGTGGGAGTTTATAGTGGTATTGGAGCAATTTTGCTGGGGGTGGGGGCACCAGTGGTACTGGAGCAATTTTGCTTGCGGAGGGGGGCACCAGACTGGTTGCTGAACTACGCACATGTGGGTATGCCATTCTAATGGGCTGTGCCCTGGTCTCTCTAAGGAGATAAGGCACAGATTTGCCAACCTGGCCGTCAGGCCTGGTGTGAGTTTGTGCAGGTGTGGCAGCCAGGCAACTGTGCAGTGGTCTCTCTGAAAAGAAGGAACTCTGATTCTCTCTGTTAATCCAGACACAATCTCAGTGGCTGGCTAGCTGTGTGGCATTCTCTCTGGAGAGGCAGAGTGGCCACAAGACTAGGTTGTAAACTGGACGTGGGTATACATGAGTTTGGTGGGACAGCTAGCTATGAAGTGCAGTTGTGTGTGAGCCAGGTAGACTGGCTGGCTGTTCAGCAGCTTTCCCACTGGGCAAGTCCATCTGTTCCCCAGGCAGGCTGGGTGCTATGGAGGTTGAGACATGGAGGTCTCGGTCATTCCATTGGGCCTAGGCTCCATGCAACCAGGGTCATGGTTTTGTATGTGAATGTGGTAGAATTACATTGGGACCTCATGAATTCAGAGTCAGTGGCCACTGGTCCCAAGGACAGAACACAGTCTAGTAGTGGGCTTAGTTTCAAAATGGTACTATTTTGTAGTAGCTTAGGGTACAAGGGTGGGGAGTGTAAGAGTGGCTCCTACTCTGAGTCAGTGTAGCCGTGTGAACTCCTAGTAACTCTCCAAACAGGATTCAAGGCATAAGGGGACTGAAAGACTCTCCTGTAGCAAGGAATGATGACATCCGTAGGGATAATAAGGAGGTCTCTAGCTTACATTTCTCCCTTAAAGAAAAGTTTCCCTGACTCCAAGGTTATCCTGCAGGGAGACAGCGTAGCACAGAAAGGATGCCCTGCTTTCCTCTCTATGCGGCTATGCTGAGCTTCTGTGCTCCACAGAGATTTTGTCAATTCCTCGCTGCTCACCAGCATATTGGACTTTAGTCACTCCAGTCAAAATATTGTTGCTTATTTACTGTTTGGGTTCCTTTTTTGGGGGGTATGATTGCCAGGCCAACTCATAGGCCATCTTACTGACATCTCTGCTCTACCTGTTCTTGTATTTGTGATAACATGCTTTATTTTAGAATGAAATACATCTGCCCTTCAAGACTCACTGAACAGAACTAGTCACCGAGGTCCATCCAATTTACCAAATACAATCTTTCTCCATGCTTGAAGTTTGAAAACTAAAAATAGTTGAATCTCTGGAAGAACCTTTCATAGTTTCATAGTATTTTATTTTCTAATAGTATTTGACTTCTTCAATTTTCCTGTAAATATATTTTTAATTACATAGACTGCAATGAAATATTTCTGTATATTTATAATGGTTTTCTTAGGGTAACTATGCATAAATAAAATTATCCTGTCTTTACGTATTGTTAAAGGCTTTAGATATGTAGGATTTAAACATATTTCAAAAAGCTATATTCCCACAAGTTGTATATAAGAGTATTTTTTAAAATCTCTTAACCTCAACTACACTGAATTTTTTTTAGCTTTTATAAATTTGGTAGGCAAAAAAAACTCAAGTGATTGTAACAGTTTTAAAATCATAATTTGCATTATTCGTAGTTTGAAATACTTTCACTTATGCTACTTCATTCATAGCCTGTGGATATAGCAGCACCGCTAGATACACTGCAAATCTGCTGAATTCAAGAACCCTCGAGTTTCTAAATCAGGTATCCCACTGTCACTCTCAACTTCCTGTTGAATGCCTAATAGATATGTCACAGTTAACAAGTAAAAAACAAACTTTATGCTCCCTACTACCCTATAATGGCTTCATGCCTTCAGCATAAACAAAGTTACTCAGGCCAAGCAACCAAAAGTCATCATGGATCTTCTCCTTCCCTCAAGCCCCTATTCAGCTAATAAAGTAAGCTCTGGTTTAAGACTTATTCCAAATCCTGCCACTGTTCTCCATTTCTAGCGCTCCATCCTGTTCAAACCAATCATTATCTCTTGCCTGAATTAATGTAAAAGTTACATAATTGGTCCCCTATGAATATCAATTTAGCAGCAGGGCTGATTTTTTATGAGAAAAATTCATATAATGTTATTGATTTGCACAAAATTTAATCATAATCAAAACAAAAATCAAACTTCTCCTCCAAGTCACCAAGACCCTTGTTTGCTATCATCCTCACTCTTATTCTGTTCGGTTTAACCACACTGCCTTTTTATCTTTCCCTGGAACAGTACACATTTTCCCCTCTGTAGGATCTTTAAAAATTTACTCTTGCTAGTTCATATTAAAAGGGGGGAAAAAGATCTTTTTTCACAGGCTTTCATATGACTCCTTCTTCACTTTATCCAGGTCTCTGATTAAATGCAATTTTCTAGCAGAGGCCTTTGTTGACTATTACACCCAAATATCCCTCTCCTTACCACATACTCATTTATCATCACGTCATCATCATCTTCTTCACTATTTATTAACACTATCTATTTTCCCTCATAACATAAAGAACCACTTCAAACATAGACACGCATAGTTTGTCTCCTTTGCCTCACTAGAATTCAAGCTCCATGAGAACAGGGATAAAGACTTCCTTATCACCCACTGTGCTTATAACCTCCAGTCAGGGATGGGCACAAAGTAGGTGTGAGTTCCCCAAAAATATTTTTAAATGAAAAAAGTAGTCATCGGACCTATGTGTTCTGAAACGTGGCAAAGTGGTCACTATGATTAGCCCTCCTACATGCAAAATACCAAGATGCTGAATACACTTTTACTGATATAATTTTTAATGTATTTCTGGACTGACAGGAAAAACTGAACTGCATGGTGAACTGCAAACACATGTTGGCAAACTTGACACCAGAGAAGGGAATATTCTTTTGAAAGAGCAATACCTGAGAAACACAGTTTGGTGTTTAATGGCTGCTCACAAAATGAAAGACTGTCCCTTCGGCCCACATGAAGAGGAAGATTTCAGTCAAAGATTATACATAAGGAAAGGACATCTGATAGGGTTAAACCAGCAGTGAAAAGTAGAGTCAGGGAAAATTTAATTTGTTTCTGTGCTTTTGCTTCAGATGGAAAGAAAAAATTGTCTCCTTTGAAAATATATAATCACAAGCCTGCTTTTACTAGAAAGGTACCAGCACTGTTCACTATCACCAAGCTTCACAGATCCCAAAGCCTAGATGATACCTATTTAATGTCAAGAATAGTATCTAACAGCAGAAAAAAAAATATCAATTCTCTACTGATAAACAAGTAAATCATCGTCAGGTTAGTACCTTGAAAATACCCATAGATTAGACTCAGTAAAATATAAAAAAAATAATAGTAAATGTGCCAAATAAGTAAGGAAACAAAGCACCATATGTAATAATTAGCAAACTAAAAAAAAAATTACGGATTTGAAAAAACAACAGATTTAGGGTTTCTAAAAGGACCTCAGATTTTAAAATTACCAAATGTAGATTTTGAAAATGTGTAAAATAATTTTTAAATAACATAATTTTATTGAAAAATTCAGCAAATAGCTAAAAAACCTATGAATGTGATCATGTAGATTGCAATAGAAGTCCAACAGAATTTTAGAAAATAAAAATGCAGTTGTTAAAAATCAAAACTACAGGTGAAATAAACAGAAAATTGGCTGGGCACAGTGGCTCACGCCTGTAATCCCAGCACTTTGGGAGGCTGAGGAGGGAGGATCAGGAGGCCAGGCGATCAAGACCATCCTGGCTAACATGTGAAACCCCATCTCTACTAAAAATACAGAAAATTAGCCAGGCGTGGTGGTGGGTGCCTGTAGTCCCAGCTACTTGGGAGGCTGAGGCAGGAGAATGGCGTGAACCCCAGACACGGAGCTTGCAGTGAGCCGAGATCGTGCCACTGTACTCCAGCCTGGGCGACAGAGTGAGACTCTGTCTCAAAAAAAAAAAAAAAAGCCAGAAAATTAGGCACAGATAAAGAAAAAAACTAGTGAACTGAAACAGATGAAAAACTCAAATGTAGCTCAAAAATTAAGAACATGGAAATTATGAAAGTTTGGCAAAAATAAGAATAGAAAGAGAATACATGTCATATGTTTAATTGCAGTTTCTAAAGAAAAGGTCAAGAATAGGAAAAAATTGGAGAGTAGAATGACTAAGAAATTTCCAAAATAGATACAACAGAGTGAATAAATAATAATAGTAATAAAAGGAAAGCATGATATGTTTAAACAAATGAAAAGAAATAAATAAAATAAAAAGAAATCCAGTCCTGGACAGAATATTACATAAACATGCAGAAAAATAATGTAAAAAGATCTTAAAGGCAGCAAGGGAAAAGACTAATCATTTCATATTTAGACTGACAGCTGACATTTCAACAGCAATAATGAAAATAAGAAGATGCTGAAAAAGTACTTCAAAATGCTCGACAATAATGATCAACCTAGAATTGTGGCCCTAACAAAAGCGTATTCCAAGAGCAAGGGTAACGTAAAGTCATTGTGAGCTAAAATAAAACAGGATTTAACATCAGCAGATCCTTCCCAAAAAATATTCTAAAACATGTACTTTAGGAAGGACAAAATTATTCTAGAAATAGGGTTAAAATAAGTAACAAATAGGAAAATACATAAGTAAATTTAAACAAGTATTTGATCAAATAGAAAGCATTACTAATAATTTACATAAATGTATAGAATAAAGCAATATTTCATGAAGCAATTATTAAGGTTAGAGTAATAATAAAGATCAGAAATAATAAATGAGACTTCTACTTACAGGACTATTTGTTACAAGATCCACGGAAAATACATAAAAAATTAGAAAAAAAAATGAAACTGAATCTCATTCGTATGTGAAAAAAATAAATCCCAAATGGATTAAAAATGTGTTGTTAAGAATAAAAGTTTAAAAATTCTAGAATATAAGAAAATGTCTTTACTACCTTATGATAAAATATATTTAAACAACACAAAAAACTGCTAATTATAAAGGAAACAATTGATAAATTGTATTCTTTTAAAATGTAAAATGTCTTTCTAAAAAGACATTGTCAAAGTAAACCAAAAAATGGGAGAAGGAACAAGCCACAAACTGGGGGACGGTATTTGAAATACATACAAACGGCAAAGCCTTAGTGCTCGAAAAATACATAAAGGAGCATGAAACTCCTATGAATGGAAAGAAGAAAAAGAAGAAGAAGAAGAACAACAACAGTAACAATAACAACTTCATTTTTTAATGAGTAATAAAAATAATGTGGGAATAGAAAATAAACATGTAAAAAGATTGCTCAATATTGGTAATAGCCGGTGAGAGAAATGCAAATCAAAACCACTCTTCATATAAAAAATATTGTTATAATTGTCATATGTTTATGAGAATGCAGAAAACCAAAAACTTTTGCACATTACTGGGGTATTGTAAATTGATAAAATTGAAATTGGTAAACAAGTTAACATTACCCTAAAAGGCTGAAGATATATATATCTTATGACCTAACATATTCCAGAAGTCTTAAACATGTGCATCATGAGATGTAGATGATAATAGTTTTAGTAGCATTAGTTGATGGCAATAGATTGAAAACAGCCCAAATACCCATAAACAAAAGGCTGTATAAACATAATGTGGTATAGTCAGTAAAGAAAATAGGTAAAATAATGTAAATTAATGAAATACAACTTGTGACATCAAAATGAATGAATCTCAACATGGAGAAGGTTAATGTTCTTCAAATATTGTACCTGCTCCCTTATATTTGCATTTAGAATGTTAAGTTGATCTGGTTATGAACATGAGACGAAATGGTGGCTATCACATATGAGCCAGAGCACAGCAGACTGGGAAGAAGTTCTCCATATGATCCTTTTCCTGACAATTGGCAGACATGTTCCAGATGATGAAACCTCTGGCAATCTGGGAACTATGCCACCCTCCTAGTTGGTCACATAGCATAAACCTTTGTTATGTTAAAGCACTGAGATACGGGAGTTAATCTGCTATTTTAGAGTAACATAGTCAACACTGACTGAAATACTATTTTTATATAAAGTTAAACACAAAGTATAGCATTGTATTTAGCATTATATATTTTACCATAAATATATATGTGAAAAAAATACCAACAAAGGGACTTCTGGTGGAAGTTATTCTGGTGGAATAACAAGGACTGCTTGCCTTCCTGCCCGAAATGATGGAAAACTGGAAAATATATATAAACCAACAGTTTTTAGGACATTGAACAGGTCATGAAGGACATCTCTGAAATAATGGTACAAACACAGTGAGTCCTACAAATTCTCCCACGTACAGACTACAGTTTCTCAGCTATACCACAAATAAGAGGAACACAGTCAATCAGGTAACCACCTGAGTTAAAGAAATAAAGCAGAAAGTTTGTTGAGACTGCGTCAGGTATAATTCACAGGACAGAGTACTGGATAGGAGATATAGTCCAGAGAAAAAAATCCCAGATATCTTATTCCTTGAAACCTCAGCTGAGTACCACTAAGAACATGTATATGAGGAAATGACTCAAGGTCAGGGAAAAAGACTACCTAAAATGATTGAAGAAAGCACCCATTGGAGCTCACAGAGGTCCAGGGACAGTACCCATCCCCACCAACCAGAGTGGAGAAATTTATAATTCTTAGGGCACTGGGAAGAGTACTCAGTAGGGTTTTGCCTTAGCGGTCAGGAAAACTTAGCCAGGACTAATGCTGCTCTAATACCTCTTAATAAAGGTTAAAAGCAGGACTCAGAAGTGTTAAACTGTTTTCAGAACAAAGCTTACTAATACTTATAGGAATAGAAAGTTATTCAAGACTCAACAAAATTTACATCAGCCATGAAATTAAAAGTTATCAAGTGACCGGGCAAGGAGGCTCACGCCTGTAATCCCAGCACTTTGGGAGGCTGAGGTGGGTGAATCACCTGAGGTCAGGCGTTTGTGACCAGCCTGGCCAACACGGTGAAACACCATCTCTACTAAAAATACAAAAATTATCTGGGTGTGTTGGTGCATGCCTGTATTCCCAGCTACTCGGAAGGCTGAGGTAGGAGAATTGCTTGAGCCTGGGAGGTGGAGGTTGCAGTGAGCCGAGATCACGCCACTGTACTCCAGCCTGGGCAACAGAGTGAGACTCCGTCTCAGAAAAAAAAAAAAAAAAAAAAAAAGTTATCAGGCACACAAATAAACAAAGAAATACAAAGCACGGTAAGAGAAAAGACTCAGCAATTGAAATGGTCCCCTAAAAAGACACAGATAATGAAATTACATTACTGAGTTACAGACTCTGTCACCTCTCCTAAAATTATTGATAAACAGAAAATTATTGATCATATAGAAACCTTGAATAAAAATATCAAACAGGCCAATTCAATGGCTCCTACCCATAATACCAGCTCTTTAGGAGGCCAAACCTTGGCAGATGGCTCGAGCCCAGGAGTTCAAGACCAGCCTGGGCAACATGGCAAAATTCTGTCCCTACCAAAATAAATACAAAAATTAGCTGGATGTGGTGGCATATGCCTGTAGTCCCAGCTACTCAGGAGGCTGACACTGGAGGATTGCTTAAACCCAGGAGGCGGAAGTTGCAGTGAGCTCAGATCACACCACTGTACTCCAGCCTGGGCAACAGAGTGAGACCCTGTCTCAAAAAAACAAACAATTTGATCTAATTGACTTTTATCATTACAACCAAAAAAAGCAAAATATGTACTTTCTTCAAGTGCATAAAAAGTATTTACCAAAACAGATCATATTGGGGATCATAAAACATTAATAATCTAAAATAATTAAAATTAATGCAAATATTATATTTTGTAACCATAATGTAATTACTTTAGGAATTGAAAATGGAAAAATTTTTGGAAAATATGAAAATATTTGAAAATTAAGCAGCATTGGGTGAAAAAAGGAATCAAAAAGAAATTAAAGTATTTAGAACTGTATAAAAATAAAAATACAGCATATCTAAACTTTCAGTATATAGCTAAAGCAGTACTTAGAGGATAACTCATAGGACTAAATACATATACTAGAAAAGAAATGTCTCAAATCAATGATCTCTTTTCTGCTTTAAGGAAACAGAAAATGAAGAGTATATTTACATCAATGTAAGGAAGAGAAAGGAAATAAGAGTTTAGAGTGGAAGTCAAGAATAGAGAAAGCAAGAAAAAATAGAGAAAACCAAGAAAACCATAAGGTGATTCTTGGAGGAAAATCCACAAAAGACATAATTCTCTTTCCAGACCAGTCACAGGCGGAAAAAAAGGGAGAAGAGAGACAATCAGAAGGTATCCTTCTGTCTCACTAAAACTTTGTACCCTTTGACCAACATTTCCCCTTTCCCCACCCACCATCCCCATTCCTTAGCTTCTGGTGACTATAATTAATAATAATATATTGTACATTTCTGAATTGCTAATAGAGTGGATTTTAAATATTCTCACCACAAAGAGATATGTGAGGTAATAAATATTTTGATTACCCTGATTTTATCATTTCACAATGTATGCATGTATCAAAACATCACATTGTGCCTTGTAAATGTATATATTTATTAATTTTAAATAGAATTTAAAAATAAAAATAAAATAAAAGTTAAAAAAGACAGAATAACTTACGTCAAGGATAAGAGAAGTAACATTACTACAGATTCAATAATAAAAGAATAAAAAGTGAATGACATCCTATGCTAATAAATGTGACAACTTAAAATAAATGGACAAATTTCCTTAAACTCTTAAAGTTCACTCAAGAATACATAGGTATTTATTTATAGTAAAAATCTTCCCACAAGGAAAATTCCAGTCTCAGATAGCTTCAATTAACAATTATACAAATAACTAGGTAAAGAAAATGTATTACATATATACCATGGAATACTATGCAGCCATAAAAAAGAATGAGATCATGTCCTTTGCAGGAACACGCACAGAGCTGGAGGCCATTATCATTAACAAACTAATGCAGGAACAGAAAACCAAATATTACACATTTTTACTTGTAAGTGGGAGCTAAATGATGAGAACACATGGACACACAGAAAGAAACAAAAGACACTGAGCTTTAATAGAGGATGAACGGTAGGAGAAGGGAGAGGATAAGGAAAAATAACTAACAGCTGCTAGGCTTAATATCTGGGTGATGAAATAATCTGCACAACAAACCCCCATGACATGAGTTTGCCCATATAACAAATCTGCAATGTACCCCTCAACTTAAAATAAAAGTTAAAAAAAAAAAAAAGAAACAGTTCAGGTTAAATATTTCTGCTGTGAAAATGTGAAAGGATATGAATTTAGTTCATGTTTTAAAGAGAATACAAATTACACAAGTTGCTTTGAGTTGACACAATGTTTGTATAGTTACTTACAATATTGTTTGGATGCTATATAATTGTCACAGTTGTCTATTTTCAATGAGGAAGGATATAGGCAACAATACAGTGTTCTTGGTTCTGATTGCAACATTAAAGATTATTAAACATAGTAGACTATGGTTTGTAAAAATTATAGGACGATTTATTTTATTTTTAGTAAGTGTCATTTGGGCCTATTTTAACAAAATTTTCTACTTAAGGTTTTAAAAAAGATTTCTACCAGCCATTTAAAGAAGAAATAACATTAATTCTGTACAAACTATTCAAGAAACTGGAAAGAAGGGGCTACATACTGACTCAGTTTATGAGACCAGCATTAATCTGATTGCACCACCAGTCAAAGGTATTATAAAGGAAATTAAATCTATAGAAAAATATTCCTTATGAACATGGAAGAAAAGATTCTTATAATTTTTATAAGTAAAATAAAGCCCGGGCGTGGTGGCTTATGCCTGTAATCCCAGCACTTTGGGAGGCCGAGATGGGCGGATCACGAGGTCAGGAGTTCGAGACCAGCCTGGCCAACATGGCAAAACCCTGTCTCTACTAAAAATATAAAAATTAGCTGGGTGTGGTGGCGGGTGCCTGTAAACCCAGCTACTTGGGAGCCTGAGGCAGGAGAATCACTTGAACCCGGGAGGCGGAGGTTGCAGTGAGCCGAGATCACGCCATTGCACTCCAGCCTGGCGACAAGAACAAGGCTCTGTCTCAAAATAAGAATAACAAATAAATAAAATACACAAATAGAAAATACATAATGGCCAAGTTGGGTTTTTATGCCAGAAATGAAAGCGTTTTTTGTTTGTTTGTTTGTTTACCATTAGAATCAGTCAGTGTACCTCAAAATAATAACAGACTGAAGAAAAAAAAATCATCTGAAGAGAATAAGAAAAAAACTTTTCACAAAATTCAACATCTATCCTAATTGAAAAAAAAAAAAAAAACACTGCCATTAAACCTGGAAAATTAGGGATCTTCCCTAAGCTGATAAAAGGAATTCATGAAAAATGTATTGATCACATCGTGTTTAATGTTAATCAACGAATGACTTGCCCCATAATATTAAGAATGCTTGTTCTCAGCATTTCTATTTTACATTATATTGGAGAATCTAGCCAGAATTTCAGGCAGAAAAAGAAATAAAAGGCAAACAGACTATACAGGAAAAGTACAATTCTCTTCATTCATAGAAGGCATGATTGCCTACTTAGAAAATTTAATGAGCCTGTCAAAAAAAACAACTAGACTAATAAGTTACATTATCAAGTTTGCAAGATGCAGGACTAATATACAAACTATATTGCATTTTATGTTAGCCACAATCTGAAATTAAAATTTAAACAATAATGTTATTTGCAGTAACATAAAAATATAAAATTATCAGGGATAAATTTGACAAAAGATGGATAAATTCATATAATCCAAAGCATATGACATTGTTGAAAGAAATTTTTTTAAATGTTAAATAAAAGGTGAGATAACCATATTTGTGTTTGAGGAGACTCTATATTGTTGAGATATAAATTATCCACAAATTGATCTATAGATTCAACCCAATTTCAATTAAGATTCCAGAAGTCATTGTAGAAATCAATAAGTTAATTCTAAAGTTGAGGCCAGGCCCAGTGGCTCATGCCTGTAATCCCAGCACTTTGGGAGTCCGAGGTGGGTGGATCACTTGAGGTCAGGGGTTCGAGACCAGCCTGGACAACATGGTGAAATTCTACCTCTACTAAAAATACAAAAAATTAGCTGGGTATGGTGGCGTGCCTCTAATCCTAGCTACTCAGGAGGCTGAGGCAGGAGAATCGCTTGAAACCGGGAGGCGAGATTACAGTGAGCCGAGATCAGGCCACCGCACTCCAGACTAGGCAACAGAGTGAGACTTTGGCTCAAATAAATAAATAAATAAATTCTAAAGTTCATGTGAAAATACAAATAAACAAAGCTTTGGAAAAGAACAAAGTTGGAGGACCTACGCTTCTTGAGATCAAGGTTTATCATGTTTTAGTAATCAAGACAGTGTGTGTTGGCACAAATATCAACAACTAAATAAATGGAACAAAATAGAGACTCCAGAAACACCTCTACACACGTATGCTCAATTGATTTCTTATAAAAGTGTAAAGACAATTCATTAATGAAAGAATAATTGTTTCAAAAATTTTTGTTAGAAAATATTGGATATTAATATGCAGACAAGATAACACTGATAAAAATTTAACTAAAAAAGGATTATTGATCTAAATATAAAATCTAAAACTACAAAACTTCTAGAACAAAACATAGAGAGAATTGTGGCAGCTTTAAGTCACCGAAATATTTCTTATATACAATTTACAAAGCATAATCCAGAAAAATCAAAGTTGATAATGTGAAGTTCATAAAAGTTAAGAGCCTCTGATCTTTGAAAAGCATGGTTAAAGGAATCAAAGGACAAGGCACAGACCGGGAGAAAAATATTTCCTATATCTGAAAAAGTACTTGCATCCAGAATAGATTCTATAAAATCCCTCTCAATTTAATAAAGAAAAACAAACTATCCAATACCTAATGGGCAAACGAGCACCTTAATAGATTCTCAACACCATTAGCCATTAGCAAAGTACAAATTAAAGCCAGAATGGGATACCTCCATACACCTATCAGAGTGCCTAAAATTAAAAAGGCTTACCGTAGAAGTTTTGTCAAGTCTATGCCACAACTAGAACTCTTGTAAAGTTCCCATGGGAATGTAAAAATTTGCAACCACTTTTCAAAAGATTAGTGGTTTTCTAAAAATTAATCACACACTTTCCAAATTACTCACCAATTCTATTTCTATGTATTTGCCCCAAAGATATCCACAACATAGTATAAAATAATTCAAAGACTTGTATTCAAATATTCATAGCACCTTTATTTATAATAGCCAAAGTGGGAAATAATCCATAACCCATCAAGGATAAGTAATATTGTGGTATATATGATGAAATGTTACTCTGCAATAAAAAGAGATAAATATACCAACATGAAAGGATCTCAGAATAATTATATCAAATGAAAGAAGCAGGACAACAAGACTACATACTAAATAATTCCATTTATATAAAATTTTAGAAAGGAAATCCAGTCTAAAGTGACAGAAAGCAGGGTACTTCTTGTCGGGTGATGAGGGTTGCAGAAGGATGAAGTATCACAAAAGCAGAAGAGAAAATGTGGGTGTGACGGATATGGTTATTTTTATTGTTGTGATAATTTTGTGTGTGTGTGTGCATGTGTATTTGCATGTATGCCTATACATGTACAGAGATGTCAAAACATCAACGTGTACACAGTAAATATCTACAGTGTATTGTATATTATTTACACATCAATATAGCTGTTACAAAAACAAAATTGATTTTTTCTAAGAAAGCAAAGGAGGCTGACCATGGTGGTTCATGCCTGTAATCCCAGCACTTTGAGAGGCCGAGGTGGGCAGATCACTTGAGGTCAGGAGTTCAAGACCAGCTGGGCCAACATGGTAAAACCCCGTCTCTACTAAAAATACAAAAATTAGCCAGGTGTGGTGGTGCATGCTTGTAATCCCAGCTACTTGGGAGGCTGAGGTGGGAGGACCACTTTGAATCCAGGAGGCACAGAATGCAGTGAGCCAAGATTGTGCCACTGCACTGCAGCCTGGGGGACAAAGTGAGACTCCATCTCAAAATAAATAAATAAATAATCAAATGAATGATAAATACAATACTTATAAAAGCACTCTTCACAGGAAGTGGGAGTTTAAGACAACTGGAAGAGAGAGAGGACAAGAGAAAGGAGATTCCTTAGGGAGAGGCATAAAAAGAATAAAGTGCTACTAAAGGCATGAAATGGTCTATTTCTTGAGCTGGTTGGGAAATACATGGGTGTTTGTTATATTATTAATTAGGCATTTTATTTGTTTATATAAGCTCTTGCATTTCAATGTAATACTCACAATAAAAAAGAGCAAATAATAAGCATACATCATTAAATGGCCAAACTCTCTTCAATTTATAAATCTAATTGTCTTTTAAAGTTTTGAAGCTGTCAGCACTAGTGAAAAATATTAAATTTCTAAACACTGTAATAAAATATTACAAATTTTTTCCATTCTCTTTTCTTTCCAACTTTCTATGACATCATGAACCCTGGAAGAGAGGGTGAATTCTCTTGGTTTCAGAGCATCATTTCAAGGGCATGAGCCTCAGAATGGGAGTCCAGATAGTACACTGGCTGCAAATATACCCTATTAATGTCCTATTTATGACAAAAATTTCAGAAACAGTAAGAGTCTTCAATAGATAATTTTGGACAAATCAAGGTTAAGTTCCTTGATATTTGGATTTTTTGGGGAAAAGACTAGGTTAGATATTCCTTGACTCTAAAAGTCTCCTAATGTGCCAAGTAGAATATTCCTGTGTGGGTTAAGCCTCTCCTTTTGGCCACCTTATCTGAAATCTCATGAATAAAAAAATCAAGTTTTTTGATGGAAACATTTGCAGTTAAAAATTTAGTAATAATGCCTAACACTGCTATTCAGTGACTCTCCATGTGGCTAGAACTATAATAGATGTCTTAAATCATTTTATTGGAACATTAACAAAAAAGCCTTCAACTGTAGAGAAAAGGGAGTCCTTTAGCACTGTTGATTGAAATGTAAATTAGTAGAGACACTAAAAATAGCAGCATGGAGGTTCCTCAAAAAATTAAAAATAGAACTACCATCTGATTCAGAAATCCCAATACTGGTTATATATCCAACTGAAATAATATCAGTATGTCAAACAGATATATATGTTCTCTTACGTTCATTGCAGCATTATTCACAATAGCCATGACATGGAATCAACTTAGGTTTCCATTAGTGAATGAATACAAGTTTTAACTATGATCTACATACACAATATAATATAATTCATCCTTAAAAAAAGACCAGGCATTGTGTCTCATGCCTGTGATCCCAGAATTTTTGGAAGCTGAGGTGGGGAGATGTCTTGAGCCCGGGAGTTCAAGAAATCTATTGGGTCTATTCATTTCAGAGAATGTTGTTAATCCATGTTGTCAAAAATAATTCTCCTCCTTCTCCTCCATTCTCCTCATTCTTCTCCTCCTCCTCCTTCTCCTCCATTCTCCTCATTCTTCTCCTCCTCCTCCTTCTCCTCCTCCTTCACCTCCTCCTCCTTCTCCTCCTCTCTCCCCCCTTCCCTCCACCCTTCCCCTCTCACCTCCCCCCACCCCCTCCTCCCTTTCCTCCTCCTCCTCCTCCTCCTCCTCCTCCTCCTCCTCCTCCTCTTACTCTGTTGCCCAGGCTGGACTGCAGGGTTATGATCATGACTCAATACATTCTCCACCTCCCAGGCTCAAGTGATCTTCCCAACTCAGGCCCCGAGACTGGGCAACATAGGGAAACCCTGTCAATACAAAAAAGGAGTTTAAAAATTTGCCAGGTGTAGTGGCATATGCCTGTAGTCACAGCTACTCAGGAGGCTGAGAGGTCAAGACTGCAGTGAATCATGATCATACCACTGCACTCCAGGCTGGGCACAACAGAGTGAGAGTGGAGGGCGGCAGGGCGGGGGCGGGGGGGGGGAGGAGGAGGAGGAGGAGGAGGAGGAGAAGATTGTCATTTTTGAGAAAATGGATGAAACTGAAGGGCATTATGTTAAGTGAAATAAGCCAGACACACAGACAAATGCCCCACTACCTCACTTGTATGTGGAATTCAAAAAAGTTAAACTCATAGAAGTGAAAAGTGCAGGGAAGGGAAGGGAGTTGGGGAGATGTTGTTCAACATATAAAATTTCAGTTAGATAGGAGGAATAAGCACAAGAGATCTATTGTACAATATGGTAACTATGGCTAATTCCAATGCACTGTGTTTTTAAAAATTATTAAGAGAGAAGATTGTAAGTGTTCTCACCACACAAATGATAAGTATGGGAGGCAATGCATATGGTACCTGCTTTAGCCATTCCACAATGTTGTACGTGATAAACATATACAACTTTTATTGGTCAGTTAAAACTACTTAAGAGAAAATAGCCTGCAATATAGTTATCATTATCCCTATTTTGCAGATGATAAAATAAATAAATAAACTGAATAAACATTTCCCAGGGAATCTCTGTATTTCCAAGTCAGAAGAAATGAGTCCTAATTGAGGTACACAATTCAAGGCAATTTCAATTCTATCTACTTGATTATTGAAACATAACAACTATCATCTAAAACTTTACTTTTTTTATTGCAGTAGATATCGAACATTCTCTTATTTTTGTCAAAAGCCAAATTCTTGAAATATGTAAAAACAATGTATCTTGTGTAGATACACAGTAACTGGTGTGACCAATACAAAAAATTACGGAAAGCTAAATATAGATCATGTTACTTTTAATCAGATAGGGAAGGATTTGCTATTGATTTTGTCAAATCCAGAAATAAAAGTGTCCAAAAAGAGGCATTAATTTTCACCCCTATTGAATTGAACTGAATCTGAAATGATTATATTTTGTGTAATTAATTAGTAATTGTTTCTCTCTGTGATGGTTAATTTTATGTGTCAGCTTGATTGGACCATAAGGTGCCCAGACATTTGATCAAGCATTATTTTGGGTGGGTCTTTGAGGGTGTTGCTGGATAAGATTAATATTTGAATCAGTAGACTGAGTAATGAAGATAGCCCTGACTAATGTAGATGGAACTCATCCTATCAATTAAAGGCCAATTAGAATAAAAGGCTGAGTAAGAAGGAACTTCTCCTGCTTGACTACTTGAGCGGAGGCATTGGTCTTTCCCTGCCTTGAAGAAGTGGCTGTTCTGGATCTCAAGTCTTTTGACTGTTGAACTGAAACGTACACCATCACCTCTCCTGGTTCCCATGTCTTTGACTGGAACTAAAACTGCATCATCTGTTCTTCTAAGTCTCCAGCTTGCTGACTGCAGACTTTGGGATGTTTCAGCCTTCATAATTCCTCATTATATAGAATTAGAATATATAAATATTATAGCATTATAATATGTAATATATTATTATCTTATAATTGCTTCTGTTGCTCTGAAGAACCCCAATACACGCTCCATGTAAGACTTCACCAAATTAACTAAATTATATATTCTCAGTGGTCATGTGAACAACAGGATGACCTACTGATAACCAGAGGAATACACAAATCTTAGCTACCACAAAACTTCATAATTTTTGAAAATACAGTAATAACAATAATAATCCTAATAATAGCTATTTATATATATTTCCTTAAATTATCACTATTAGTATCAAAACTGGGTTCAGTTATCTGATCCTATTTCTTAATATAAATAATAAGGTGAGGGTTGGCATGGGAGGAATTGCCTTTCCACAGCTGGGATAAGGCCCCTGAAAAGTATTTTCACCTGAAGGTTCTGAGTGTATTTCATAATAATGCCTCTTCCTCTTTCAATGCCAGGGTTGTAAGGAGATCTTTATTGGATCTTCTTGGAGGTAAAGCTCATGAAAATGCTATATCCCTCTCATTCTCCTAAGGCTGCACCCCAGTGAATTTTTCCCTCTTAATTCACAATAAGCATTGAGCAATTTATCAAAATAACTATTTAAGTGTCCCTACCTGTTTATGACTCCAGGGGCTTCTATAGGTGGTAAGGAGGTTTTGTGTCTTTCTGTGTGTGCCTGTCTTTCCAGATTTCAGCATGACAGTTTGTCCTAGTTCTCCAATGGGTCCAAGTAAAGTTACTGATTTTTGGTTTGCCTAGCTTTTTTTGGCATAAGGATAGGAATAATGACTTACAACCTCTTTGCATATTAAAGCTGAAATTGCAAGTTATTTTGATAGACATAAGCTAGAGGTCAATGAAATAGAATCTTTAAAGTACTGATAAATAATTCTGTCAACTCATAGTTCTATACTCAGTAATAATGTCTTTTAATATTAAGGTTAAATGAAGATGGTTTTCATTAAAAAAAAGCTTAGATAATTAGTTGCCAATTTATTATGCTACAAGAAATATTAAAGGAGGTTCCTAAGGCAGAAGAAATAAGATGCCAGAGGAAAAGTTTGAACCCACATAAAGATATAAAGGGGCAAAAAAATTATATTAAAGTATTTTCAACTACAGTGGAAAACAATGTACAATCCTGTGCTTCAAAATGTTTCTTTCAACATTGGAATGCATATACGATGATGATTCCACAAGATTATAACAGAGCTGATGAATTTCTATCACATAGTGATGTCATAGTAGCCATCATAATGTTTGACACAATGCATCACTCATATGTTTGCGGTGATGCTGGTATAAACAAACCTACTGTGCTGTCAGTTGTAGAAAAGTATAACTTATACAATTATTTATAGTACATAATACTTGATAATGATAAGAAATGACTATGTTACTGATTTATGTAAAATAAAAATAATCTTCAAAAAATAAAAACACTGCAAACAAACACGAAGAAAGAAAATATATTTTTTCTTATGCTAAATCACCGTAAAAGACAATTCACTCTTTAATGCAAAAATAGTAAAAATACATTGTTTGGTGTATCGAATATAACAGGGCAACCACTAAAATAATCATTAAACAAGTATAACAAATAGGACAATATAAAAACAAAATGGAATAAAAAAAATCAATGCAAGCTAAAAAAAAAAAAAAAAAGAAAAAAGGAAAAAAAACAAAGCCTATAATCCCAGCTACTCAGCAGCCCGAGGCAGGAGAATTGCTTGAGCCTGGGAGACAGACGCTGCAGTGAGCAGAGATCATGCCACTGCCCTCCAGCCTGGCCGACAGGGCAAGACTCTATCTCAAAAAAAAAAAAAATAAAAAATAAAAAAAAAAGAACAAAGAAGAAACAAAGAACACATGAGACAACTACAATACAGCTAACAAATGGTAAATTTAAAATCAACCATATGAATAATTTTATTAAATATGAGTGGTCTAAACACCTAAATTAAAAAAACAGAAAGATTTTCTATTACGTACAAATACAAGATCAAAATATGTATAGTCTGTAAGTACCCATTTAATTACAAAAACACAGATAGGGTAAGAGGAACATGGTGAAAAAAGATATACCATGCAAACACTTATCAGAAACAAGTTGAAGTAGTAATATTAATACCAACCAGGTGATGTGGACTGTGGAAGAAGGAATATAAAGAAAGATAGAGACTTTACAAAATGATGAAGTGGTCAACTCATAAAAAAGGCATTGCATTTATAAATTTTTACACACTTAACAAAAGAGTATTAGATTATATGAGAAGACAAATTGAGAGTGTGTGATGGTTAATATTGAGTGTCAACTTGGCTGGATTGAAAGATGCAAAGTATTGTTCCTGGGTGTGTCTGCGAGGATGTCGATAAAGGAAATGAACATTTGAGTCAGTGAACCGGGAGATGCAGACCAACTTCTCAATCTGGGTGGACACCATCTAATCAGCTGCCAGTGAGGCTAGGATAAAAGCAGGCAGAGGAAGGTGGAAGGGCTAGACTGGCTAAGTCTTTGGTCTCCATCTTTCTCCTGTGCTGGATGCTTCCTGTCCTCGAACATTGAACTCCAAGTTCATCAGCTTTTGGACCCTTGGACTTACACCAGTGGTTCTCCATGGGCTCTCAGGCCTTTGGCCACAAACTGAAAGCTGCACTGTAGGCTACTTTTGAGGTTTTTGGACTCTGGTTTCCTAGCTCCTCAGCTTGCAGATGGCCTACTGTGGGACTTCACCTTGTGATTGTGTGAGTCAATACTTCTTAATAAACTCCCTTTCATATATATGAAATATATATTATTATATATTATATCCATATATATATATATATATGAAAGGGAGTTTACATATATATATCGTATTAGTCCTGTCCCTCTCTGGAGACCTCTGACTAATCCAGGGCCTCAGAAGTAAATTGTACTTTTGGACCATATATGCATGTTTGGGAGAGGACACAAATGACAAGAGGGATGAATAAGGTGGAAAGAAGCAGCAGTGGATTAAATTACCTAAAGAATGTCATCTCTGGCATTATTGGCATTTTGAGGATTCACCTAGTCACAGATTTCCTCTAATAAGACAGAAAAAAAAGCAGTAGATTAATAAACTCATGTGTTACAGAAAAATGTTAATGTTCCTAAGCATTAATGTTTCTGTACTGTACATAATTAAAGTAAATGTGACACTCATGAAATTGATAAATGACTTCTCTGAATTTTGACATATACATTAAGCAAAAGTATATTGAAATAAGTAAATAGGTATAAAAATATCAGTAACATATTTTTAAAGAATAAATATGTATGCTATAAAATTTAATCAAGTCTATTAAAATATTTGATACAATTAAGAAATTTTAAATATCTGACAAAAAATTGGTTACCTATTAGGAAAAAATTAAAATGTGCATTTACGAGAAAATTGGTTTGTTTAGAAAACAGATTTAATCTGACATAATGTAAGCACTCAATTTAAGTTTAATAAGAACAGGAATCTTAAAGAGATGTTTTCCAAAACGTATTAATAGTTGATATACTGAATTACATTTGCCTGGATTCACACAGATTGGAAATATTAGAATATAACAGAAAATAGGGCTTTAATATTTTTTCTTAGAATAAGGAAATACAGAAAGTCTTACAAAATCTCTCTCACCAGACTCCTAATTGAAACAATTCAGATACAAATGAGAACTTTGGAGGGATTATCTAAACGAAACCTGTGAACTACTGAAGTACACCTCCTACTATACTGTTTCTATTTCCTGCTACTCAGAAACATTTTTCTCTTCAGCAATTCCACTTACTCAACTATTGCTGACTCAGGACTATACTTCTTTCTGCCAAGTAAAGTATATTAGATGTCTATACATTTTGATATTTAATCAGACAAATGAATCTTATCTCAGTTTACTTTCTTTTGCCCCCAAGAAATTTCATGAGATCCGCAATAGCTATGAACAATCAGCATAGCAAAATTTCCAAGTCAGAGAATACATGATTTCTCACAAGCTAAAGCTTTTGTTGCATTTATTTCTGCTTTTTCTGTAAGTTTAATATTGGAAGTGAGGAGTCAGTTATCATAAAATTGGAAGAAAAATAATCTGTTAAACCCAACAACAAAAACTACCCTCATTAAGAAATTTAACTTGTCCTATATCCATCTGAGCTACTCCTTTGCAGGATATGTTCTGAGAAATGTGTTGTTAGGCAATTTCATCACTGTGCAAACATCACAGAGTGTACTTACACAAACCTAGTGGTATAGCCTACTATATACACCTAGGCTTTATGATATAGCCTGTTGCTCCTAGGCTACAAACCTTTCAGCATGTTATTGTACTGAAAACTGTAGGAAATTGTGGCACAATGGTATGGATTTACATATCTAAATATCAAAAAGGTACAGTGAAAATACAGTATTAAAATCTTACAGGACCACTGTCACATATGTGATCTGTCATTGACTGAAACGGTTTTATGGCCCATGACTACACACGAGTATAGATATAGACAGAAAATTTAACTCTCCCTAACCCCCATGCCCAATAAAAGTAGTAATAATTATATAATTATTAAGGCCAAATGTTACCCTATATATACTAATTTAAGTGCACATGGTTGTTAGATGCTGTCTACATGCCAATGCTGATATTGATACCATGTGCTACAAATGAAGTTCACTAGATAATTCACTTCATGTCTTCCTTCAGAGAGACAGTGATTGGGTTGCAATCAGTTACAGTGTTTCAATATGGCTACCTAATTCAAAGTCTAGTTGCCAGTTTTGTAGTTACGACAATTCAATTTTCTTACTACAATCAGCATTATCTAAGCTTCAGGATACTAAGCTATGGCAAAGAAATACATAAAAGATTGATAGATAAGCCGTAATGTCAATTTTTTAATTTCTAGGAAGACATAACTAAAATACAATGAAAATACTCTCTCAGTGGAGAGATTTACATGATAAGCTTTTAATCAGAGAATTACTGCTTAGAGATCATGTGATTAGAATAAGAGGAGATAGCTGTTTGAGCAAAATGGCTAGTGTCATGTGATTTTATATGCTGGTATCTCTGTATTGACACGTTTTCAAGAGCCAGGTACCCTTCCTTCAGTATTGCCTAGAGAAACAGCCAACAATTGCTTCCCTAACTTGCTTCTTCCCTTGGCTTTTAGGGCTACCAACACCCTCAATGACAGATTTTCTTCAGATAGGTCAATACTAAGAATCAAGTTTCCATGACATCTTAACCTGGGCAACATTCTGACTCTTTAAAAGTAACTAAGGCTGGGTGCAGTGCTTACACATACAATCCCAGCACTTTGGGAAATGGGGGTGGGAGGATAACTTGAGTCTAAGAGTTTGAGACCAGCCTGGGTGATATGGTTTGGCTTTGTGTCCCCACTCAAATCTCATTTTGAATTGTAATCCCCAGGTGTTGAGGGAGGAATCTACCTGGTGGCAGGTGATTGGATCATGGAGGCAGTTTCCCCCATGCCATTCTTGTGATAGTGAGTGAGTTCTCTCAAGATCTGATGGTTTTATAATGTCAGTTTCCCAGAGCTTCCCTCTCTCTCTCTCCTGCCACCACGGGAAAAAGGTGCCTGCTTCCCCTTCTGCCATAACTGCAAGTTTGCTGAGGCCTCCCCAGCCATGTGGAACTGTGAGCCAATTAAACTTCTTTCCTTTATAAATTACCCAGTCTCAGGCAGTATCTTTATAGCAGTGTGATAACAGACTAATATAGGAAATTGGTAGAGCAGAGAGTGGGGTACTGCCATAAGATAACCTGAAAATGTGGAAGCAACTTTGGAACTGGGTAACAGGCAGAGATTGGAACAGTTTTCAGGGCTCAGAAGAAGACAGGAAGATGTGGGAATGTTTGGAACTTCCTAGAGACTTGTTAAATGATTTTGACCAAAATGCTGATAGTGATATGGACAATGAAGTCCAGGCTGAGGTGGAGATGAGGAACTTTCTGGGAACCGGAGCAAAGGTCACTTTTGCTATGCAAAGAGACTGGCAGCATTGTGCTCCTGCCCTGGAGACCTGTGGAACTTTAAACTTGGGGGACATGATCTGAAAATGGAAATTATGTTTAAAAGGGAAGCAGAGCATAAAAGTTTGTAAAATTTGCAGTCTAGCCACTTAGTAGAAAAGAACAACCCATTTTCTGGGGAAGAATTTAATCCTGTTCCAGAAATTTGCATTAAGTAATGAGAAGCTGAATGTTAATAGCCAAGACAATGGGGAAAATATCTCCAGGGCATGTCAGAGGTCTTTAGGCAGGCCCTCTCATCACAGGCCCAGATGCCTAAGAGGGAAAAATGGTTTCCTGGGCTAGGCCCAAAACCCTGCTGCTGCTCTGTGCAGCTTCCAGACTTGGTGCTCTGTGTCCTAGATGTTCCAGGTCTAGCTGTGACTAAAAGGGGACAAGGTACAGCTTAGGCCATTGCTTCAGAGGGTACAAGCCCTAAGCCTTGGTGACTTCTATGTGGTTTTGGGCTTGCGGGTACACAGACGTCAAGAATTGAGGATTAGGAACCTCCACCTAGATTTCAGAAGATGTATGGAAATACCTGGATGTCCAGGCAGAAGTCTGCTGCAGGAAAAACCTCTACATGTTCATGGAGAACCTCTATTAGGGCAATGCAGAGGGGAAAATGTGGGATTGGAGCCCCCACACAGAGTCCCCACTGGGCCATTGCCTAGTGGAGCTGAGGAAAGGACCACCGTCCTCCAGACCCCAGATGGGTAGATCCACTGACAGCTTGCACCATTGGCATGGAAAAGCCACAGGCACTCAATGGTAGTCTGTGAGGGAGCTGCCTAAGGCTGTGGGAGCCCACCCCTTACATCAGCCTGCCCGGATGAGAGACATGGAGTCAACGGAGATTATTTTGGAGCTTTAAGAGTTGACTGCCCCGCTGGATTTCGGACTTGCATGGGGCCTGTAACCCCTTCATTTTGGCCAACTTCTCCCTTTTGAAATGGGAACATTTACTCAATGCCTATACCCCCATTGTATCTTGGAAGTAACTAACTTGCTTTTGAGTTTACAGGCTTCTGGGTGAAAGGGACTTGCCTTGTCTCAGATGAGACTTTGTGTTCGGACTTTTGAGTTAATGCTGAAATGAGTTAATACCTTAGGGGACTCATTGGGAAGGCATGATTGGTTTTGAAATGTGAAAGGGGCATGAGATCTGGGAGGGGCCAGCAGCAGGATGATATGGTTTGGCTTTGTGTCCCCACTCAAATCTCATCTTGAATTGTAATCCCTGGTGTTGCGGGAGGAACCTGGTGGGAGGTGATTGGATCATGGGGGCGGTTTCCCCATGCTGTTCTCCTGATAGTGAGTGAGTTCTCTCATGACCTGATGGTTTTATAAGTGTCAGTTTCCCCTGTGCTTCCCTCTCTCTCTCCTGTCACCTTGTGAAGAAGGTGCCTGCTTCCATTTCTGCCATGATGGTAAGTTTCCTGAGGCCTCCTCAGCCATGCAGAACTGTGAGTCAATTAAACCTTTCCTTTATAAATTACCCAGTCTCAGGCAGTATCTCTACAGCAGTGTGAGAACAGACTAATATACAGGCAACATAGCAAGATCCCGTCTCTACAAAAAATTATTTAAATTAGCTGAGCATGGTGTCCTGTGCCTGTAGTCCCAGATACTCCAAAAGCTGAGGTGGGAGGATTGCTTGAGCCCAGGAGTTTGAGGCTGAAGTGAGCTATGATTCCACCTCTGCATTCCAGCATGGGTGACAGAGTGAGAATCTGCCTCAAAAACATAAATTAAGTAAAATAAAATACAACTAAGTTAGAACTTACTACTGCTCATTACCTATTCTTACAAGACATCTCATTTAGCCCTCAAGAACTTCCATTAAGTGACTGATGAGATGGCACTTAATATTTTTTATATTATCTGAGTGGGGGCCAGAAGGCTCTAGAAAAGCTACAGCCACTGCTTCAGTTCTCTCTTGTTTCTCTTCCATTTTGAATGTAACTAGAGAAATAGAAATGCTATCTTGAAATCTTATGAGAAGGCACAGCTAGATAGATTGCCATGAAATTCAAATAAATATTTTTAAACCTTCATTCTCTCTGATAATGAAGATGTTAAGTTAGTGATATATTTTCCTAATGTGTGCTAAACTGATCTATACATATAATGAATCCTTATTAGCAGGCAATGGCCAGTCAGAGTTACTGAGGAGTAGACATGAGGTGCAGCGGTTACTCTGAAGCACATATAATGAACACGAAGTAGAAATCCTACTGAGCCTTGACAATGCAGAATTCCTTGAATGTGGTAGGTGTTCAATAAGCATCCACTGAAATGATTTCTAATTAACATGATTTTTTAGCCATATATAATTAAACAATTTTTTTGAAAATAAATGTGTACATAGCTTTATTTGAGCTTCCATTTTTATAGTAGTATATGTGTAGATTCAGTACTATGATAATATTCTTAGAATTTCTCAAAGCATCTGAAAATGATATGAGATTTGGTAACTTACTTTCAAACTGAAGTTTTGAGAAAATTTTCTCAAAATTTAGTTGAAAAGATGCTGCTGCCTGGCTATTGTAAGATTGATAATTTTTATGCCCTAGTTGCCTGAACAATTATCTCAAAGATAAAGTCCTCTTATCTGGAGACAAATAAGAAGCACATATAAGGACATCTATTATCTCTGTCTTAGGTACGAAACATCAAGCTTGGCAATGTGCCATCTCAATAATACTGGCCACCAATGCCTTCTTAATTCTTGCTCTTTTTGCATACTGCATCTGACTTCATAATGAATAGACTTACATCTGGTACTCTCCCAGAAATCACTTCCTTCTCTGTAAAACCCACTGCAAAGGGATTGTAAAAATTTAGTTTTGGTCTTTACCCAGAATGTTAAATAGAACTTCCTAAAGATGTGAAGCTTTACCTGTGCCATTTTTCTTCAGACACTATGAAAGGAACTCTGTTAACAGCTGACATTTATTAAGTGGTTCACTACATATCTGCAACTAGGCTAAGCATTGCATACAATTCTCATTCTCAGAGCAAACCAATGGAATCAATGATATTACTTTCCATTTTACAGGACGCAAGGTTCACCAGCTAGCTCAGGGTCCCACAGCTAAAAATCGAAGAGATGGGAATTTAACCAAGACAAAGTGGGGCCAAAAAATTACACTCTTAACCATAAGAATACGCCATCTTTTGATGCAAAACATGGATTATTTATGTCCCATTTTCCAAGAGGACTGGAAAAGCAACTCAAGATTCTCTCCCTGGGGAATGCCAACAGTTCTGATTCTACACACTGAAAGATTATGCTGTTTCATCAGTAGAGTAGAAATTTGATTCCCAAAGGTAGACCTGCTATTTAACAAACAGGTTCACTAAAGTAATTTACTTGTCCTTATGGGTTAGACAGACACAACTGTAGGTGTCAAACTGAGTTAATAGAAGACCAGATGTTGGTTGGCACAAACTCTGCCAGCCAGCAGGAGAAATGAGGAAATTATGAGTTCAATAGGGATACTAGCCCAAAGATAAATGACGAGAGTCCCTTACACCTGGGGAAAGTTCTGTCATCAACAAAGTTTAGGGAGATCCACATTTCTCCATTTCAGGAAATATCCAACATAAATAGTTTCCTCAGAATACAAATATATATCAGAAAATAAATTACGAAAAATATATACTGTTTAACACAATGCTGATCAAGAAAACATTGTTAATTAAGTCCAATGGAGAATTACCAATTTCATAAGGCCAATCATCTCTTACTAAATACCCTTTGTACAAAGAGATTCAGAGAGTTTAATTTTTATTTTCCTCTCCCACGAATCCATAAATATAAAAGTTACTTAAAACTTAAATTATTTTGGAAATGTCAAAGGTGTTTGGATAGAATCATTCATAAAAATAGTGGTGCCATCTCCCAAACCCTACTATTCTCCACACATGGCTGAATGAACATTCTTTGATGATCTCATGCATTCCTAACACTCTGCTATGTTATTAGAATTTTGACGATGTCTTCTTAGGGCAGTTTCAGCCCTAAGGTGGTAAGTGAGTATTCTTACCCTTTCTTCTGACAACGCGCCTGGACAGCTCTTGCAGAATGAAGGAAACAGGATGCCAACGGGAAGCTCCTCACCATACACCATTTCCTGAATTTCTAGCTGTGCCACCTCCTTCTCTCTTTACTGCTTCCTACCACCTCTCAGTATAGTTAAACTTTAAGAGGCCCAGGAGAAAGAAGAAATAAGACTTTAAATAATTTATTTGGAGAAACAGTCAGTGAAGAGGAACAAATCATGTTTAGCTAAAAGAACCGGGACCTTTGACACTCCCCCTTTTCGCTCCAGTACCTGGAGCTCTAGCCGGATTGCATTAGTGAAATTTTCCTTTGATGGCATTTTAATATTCTGCCTTGATGACTTTTTAGCAACATTTACTTTCAGAGGTCTCGAGTGTTCCCTCGGAGGAAATGAAACATGTCAGAGCCCATTACAAAAATCAAAATTTAAATACCTCAACCACATTCGGGCTTACACACAATCCCATCAGTGCTTAAGCTGGGACTCACAACTATTCATTCTCTTGCTCAATCAGTAATGAGTACATTTGATGAAGCATTCCAGGGTCAGGGAACACTCGTTAGTGATCTAACTTAACCCATTGATTGCCTGGCCACAAAGGACCAGAGCAGAACTTGATTAAATTGTAACAGGCAAATAATTTCAAAACAGCACCAAAGCAAACTCTTTTTTTTTTCTTGGTCCTTTAAAAAATATTTGCAATTTCTCTAAAAAATAATGGGAACATCATGGCAATAAGACAGCTGTAGATTAGGGTCTGTATTATTAGGACATTTCTATATGTCTGTTTATCCTATGAATCTACCTGTTTTGTTTTCATCCAACTATGGCTATAGTTATGGTTAAGAGCTGCCGTAGACTGTAATTGGATAGTCACTAAAAGCATCATTTTTATTTGAGCAACACCTTAACCTTCTCATATTCTCCTGACTCCCTCAAGAAATTTCACCTTATTCTTTGCAAAGAAGCATCCCCAGGTTGAGATCTGACTGCCTACAGCATATTACATTACCTTTGGCATCATGGGGCTGGCCCCAAAGCCTCTTGGACGTTGATCCTGTATGCAAAAGCAATGTAAGTCACACATGTTGCTGTTTGACATCACAGAAAAAGCTTCAAAAACCCAATTTTGTCCACAGATGAAGACTATTTTTGCTATAAGAAAGAATCTCTCCCTCTCTTTCCATCTCCCCTTCTCCTCTTCCTCCCCCAATTTCTCTTGTTTACTCTACTTTAATTGAGCAATTTATATAATGAAGTAGGCAAATGCAATATTTGGTTACAGCACTATTATGCTCTGAACTTCAGAAAAACTTGCTGCTGCTTTCTCTAGTTAGGCCTATAGGTTAATGCAGATGCTTCAGCTCTTCCTCAGGATTTCAGACAGTATTCTTTACTGTGATCTTACCAGGGAATGGATGATCTACTCCCTGGCTTCCCCTCTTAAGGGACTTGAGGAATTTCCCTTTCAAGAGAGAATTAAAAGGGGCCAGGGGTGTGAGGGACACTTGTGAAGTGATCCTGTTTGGACCAAGTCTCTTCTAGACTTCAAATCATGTTCTAATATTCCCCATAAAACCCTTACAGTAAGTGCTATGGCAAACAGCCTGTCACGAGGATGTCAAAAGTTGAGGTCACAGTGTTCTTGTGCGCCCCTTAGGGATTGCCACTGGCCTCTCACATGCTACAGTGCAGCCCGATGGCTCTCACCAATATCTTTCACTATCAGAGTTAGCTGAACAGCTGTGGAGTTCTCAGTGATGCCCAAGATTTACATAGCATTTTTTTATTTGCCTCAAAGGAGGTCACATTTAAGATGAGAGATGCATTCCTTTCACCAGCTAAAAGCAATGTTCATTGCCTCTCCTAGTCTTGTTGCATGTAGTTTGCCAGAGGTGTGTAGTATGAGTACTATTTAGAAAAGAAAAACCATTAGAAAGCAGGAGAAAGCTTTAAGAAATCCAGGATGCCCAACAGAATGCTAGGAAAGTGAAAGGGTGAATTTCAACAATAACTGTGAAGGAGGCACCCAAAGTGAGTTTCTCACTCATTGCCCAGCAGCAAAACACTGAAAAACCTACTTTCAATTAACACTTTTCCTTACTTACTACCTACCCTTGAACTGGGTGCAGCTCCATGAAGCCAATGGCTTTCAGCCAGGCAGTTTACAGCCCTGCCTATCATGAGTTAGAAAAAGACCCATTTGAAAGCTTTAC
The DNA here is from genome assembly GCF_000001405.40 of Homo sapiens. Taxonomy (NCBI): domain Eukaryota; kingdom Metazoa; phylum Chordata; class Mammalia; order Primates; family Hominidae; genus Homo; species Homo sapiens. The sequence goes on along the minus strand of NC_000015.10, from coordinate 94,928,925 downwards.
ATTAAAAATATGTGATGAAGAGAGGGAGCCATGGAGCACAGTAGTCCAAATCTGAAGCAATTTTAATTTCTTATAGAAACTTAAAAATTGAAGAAATAGCCATTTTCTCCTCTAATTCTGTCTACCTTCTCAGAATTGTGAAACCTACTGCAGAAATATCCAGGATTATGGAAAAATCTTGACACTACTTTGGTTCCATTTGAAATTTTAGTAAGGATAGGCATAAGCATTCATACTAAATTTGTTCTAGCTTATCATTTTGCCATTAGCTAACTTCCTGACATCCAACTCCCCTCCCAACACACATTCCAGTTGAAAAACCATATTATGCATAGTTTAAATCTCTATTGCTTATTTTCCATTTAGGTTGAAATCAGAGAGTGACTTAAAGTTTTTACCCTCTAGGTCTTTTGGCTAAGACAGCTGCTTTTATAATTCCTTTTGCCAAAACTCAATGAAAAACTCATGTTAAACGTTTAAACTTCTTAAAAACTCTCCCCAAATGGATGAACTTTACCCTTCACCTAGAAGCCAACCCCATCTTCTCTCTGCACAGCTTCCCTTTTACATTGGAAGCCTATTTTCATGGACATCTTACCTTTCTTCTTGCTCTGTTATCCTTCTCTGCTTGCAGCCAGAGAAGTGAAGACTTAAATGTGGTCTAGGATTGTGATTTGGACTGCCTTATCCATGATTAGAAGTAAGTGGAAAGGAGGAAAAAACATAAGGTCTTAGGGAGGAATGTTTCTTTTTCTTTTTATTTTTTTGAGACTGAGTCTTGCTCTGTTGCCCAGGCTGGAGTGCAGTGGCACGATCTTGGCTCACTGCAACCTCTGCCTCTCAGGTTCAAGTGATTCTTCTGCCTCAGCCTCCGAAGTAGCTGGGACTACAGGCACGAGCCACCACACCCAGCTAATTTCTGTATTTTTACTAGAGACGGGGTTTCACCATATTAGCCAAGCTGATCTCAAACTCCTGACCTTATGATCTGCCCACCTCAGCCTCCCAAAGTGCTGGGATTACAGGTGTGAGCCACCACGCCAGCAAGGAATATTTCTTAAACTTTGTGGTTATTTTGTCATCAATAAATTGGGGATAATGAATTGTGGTGATGACTAAGTCATATAACACGGGGATAGCCCACAGCAAAGTGCTTGGCCTATAGCTGTCTCTTATTAAATGCTAGCTGTGGTCAATATCATGAATATTAGCAGTACTGCTACTATTTCTTCTTGAAGAAGAAGATAAGTAAGGATAGGCATATTGGAACACTAGGCATAAATGGGGAAGCAATCAAGGTGTTCAATCTTTGCAATACTTTTCTCTTCTTGCTCTATGGATTCTCATTGACTTTCTCTCTCTCATATGCTTGCTGTGGCCGCACTGGCCCTCCAGTCCTGTTACACTTCTTTCATAGCCCCACCTCAACCTAAGAAATGAAATATTGAAGAGAACTTCTATTATTTTTTAATTAAAAAAATTTTTTTTGAAATAAAGTTTCACTCTGTCATCCAGCCTCAAGTGCAGTGATATAGTCATGGCTCACTGCAGCCTCGACCTGCTAGGTTCAAGCAATCCTCCCACTTCAGCCACCCAAGTAACTGGGACTACAGGCACATACTACCACATCTGGCTAATTTTTAAATATTTTGATAGAGATGTGGTCTCCCTATGTTACCCAGACTGGTCTCTAATTCCTGGGCTCATGCAATTCTCTTGCATCAGCCTCACGGAGTGCTGGGATTACAGGCATAAGCCACCACACCCAGCCTGATCAGAACTTTGAGTGACGATCTTTTCAAGGAAATAGATATTTTACAGAGATACTAACTTTAGGCTAAAGGGACAGAGTTCAGATTGTAGAATGTGAAATATTAATAGCAGTTGGTCAGAAGAGAGAAAAGAGTTGGGACATATTAATGTCCTTGGCGCTTCTCTGAAAGAAAAAAAAAAAAAAAGAATAGTGATCATCTCCAGTAGGCTCTGGAGATGTTTGGTTTCAGAAAGTAAAGAGAGAGAGAGCGAAAGAAACAGAAAGAAGGAAGGAAGAAAGAAAGGAAGGAAGGAAAGGGAAATAAGAGAGGAAGAGAGGACACACTCACCGAACCTACTGCTAGTTTTGTTTCCTCCTTGGAAAAAACAAAGAGCAAATTGATGGTTTTTAAAATTTTGCAAGCATTGTGTTCTTATTGTCTGGGTCTTAGAAAGTTTGAACTAAAATTTTTCTCAAAAGACTTTCAATTTTAAAAACTTAGGGAAAACAGAAAAGGGCATTGGTTAAAATAGATTGAGACCCAATTGAAGTAAAATTTTCTACCATGATCATGGATGATAACTGCTTTCTTCTGTTTCTGAAAGTATTTTTATTTTCCAGATTTATAAAAACCACCTTCTTTTCTTGCCAAAATTATTCATTTGGCCGTGTAAACTAGAAAATCAAAACACCTACCAAAAAAAGAAGTCCCTACAAATAACTCAGAAAATCTTATAAGTGGGCTTTTATTGAAACTGACAGAGAAAAATATATATGTATTTGCTTCTTTTAGTTGAAAGGCAGAGCCCCCAGAATAATTTACTTACAAATATGGCATTTGGAATGTTTGCTTGATGGCCATTTCAAATTTTTATGTCATGACTGTCATGAATTAGAATTATTGAGATATAATTGTCTCTAGAATTATTGAGGTATGCACGTTTCCCCCAAAACATAACTAAATATTATATATTCCTGTCTCTGAACATGATTCATCATTAACATAATGATTGTCAGCATTAAAGAAAGCCAGCTCCAGCTAACAGAGGTGGACATTTCTCATGCCGAACCTGCTGGAAACTATGGCAGACTTCCCTGTCTTCAGTCCCTTCACTTGACATGTCTATGTAATAGAGTCTCAGGCAATAACACCATTCAAAAATAATGTAGTAATAATTTGCAGTGGTTTTATCATCCTGATCCAGGACCTGTATATGGATTCTCTGACCCACTTCCTTCTCCTATTGATCTTCATCTTGCCTCTCACATACATTATAAATCCGCCAAGTGGCATGCCGTGCTGCTCTTCTGTAACATGAATTTATGCTAATGGCTGTCTGCATATGCTTATATCACATATCTATATTAAGCTTAATAGTCTGTTACATTGCTTCTTAACCCTGTGTCCACACATGATTAACTTTCCTGATTTCTTTCAAAACCGTTAACACAGCATTGCATTTTACTCAACATGCCACTAAGTTTCTCTGCCTAATGCTGGAGTTGGGGGCATTATAAAACCCCCCAGCTTTTGCAAGCAAAAAGGCATCTAAAAAACTTAGGATGCATGAAAATAATCTCCTTTTTGTGTGTTTGTACAACTTGAAGCTGGCAAAAGCTTAAAGCCTAACTCAGACAGGAGACAAACTCCAACTGGTCTTCCGGGAGTTCACAGAAAAGGGTAGAAAAAACTTACCAAGAAATAGGAGTGCTGGGATGGTGCCAACCAGTGTGTAATGTGCCAATCCTTATTAAAGTTTATCTTTGAGGAATTTTAGAGGAATTTGAAAATATGGCACTAAGGGCCGGGCATGGTGACTCACATCTGTAATCTCAGCACTTTGGAAGGCCAACGCAGGCGGATCTCTTAAGGTCAGGAGTTTGAGACCAGCCTGGCCAACATGGTGAAACCCTGTCTCTACTACAAATACAGAAAATTAGCCGAGTATAGTGGTGTACGCCTGTAGTCCCAGCTACTCAGGGATCTGAGGCAGGAGAATTCCTTGAACCTGGGAGGCGGAAGTTGCAGTGAGCCAAGATTGGGCCGCTGCACTCTAGCCTGGGTGACAGAATGACACTCTGTCTCAAAAAAAAAAAAAAAAAATTAAATTAAAATATGGCACTAAGATATCTGAAATGTTCCACGAAGCCTCCCAGTGGAGTAAGAACAAATAATTCTAAAGTTTTTGGAATCTTCCTCCTTATTACTACAGCATTTAGGTCAAGTGAATGAGAGTATCCAAGCTACCAAAAATTCCCAGGGAAAAAAATAATCATGAAAGCATATGTCAAGAAATATTCTAGGTGCATTCTCTTCATCCAATAAGCTTATAGAATCTAAAGGGAGCTTGTAAATCCTGAAAGGGTCAAAGTTTGAGGCCAATTATGTAGCCGTAAGGCCCTGTACTGTCAGAAATTAGAACTTTTATAAATGCAAGAAGAGTAGAAATTTGCCACACATCAAACAACCCATAGGTTATGATTTCAGTGAAAAGTTCTTTATGTAGTACACAAACTTTGTCCACTACAGTCAATAAAGTTTGGGCTGAAAAAATTATATAATACCATATGGATGATGAAAAAACAGAAATTACGATTTTCCCAAAATTGTTTGTGTATGTGTGCATGCTCTACAAGTACTTCACATACACACATAGTTATGTATATTACTCGACAGATAGCATATGCAATTAGGATAGTTCCATACATTGACCCATGAGGTCTTCCACAAATAGGAACCAATGTTGTTATGCCCACTGCTGCCAAAGGTACTGATCTCTTCAAGAAAAGCTAAAATTATATTTATAGGAAATATTCTTATTTTTCAAATTGATATCATACAGGCCAAAGAAAAATAAAGCTGGTTAGAGACTGACTTCAGCCCAAAGACTGCCTGCTTGCCAGCGTTGGCTTGAGCCCTCCACACATACCATTGTCTGATGAAATCCCAAGGTCCTCATTGGTTGCTATTTGCAGAAAGCCTCATGGGTCCCTTCGGTCTTCAGTACACTTAATTTGAGGTTAAATCTTATGGCAAGCTGGACTCTGAAGATAAAGAAGATCTAATTTTTGAGCTTCTTCAAATATTTGAGGAACCGAATAAGCTGCCAAAGGTCCCAGAGAGTCTTGATCAGTCTGAGGATCATTATTGAACCATTTTGTCTAGTATGGGAAATATACATCTTTCAGCTTTTCTTCATAGGATGCCTTGCTCATTTGTATGCATAAACTTCTATTACATCTTGTTTTACCCTAATAACTGGTCTGCACTATAGATTTTTGTCTTTGCTGATGACATTTATATCTGACTCTGAGATTGCTGAGGATCAAGATTTATCCATTAATTAAACATATCATGCTACCTATAACAAGGAAGTACCATCAAATCTACTCTGCAAAATGAAAAGTGTGAAAATTCAATGATTCTATGAATTCCCCATTAAAAAATATTTCTGCACTTACCTTCATCAATACCATTTATGGGACAAGATACACATACTGTAAGACAGAGCTTAAGATATATTTCATACTAAAATACTACAATACACTTCCCGTGTGTTTAAAATGTTGTCATCTCATGCACAACACAGTACATATTAAATATGTCTGGTTGTATAGTATTTATTTGTTATGCGTTGATGTTTACTTCAAAAGCATATGTGATGCATATGCTAAATAAATAAAAGAAAACTTGTTTGCTATCAGATCAAAAATATCTCTGGTAGTGAAACATGCTTTCATTTTAATAAAGATGTTTTATTAGATTTCAGAACTAAATAAATGATTCATAATGCTTGGACCCTAAGACATCTTCCTGTGAAAAAGTTGGCTTGATTTCACTTTCCTTTTGTCTCTGCAAAATCCATGTGTTCATTTCACGATTGTATTTGAAACAAAATGCTTGAGAGAGTGTTTTTACCACGTTGCATTAATGAGACCATAAGATTTTTTTAAACCAAATTTTCAAATGACTGCCTGCTAATTTCCAATTGCTTTTTACATTACCCTTTTTTCTCATTTGTAACTCTGCTGCAAATTCACAGAATAAGAGTAATAGTAACAACTACAATAAAAAGAATTTTAATTGCCCAGTAGTAAGTTCAGTCAATTCTAGCAGGTATATGGGCAATTTCAAATATAATCTGTGAGTTATCATATGGGAAACATTTTTCAGAAACAAGGAGGTCATTTTTATTTATAAGTCAGTTAACATCAACTGATGTCTTAAGGACATTTTGCTATACTTTTGATAGTTGAATACTTTTTCCTTATTAACAACTGAGAGTTATTCCAATAAACATGATAGAAACCAGAATATCTGGGTTTTTCATGACCAAAGTGATAAGGTTAAGAAAATACATAGATTTTGATCAAAACACCGAAGATAAAGATTTGTGAAACACTGGGTAGAAAGTTATCAATTAAAACACAATGAAGACACCAGATACTAAGAGACGATCACAATTCTTCATGTCAAATACCGAACTATGGCTCCTTTACCAGTAACTCATATGCTTCAGGTTGTTTTTCCATTTGCCCTTTTAACTAACATTTTCTTTGATTGAACAGACATACTTTGCTCAAGGATGAAATTTCATTTAGAGCAACATTTCCCAAAATTAGATCTCCGGGGGGAAAGATTTTGAAATCCATTAAGTGAAGATAAACATTTACACTCACACACTTGAAGTGTCATACAGCTATTGGTGTGTTAAGAGCAAAGGAGAAAGCTGTTTAATGTTTTTATTTCAGTGCGTCCTGAGTATTTGTCCAAGGGAACTTAATTTTGAGTAACACCTGTTAGACAGGAAAGGGTTAACTCAGGAGGCCTGGGTTGCTCGAACACTGGACATCCCAGAAAAACGCCTATTTTCAGGAATGGCTCGTAGCCAGTGGCTTATGAAAGATAAGCTCTGAGCCCTTGGAATATTCTGCCTGATAAGAGTAGTTTACATCCCTGAGGTCGTTGTTGCTGTTTTTATATCGAATGTCTGTTTTCGTATGCCTCAGGCTTTGGACTGTGCTGTATCAGTTTGACTAGATAAATTTATCCTAACAATGTGACCTTCAGAAAACACCTATTTTTATTTATTCTAACATTTCTTATGGTGAACTCTATGGTGGGACTGGAGTCTGAGTAGCTGAGGTCAGTCCTGAGGGCATTCCATGCCTACATGATTGACCCTCAATAAAAACCTTGGATAGCAAAGCTCAAGTAAGCTTCCTTGGTTAGCACCACATACATGTGGTCACTTGCCAGTGCTGAGGGCATTAAGCAGGTCCTCTTGGATCTATGAGGAGGGGATACCTGAAATCTTGCCTCTGGTTTCTCCTGGACTGTATCCCAGCCTTATCCCTTTGCTGATTTTAACTTGTATTCTTTGCTGTAATAAATTATAACCATGAGTATAACATTTTTTTCTATGTCCTTTGAGTTCTTCTAGCAAGTTGTCTAGCATGTTGTCAAGGGTAGACTTGCTAGAAGCACCTACCCTTATTAATAAGTAGAAGCACCTACTTATTAATATTCCACAGAAATGAATTTGGGGGACAAAGGTTAAAGCTATCTGTAACCTACTGAACTAAAAAGCAATTTTTAAAAGAGTGATAATAAAGTTAATATTGAATACCCTTTGATGTGAACTTAGGAGGAAAAAGAAGAAACCATAAAGCAGTCTTGATATGAAAGCAATCTTTGGTAGCTTTGACTCTGGCTTGGGGATATTCTATTCCTCAAATGTAAAAGATAAGGATATCTAACTTTTAATAGATGGTATGGTTTGGCTCTGTGTCCCCACCCAAATTTCATGTGGAATTGTAATTCCCAATATTGGGGGAGAGTCCTGGTGGGAGGTGATTGAAACATGGGGGCCAGACTTCCCCCTTGCTTTTCTTGTGATAGAGTTCTTATGAGATCTGATAGTTTAAAAGTGTGTGACACTTCCCCATTTGCTGTCTTCTCTCTCTCTCTCCTGTCACAATGAGAAATGCCTTGCTTCCTTTTCATCCTCTGTCATGATTGTAAGTTTCCTGAGGTCTCCCACTCATGCTTCCTGTTAAGCCTCTGAAACTGTGAGTCAATTAAACCTCTTTTCTTCATAAATTACCCAGTCTCAGGTGGTTCTTTATAGCAGTGTGAGAATGGACTTATACAGTAGGAATGCATGTGAATGTGCCATACACATATGCTGACATACATGGTTATACACACATTTAAAAATTCAACATGTTTTTTTACCAATGTATGAAACAAACACATATAACAAAATAAAGCCTTTAATGAATGATATCTGAACTACAGTTTATCAATTTGGTTTCAGCTAACTGCCAAAATAGAGAATAATTTTTATTAATTAACCTTAATTCTCATTCAGAAACTGACTTAAAGAAAAGTCAAGCAGTAAAGCACAGCTTTGGAAAATGTGCCCCCTGTACTTGACATATACTGGTAAATTGACAACTGAGGTACCTCAGATTCATTACAAACCATTTGTAAATTAATTTATTATTATTATTATTATTATTATTTTACTGTTTAAGTAGTGGTTGAACAATCAAGAACAAACATGAATCAGGTAGGCACCCCAATGGAATTAACTCTTTTATTGGCCATTCTCTGGGATAAAACAAGCATTGGTGATGAAACCAGATAAGAGAGAGGCAAATATAGCAGAATGTTACACCCTTATTGCAATTGAGTCAATTGTATAGAAGAATAAAAAATGGAAAAAGAAATTAGACTTTTCACTAGTGGAAAAAAATGACTAGGCAACTCTGGGATATGTTACAACAAGCTTCTGAATAAAATAAATAGGAAGTATTTTTCAGGCTGTGGGGATTGAATGAATGCAATCAATCTTCCTTGCGCGGGAACTGCATCACTCCTACCCACAACCTCCCTCTCGTGAATTAAAATCTCACAGCAACTCACCCTATAGGCAGTAGTCAGGCTTGAGCAATGGCCACTTAACCAGGACAATACCTGGCATATAACCCAGTCAGACCCACAATAGCAGTGCATTTTGTTATGATCCTTTCCTGCAGTAAACAATTTTCCAGACATATTCTCTGTCTTCCCTACATTAGGTATATTGGACATATATGCATAATCGCTCTCGCTTTAGTAATAAGAACGTTGCATTATTTCCAACGTCAAAAGCTGACCATATTTTCTTTTGAATTTTTTTTTTTAAGATCCTAACTCTATATAGTATAGTTATCTGTGTCCCTGGGACATATATCTTAGTTAGACGTGTTATAAATATGATAGAATTTATTAAATAGATCCAACACAGGTGGCTGGCTTTGAAACACTTCTGCATTCATTCCATTCAACAAATATGTATTAAGCATACCATACAAAAAACATGTACCACAGGCCGTAAAGATGAGGTATTAATTGCCTTGGATTCCAACATATGCATAATGCTGTTATGAGTGACACACATCATTATGATGAAAGGCAAAACAGATTTTAAAAATTATAGACAAAAAATTATATTTCTGGAAACACAATTGTAAGTATTTACAATGACCCTTCTTCCTGCTACTGGAAAGGAAGGTTCTCATTGATGGGTCACTGGCTTTGGCCTAAGTGGTACAATGGAAAGACTTGCACCACTGGGGAAGCCCAGGGAGTTCATAATGCCAAATGGGCAAGTACGAGGGAGAGAGACACATAACTAAATGGAAAAATCAGGCAAGAGAGGGAAGATGGATTGCTTGAGAAAGGCAGGGAATGAGGATGAGTGCAAAAAGACACAGAAAGTTAAAGAGTAGGAAGGTGATAATTACTTGGGCATTTAGCACAAAATAAGTAGTTGGAAAAAATATCTAAAAATTATCTTAAAGATGTTTTGCTGCAAGATGTGGTCTGAACTCCATCCATATCCCTAATAAATATTCATTAAAAATCTACATTACTCTTCAATTGAGTTGTTGGAGATTTTAAAACTATTTTATTTGTATTCATTATGCCATACATAATAGGTACTCGACAACTGTTTGTTAAATTGAATCCTCTTTTGTACTCAATTCCATGAGCACAGTTCAATTTCAAGTCTGTTATGCATAGCACAGAATTGACAATAGGGAAATGTAATTGGGTGATGTCCTTTTCTCAATGCAAGAACTTAGTGCATCTTTAATTTTGATTGGGGAGCAATTAACCTGGTAGATAGGAAAACTGGAGGGATATTGCAAGCTGGCAGCCAGCTGGGGAGCCGTGCTTGGGATCACATAGGCTACTGACATGTGACAACTATATACAACCTAGGGTCAGTCATGCGATCAAAGAGATTCACTCGTCTCTTAAGCTGAGCAGACAGCATTTGAAAGAATTTCTAGATAAGTTGCTGTATCAGGGATAAACAACTAGTTTCTCATCCCTAAAATCTCAGATTTCTTCCAGATGGTATACTTTAGGCAGTGGTGTGATAGCAAATCAGCCTGTTGGAAAAAGGAGAATAAATTAATACTATAATAAATAAAAGGCCTGACTTGTAGCATTTGCCAATTTCTGTGCTGTAAATATTTTCACCATGGCTGGTTTAACAACCAACTCACAGATCTCCTAAATAATTAAAAACTGGTCCTCAAAGGCTGGGCGTGGTGGCTCACGCCTGTAATCCCAGCACTTTGGGAGGCAGAGGCTGGCAGATCACAAGGTCAAGAGATCGAGGCCATCCTGGCCAATATGGTGAAACCCCGTCTCTACTGAAAATTCAAAAATTAGCTGGGTGTGGTGGTGCATGCCTGTAGTCCCAGCTACTTGGGAGGCTGAGGCAGGAGAATCACTTGAACCCAGGAGGCGGACGTTGCAGTGAGCTGAGATCGCGCCACTGTACTCCAGCCTGGCGACAAAGGGAGACTCCGTCTCAAGAAAAAGAAAAACCAAACCAAACAAAAAAAACTGGTGCTCGAACACCAGCCCCCACCCACTTCAAAAGATAAGTTCTGGTGCTCTGAGTTGGTGAGAGGGCTCCCAGGTGCCCATAGCCAGGACCTAAGTCAAACTTGAAGCTCCCAAATCTAGGGTCTAGGGGAAAGTTCCTAGGCTACTTACCATGGTCATCTTCTTTGACCCAGCTCCCTCCTGGAATAGAGGGGTCCTGACAATGAGGACATTGCTGTGGCCAAATATATCTTGCCATGACCAAGACAGAAATTTAGACAAACCAATAGTAGGAAGGGGTATCTGTATGTTTTGTGTGTGTGTGTTTCACCCTATATTTAGATACTTTTTTTCTTAACTTTTCTAGACCTCCACATCTCCATAGGCAAAACCAAAATAATGTTACGTGCAAATTATGAGGATAGTGAATTAAGCTAGATTTTTAAAAAATAGCATGTTGAGTCACAGGATATATCATTGTTTGGTATCTATAAGACCAAACTGTGAACTAGGTAGAATGCCTTAAACAGAAGAATGGAATAGACATTTGTACTGTCTTATCAGATAAAATAAAAGCAGTTGAAGGAAAGAAAAGTTGCTGAGGCAGCTAAGGAGAGAATTGGGGCTGGAGAGAGGACTGGAGAGTTCACTCTGATTGCACAGCTCAAGTGTGGGCCATGGTTGGAGGCCTCAGTGACTGCGATCTGACATTTCTGTCAAAAGATGCCTTATCTTGCCCCTTCCCTTCCCTTCTCATCTTCTTTCCCTTTCAGCTGTGAATAGTGAGAAAATGACAGAAGACAATGTGCTAGTTTACAGCATTTTACACTGGACTCCTTTTTCTTTGCCTTTGACTTGTGAATGACTGAGAATTGTTTTATTGTGAAAAGTTTCTCAGAGAAAAGGACTTTTATTTTACCTAATAATGCAAGACTGGACAGCAGGCAAACAGTCAGCGCCTTGTTTCCAGCTGCCACTCAGACGCTGAAATTAAGAGGGGCTCAGGAGGGGCGCTGCCTCTGCCTCTCCAGCCTTCCAGCCACCGGCCACACATACAGGAGGTAGAAACACTTCATGGATAAGCCACTCACTTCTGTATAATTCCACCTTTAATTTGTCAGGCAAAATATCAGGGCCGTTTAGCATCAAAATGAGAACCTCTTCTGAAAGCTTAATTCTCAGTGGGCTTGGAACAGAGGGAGAAGAAAAAGTACTGCAATTTGTCCCCTTTTATAATGATGTGCTAAGATAGAAAAAGGGGAGGGATGGAGAGCTACCAGGGGTGCTCCTGTTGAAAAACAGACACTGAAACTCATTTGCACGAATGTTTTAACCACAGATTTATACTTGATAGCTAAATGTCAACCATTTACAACTTAATCAGGACTTTTTAACCCTTCACTGTCAAAATGGGCATTAAGATAAAAAATTATCTTAGTATAGAAGGGAATCTAAAATGAGTAACGGGGCAAGCCGCATATGTAAACATGAATTAGGATCCTTAAAAGAGAAAAAAATATATGAAAGTATTATGTCCAATGTTATAGTAACAATTGCTGTCTTCAGCAACCAGGACTAAAGCCTTTTCCTAGAGGGTTTTCTAACTTAGATAACTACAAAGAGTAAGTTCCCTTTAGGTCCGTCTTCACAGAATTCACTTGTAAAAAAAGTAATTCAGTAAAAAGTAAACTCAAAAAGTAAAAAGAAGTATTGATGTTATTTGCTTAATTTTACAGGGTTTCTTAGTGGGTCTCAATATGCAGAGGTTCAAGAAATACAATATAAGCAAATATATAAAAATTCCATTTTTTGGAGTTCCATTTAAAATGCTAAACTGACAATAATTTAATTGATTTCACAAGTTGAATTAGAAAAATTATGAACCTTTGTGTGATTTAGTGTTACATGTATGTGTGTCTCTTTTCATTTATGACTTGATCTTTGTGTTCATTTCTGCAGGAACCTGTGTTCAAGCCTTCGGGGAAAAATATTATAAACAAATTGGTCATCTTATTACAGAAAGGGAACTGAAATATTATCCAACTGTTTATAACAGCATCCTAAATTTAAGACAGGATTTCGTTTTGATTATTAAGCTCATCTTCTACATGGCAAAATATACTCATGAAAACAAATATAACCAGGCATCATTTTTGTATGTGTGTACAGAAAATGCTTATTATCCAAAATCAAGAAAATATAAGTTCAGGGACCACTCCATTAATATGGGTCCCTAAACAACATTTTAAAGTAGATTAAATGTAGGTTTTTAAGGGTTCATACCTTTCTCACAATAAACCAGGCCCTAATTGGCTGGTGTTGTACACAGGCGGAGGCTGGAGGAGGGAATGGAGGTTATATGATGGGTGCAGCAAAGCAGAAAAGAGTCAGGGTGAAATGTCATCAATTTCATGTTATCTAGAGTCAATACGAGGCAGTATAATATTCAAACGAGATTGGGTGCATTCGGGGTAGTATGGGTGTAGAAAAGATTAACTTTTCAGTTGAGCAGCACAATATTCAACCCGCCTTTTTACATCTTTTTTTTTTTTTTTTTGGCAGAAGCAGAAGTATCCATCACCATATTTATTGTAAAAAGGGATCTTCTCACAATATATGCAAAGTAGACAAATTTAAGAAACCCATAAAGGGACTGTTTCTAAACTGGTCACATTTGGTGTGGACAGGCAGGTGTGTAAGGAAACATTATGCTCTAAATTCTATAATAGATAGATGAACAAAACCCCATGAAAGACCTAAAGAAGAAAAAATTAGCACCAAAAGCAGGGATTGGAAAATCCTTTGTACACAGAAAATGTTACAACATTGGATTCCATAGTCCTAAACTTCAGACGAGGGTGAGGAAACAGTTACATGAAAATTACTGCTATTGTATTCTATTTCCAGTAATACCAGAGTAAGCACCCTGCAGACTGACTCATGTTCAGAAAATCAGTAAAAACCTTCATATAAGACAAATGCAGTAGGCAGACTCTGGTGGAGAATACATACTCCAAGCAGGGGAATCAAATGAAGTTAGTTCTCATTTTTTTCGACTGCTGGACACATGAGAAAAAAGGGATTCCTACTTGGTGAACCAAAAACTTAAAACCAGGGGATCCATGACCACAATAGAAATTGGGAAACTCACAGAATGAAAAGAGCCAGAAATAGAATGTTCAAAGTCTGTCCATCCACATCACTGAATAACTCTAAACCATGCATCAGTGTAACTGACTGAAAGCAGCACAGATAAAATCAAAAGATTTGAACAGAGACCCAAGCTAATGCCTAAAATGGTGTTTGTAGTTTAAGCCCAGCCAAGATAATTTCCTGCTGAAACAAAGGAAACAACATTAATCAGAGAAAAATAAAGAACCCAGAATCTCCACATGTTAACACTCATAATGTCTAAAACACAATTTAAAAGTACCTGACATATAAGGAAGCAGGAAAATAGAAACTGTTTTCAAGAGAAAAGAAATCAAGTCACTTATTTCAAGATGACCCAGATACTACAAAAATCAGGCAAGGATTTGAAAGCAGCATAGGTAACTATTCTCACTTAAGTAAAATTATATATACACATTATAAGTGAAAAAGATGGAAAATAGTAAGAATTGACTTTAGAGAGAAAAAATGATTAAATAAAAGAATCATGGTCAAAACATAAGCTACCTACAAAAGACACACTTTAAGCATAAAGATATAGATAGACCAAAAGTAAATGGATAGCTAGACCATGCAAAACAATATGCATAAAAATGCCAAAGTGGCTTTATTAATATCAGATAAAATAGACTTCAAGACAGAAAGTATTATCAGGGATAAGAGGGACATTTTATGATGATAAAAGAATCAATTAATCAAGAAGACACAACAATTATAAATGTATTTATACCTTATAATATCACTCAAAACAGTTAAGTAAAAATTAACCAAATTTAAAAAGAGAAACAAGACAATTCTACAATCATAGCTATAGATTGTAGAATCTATTATGTACAATCATAGTTTAACATCATTTTCTCAACAACTGATGAAACAACTATACAAACTCAACAAAGGAGCTGAATAACACTATGAGATACTTTGACTTGAATACTTATGGAACATTAAAAACATACAGAATACACATTCCTTTCAAGGGTACATAGTATATTTACCAATAGACCATATGATAGATCATAAAACAAGTCTCAATACCTTAGAAAAGACGGAAAACATACTCTGTACTGAAAACATACTCTGTGCAACAAACTGAGATTTACACTAGAAAATGATAATCATAGTAATCAGAAAAAACACCAAATATATGAAAATTAAGGAACATAATTCTAGTAATTTATTAAAAAGGAGAAATTACATGATAATCTATAATCTAGAGAAAAAGTTTTAAGAGAAATCAGAAAATATTTTGAATGATTATACAGTGTATAAAAATTTGAGAGATGCAGATAATGCAGTACTTAGAGGAAATTTTATAGCTTTAAATATTTGTCTTAATAAAGAAGAAACACACAAATCTGATCATCTGAGATTCCACCTTAAGAAATTACTACAAGAAACACTAATTAACCACAATGTATATAAAAAATAAATTATAGGAGCAGAAGTCAATGGAATAGAAAATGAAGAAATAATAGAAAAGTTATGAAGCCAAAAACTGGTTATTTACAGAGATTAAAGCAATTATATATTTAGAAAAATGATCTAGGGGGAAAAAGGAGAAATAAAATTATCAATACTAGGAATAAAAGAAGGGACATCGCTACAGATTATGCAAATAGTCAAAAGATAAGAAAATGCTATGAACAACTTTATGCCAATAAATTCGACAATCTACATGAAATAGACAAATTCCTTTAAAGGTAAAGACTACCAACTGATTCAGAAAAAATCTAAAACTCGAATATCTCTATATCAATTTTTTAAATGCAAATTTGATCGTCTCCAAGCCCACCCTCAGTTTTGATAATTTGCTAGAAGTTCTCACAGAACTCATGGAAGCTGTTATACTAATGGTTATCGTGGTTTATTATAGTAAAAGTACACAGATTAAAAATGAGCCACGGGAAGAGACTAGTGGGGCAGATTACAAGAAACTTCCAGGAGCAGAGCTTCAAGTTGTCCTCTGCCAATGAAGTCACAGACGGTGCTAATTTTATCCAGATATGATGCCTGTCAAAATATACAAAATATTGCCAAATCAGGAAAATTCATCCAAGCCTTGTTACCCAGAATTCTGGGGTGACTCAGCCATGTAGATATAGATGTCATTAACTACGCATGTGGCTGACCTTTAGGCTCTAGCACTTATACAGGTAGAATGGATATCATGTGGCTCAAAGCTCCACCATAAATTACCCTGTTAGACTACCAGACTACCCGGTGTGGCCCAAAGCCTCCAGATAAATAATGACACTCTTATCAGGCAGGACATTCCAAGGCTTAGAGATCACTCCTCAGGAGCCTAGGTCAAAAGATAGACTCCTATTTGGATAGGCAAATTATTTATTACACACTCACTAACAAAACCCCAGGTCTAGGTATATGTATTGATAAATACTATTAAATAGTTAAGAAATGAATAATACTAATTCTATAAAAACTCTTTTACTGAATAGAGAAGGAATACTTTTCATGTCATTTTAGTAGGACTGTAGAACTGTGATGCCAAAATGAGACAAAGACATTAGCTTCAAATATAAACAGAAAAATCCTTAACAAATACTAGCAAATTAAATCCAACAATACATAAAGAGGATAATACATTATAACCAAGTGGGATATATTCCAGCAATGCAATGTTGCTTCAACACTTGAAAAAACAATCAATATAGCTCCTCTAATTAATAGAAAAAAAAGAGAAAACCACAGGACCATTGAACTAGTTGAAGAAAAAACATCATCTGACATAATCTGATACTTGTTCATGAATAAAAGAAAACCTTAGCAAACTAAAAATAGAAAAAAACTTCCTCAAGCTAAAAAGAAATGTGAGAAAATAAACATTAAATTATACTCAACAGTGAATGGATCAATCTTTTCTACCTAGAATGAATAAACAAGGCAAGAATGTCTACTCATTACTTACTGTCAACATTGTCCTGCATCCTTAGCCAGAAAATTAAGGTAAGATAAAGGGCATACAGTTTGAAAGGGTAAAATCAAACTGCCCTTATTCAAAAATGCCATTAACAGTTTGCAGAAAAAATCCTAAGAAATCTAAAACAAAACAAAAACCCTGCTAAAATAAAAGTTAATTTAATAAGGTTAAAAGATACAAGGTCTATATACAGAAATAAGCAAACAAAAGCAAAAATTAAATTATACTTCTGTGTACTAGCAGTGACCAATTAAAAATGAAATTTTAAAAATGTCTACACATAATTTAATTGAAAAATTAAAATACATTGTAATAACTTAAAAGATATGCAAGTTTGGACACAGAAAACTGTAAAACGCTGCAAAATAAAGTTAAAGAAGATTTAAAATAATAAAGAGATATACAAGATTCATGAATCAGAAAAGTAGAGTTGGAACACTGACTTTTGATAAAGATGCCAAGGTAATTCCATGGGGAAAAATGGTTTTCTAAGAAATGGTGCTGAAACAAATGAATATCTGTATGAGAAAAAGTCAATTTCGACATCCCTTGCATCACAAACAAAAATGGATCATATATGATAAAGCTAGTAAGTATATAAAGAAAAACAGACAAAAACCCTATAATCTTGGCTTAGGTGAAGACTTCTTAAATAGGACACAAAAAGCACAACCCCTCGAAATGATGAAAATAATATTATCATTATTATTAAAATGACTTTAAAATTAAAACTTTTTCTCTTTTGAAGATGAAGGGATGAAAACAAAAAGGAGGTAGAAAAATCATCAAAGATGGTGGATTAGAGGCTGATTAAAGCTAGTGTATATATAACAAAAAAATTTTTTTAAACCTATAATATTGCATTAGGTCAAGGTTTCTCAAATAGGGCAAAAACAAAACAAAACAAAAAACAAAAAAACCCACAACCCTAAGAATGTTTTCTTTTTAAAAAATGAAGGTAAGTAAACAAAAAGAGAGAGAGAACATCACCAAAGAAGGTGGATTAGACGCTTTTAGCATACCTCAGCCACTTGGAAATAGCAAAATACTACATAAAGATCAAGTTTGTAAGCTTTAATTCAAGAAGACAGAAGTCACTGGAATCATAAAGGAGACCCCACATCCCAGGAAGGCGATTGCTAACAAAAAAGATCCTGTGATGCCATCCAACTGATAAAAGTAAGTGAAGCCCCAGTACATGAGAAAGGCAAAGAGCCTCCCTCTGTGACTCACTTTCCACTGGGGATTTGAGCAATCCAGGCCAAGGGAGAGCACTTTGTTACTCCCAAGTCCCGGAGCTAACTTGTGGAGAGGTTTGGAGACACTGTGAGGAAAAGACACCAGGAAAAGCTGCAGATATTTTCTCAGACCCCGGGGCCAGCAGCAGGATGCCATTTTAATCCAGGTACATACAAAGTCAGTCATTCTTGTGGTGGCCCAGTAGTGTGGCCATGCAGGCATTTTAGTCTTGGGTCAGAGATCAAAACACCTGCTCTGGAGTGCATCAGGGGCCTTCGCAGCTAGAACTGTGGAAGGCACCTCAGCAGAAGGAGATGGAATTGTGCAGCCCCCCACCAAAAGCCTGGAGTTGGAGGAAAGCTGCCACAGCTGCAGTTTCTTTGGGGTAGCAAGACTTGCAGCCAGGACCAGCTTGGTGACATGGTACTGTATGTGCTGGGTGCTCCAGCCAGCTCCCCTGAGATCATAGTGCCACAGGGTCCTCTCCACTTTAGCCTCAGGCAGACATCCAGACATTTAGAACACTTGTTTGCCTGGACCAGCAGGCTGAGTCATCTCATCCTTCACAGACATAAACTGTGATGCAGAGGGGCCTTCTGTGTTTCATGCACAGGCAGATCTCCAAGTATTTGGAGCACCTGCTTACTGGTATTAGCAGCCTGAGCTCCCACATCCTTCCTGTGCAGAGATCCTGGTGCAGGGGAGGCCCTTTCTGCTACACATGCAGGCAGATCTCCAGGCATTCAGAACCCATGCTTGTCTAGTTCCAAAGCCTGAGTTGGCCCACCTTCCTGTGCAGAGATCGTGGTGCAGAGGGGTCCTTTCTGCTCCATGCTCAAGCAGATCTCCAGGCATTCAGAGCACCCACTCACTTGGATAAACAGCCTGGTAAGTCCCACCCTTCCTGTGCAGAGATTTGTGTGGAGAGAGGCCCTCCCCAACCATGCCCAGGCAGATCTCCAGGCATTTGGAGCACCCATTCTCCTGGATTAGGAGTTTAGGCTGTCTCCCATCCTTATGCAGAGAACTTGGGGATAGGAAGATTCCCAGCTCCACACCTAGGCACACTTTTGGGTGCTTGGTGGCCACCCAGTGGATTCTCCCTCAGTACTGGTGATCATGGCTGCCATCAGGGAACCTGTAGGGGGACCTATCTGGTCTGGCTCTGCCCATCATGGTCCCTGCCACAACAAGACAGATCAGGGAGCTCAGACCACTGTGCATTCTATGAATCACCCCAATGCCTGAGGCAACAGAGACCGTCTGTCAGTAAACAAAGATCAAGAATATGCTTAGCCATGTTGGATATATCACCAGACTGTCCAAAGTCAATATTAAAGAAAGTGTCTTAAAGGCAACTAGAGACAAAAGTCAGATTATGTACAAAGGGAACCTCATCAGGCCAAAAGTGGACTTCTCACCAGAAACCTTACAAGCTAGGAAAGATTGGGGGCCTATTTTCAGCATTTATAGAGAAAAGAAATCCCAACCAATAATTCCATATTCTATCAAACTAAGCTTCGTAAGTGAAGAATAAATGAAATATTTTCCAGACAAGCAAGTGCCAAGAGAATTTGTTACCACTAGACCAGCCTTGTGAAAGATCCCTAAGAATGTTCTAAATATAGAAACAAGAGAATGATGCCTGCTACCACAATAACACATATACATAGTGCACATACATATATACATACATACACAGAATACATAGGGTACATAGCCCACAGACCCTGTGAAGCAACCACACAATAGAAACTACAAAGCAACCAGCTAACAACTTCACAGTAGGATCAAAACCTCATATTATCAATATTAACCTTGAATGTAAATGGTCTAAATGTCCCACTGAAAAGTCACAGATTGGCAAGTTAGATAAATATACAAGAGTCATCCATGTGCTGTCTTCAAGGGACTTATGACACATGTAATGACACCCATAGGTTCAAAGTAAAGAGTTCACAAAAGATCTACCACACAAAAGGAAAACAAAAAAGAACAGGAGTCACTATTGTTATATCAAATAAAACAGACTTTAACCCAACAACATCAAAAAAAAAAAAGACCAAAAAGGGCATTACATAAAGATAAAGATTTCATTTCAACAAGAAGACTTAACTATCCTAAATATATATGCACCCAACATTGGGGCACCTAGATTCATAAAACAAGTACTTCTAGACCTACAAAAAGACTTAGCCACACAAAAACAGTGGTGGACTTCAACACCCAACTGACAGAATCATATAGATCACTGAGGCAGAAAACTAACAAAAAACCTCTGGGCTTAAACTTGACACTTGACTACTGGACCAAATAGATATCTACAGAATAGCCCACTCATCAACTACAGAATATACATTCTTCTCTTCTGTACATAGAACATACTTCAAGTTCTACCACATGTTTGGCCATAAAGTGAGTCTCAAAAAATTTTTAAAAATCCAAATCATATCAACCATACTCTTGAACCACAGTAAAGTAAAAATATAATTCAATATAAAGAAGATTTCTTAAAACCACACAGTTACATGAAAATTAAACAATTTTCTCCTGAATGACTTTCGGGTAAACAGTGAAATTAAGGCAAAGGTCAAAAAATTATTTGAAATAAATGAAAACAGACACAACATACCAAAATCTCTGGGACACAGCAAAAGCACTGGCAAGAAGAAAGTGTACAGTGCTAAACATCTATCTCAAGAAGTTAGAAAGAGCTCAGATTAATGAACTAGCACCCCAGCTAGAGGAACTAGAAAAACAAATACAAAGTAACCCCAAAGCTAGCAGAAGAAAAGAAACACTAAAATCAGAGCCAAACTCTTGAAAATTGGGACCTAAAAATTCATACAAAGACTCAAAAAAATCCCAAAAGTTTGTTTGCTGAAAGAATAATCAAGACTGACAGACTGCTAGGTAGATTAACAAAGAAAAAAGAGAGAAGATCCAAATAAGCAAAATCAGAAATTTAAAGATTTAAATGTAAGACCTTAAACTATAAAACCCTAGAAGAAAACATACCCTTCTTGACGTTGACCTTGGCAAAGAATTTATGGCTAAGCCTCCAAAGTCAATTGCAACAAAAACAAAAATTGACTAGTGGGATCTAATCAAACTAAAGAGATTCTGCCCAGCAAAAGAAACTACCAACAGAGTAAACAATCTACAGAAACAGAGAAAAAAATGTCCGAACTATGCATCCAGCAGAGGTCTAAAATCCAGAATCTATAAGAAACCTAAATCAACAAGCAATAAGCAAATAACCCCATTAAAAAATGGGCAAAGGATATGAACAGACACTTCTCAAAAGAAGACATACAAGTGGCCAACAAATATATGAAAAAATGGTCAACATCACTAATCACCAAATCAATACCACAATGAGATATCATCTCACACCAGTCAGAATGGCTATTACTAAAATGTCAGAAAACAACAGCAACAACATATGCTGCCAAGGCTGTAGAGAAAAGGGAATGTTTATATACTGTTGGTGGGAATGTAAATCAGTTCAGCCACTGTGGAAAGCAGTTTGGAGAATTCCCAAAGAACTCAGAACTGCCAATCAACCCAGCAATCTCATCACTGGGTATATATCCAAAAGACAATAAATCATTCTACCAAAAAGACATACACACTCATATGTTCATTGTAGCACTATTTACAAATAGCAATGGCATGGAATCAACTAGATTCTCATCAATGACAAACTGGATAAAGAAAATGTGGTACATATACAGCATGGAATACTATACGGTCATAAAAAAGTGAAATCACGTCCTTTGCAGCAACATAGATGGAGCTGGAAGCCATTATCCTTTGCTAATTTACACAGGAACAGAAAATCAAATACTGCATGTTCTCACTTATAAGTGGGAGCTAAACATTGGGTACTCATGAGCATAAAGAGGGCAACAATAGAAACTAGGGAAGGAAGGGAGGAAGGCAAGGGTTCAGAAATGGACTATTGGGTACTACAATCAGTACCTGGGTGGCGGGATCAATTGTAACTCAAACATCAGCAACACGCAACAGATGCAGGCAACAAATCTGCACATGCACTCCCTGAATCTAAAATAAAAGTAAAAAAAAAGTAAAAAAGAAAAAAAGAAGCAAATATAGAAACCAGCCATGAACTCAGCGAAAATGCTTGCAAAGCATGTATCTGTCAGAGGACTCTTATCAAGAATTTATAAAGAACGCTTGTAACCAAATAATAAAATAAAGTCTTCTTAAAAAGTGGGCAAATTATTTGCGAAAATATTTCACAAAATAATGTATATAAAATACAATAAAGCTAAAAACACATTCAAAATTACTAGTCATTAGGGTTATACAAATTACATCTACAATAAAATACCATCAGGCACTCACTAGGATAGTTAAAGTTTAAAAGTCTGTCAATATCAAGTACTGGTGAAGATACAGAGAAATTGCAACTCCCAAATGTTGCCTGTGGGCCTGCAAAATGGTATAGCCACTTGAAAAACCATATGACAGAATTTTATAAAGTTAAACCTCCACTTATATGACCCAGCAATCTGACTCCTAAGTATTTACCCAAATAAAATGATAACATAATTTTACAGAATGACTTTTATATGTATGTTCATAATATTTGTTCATGGATGAATCTGAAGAACATTATGCTGAGTCAAAAAAATCAAGTCCACATGACAAACATATTGTATGATCTCTTATATGACATTCTAGGAAAGGCAGAACTGCCATGTCACAAAGTAGATTATTAGTTGCCCATGCCTGGGCAGCAGGGGAGGGAATCAACTACAAAGAGCTAGACGCAGCTCTAGGGTGAGAAAAATGCTCTGTATCTTGATTGTGGTGGTGACACGATAGTATACAATTACAAAAATTTATTAAGTGTATACTTAAACACTGCAAACTTTATTGTTTGCAGATTGTGCCTGAATAATAATAAAAAAATTCTGACAGCCATTTAAAAAAATTATTGCAGCTCTTAGAGACAGCCAGAATATATCTGCTGTCTTTTTGCAGTGTAGAAGGCTGGCTTGGATAGTCAGCCATGAAACATCACTATGGCAAAAGGGAGGGACTTTTCTTTCTGAGACAGAGCCTACTGTCTCTGGGGTACCAAAATTTTATTCTTCTAAATATGAATCTGAAGGCTGACTTCTGTCTGTGTAACCCTCAGATTATTCATAACTCCTTGGACAAACTTTGCTTCTGGGCTCTGTTTTTAATTATCATTTTCAGGTACTCTATGGGCCCAGATTAACTTCATGATTCTTTTTTACACTGAAACAACAACTGAGTTGAAAAAGAAACACTGCTAATGGATTTGACTACTACTTGCAGGTAAATGCAGTTCACCAAATACGCTTATTTCCCCATGCATTTTTATCCGTGAACCGTCCACCGATCCTTTCCACAGAGAGCTCTTAGTTAACTATTGCTAAATTGGAATCTCAAAAGCAATTCTGACTGAAAGAGCACCATTTCAATTAAACGAATAATCAAATTGAAAATGTTATTTGAATAATTTGAGTTCTTAAATTAAGCACGCAGATTTTTTTTCCCGCAAGTAGGCTATAAATTACATTTTCTGCTACATTGGCAGTAAACGGGTAATTAATATCTCAACTTTTTCCTTCTCAATGTTGATTCAAACAATACAATTAAATAAGCACAGAACATGAATTAGCACAGCTATCCCAGATTAGATGTGATTGCCCATCTCCTGTTTATCCTATTTTCTCTGGAGTGGGTGCGTCCATGTTGAGTGCAGCCTGGAGCAAAGAGGGCATGTTACACTCAAGACCAAAGTTTACATCATTGTGGAGGCAGCATCTGAAACTTTAGTAACATAATAAAATCTATTAAATAATTAGCAGATTTTTTGACTCTATGTAAATATGTTTATATAAATATAGCATAGTGTATTTGTTATATTATTTCCATTGTAACTGGCTTACCCGTTGGAAGAAGATAATTTACTAAGAAACTAAAAAGTTACTCATACAGTTTCTCTTTATGCTTTCTTTATACTTTAGTTTTATACTCTTTATACTCTAGTTACTCTTTATACTTCCTAAATGTTCTATTATTTTGCTAAAAAGAGCCATGAAATGCTATGTTAAAGTAGTCATAGCAGGGCTTTGTGTGTGCCAATCACTGCTATTGAAGCCACCTCTGCAAAAACTGTAACTGAGGAAATTATAACAGTGAAAGATTTCTCACCTAACCAACTCTATCTTGCTTCTAACCTCTAAGCTGTCCTTATTCATTCCTGAGCATAGGCTGAACTAACTGGGAAAAATTTGGATTACAGTTTAGCTTTGAAACACAGATGATAACAGTTCTTTCCCCAAATAAACCCCCTTCTTGCCTGTAGTCCCAGCTACTTGAGGGTAGGGAGCTGAGGTGGGAGGATCCCTTGAGCCCAGGAGGTCCAGGCTGTAGTAAACCGAGATCGCACCACTGCACTCCAGCCTGGGTGACAAAGTGAGACCTTATCTTAAAAAAAAGAAAAAAGAAAAAAAATTAGAAATTGTGGTTTAGGAATCATGCAGCAACTGGCTGCAAGATTTCGAACCTCCCCCAAAGTGCTCCTGGGAAAAACACCACTGTTGTAAAACGTAAGATCAGTGCTTGAGACGTCTGGCAGACCCTGGTTCCGATGCACCAGCTGATGCCATTGGGACCAATAATCTGGCTCATCCAGTTCTGTGATCCCATCCAGGAACAGAAGAGGGCAAGAAAAACTCACTTTTACCCCCTGTGATTTCTCCAACCTCACTAATCAGCATTCTCCACTTTCTGACTCCCTACCCACCAAATTATCCTGAAAAATGCTGATCCCCAAATTATCAGGGAGATTAATTTGAATAATAATAAAATTTGAGTCTCCTGTACAGCAGCTCTGCATGAATTAAACTCTTTTTCTATTGCAATCCCCCTGTCTTGAGAAATTCGCTCTATCTAGGCAGCAGACAAGGAGAATCTACTGGGCAATTACCTTATAAGTGCTTTAGACATACTAATTATTTTAAGTTTCCTAATAACCCTAGAAGAATGTTACTTCTACTATTCTCATTTAATAGATGCCAAAGCTATGAAAAGAAGGTTAGCTATTTGTCCAAACTCACTGAGCTGGATAGTGGCAGAGCTGGGATGGAACATGGGCCACCTCTCACCAGAGGCAAAGATATTCACCACCATGCGAGAGGGCCTCCCACAGTATGGATTCACCCATGCAAGTTTATCCTGAAGTGAGTGTTTTACTTCATGGGTGCAATACAATTCTGATGCTAACTACTGGTAGATAGGTCAAATTTCACAGGTAAAGGGCAGAGTTCTCTCTCAAGCTCATAAGCTCCAGGGTCCAGGACATACACATTTCTGACCAACTAGCTAAGAATTGGGGGATTTTCACTACCCCTTTAGGTTTGATAATTTCCGAGAATGACTCACAGCACTCAGGAAAGCACTATACTTCTGATTACAGCTTTATCGTCACAGATACAAATCAAGATCAGCCAAAGAAAGAGATGCATGATGCAAGGTCTGGAGGATCCCAGACATTGAGCTTCCATGTCCTCAGTATTGTCACCCTCCCAGCACATCAGTGTATGATTATCAACCAGGAAAGCACACATGAACTTTGAGGTTTCGCGTCTCTATTAAAGTCTATTACATAGACAAGACTAATTTCATCACTGGGTACATGACCGAACTCAATCTTTAGCTCCTCTTCTCCCTCTGGATTTCAGGTCTGGCTGATATCACCAGGCTTAAAGCCCCAACCATCTAATGACATGGTTGGTCTGTCTGGCATGGCCAGCCCTCATCCTTTATCTAGGGGCCCACCATGTATAGTCATAAACTCACTAGCATAAAGTCAACTATGATTTAAGGGGTCCATTATGAATAACAAGGACAATCCTAGCACTCTGGAAATTCCAGGGATTTAGAATCTCCCTTCTAGGAACCAGAAACAAAGAGTCTGCAAATTATTATACAACAGTGGCTGAATCCTGTGAGCACTTGCTTTCTCTTGCAGCCCTGTCCCTCACTAGCATTCCTTGAAAGGCCACAACTGAAAATTGTCCTAAGGATTATTCCATCCAGGAGCAGTTCTTGTTTCCTATTAAATGAGCAGCATCTGTCCAACCCAAGAGATGGCTTTCAAACAGCAGAAGATAAAATCTACCATCCCCACTGTGACCCAAATCAAGAGACCTAGTGTAGGAATAAAAGTCAGCCCTTCTCTGTCTTCTTTCACTCCCTACATCTCTAATTGTTGGCAACCTTTAGGTCTCTTCCATCTCTACCCCTAAGTATCAGGCTCTCACATCATTGCTGTCCTCTCACAGGGCCCAGGATTGACACCGTGCCCACATGTGCCCTGTCTTATTTCTTGCAAGCCACGTGTTTGTGTTTTATCAAATTCTCCATAGCCTCTAGTCACTATTTGGTGTCGCAGGACTTCGAGTTACTCTCAGCATTTACACGTATTTCAAAAGGAAGACACGATCACAAATTTAAAGGACTGGGCAGTGGCCTCCAGCATATTTACCACCAAACTGCCTAATTTTGTTTTTCCAATGAACATAGTATCCCACTCTGCTGTCTCTTAATCAAATAACAAAATACTGATTTTTGGCTCTGAAAGGTGGTGGGGGAAACTTGTGTTTCTTCTAAAATCTCTCCTCATTTGGAAATAATCTAACACATTACAATCAGACTCCTAAGTTACATTTACATGTCAAAATATCATTAACATATAAAAAAGTCAGTAATGCTTTATGGAAATAATTTGTTCCATTTTAATACCTTCTAGGTCTTTTAATAAGAAGATTCTTCTTGGTTGTAAAGGTATTTTCACACCACTTTAACACTACTTAATTTTATCTTTGACTTTTCTGTGCATTCACTTGCTCATTAAATTAACGTACAACTCTTGCATTCAAGGTGTGAAGAGGTGGAGAGGTAAGAAACTAGTGTAATTAAACAAGGATCTTGACCCTGCTAAGCTGATACACCTGTGGTAAAAAGTAGACCCATGATTTATTACAGTTGAGGGGAGCTTAAAATTCACTTTCTTCAGTATCATGCCCAAGGCAGAAATAGTGCAAAATATCCCATTCACCTAGCTGCAGTTTGAGCACTTCCAGTCAATTTTTCTTCTTCTCTATTAAAAAATGTTTAAAGAATATCTCTCCTTCTTCATCCCAATTCCATCCTACAGAAAAAAACCAAAACAATATTATTGCTTGTATTAAGTAAATCTCTCCACCAGATTCTAATAATTGGTCCAAAGTCCGTGCTCATACACTACACAGAATAAATCTCAACCCTCCTCTACCCTACCAAGTATTAAGGAGACCATTTTCTTCATGGCCTCTAATGCTACTGCTCACTGGCAAAACTCTTTGTTTCAACTGTTCCTCACATGTCATAGTTTAAGATGCTTGGTCATCCTAGACACCCTCCTCTGGACCTGTTCTAATCTTTAAATTCTCCCCGTGAGATTCAAGACACAGTTAAGGCCAGAGGTGCGTAGTGTAAAGGCTGTCAGCTTGGGGACCAGATAGGGCAGGGAACAAATCCCCGCTCATCCATTAATGAGCCAAGTGATTTGGGCAAGCCAATTACCTTCTCTCATCTGCAAAATGAGGGAGATTATTTTTCAGGAAAAGGATTAAATATAATGTATGCAAAATGCCTAGTTGAATGCAAGGCACATAGAGACAAATATTTGGGATTTTTACTCCAGATGTGACTTTTACAGTGAGAATGAAACTAAGTCTGTTTGTTCTATTAATGCTATTTATATCCCTTTACCTTTCTGGTAACCACACTACATCACTGGCTTATTACTGATCCATTAGTTCACTAAAGCCTTGTGTTTATTTGCTTTCTTGTTCTGTTTTTTCTTACATAAACAGGAAGTCTTTATCATGCTGTTAATTTATTGAACTTCAGAAAAACACTTACTGTGTTAGTCCATTCTTACATTGGTATAAAAAAATACCTGAGACTGGGTACTTTATAAATAAAAGAGGTTTAATTGGCTCACAGGCTCCACAGGCTGTACAGGAAGCACCAATGCTGGTATCTGCTAGGCCTCTGGGGAGGCCTCAGGAAACTTAAAATCATGGTGGAAGGCAAAGCTGGAGCAGGCATGTCTTACATTGCAAGAGACAGAGAGAGAGAGAGAGAGCAAGGTACATACTTTTAAACCACCAGATCTCCTGAGAACTCACTACTCTGATGACAGTACCAAGAAGGTTGGTGCTAAAAAATTCATGAGAAACCACCACCATGATCCAATCACCTCCCACCAGGCCCCATCTCCAACACTGGGGATTACAACTGAACAAGATTTGAGTGGGGACACAGATCCAAACCGTATCACTTTGTATTTGCCAAATTAGTTTATAAAGCTTAAAATATGAAATGGTAATTAATATCCCTTCCCTACTACCTCCCACCAAGAGAAAAAAATGACATATTATCAAGTGAAAGCCGAGGAAGTTCTCAGACTTCCTAAGAAATGATGATACGACTTTCCTCCAAATGAACTACGACTTGTATTTTCTCGTATAGTCAACATTTTAGACAGTATGGATTGCCAGACTAAGAAAAATAAAACAAAATTTACCAGCATTTATTCTCAATGTCTGAAAATATTCCTGGCTCTATTTCTTTTCTTAACAATGGTTATATTCTCTGAAATTTAATTAATTAGAGTGATCTAAATTTTGACCTTATGAACCCACCTACATGAAAGATTTTTTCAATCAAAAAGGAAAAGCCAAAGTTATGGAAAACTGGTTTTTCCAGGAAAATGGTAAAGTTTGGTATCAATGTAGTTTCTGTAAAAGGAAACTTCATTCTTTTCTGATACGTAAGTATAAACTTAAATAAAATTTTACCGAACATCTAAATCTATTGAATATTTTAAGTAAAGCCTAGAAAATAATTCCATAATGCAATGGATCCCTAATAATCACAGCAAAGTAATATTTAGTGAGCCTGATGCTACATAAGAACATACTGCATCCTGTTTTGAAATAAATGAGCATCGGTTATTAGCATTTCAAAGTCAGAAACCCAGGGCTTTTGTCTACATAGTAAAATATAAAACAAAGATCCGGTACTACATATTTAATTTAGTAATTTGTATATATCAATGAGTTTTGACTCCGATAGGGGAGAAATAGACATTACGTCACCCTACAGAGGTAGGATCTTATCAGAGACACCCATCCCATGTCAAAAGATCATAATATGACTGACCCTCTGTGGCTGGCATATCTTTGAGGAAAACAGCTACGATAACTTAGTGAGCCACTATTGTCAATGGAAATGTGTTGTCTCCTTCAGGCAAACTAAAATTTTAAAAAGAGACACTGATGACCATTTGGTATATAATTCAGGGGTACAAACTTACATTTCTGCATTGATCAGATAGATACTATAAACCAAATTTTTATGAGAAATATTAAATAGCAGAAACTGTAAAAATGTGAAACATGCTTATCTATCCAGTAGAATATGATTATTTTTTAAAATATAGAACCAGCCAAATAAAGCACATGTGAATGCCACTAGTTTTTGTTCTCTAGCAAATTATGAAAAGGAAAAAGGAGAAAGTTGTGTGTTTCTTAGTACGGCTTGCCTATAATACTGAACAAATATTATCTAAATATCAAATATCAAAATACGTGTATATTCCTGGATACAAGAGCTGCTCAATGTTGGCAATATTGTCATTTTGAGTTGGATAATTTTTTGTTCTGTGGAGCAGTCCTATGCATTTAGGATGTTTGGCAGCAACACAGTAGGATGTTTAGTGGCCTCTACCCAGTACATGACAGTTAGATCCAATTCAAGTCATATAATATTAAAAAAAAAAGTCTTCAGACACTGCCAAATGTCCTGTTTGAGAACCACTGGTCTTCAACACAATTCAAAGTTTTAAGCATTTATTAAAGATATTTTCACAAGTAAACAAGGGAGGGTGAAGAAAACATTTACATTAAGGTAAAGTACATTCGAAAATAAAGACTAAAACTAGCCTAAGATTAAAAGAAAGAATTAAAATAATAAATTAATAGGACAATTAAATTTATCATAAAAGTAAAGCAAATATTGATGCCAACCTAATCCCCCCAAAATCTTTGTAAGTTTGCTTTTTTAGGGGTAAAAACTTATCGACAGGTATAATCGAAAAATGAAAAAAATCATCAAAAGATGAAGAATAAAAGATATGGAAAAGATGTTAAAAGTATAAGACACTACATATAATTTTATGCCAAATAATTTAAAAGTTAACAGTGAAAAAAGATTCGTGGGAAAATATAATTCAAAATTGACTAAAAGGGAGCCGAACACATGAGCATTCTTTTTACACTTACTAAAAATTAGTTTCAGAAGAAAAGATGCTGAGCTACAAAGTATTCTGAGTGAATTATTTTAAGCTTTCAAGAAAAACTACATTGTACACTATACAAACTCTTGAAAACAGAATAATATAAAAATTAATTTATTTTTAGTTTCTAATTATTTGATATTAGAAAAGTTATCCCTTTAATAAGGAAATTTTGTATATATATACAAAATCGGAATTAAGGCCCAGCCCCTCATTGGGGTACAGAAGGCAAAAGCTCAGATGCTGTTTTCAGGTTAGAGAAAGAATGAGGGCTTGGATCCTGGCAAAACATGTGATGGAAAGGGGGAGAAGAGGAATTCTGTTGAGGGACAATAAATGATTACTGGGGAAGATTCAATGGTCTGGGGCAGAGTGTGTTGGGCCTGCAGAGCAGAAAATAATTTGTGATAAAAGTTTGCCCAGGTTTGTTGACAGACTTTAGTTTTCTTTCCTACAATATGGGTTCAGTTAATGAAAACTCAGAGAAGAGATCAGAGGTAACTGTATTATTCTTTGTTAGGTTCAGACTTAAGCAGATAAGAGAACTTTTAAAAAGGACAATATGCTATGCTTTGGGAGAGGGGCGTAGGGTGAAGATCAGAGAGACCTGGAGGCTTCTTTTTCAGTTCAGCATTTAGAAAGCACCATATTTTGGAATATCAGTTTCTGAGTGCCAACACAACTAATGAGCATTATCGCAAATAAAAGAGGAATTTCCAATGTCACCGATATTAATGAGTTATTTTTCCAATGCTATATTTAGAGCAACATATAATAAAACAGAGGTAGAGCTACTAGAACAAAATGAGATTATTTACACATAATTTTCTTCCTAAAATAG
Source organism: Homo sapiens (assembly GCF_000001405.40). Taxonomy (NCBI): domain Eukaryota; kingdom Metazoa; phylum Chordata; class Mammalia; order Primates; family Hominidae; genus Homo; species Homo sapiens. Next base: position 94,897,675 of record NC_000015.10, on the reverse strand, counting down.
AATATTCCTTTCTCAACCTGAAAAATGACAAATATCATAACAAAGAAATATTGAGACCATCTCCTCTAATACGAAGAAAAAGAAAAGGATGCCCAATATCATCACTTGTATTCAACATTGTCTTGAGATACTGGCTAGAACAATAAGAAAAGAAAAAACTCTAAGGTAATTTGATAGGAAAGGAGGAAATAAAACATTATTTTGCAGTTGATATGATGGTCTATGTAGAAACTCCTAATATATCAGTAGATTGTTAAGAAAAACATGCGAATTTAGCAAGATGTCTGTATATCCAGACCCAGTTGTTTTTCCATTGCAATAAGCAATTAAAAACATTTTAGAAATACACTATTTATACTAACAACCAAAATTATAAAATATCATCATAAATCCAACAAAAATGGGAATCATCTATGTACAAAATTTTAAAATTTTATTGTAAGTCATTTAAAAAGCTGTAAATAAATGAAGAAATGGAACATATTTATGAAAAGAAGGAATAATCTGAAAAGATCATTGTATCTATGTATCTAATGCATTCCCACTCAAATTCCCAGCAACCTTTTTTAGGGAATTTGATGAGTTTTGTTTAAAAGTCTATGTGGAAAACAAAGCATTGATTACCACGATACACTGAAGAAGAAAAGTTAGAGGGACTTTTTTCTACCAGATGGAAAAAACATATTATAAAGCTATAGTAATTAGGGCAATACAGCATTAATGCAAAGATAGACAAATTGAACAGTGGAATAAAATAGGAAATCAGAAATAGCCTATGGACATATGGAACTTTGATGTGTAACAGAAATGTGTGCAGACGATTGGGAAAAGGAACTTTCATTCAAGGAAAGGAGAAAGTAGAGACAAGCTATATCCTGGAGGAAGGTATTTGTAATACATATATCTCAAAAGAGTTACTATCAAGTAATTATAAAGAACTCTTAAAAATCAAGAAAAGGAATATCCAGTAGAAAAATGGGAAAAAGACAGAAAAATTGTACAGAAGAGAAAATACATACGTCCACTAAACAACACTGGCAATGAGCAAAATGAAAGTCAAGACAAAAGTGAGATGCTTTTTACAAATTTCAAATTGCAGAAATTAAGAATTCTTGATTATACCAAGAGTTAAAGGGGCTATGGCTCAATACGATCTCATATTTTGCTGGTGCTGGTGTAAATTGCTACAATCCACTTGGGAAATAATTTGGCATAATCTTGTAAAGTTAAATATTTCTTTATTCAGAATGTCCATACCTGAGTACCTACACAATGTAAAGTTTAGCACATAAGTACCAGAAGAATGTACAAGAATGTTTACAGCAGCATTTTGGTCATCCAGAAACAATGCTTGTTCATAGAGAAGGGAATGGCTAAAAATATTAAGGTATAGTCACAAAAAGGAATTGCAGTAAGAATGAATGAATGAAATGAAACACAGCCACATTTCATATAATGAATGGCTGTCAGTGTAATTTAAATGAAAAATAAAAATTCAGAAGACCAACTACAGAATGACATACTCTTTTTATAAAATTTAAAACACGCCAAACTCTATAATATGTTATTAATTGAGATGTATGTATATCTGTGTGTGTGGCTGCCTCACTCTCTTGGAAGGGCTGTATGGCTGGACAGTTTCTCTCATTTCTCCTGATCAGCAGAAATTGTTCTTGGCTGTCCTAAGGTGTCACCAGCCTTCAGTGAGCTACCTTTCAGCAGTCAAGCAGGCAGTGAAGACCTGGAATGGTGGGCGTGAAGAGTTGGAGGATGGATACTGACTTGCTATGTGGCTGAGGCCCTGTAGAATTCTCATCTGTCATGCCAGGCCACCCAGAGTTATTAAAAGACCATTATAGGTTAGGCTGGCTTCTCCTTATTCTTATCTATGGTCTGGCCTTTTCTTCTGCAGCTGCATGAGGGAGGAGAGTGGCTGTGGGTCTAGTGTAGTTATGAAGAGATATTTGTTTTCTAGAATTAATTTCATTTAGCTTTTTTTTGTGTTCTTGGTCCTCTGATGGGTTTTAAATAAAATATGATTTTGTAGCTTATCCAGATTATTTTCACTGTTCAGGTGAAAGCAACAGTTTTTCAAGTCTCTACAAACTGAGCCTAAATGGGCGTCTGCTACAAACTATTCGATGTGAACAACTCTGGGTCCAATGTGTCATTGTCATTACCCAAAGTTGGTCATTCCTTTTTAAAATTTTTTCAATATCTATTGATTTATTGACTTACACACCTTCAGAGTCATTGCTTGCAGGTTTTGTATTATGCTTAGAAAGATCTTCCTTAGTTCTGGATTACTTACAAGAAAACATCCTGTCATGTTTTCTAATAGTACTTTAATGTACTTATTTTTAGCATAAAATCTTTGGTCCATCTGGAGTTTATTTTTGTTCTGCAAATAAAGTAGAAATACTATTTTATTTTTTTCCAGATGGCTACTAAGTTGTCTTAACTCCATTTATGGACATACAAGATGAACAGAGATTTTACATATAATTAATTTTTAAACATATGAAAATATGTTCAACTACAGTCAAGTTTTTAAACTGCAAATAATAACTATAGTTAAACATTATTTGGCACTATCTACCTAAATTAAATGTATACATATCCTTTGACCCAGCAATTTTATTTCTAGGAGATTTGCCTTTAGATGTTCTCATATCTATTCATAAATACATACATGCTTGGATATTCATCACTATCTTGTCAGTAAATGGGGAAAAAAACAAGTAAGTTCAAGTAAAAGTATTTTAAGACGGATTATTTTAAAATTTATTATATGTCCACAATAAGGGATTATGAAGTCTTTTAAAAGAAAGAACCAGGCTATACAGGTCTGCTAAGATATGATATCTGAGACGTATTACTAGGTTAAAAAAACAAAGGGCTATTATGTATATACCACACCCTACCACTTCACTAAAAAGTAAAACATGCGCACACACACACACACACACACACACACACATATACATATGCGTATAAATATATAATTATAGATTACTTTGAACACTTACTCAAGTACCTAGTAACAGTGGTAGCTTTCGAGGCATAAAACTGGGTAACAGAATATCTGTGGTGGGAGGGAGAATTCACCTCTAAAATGAGTTTTTCAAGACTCTTGTAAGGCATTACCAAATGAAGGCAACATATATCCAAGTTCACCTTGTGAATCAAACAATCCATTTATAGATTCCTGTGACAATCACAGGTTCTGCTGGTTATTTTTTAAACAAAAGCCAAACCAAGAGCGAATATCAGGCTTAAAGTTTAAGCTGTCACTGAAATGAACTAAGTTTGATTAAATACACTTTAGCTAAATGCACAAAGAAAGAAATGCGTTTCTGACACCTCTCTCTCCACAGCCAACACCATTACTAATACGCACATCCTCTAAGCCAGTGGTTTTCACACTGGGCTTGGTGGAGACCCAGATTTTTCACACTTAGTTTTCAGATGCTGCCCTGAGAAGTAGGAGACAAACCAAGCCAAGGGGGCATCCTAATTCCTTCCCCTTGCTTAACCAACAGCTCCATTGTTGCCTTATTTTATTGGTGGGGAAAAGGTAGAATTCTGGAGAATTTTTCTTTGATAAAAAATGAATTTTACAGTCAATCAAAAAAGAAATCAAGGCCTACTCTTCTCTGCTGTGACATTCATTCCAAACAACATGATATAATAACAACAAAACAGCTTAATACACTTACACATAGCTGGAAGTTTACATCTAGGAGAGACCTTCGAAATAATATAGTCCTGTCCTGTTATTCGACACATGAGAGGGACAGTGAGGCCATAGAGATGATAAGGCATGTCTAGGGTCACCTTTGGCTTATTGTTGGCAGATCCAGAACTAAGGAGCTAGCCTCCAATTTCCCAAGGCTTTTCTCTTTTACTCATTGGTAAATGATTGTCTAGCACCTCAATATTGACATTGACAATGGATTGGGATTCAATGTTTTGCCACTGGGAGTATAAGTTACTTATGTGACCAAACTCCCCAGTCTCCCTCTTTGGTGAGTATTTGCTTTTCGGTTCAATTTTCTGAAGCTTTCCACCAATCACATTTTACCCAGGAAAAGAAACCACCCCACTGGCTGTCACCTTTAATGACTATGTATAAAACCTAAACCCATATAAATATAAAGCAACTCATCCAAAAGGGAAAATGCATCTTTAGAATAGGTTTGAAGGCAAAAGACTTGTGATCATTGTGTCTATCTATGAGTTTGCATTATCATTTCATAAGGCAAAACAGAAGGTGGAAAAAGCCTACTGCCATCCCTTAGTTTTTCATGGAACATATTCATCAAAAAAGCATCCAGTCCCCTGAGCTTGCAGCCATATGCTACAGGAAAATGTCACCAGTTAAAGATGTATTCATTTGCTGTTTTGAAAACTCTGTTTGATATTCATGCATTCCAAGTGTTTTGACCTAGATTTCTGTAGAGGCATTAGATCCAGTCCTGTTCAGGCAGCTAGACAGCTGTTGCTTGTGTAGTCAAAGGAAAAATCTAAAGTTAAAAAAAAGAGAGAGAATGAAAAAATGAAAACATTTATTAATGGGTGCCAACATTTTGCGCAGCCAATATGTTTAATACTAGATTAACTAATATAAGCATATGGGGATGCATTTGTTGCAAGGCTTTAAAGAAAAGAACAAAGAAAAAAGTTGGAAATAGCTAAAGTTCAAGGGGAATGGAATTTGCACTTTCTCCTGTAAATGAAAGCTTGGTGAAATGGCAACATCCTTTAATTATAAGCAAGTGGCTAATGTCATAGCATTTAGGATTTTTTTTTCAGAGAGGATATATGATGTTCCACACTCTGCGCACATCTTAGATAAACCTAAAGTCTCTATATAACAGCAGATCCTTGAAATCTTCTTGGACATCAATTTTGTTCTTAGCCAGGTTTGTCTATTTTATGGTTTACATAAGGTCTAGTTAATTCAGGCATAAATTAATTTAATTATTCAAAGAATAATGATAACAATAAATATGAATACTAATTCTTCCTCAGCTCTATCTCCTCCAGCAGGGGAGATCAAAGAAGATTTGTTACCCATGTAACTGCTCTCATGTCACATACTGCTATAGTATGGCTCTGTGACCCCACCCAAATCTTATCTCAAATTGTATCCCCATGTGTAGAGGGAGGGAGGTGATTGGATCATGGGGGCAGTTTCCCCTGTACTCTTTTTGTGATAATGGATGAGTTATCTTGACATTTGGTGGTTTTATGTGTTTGGAAGTTCTTCCTTCACTCTTCTCTCTCCTATCACCTTGTAAAGAAGGTGCCTGTTTCCCCTTCGCCTTCTGCTATGACTGTAGGTTTCCTGAGGCCTTCCCAGCCATGCAGAACTGTGAGCCAATTAAACTGCTTTCCTTTATAAATAAGCCATCTCAGACATTTCTTTATAGCAGTGTAAAAATGGACTGATACACATACCTACAAATTATACTAAACTGTTCATCAGCATCTCTGCCCTACCTCAGAGGGAGGATAGTAGTCAGTTTAGTTATAATTACAGAATCCTTGGCTGTACACTGCCAGAGTCTTCCTCTAACATTAGGCCTGAGTGTTGCCAAATATGTATTTAAGAGCATCTAGAAACATGAATTCATTCATCCATTCATCCCTAAGTAGTTACTGAGCATCCAGTAAGAATAGACACTATAGATGCTGGGAACACAGAGATAAAAGGCAAACTCCTTATCTTCTAGTAGGCTAGAGAATGCTAGATGATTAGGCCTAAAAGGCACAAAATGATTTGGTACATTCAGGTTATTGGATTCGTTTGATTCAGTTGAAGTGTGGATTTCTTGGAAGTAATGGAAGAGATGATGGAGTGTTAGGGTGGCATGCAGAGTCACTCCATCTAAGCACCTGGAATCTGACAAAAGAACACAGCACTTTAAAGACTGACCACAAACCTCGTATTTCTAATTCTCTTTTATTACTGTCCTCTCCCCCGTTCCCAGTATGGGAACTTGATGGAAACTCTCCCTTTCACACCTTAATATTACTCCACTCAATAAACATTTATCTGGGTGTGTATACACTGCAGTTGACATAGTAGAACCAAAATGGAAATCCAAGACTCTTGCCTTAAAGATGCTTTCAGTCAAAAAAAGAAGATAAACACATGAATGCCAAATTATAAATATGAAGTCATAAACACCGCCTAAGATATATGCAATGCCACTGAATTGCAGAATTGAGAATGCTTATTTATATATGTCGAGATAGTATGTAAACTGGGTTTTAAAGGATGTATATTACCTGGGCATTAGGAGTGTGGGAAATGGCACTTCAGGCAGAAATAATGGGATGTGTGTGAGTACAAAAGCCTGAGTGTGCAAAGTATATTCAGGGAAGAGATGGAGAACACTGACAGTTTGAAAGGAAGGGCAAATATTATAGTCATCTTATAACTATTGAAGAAGGAGGAGAAGCAGGAGGAAGAGAAGAATAAAACTAGCTATCGAAGCCACTGTAAAAATGAAGTAGAAAAATCCAATTTTATTTTCCAGAGTAGTTTTCTGAGTAATTTGAATAAATATTTCTGTAAATCTCTTGCATGGCTGGTGAGACCCTAAAAGCATGCTCAATTAAGAAGAAATCTTGTTTGAACTAATATCCTAAAGCAAAGAGGGAAAACTGTGTGATTCTGAAGAGTATGAAAAGAAAAGGAAGGGAAAACCATAAGATAATTGGAAGTTACTTGCATTGAGCATTTCCTCTGGACCCAGAAAGTTCCAAATGCCTCTACTGTAACAATTCATTAACTTTTCACCACAACCCTATGAGACAAAATCTATTTGTATTCCCACTTTCAAGGTGAGGAAACTGAGGAGAGGAGAGGTAAAGTAATTTATCCAAGGTCAGAGAGAGAGAAGTGGCAGTGTGAGAACCTCAGTTTTAGAGTTTTCATTTTTATCTATTTTATTTCACTGCCCCAGAAAGCTGTGAGATGAATGATGGGCCTCAGCTCAGGACCCCTCAAACCTTCAGCAAGGCTTGTTGAAGTGGATATTGATTCAAGAAACCTGAGGAGCTGAGGTTTGCAGGTAGATTTGGTATGAGATGAGTGAGTGGAAATTCATGAGGAAACAGGGTGGAAACTCTGGGGTGGTCTTCTTTGGGGATATCCTGCAGTCCTGTGATTGAGTGAAAAAAAAATGATCTGGAATTTTCATTCTAAATAACTCTATCTCCACTTTGTGAAATAACTACAATCAAGCATAGGTTAAATAGGCACTCCTCAAAAGAGGCCATACCCATTTGTCATTCAGAATTTTGAATGAATGGAAAACCACAATAAATCTCTTTGTGAAGCAGTTGATGTTATTATTAAGTGAGAACTTATCAGTGAATACGGTTCAACTGCATGGGCCAATTAGGACATTTGAGATGTACAATATGAAGACTACGATGACTCATTGTGTATTGGCAAGCACTATTGTTACTGGAATCAGGCTGTATGTACTATCTTTGATGTGATCAAAAGTAGGATCCCAGGTACACTAAGTACCATTGTGATCCATAAAGGGAGGTTTCATCAAATGGAAAGAAGATTTTAAGGGTGAGCCCTTGCCTGGCATAGGACATAGGACCCTGAGGTGCTGATGCAAAAACAGAGTGTGCTCACTGGGTCTAGGTTCCTTGGCATTGGAACAAGTCATGGAGAGAGACCATTCTTCTTTTATCATAACTTGGGGCTTAGCTGTAAGACAAAATGGAAACTGAGCCCCAGATTGGGTTGGTTAGCAAAGAAAATCTGGGGATTGACCCACAGATCAAGGATTACCACAAAGCTAACTTATGATGTTAGATAAGAAGCAAGTATAACCAAAGTCAGGGTTTTTAAGTTGGTGTATGTCAATTCTTCTGCTAACGTCCATCAAAAAATACCAAATAACCACTTCGGGAGGCCGAGGCAGGCGGATCACGAGGTCAGGAGATTGAGACCATCCTGGCTAACACAGTGAAACCCCATCTTTACTAAAAAAATAGAAAAACTTAGCCAGGCATGGTGGCGGGCGCCCAGCTACTCGGGAGGCTGAGGCAGGAGAATGGCATGAACCCGGGAGGTGGAGCTTGCAGTGAGCCGAGATCGCGCCACTGCACTCCACACTCCAGCCTGGGTGACAGAGTCAGACTCTGTCTCAAAAAAAAAAAAAAAAAAGGCAAATTCTCAAATTCCTTTAGTTAGAAGGAGGAGAATTATGTAATGTAAAAGTGTACATATTTGTAATAAAGTTGAATTTTAAAAATGCAGGAATGTGTTAAAATACTACATAACACTTCAAAGAAATGTTGCTCTCCTGGTAGGCGCAGCACATACCACACCCTCCCTGCCTTCCTGCCTTCTAGAGAACAGATTCGTTTTCTTCTGTTACTTGAACAATTTTATTGAAACAGATTAAGAGGGCCTGATGATGAACATTTACTTTCTGCAAGGGTTGACTGTAAAAACTAAGGGAGGGGCTTGAGAACAAATGGCAGGGACAATGGGGTAAGGACTGCTCTCCCCATCTGATTCTAAAAACTTCCAGACCGGCTGGCTTATTAGTACTTTATCATGTTATACAGGAGACCTACTAACTTTACTATTGTCAATAAAGGATCAACCTTTCATTAGAAAATGAAAAATCACATCACTGACCTCTAAATCAAAGTTTTTCAAAGGTGAAATTAGCACAAAGTCCCAATCCTTCTGCAATAAATTTCAAATCCATCACTTACTGCCAATAGATTAGAAAAGTTCTCCAGCTTAGTGTAAGGGACCATGTTAATTTTATTAAAAATCCCTCCACCAATTACAATTAGAATAAAATGAGAAAAAAATTGTTACAGAAGGTCAATTACATGTGGTATCATTTTCAATTCAACAAGCATCTATTGATGACTTGCCATCTGCCAACAGTGATTTAATAACAGGACCCTGCAGTGAGTCTACGTGTGTGCATACATGTGTACATGTGCGTGGATATACACACACATATGCAAAAATAGCACATGAACTGTCAAAATGAGAATAAAAAACCCATGCTTAATAAGATACGAATAATTGCTAATGAGAATATTCCTTGGTTATTTTTCTCTTTATCATGAAATTATTAAGAGTTTTTACACAGCATTTATGATGGGGTCCTTTGCTCTTGTGTTTGACAGTCTCACTAAATGTGGCCATGAAGACACAATGTTCAACTGAATTCATGCCGCCATGTTTCACAAAACATTTTAATGCCATAGTTTCTCATGTTTGTCTCTATATGAGTAGGAATGTTCTCAGAAGAGGCTAGCTTCCAGGCTGGCAACAGCTACTTTACACACCCATATGTAGCCTACCCAAGAGTCACAGAGGTAAAACCGCACACACACTAAGGATGTTTAGAACTATGGAACAGAGAAGATAAGTTGTCAACGCATATTCACTCCTGACCATTACATGTGTACACATGGGAGGCAACTTATAGCAATTAGGATTGCAGATCTGACAGTTTCCCTATGAGCTGCCACATTAGGTTAAGAACTGAGGATTACAGGAGACCAAATGTTTCTGTTTCAGCTCCAGACGATTAATTTATTTTTTTCCTTTTGAAACTTGGCAAAGGAAGACACTGAAATCTGAAAACAGAAACTAAAGAATTATAAACAATGCATCTTAGCAAGTCATCATAAAGTAACAACCTATATATGCCCTGTTTGAGATTTTTGAAAAATGAAAGTGGCTGCGTATTATTTGATTTCTAACCTGTAGTTGGATTGCACGTGGATCTTTTGGAATATGAGTCTCTCACTCCAAGAGCCCATTACTGTATCAAAGGGGATATGGGAAACTGGATTTTTAAATTAATAACATACCTATTTCCAGTCATAAAGTTACATGTCCTAATGTGTACCATTAAAGCTACATGACATTTGCTGTATTATAGCCAATTTAAACAGATGCATTTAGAATAATTAGAGGCAAATCTATTTCTTTTTGAAATCTGGCTGCTTAAGTCACTCAGGTTAGTATCACACAGAAAGCTGACTCACTGAAGCTGTCAGATGCTTATTCTTTTGCAGCACTCTGTGGTAGGGTTTCCTTACTCTGCTTATCAGTGGAATTATAAGCTCTACTTATAATATAGTATATCAGAATATATATAATATTATCATACTTACATAAAAGATAAGCCTACCAAGAAAATGAAGACATTTTCTAGGATCTGTTCTTTTTTCTCACTTGTCAGGGATAGAAAGGAATGTGTGTGTAGGCTAGGCAGGAGATTGGTGTGACCCCAGAGATATTCCAGAATTAATGGAGTCAACAGAGACTCTAGAGATAGGAATATGCAGAGTACCAGAGAGGCTGACAGTCAGATGGAGTTAAGTCCAGCTTTGCTGGAACAGGGCTGAAGGGACAGTAACTAGGGGAATGAGTCCTTGACTGGTGGGGAGCCGCAAAATCAGGACAAGACTCTGGGACTCTGGGAAACTGAAGGTTATTAAGACAAGGAATTAGATGCTGGGAGAAATGAAGATGAGACGAAAGGCTCGAACTGATTTAGAAATGAGTTAATATCAGAAATAGTCAACTTAGACAAATAAAAAGTCAAATGGACCTCACTTCAAGAGGACTGATGCTAATAGAAGACTATGTCATGAGACTCTAAAAAATGCTGCAAATCTATTCCTGCAGAGTTGGAACTATTATATTTGGAATTATTGGCTGTAATTATATGGATAGAATGTTATATCTTACAAGAGAATTAAATTTCAAAATATGCATAGATGATGAAAATCAACTACTGTAAACATAAATAAATAAACACAGTTGAGAGCCTCCCCAAATCTCCTACACACAACCTACAGAGGAATTCTCAGGCACACCATGCTTGAGAATACCACTAGACTATAGAAAGGGATAAAAGCAAAGCCTAAATACAGATATTTGGACATTCAAATCATTCTTGTTATAAGATAACCAGGAAATCTCCTGGTAATTTGATACATGAAGAGTTCTAATGTAGTATCTAGCCTGCCCACAAGTTTATGTTACTCATATTTTGCTATTGTAAGTCTATGACTTGAGTGAATATAAGTAGATTTGTGTTTTGCTGTAAGGGTTAAATAAGATAAAGTTGTATCTTACAAGAAAAATCAAGAGTCTGAAATCTCTGGGAAACATCAGTATCAAGTTATGGTTTCAAAAATATACAATATAAGTTCTATCAGCTCCCTTCATTCCTTTTAAAAATAATAAGATACAAAATAATCCAGATACATTGGGCTAGATATATTAGATATAGTCATTAATATAATCATACCTGTGATCCTGAAATTTAGATATTATTTTGTCTATTTTTTAAAAATTCAATTCCAATTTACTTAAAACAACAACAACAATAACAAACAACTCAGAAATCTGGGAATAAAAGAGAACTTCATTAACTTTACAGAGCATCCACCAAAACCTCACAGAAAGCATTCTTAATGGTGAAATGCTATGAACATTCTTTTAAAAACAGGCATGACTGCTCTCATTGCTTCTATTTAACAGCATACTACAGGTGATTGTAGCCAGTGCAGTAAGACTAGAAAAAGAAATGCAGAACATAAAGATTGGGAAAGAAAAACCAGAACTATCATTGTTCACAGATTATATGATTGCCTACATATCAAATCCAAAAGACTCCATAGATAAATCATTATAATAAGAGAGTATGGCATAAAGGTTGACTACTATAAATATAAAAATCATTTGCAGCTCTATACTGGCAACAGTTGGGAAGCAGAATTTGGTCTTTTTTAAGATGGGGTCTCAGTCTACTGCCTAGGCTTGAGTGCAGTGGCACAATCATGGCTCACTGCAGCCTCTACCTCCTGGGCTCAAGGAATTCTCCCACCGCAGCCTCCTGTGTAACTGAAACTACAGGGACATGCCACCTCACCCATCGAATTTTGTTTTTTACTTATTGTAAAAATAGGGGCTTCACTATGTTGCTCAAGCTGGTCTCGAACTTCTGGGCTCAAGCGATCATCCTGCACTGGCCTTCTAAAGTGCTGGGATCACAAGTATGAGCCACCATGCATGGACAGAAAATAGAATTTTAAGTATATATTATTACTATAGCAATATAGGATAAGCACCTACAATAAATCTAACAAAAGATGTGCAAGTCTTATGGAAAAAAATTATGTCTGAATGCAAATCATAAAATTATAATCATTCTAATATGGATTATTATATAATCTAAATTATTATATTTATAAATACATAAAAACTGGATGCAAATTATAAAACTGGATATTTCACAAAGGTGTCCATTTTATGCAACTTGATTTATGGATGTCATGCAATTGCCTTTAAAATTCAAAAAGGGATTTTCTTGAACTCTGACATTCTGAATTTAAAATTTAGAGGAGTAAGAGTTAAGAATATCTAAGATACCCCTGAAGGAGAAAACAGAAGGCACGTGCCCTCCAGTTATCAAGAGTAATTATAAAGCTTTAGCAATAAAAACAGTATGATATTCGCTAAGGAATGTACAAATAGACTAATAAAGTCGAATTGCAAACAGAAACAGACCTATACATATTTGGAGCTTGAAGATGCATAGATGGCCTTGCTGATAGGTGGAGAAACAAGGGACAATAACATACATAGTGTGGAATAATTGGTCATTCCTACATGGATAAAAAAATGAAACCACCTCACACTATACAGAAAAATGAATTCTAGATAGATTAATAATTTAAATGTGGAAGACGAAACTCTTAAAATAAATTGTAGGCAAATTATTTTTTTTTACATCAGGGAAGGGAAGAATTTTTAAAAAGACATAAAAATGCTAACCATCAACAAAGAGATTGATAAAATTGACATTAAGATCAAAAACTTCTTTTCATCAACAGACACCATAAAATAAGTAAAAAGATAAGCCATAAAAATAACGTTTTAGTATTTGGAATATAAAAGAACTCCTAAAAGTCAATAAAAAGAGATAACATAATGCATTAGAAAAATGAGCAAAGACAAGAACATGCAATTCACAGAAAAGGAATTATAAACGGCCAAAAAGTTTGAAAATATACGCAAGCTTAACCACAATGGTAATCAAGGAAGTGCAAAGAAAAACACAATAAGACACAATTTTACATTCACTAAGATTGATAAATAATTAAGAAATCTCATGGCACCAAGTGGTGTATAAGAAACGGATCGGCAGAAAATGTAGTGCTGGTAGGAGTATAAATTGGTGCAACCACTCTGGAAAACAATTTGCTATTACCTTATGAAATTGAACCTTTGCATACGCTATGACCAAACTATTCCACTCCCAGGTATCTATGCTAGAAAAACTGTAGTGCATTTGCACTGGGAAACATGTACAAGACTACTCACAACAGCAATCCCTGTGTCCAATGTGCAGAGAATGGATAAATGCATTGTGTTATTGCATATACTTCCTATGGCAACTGTAAAAAATCACTAGAAATTGGGTGCCTAAAATAACAGAAATTTATTCTCTCACCATTCTGGGGGCCAGAAGTCCAAAATCTGTATCACTAGGACAAAATCAAAACGTTGGTGGCTTCATGCTTCCTCTGGAGACTCCAAAGGAAAATTCACTCCTGGTCTCTTCCAGCTTCTTGTGGCTGCCAACATTCCCTGGCTTTTGGCCACATCACTCTTCCATTTTCACATTGCCTTCTCCTTTTTTTGTCTGTGTCAATCTCTTTCTAACACCCTCTTATAAGGATATATGTGATTGCATTTAGGGTCTAACCTAATAATTTAGATTAATCTACTTATCTCAAGATCAATTACATCTACAAATGTGACCTTACATTTTCATATAAGGTCACATTTCCAGGTTTCAGGGATGAGGATATGACATCTTTGGGGTAACGGCATTTTGGCCTTCCAGAGTCTTCCCTCTGACCCCAAAAGATTCTCCTCCATCCCTCACACAAAATACATTCACCCTATCCCAAGATCTTCAAAAGTCTCAAGTCATTACAAAATCAACTCAAGTCCAAAATCTTGTCTAAATAAAAACAGCTAAAAACTCCAAATCTCTTCATCAAAATCATGCATGACTGAGACTCCACATATAATCCATTCTGAAGAAAAATATGTTATATTTCTGAAACTGTGAAACTAGAAACAGGTTATCTATTCCCAAAATACAGTGATGAGATAGGCATAATATAACAGTTACAGACATTCCCATTCCAAAAGGGAGAAAATGGGAGAAAGGAGTCACTGGTTGTGTAAGGAGAACTCTCTCTAAGCATGTGTTTCCTCTACTCTCACACCACAATGATCACCAACACAGAAGACTTCTGTGGCAAAATGTATAGGGTTTTCTTCTCCACACACCAAGCAGCAGACACCAACTGGGTGTCCTCTAATTTAGTTCTGATGCTATCTATCCAGAGATAGTGTCAGATCCCACAGGGTGAGGGCTCAGTCCCTAAGTCCCACACCAGTTGCAAGTTGGGGCTTCTGGAACTTCTGACCAACCAGCTTCAAGTATGGGTTCCCATTGCTAGTGGCAGGAGGCAGACAAATTCCTAAGCAGACAGGGGTGGGTCCCCAGTGAAAACTGGCCTTCAAGCCAAAAGCAGCCTGAAGCTTCAAAAATGAGCTGCTAGTTCCAAATGAAGTCCTCGGCCAGAGTGAGAACTTCTATTCCTGTTTGTCCCATGTTTCCTGATGGTTCTTTCTGAATAATGCTTTTTAACCAATCGAATGTTGCCTTGTCCAAGGCTACCTACAGCCTGCACCACCCTCATTCAGAGACTATAAAAACTTCAGACTCAGCCATACTTTGGGACTATCCACCTTCAGGTGGGGACAACCTGCCTTCAGGTGGGGGACTACCTGCTTTAGGTCCCCCTTCACTGAAAGCTGTTCCATCACTCAATGAAACATTTCTCCAACTTGCTCACACTCTGGTTGTCCATATAACCTCATTCTTCTTGGATGCAGGACAAGAACTCGGAACCCACTGGCAGATGGAAAGTAGCTGTACCACTGTAGCCCTCCTACCCTCCACCAGCGCCAAGCAGCTGCCCCACGTGACAGAAAGTGGCAGCAGGGCAGGGCCTGTCCAGGAGCTGTGGGCCAGAGCTGGGTGGCAGACTGAACAAGCTGGGACACACCCCCATTCGCTGAAGTGTGCAGACCATGGGAACAAATGAACTGTAACACAAATGAGCTGTGACCCTTCTGGAGGCCCAGACCTCGGGGTTCCCCAAGCAAGAGCTGTGACATGCTGTACCCACTTTGGGGTTTTGTGGTTGCTGTCGTCTCCAGTGCCCAAGGCAGAAGCAGGTCACAGCATGCCTAGGCCAGCCATGGGCTGGGTGTGGATCCTGAAGTGAGCATGGTATCCAGACTGGTAGTGTGAGCTGAGCGCACCCTGCCAGGCCACGTGGGCAGGCCAAGTCCAGCAGTGAGCCTGGAGCATAGCGAAGCCCAGGCTGGAACACCACAGGCCATGGAAATTACTGGTTGGTGAAGTGGCACCCGAAAACATCCTGTGTCATTACTGGGGGCTTGTTTGGGATCTGCAGAAGGGTGAATAAGTGTGGACCTAAAACTCTTTGACTTTAGTTTCCAAGTCTTCTTGCTCTCAGACTATTTTCTGCAGGCAGATGATGCACTGAGCCTCTGTTAGCCAGTTAAGAGCGAATGGTGTGGCTTCAGAGGACATGCTTGCCCAGGAGGACTTTGTTAACCCACCCCCATCACTCTTGGGTGTTGAGAATGTTAGCTTTGTTCCAATTCAGTCTCCCTGTATGTAGCTCTAGCCATTATGTGGGAATGGCTGGAGGTCCTGGGGCAGCTAAGGGTATCTGGCTAAGATTCATGTTGGTGTTATTCAAAGGTCCCTGGACTGATTCCAGTCCCCAGCCGCCTGTTAGGGTGTCAACACTATGGACCCTAATCTTTCCTATGGCATTTTTCTTTTTTTCCTGTGGCTCTCATGGTGCCTATCCCTTCTTTATATACAATGTTAAGGGTGTTGTTGCAAACCATAGAGACAATATTACTGTGTATAATGAGCCCTTGGCTCAGTCATCATGAATATAATTCAGAACAATGTGGTTTCTGTCCATTCTTAGAAGCAAGAAGGATGCAATCAGCGACTGAGAGCTTTCTTTCCCTTGTTAAAGGAACCCATTTGCATAGGGCGAGAAGTTTTTCCCCGTCACCTTCCCCTCCTCTGCAGTTGTTGTTTTTTCTCCAGCACGACATGAGTTAACATAGTCCTGTGAATAAAGGGAGTTTTTCTATGTGAGGGGTTATTTTTTTTTCCTTTTGGGTAGCATCTTACTAGGCCAGGTCTCAAATTCCTGGGACTCCTTTTCTATCCCTTGTTTGAGGAGGACCTGGTTCCACAGCTTCACCTTAGCATTCTGTTTATGATAGGGAAGCAACAGAGGAGCTGCCCTACTGGTTGCTGGCTACAATTTAGTGAGGGCCATCTGGGGCTAATGTAATGGGTCCGCAGAGTCTCCTGAGGCATCTTTTTGCCCCAAATTCTACTTCAAGCTTTGGTTTGAAGGCCCAGAGGGAAGACTAGATCTGGGGGACCCAGAGGCAGTTATGGCAGAAGGCCAGGGTGCAGAACAGATGAGCATAATTGATTAGCCCTGCAGATTAGGCCTTCCCACTTCATGGGTGGAGAACTTGCTTGCATCCATGGCACAGATGAGCTCTCGGGAACCAAAAGGCTACAAACAGTGGGAGGATAGAGCAGCTTAGGTAAGTGTGAATATCCCTACCCTCTAGGTCTCCCTGCTAAATGGCTGGAAGATCACACTTGCACCCATAAGTGGCACCCCCCGTGGCAGCCATGACTTGGATAAGAAAAGACAGAAGAAAAAAGGGGACACTATTTCTCTCCCTCACATGCTCCAGGTATTCACTGGAAAGAGAAAGGAGCAAAGGGATGCCTTTTCCCCCTCTTTCTAGATGGGTAACCAATCATCTTCACCCTGCACTCTTCTTGATTGCATCCTGAATCACTGGGATTCCTTTGACCCTTAGACTGTGGAAAAAGAAAAAAAGCCTTCTTTTTCCTCCTCTGTCTTCTCTTCGCAGTTGGGTAATTATGTCTCCATACCACGGAACACTCCCCTTGGATGCATCCCCCAAACTGCAAAAAGTTTAATTTCTCCAAACATTAAACTGCTTGGCTTAAAAACAAACTGGGAAGAAATTACAAATCTAACTGTGCAATCTCTTGAAGATCAACAACTTCTACAGTATGGAGATAATCTCTTTGTCTGCTCCCCCTTCACAGACTCCAGGGTCAATAGGGTTCCATAGCTTGGGGGAAAGGAACCCAGAAGCCTGATTTGCTGGCAAAGGGTAAAAATTCTTCCCATCAGACTTCCGGCTTCCCTCTCTCTGTGCAAACTGGTTGAAGGAATGGTAAAAATCACTGTATTCTCTGCCTACCCAATAAGTTCAAAAACTAGAAATATTGGCCATTTGGCATGGCTAAGGTTGGGTAATAAGAGATTTAAAAGGACCTTTTAAGGAGGGAGTGCTATGGTTAAAAGTCAGCTTAATTAAAAGTGGATATTCAAGCTATAGGTATATTTTAAAGGCCTTTATATCTTTTCTCTTTGTCGATCTTGTTTTTCTGAAAAAAGGTATTTTTTTCTTCTCAGTTGACTGAATTATTTTCTCCATTTTGTCTTGCTACTCTTAATGCCCCAAGCAAATTCTGATAGCCTGGGACTCATTGGGAAAACAGAGGAGAAGTCACAGACCCCATTTTGGGGAAAATCTCTGTTTTACTTGTGGAACTCCAGGAATTGAAAGCAGATAGATCCCTCTCAAAATCTAAAGCTGTGTTCTGTTTTGCATTGTCTTATCTGACAATTTTGAGTTATGATGGGCATCAGAAAATTACTTCAAAGACTCCAATGGGAGATGGGCTGACTCCCTCTTTTTAGGATCCAGGATCTGGTTAAAAATGGGACCCTTAATTTTGGGGATCCGTTTTTGTCTTCCAGCTGTGGCTGCTTATTAAGCCATACTAACTGCCTTGTTTCTTGAAGGATGCCACCCTAAGGTCTATAATCCAATTAATAAACTGGCAAATAAAAAATCTTACAACTATTGCATCTTCTTCTGTCTGTGTAGTTATATATATATATGTGTGTCTGTGTGTATATATATATATATTATGTGTGTGATGTTAACATAAAAGAGCTCTAGTTGATTGGCTTAAAGAAAAATAAGCACTTAGATTAAGTATTTTTAAAAGAAAAATGAAAGCTATAATTCCTTTTAGTTCATGTGACTTTAACGTTTGAGAAATAAAGACAGCTTTAAAGATTATTGGTAAAATAAAAGCATCTTCAAAATGTAGACATGTGGCTTAAATTATTCAGGTCAGGTATTAGGTTCACTAAATGCTTTAAGGTCATAAACTGCTTCTTCAGCTTTTGCAAATTATTTGACTTGCCTGCTTTAAAGTTTGGTAAGGCCTGGGACATGCGGAGTTAACCACACCCCAACTATGCTGTTAGGAGTTAGACCTTATCTGTAACTAGAACATAATTAAAATAACTTACAAGATTAGAAAATTAGAAATGTTTAAGAGTTACCATTATAACATGTAATTGAGACTACTGAAAATAGATTTACATGCAAGGGTGAAATCTGGCTTTCCCTCTCTTGAACAAGATTTTTATGTAATATTAAAGGATAATGAAAGATTTTTGTTTGCCTTGTGAATAAACTGCCAAAAAAAGAAGGGAAAGACAAGAGACAGAAGGTTTGGAAAGCTACGTCTTCCCTCTTAAAAAATTAAGGTTTTTGCGTTTTAAAAAAATTTTGAGTCATCTTTTTGACTAAATAAATGACTTATGGTAACCTTCAATTCTATTTCATAATAGCAAGTGTTTTAAACCTTTAACATATTTGATAGACTTTCCAAAATCAAATTTCAGTTTCAAAATTATATTTCCCGGCCCCTAACTTTGTGATGCTAGAGAGGGCCCCCGGAACATCCAAAAGAGAGGTAAACAAATTTATCTGACATGTTTAGTTACCTGGAATTGTCAAAATAAAAATAATGTTTAATCCTCTTCAGGTTATAGTTTAGTGAATAATAATATATGTTCCAAAATTGCATGGCATTTCCAAAATTTTAATGTCTGAGTATATTTTATTAATCATAATTAGGGTTATTGTTTTAAGTTATTATAAACCACAGAAATAATCAAATTTGTCAATCGTGTTCTTGACTGTGACTACCCTAAGACATTTTGTCATTCATAGACAAATGTTGTCTTGTTTTGATCCTCTTTGAAAAATGGTTTATAATCAGGTATAGGACTTTGACAGGTGTTCTTAAATGAAGGTTTCTGATAACTTTGGAGATTGTGACACTGGAATAAAGGAAAAATGTTCAGGACTTATGAAGAGCTGAAATGTTCATGAATATCAAGCAGAAGAGTTAACTGAATGGACTGAATCGAAGACTGAAGTAATCTTTTTGATTTGGCTTAATACATTGCTGATCCTTTGTTTTGTTTTTCAGAGTCAGAAAAACTTATTTTTAGCAATTTACAGCTTTTAAGAGTTCGGTAAAGTATACTCCTGTGAACAAAATTTGGAGCATGTTTGTTTCTCTCTGCCTGGTTTCTCAAGAATTTGGAAACTATTTGTGAGTATTCTTAACTTATGGCAATATAGTTATTTGCATACATGAAATAAGAATCCATTTTCTTTTGCAACAGCACTCAACTGGAGAAACTGGTTGTTTTATCAAGGCTTTGACTGGAAGGGTATACTTCCCTTTAAGAAATCAAGCTTGACTTGTAGAGCCAATAAAAGCCCCTTGGGAAAACTGACCTCATACCTTGTCTGCAGTCCTTGTACAGGGTTCCTAACCTGTGGTGAGTAAAGAATGTCACTTTCTAATAGGTCCAGGATCCCCAAGTTATCTTGGGACCTTAAGAAGAGAAAAGTGCACCCAACTCATAGGTATCTAAGGGTACAAGACCACGGCTAGGCTCAGCTTCAAAAAGTCTTATCTGAGATTCCTTATGGAATAGAATTCCATTAGAGCCAATTTTAAAAGCCTATGTGAAAATGATTATTCTTGCTGCTCTTTATGCAAATAATCAGGCCAAGTATAAGTCTAAAGTTTATTTTGCAAACAACTCAGTTCTACCATGATTTGCTTAAAAATAAGAACTAGAAAAGCAAAAATTATGCTTTAAAACTTATCATACACTTGTCATTGAATTCTAATCTTATTAGTTGTTTTTCTGGTTTTTTTTTTTTTTTTTTTTTTTTTTGCATTTTAGACTAACACTGCTAATTCCTGTGATCCAACCAGTGATCTATGGCTGCAGCTCAGAAGAAACAGAAAGGATGGGTAACGTAAAAATCTGGATCAAAACCCTAAATCTGGGCAATTATCCTGCAAATCATGCCAGTTGATGGGGATAAATGGGGTACCCATAACCCAGAGGCTTCTTTTCTGGGAAAATAAGACCAAGGGAGCTAACCAAAGCCAAGCCCCATGCACCCAAGTCTTACCAGGCATAACTACAGCCCCAGATAGGTGTGTCAGCAGGCTTAGGATTTTTGAGCTGTCCTTTACCCCCTTATTTCTTTTTGATCCATGTCTTCTAATAACCCAGTTTGCCTCTTCTCACCTTCAGACCATCAAACTCCAACTGGTCATGCAAATAGAACCCCGGACAATGGCTCCCTCTTACTGGGGATGCTTAGGTAGGCATCTGAGAGAGATCTGACTGCTGTTCTCCCAAAACAATGCCTCCTGTCAGCATGAAGCAGTAAAGGGTAGTCACATTTGTATTAATCAGGGTTCTCTTAGAGAGACATAACTAATAGGATATATATTCATAAAGGACAGTTTTTAAAGTATTAACTCACATGATCACAAGGTCCCACAATAGGCTGTCTGCAAACTGAGGAGGAAGGAGAGCCAGTCCTAGTCCCAAAACCAAAGAACTTGGAGTCCCATGTTCGAGGGCAGGAAGCATCCAGCACGGGTGAAAGATGTAGGCTGGAAGGCTTGGCCCGTCTCTCCTCTTCACATTTTTCTGCCTGCCTTATGTTCCCTGCCAGCTGATTAGATCATACCCACCAGATTAAGGGTGGATCTGCCTCGCCCAGCCCACTGACTCAAATGTTAATCTTTTTTGGCAACACCCTCACAGACACACCCAGGATCAATACTTTGTATTCTTCAATGCAATCAAGTTGACACTCAGTATTAACCATCACACTGTCCTTATCCTAATGGCAGTTAGATGTACTTCTTCAGAAGGGGGATTGATAGCAGCAGGACGTAGACAAAATCCTAGGCAGATGGGAGCAGGTACCTGGTGAAACCTGACCTTCAACCCAAGACAGCCTGAAGCCTGAAAACCAGGCTGTCGGTTCCAGATGCAGTCCCTGACCAGAGTGAGAACTTCTATTCCTGTTTGCCCCCCCTTTCTTGATTAGTTCTTCCCGAATAATGCTTATAAACCAATCAAATGTTGCCTTTTCCAAGGCTACCTACAGCACACACCTAAGCCTATAAAAACCCCAGACTGAGCCACACTTTGAAACCACCCACCTTTGGGTGGGGATGACCTGCTTTTGGGTGGGGGACTACCTGCTTCTGGTCCCTTCTCTACTGAGAACTGTTCTGGTGCTCAATAAAACTCTTCTCCACCTTGCTCACCCTCCAGTTGTCTGCATAATCTTATTCTTGGATGTGGGACAAGGAGTTGGGACTCACCAAATGGCAGGTGGAAAGGAGCTATACCACAGTAGCCCTCCCACCCACCACTGGCACCAAGCAGCTGACTCATGTCACAGGAAGAGGCAGCGGAGCAGGGCCAGCCCAGGAGCTGCGGGCTAGAGTGGTGCAGCAGACCAAATAAGCTGGGTAAGTCCCCATTTGCTGAAGTATGCAGTGGGCAGAAACAAATGAACAAACATGGAAATTTCTGACTGGTAAAGCAACCCCCTCTTTGGGTTTGATTATTTTGCTGGAGCAGCTCACAGAACTCAGGGAAACACATTTACCAGTTGAGTATAAAGGAAATTGCCTCTCTGCCTCTATAGATATTTTCATTTTACCTGCAAATGTAATTTAATATTAGTAAGTTACATCTTTAGAACTGTAATAGTGACCTCAAAAATATATTTTAACAGTAAATAGGTCCAAGAAAATATCTATCATGTTTGCACTAAATAGGTCAAGCTGGATGAGGGTTGACCATATCCTCTTTGGAATTACTTTGAACTTTCTAGGTGCAAATCAGCACAGAAAGTCAGGATTGCTGGAGGCCTAAATGATAAAACAGACCAACCATCCCTCTGTCTCTCTCAAATAATAATACTGATTAAAAATGAAAGGAGGCAAGCTTATTTTTCAGGGACATGACTTACAAACCTCTTAATTTTATTTAGCTACTTAATGGAAGAAGGAACTAAACTCCTAATTTTTAATTGCTAGCTTAGCAACATTTTCACTATGCCAAACTGCTTCTACACAAAATCCACATGACAATCACATTACATAACATAAAATAATCGAGAAAGATTTTGTGATTTGATCTGAATGTTGACTGATGAGATTCAACTTTCTGCCTTCTGTGGAGCCCACACTGATTTTTATTTGTTTGCTTGCTTGTTGGCTTGTTAGCAAGCAACTTGGTCTACTCCTCTGAGCCCTCTGCAAATGGACAAGTTTATCTTATTTTCAAGACTATATGTGTCTACACTGGGTCCAATGTTTTGATTTCATTAATCCAGCCAAGCACACTATTAACCCACCAGGTTCTTGAATCTCAGCACCTCCTCTGTTGACTCCACAAAGATAAGGGTGTATTTATGAACTGAGCCTTCCTTATGGACCAGACATCACATTAGATACTATCTATGCACTGGGGCAGGGGTGTCTTTCTGCGGAGTGTGGTTAGGGAAGGTCTCTCAGAAAAGGTGACCCGTGAGCAGGAATCTGAAGGAGAAAACTGCACAGTACCTCTGCACTACAGTTTCACACATTTCACGGATGAGCAAGCTGAGGTCTGGGGAGATCAAGCAATTTGCTCAAGATGGCAGAACTAGAGCGAAAAAGGTGAAATTCAAATCCAAACCTGTCTGACTTCAAAACCAATAATCTTGCCACGACAAAAAAAGATGTGAACATAAAATGATTCCCAGCAAAACAGGCATGTTGAAAAGATGCTAACACATATATGTGACTTGAGACTCTTGGAAAGATAATAGGTTACCTTTTTCTTTTAGTTTCTAATGCACCAAGGCTGCTTTTAGCTCAGAAAAATTTGTCTCTTACCAGCCAAGTATAAGAGGGACTATTCAGAGCGACCAAAGACATCAACAGCCAAAAGAAAGCTGGAAAAGCTGCTCTTCTCTAGCAAATTGGCTCTGGTTCTTCTAATATACACATAAACAGAATGACAAAAAAGGAAGAATTTAGACAAATATTTATACATATGGTGGGTGAGGACACCTGGCAGAGCAGGTGAATCAGCTCCAGAATGAGATGTTGCCTGCAGATCTAACTAGGAGGAAAAGTGACACATATTGCAGTTAAACTTAATGCAAATCTGTTCTCCAGTTTATCCCTCAAACTCAATAAAATCAAGGAATCCCTTTGTTTTCTTTTTATGTGCACACGGAGATTTTACAATTAGGTACTCGTATGAGTTGACTCTCCACTCTGCACATACTAATTTATGAGATCAGAATTTCACATTTCAGCATCTCTCTCAGACTTGGGATGGCACCTATATCATCCCAGAATAAAATTCAGCCCCTGCAAGTGTATCTCTTGCCATTAGTGTAATGCACAACTGCTGGCAACTGTAATGATTATTTAATTGAATATAGATGTTGGCTGAATACCAGCACAAAACACCATGCATTTTAAATCAATCATGATCCATATTAATTCAACACTCATAATAGGCTATTTCCTATAACAAATATAAAAGGGCAGCCTGTGAGAGCTTATAACCTACATAAAAATATGTTCTACATTTAAATCTGTCACATTTCATTGGGATATAAGGGGCGAATTTGACAAAAGTTTTAATTTTGCTTCAATGAGCAAATTTATGTTTGCATAATTCGTGTAATATTTCTGAGAAAGATGTTTTATAGTATTATTACTTGTATTAATAGTCATTTTGGCACAGATATTTATTAAGACACCTACTATGTACCAGACACTCTTTTTGGTACCAAGTAAAGAGCAGTGAGCAAGAAAACAAAGGGTTTGCCCTCAGAAACTTATATTGTAGTGGGAAAAGACATGCAATAAGTAAATAAATAAATGAACAAATAACACTGCAGAAGATGACTAGTGTTATGACAAAGACAAAAATAAACTTGGATTAAGAGAATAGAAAGTAACAGTAGGATAGAGAAATTATTTTATATGAAGTGTTCAGAGAAAACTTCTCTGTTAAGGTACCCATTGACTTGGCATGAAAGAACTGTGGAGTTAGTTATGTTGATTTCTGCAGATAGAGCACTCCAGAAGGAAGAAATGCAAAGGATGCATTGGAGTGTACATGGTGTGCTGGAGGTAGGATTGAAAAACCAGTGTCACTAGAGCAGAATGAGCTACTGGAGAGTGCAGAGAATGAGGTCAGGGAGGTGTTGCCCATCGAATCATGAAGGGCCTCCCAGACCATAGTGATGACTCCAGATTGTCCTCTGACTTGGAAGGGGTAGATTCTGAGTATTCTAGGCAGAGGAGTAATGATGATTTTAGATGAATACAGAATAAAATTCCTAGAAAGCAAAATGTTCATCATTCAGAACTTGCAGAGTATCAAAGCAGACTTTCTTCCCTAACAGACTGACACTTACAGCCCTTAGAAGGAATAAAGTTAAGTAAAGCATAACTACCCAGCTAATGTATTCATTCTTTCTCTTCTGTATCTTTCTTAGCTAAATTTTAATGTGGCTGTAATTGCATAATTGTGTCATAATGGATGCAGACTTCTAATGTGGAATGGGGTAGAAACGGAGGAGTTCAAGAGACTGGAAAATGCTCTCCTATGCCTTAGAAAATTATTTGACTCTGTTCAACTCATGTTTCAATAATTATCAAATGTCCAAGCACTTTAACATACTTTATAACATTTAATCTTTCCAACACTGCATGAAGTAGACATTATCAGTGTCCTACATTATCCAGGGACAAAATTGAGTCTCAGAGAACTGATAATTGAATGATTTGCCCAACTTCACAGTAAGATGTAGGCCTGACCCACAAGTGCTTTCTCTACAACATAACAGTTGCCTCCCTTAAGAAGAGCAGAGTTGTCAGGTAAAAAGAGGAGAGGAAAATGGAAAACAGAAAATGAAGGATCAAAATCTAGTAGCACCCTTCGGGAAACAGGTGATTTCTCAAAAAGTTAAACATTAAATTATCAGACAACCCAGCAATTCCATTACTAGGTATATGCCCAAAAGAACTGAGAACACATTCAAACAAATACTTTTACATGAATGTTTATAGCAGCACTATTCATAACAGCCAAAGGTGGAAACAACCTACATGTTCACTAAAGAATGAATGGATAAACAAATTGTGGTATATCCATGCAATGGAACATTATTCAACCATATAAAGAAATGAAGTACTGATACATGACACAATGTGCATGAACCTTGGAAGTGTTATGCTATATGAAAAGGTACACAAAGAGCCATGTGAGATTTCTTCTATAGGAAATATCCATGTTATATAAATCCACACAGACAGGAAGCACATTGGTGGTTTTGAAGGGTAGGGAGAAAGGAACATAGGAAATAACTGCTTATTGGGTACAGGCTTTTCTTTTGAGGTGGTTAAAATGTTTTGGAACTTGGTAGACATGGTGGTTGCACAACACTGTGAATGTACAAATTTTATGTTAGGTGAATTTCACTTCAGTTAAAAAAAGGAATAACAATGAGAAGAAAGGCAGATAGGCAAAAGAAAGGAAGCGAATGGTTCAGGGTTGCTCACGGCTGTTCAAAATGGCAAAGTACAACTAAAGCTGTATCTATGTGGTCCCTTCAATTCCATCATCTCATGGCCTGGCTCAATGTATAGTTACACAGAAACACTGTAAAACCATCTGTCTCCTTAACTATTTTTTCTGTTGTTATTTTGTAATTCAAATGAAATAAGTCTCACTATTAAAAAATGCAAATAATAGAATAGTGCATACCATGGTTAAAGACAGTCCTCCCCAGGAACATTAGGACAAATACCTAACGCATGCAGGGCTTAAAACCTAGATGATGGGCTGACAGGTGCAGCAAACCACCATGGCACATGTATACCTATGTAACAAACCTCCACTTTCAGCATGTGTATCCCAGAACTTGAAGTAAAACTTTTTTTAAAAATGTAAAAATTAAGAAAAAAGACCTCCTCAATATTCATGCCTCAGTAATAACTACTGTTCACATTTAGCCATGATTTTCTGTGTCACTTAGTGATGGGTGACTCCCTGGAGGATCTGAGGTCTTACTTAGGAAAACACTGTCATTGTTTGAGACTAATGACACTTCCAGAAAAACTTACTAAGTCTGACTAAATCTGACTAGGGATTTATAATGAACACATTTTCTATGAGACTTTTTAAAAAATTGATTGGTTAGTTCTCTTTTCAGTGGAAAAAACCACACACACACCCAACAACAACACCACACACAGATACACGAATGACACACACACACACACACACACACACACACACACACACATACCCTCTGACATAGCCAGCCATTGACCTAGTTAAATGAACTGAGTACTGCAGGTTGAATTAGATGGACTGCAATTCCATGGCTCTAAAGATAACAAACCAGCTGAAACAGGTGGACAGGCAATGAAAGCAAATGAGCCGAAAGAGCTTGCAAGTAAACTTTGCTTCACCTTGTCAGAAAATACATGAGCTTCCAAAATATAACTACTTCTTTATGTACAACTTTCTTATATATGGCTATTTTGACACGCCGTATCACAAACAAGGGTTCTCACCTAAATGATCACTGTTTTCAGTAACCTTAGACCTAGAAAGCTTTCCAGCCAAGAAGAAAAGTTGAGTGAGTTGTCATGAGGTCAAATAAAATATCCCCCATCACTACTACTATCAGCCAAAAATAAGTGTGACACATAGAAATAAATATAGCTAATCATTCACATACTATTTTAGTGTTACATTGAAGATTTTGCAAGTTATTAAATTACTATGAATAGCATAATTTGCTAGATAAGTTCTTCTAGTTGCCTAGCTCAAGGTATAAAAGGATGAAACTTTGGTATTAATATATCTGTGTGTGCACACAGAAACAAGTATTGTGATGCATACATTTTAAAAATTATTGTTGTACCTACCTTTCACTACAATAGCTGTATTGGCACAACACAGTTAATAATTTTCTTACCTTTAAATTCTGGTTTGATTATTTTGTACTACTTATTTGCTCTACAATATTTTTTCTAGCAATGATTTGCATAGCAAGCATGCACTCATGAGATGTGCAGCTGAAGTTATGATAACATAACTTATGTTATGTTGGGTAGGAGTGTCATATGGAAACATTTTTTTTCTTCCAGGTATAAACTTAGCGAAGCTTATTTTTATGCCATTGGCAAATGTCACAAATGCCTAAAATTTTTTATTGTCATTGTAAATTTTTCGCTTGGCTATGTTGAACACTTTGCTCAATATCCATGTCAGCGCACCTTCTGGTTGTCCTTGATATACTACAATCTGTGACGAAAATTTTGTAGTCTGTCCTGTTTCTCAAGAATTCCAATAAACTAAATATTTATTCTCACTCATATAATTTATGCAGTGTGGTATTTTTGTGTAAATTACAGAATTTAAGAGGTCAACAGGGAACCCAAATAATATTTTTGATAATGTACTTAGAAAATAAACTAGACACACTCTCTTGCTGACTTAAGTCTGATACTTTGGAAAGTTCTGTATTGAAATATAGTTGGCTTGTTATAAGAATTAGTTTTCTGAACCTCTCGCCAGGACTTCGTGACAGGGAAATAGAGCACACCTTAGAAAAACCAGTAAGAATGAAATGATTGGCAGTTGATTTGCTAAGCTGGACAAGAAACACTTTAAACTGAATTTTGATGGAGAAGATAACACCATTATACTAAGATAGAATAACCCAATATTACCAAAGATAATAGATGAAAAGAACTATAACAGTGGTTTTCAACATTACTTAAGTCGTTTTGCTTTTGCATTTTTTGAGACAGGTTCTCGCTTTGTCACCCAGGCTGGAGTGCAGTGGTGCAATCATGGCTCATTATGACTTCTGCCTCCTGGGCTCAAACAGTCCTCCTACCTCAGCCTTCCAAGTAGCTGGGACCACAGGCATGCGCCACCATGTCTGGATAATTTTTGTATTTTTGTAGAGATGGGGTTTCGCCATGTTACCCAGGATGGTCTCAAACTCCCCCAAGCAATCCATCCGCTGTGGCCTCCCAAAGTGCTGAGATAATAGGTGTGAACCACTGTGCCCAGCCTTTAAGTTGTTTAAGGGAATGCTGTTATGGACTGAATGTTTATGTGCCCCCAAAATTGATGTTAAAATCTTAACCCCTGATGCAATGATATGAGGAGTTAGGGTCTTTGGGAGATGATAATGTCATGACAGTGAAATCCTCATGAATGGAATTTGTGCTCTTATAAAAGGCACCCCGGAGAGTTCTCTTGCCTTCTCCCTACTATGTGAGGATACAAGGAGATGGCAGTCTGCAACAAGGAAGGGATCCTTTACCAGAGCCCAACCATGAAGGCACCCTCATCCCAGATGTTCAGCCTCCAGAACTATGAGCTGTAAATGTTTCTTGTTGAAGCCGCCAGTTTATATTATTTACGTTATAGTAGCCCAGACAGACTAGGACAGGTGAGAAGGAATTAACTGTATAAGACCATTTGAATTTGTGTCCCCACCCAAATCTCATGTCAAATTGGGGGGAGGGGGCGTGGTGGGAGATGACTGGATCATGGGGGCAGATTTCCGCCATGCTGTTCTCATGATAGTGAGTGAGTTCTCATGAGATCTCATGGTTTAAAAGTGTGTGGTGGCTGGTTGCAGTGGCTAACACCTGTAATCCCAGCAATCTGGGAGGCTGTGGTGGGTGGATCACAGGATCAGGAGTTCAAGACCAGCCTGGCTAATATGGTGAAACCCTGTCTCTACTAAAAAGTACAAAAATTAGCCAGGTGTGGTGGCATGCGCCTGTAGTCCCCGCTACTCGGTGCGCTGAGGTAGGAGAATCGCTGGAACCTGGGAGATGGAGGTTGCAGTGAGCTGAGATCGCACCACTGCATTGAAGCCTGGGCAACAAAAAGAGACTCCATCAAAAAAAAAAAAAAGAAGTGTGTGGCATCTCCCCCCTTGCTCTCTTTCTTTTTCCTGCTCTGCCATGGTGAGACATGCTTGCTTCCCCTTAGCCTTCTGCCATTACTGTAAGTTTCCTGAAGCTTCCCAGTCACGCCTCCTGTTAACCCTATAGAACTGTGAGTCAATTAAACTTTTTCTCTTCAGAAATTACCCAGTCTGAGGTAGTTCTTTATAGCAGTGTGAAAACTGACTAATACACCATATTTAACCCTACGCAGAGCTGTCCACATTGAGGTTTATCTCCCTCAATTTCTCTGTCCTTAAAATCAAGAGGGCTATATCCAATATCCTCATGGTATTTCAGCTGACTGGATAAAATAAGGAAATACAAAAAATTAAAACTGTTTCCAAGGGAAATCAATCAATTGCATTAGAGGTTACAAAATTAATAAACAACATATTGTGATAGAAAATGATACAGAGTGTCCTTAAAAAATTAAAAATAGAGCTACCATATGATCCAGCAATCCCACTAGTGGTTATATATCCAAAGGGATTGAAATCTAGAGCTGGAAAACATATCTGCACTCCCACGTTCATTGCAACATGATATGGTTTGGCGGTGTCCCCACCCAAATCTCAATTGTAGTTTCCACAATTCTCACATGTTGTGGGAAGCACCTGGTGGGAGGTAATTCAATCATGGGGGTGGGTCTTTCCCGTGCTGTGCTTGTGATAGTGAATAACTCTCAGGAGATCTGATGGTTTTATAAAGGGGAGTTCCCCAGCACATGCCCATTTCTTGTCTGCCACCATGTAAGACATGCCTTTTGCCTTCTGCCATGATTGTGATGCCTCCCCAGCCACATAGAACTGTGAACCCATTAAACCTCTTTTTCCTTATAAATTACCCAGTCTCAGGTATGTCTTTATTAGCAGCATGAGAACAGACTAATACACAACGTTCATCACAATAGCCAAGCCAAGATACGGAAACAACCTATATGTTAATCAACAGAAATATGGATTTAAAAACTGTGGTATATACATACAGAGTAATATTATTACCCCAAAAAACGACAGAAATCTTGTCATTTGCAACAACATCGATGGACTTGGAGGACATTATGCTAAAAGAAATAAGCCAGACACAGAAAGAGAGACACTGTGTGATCTCACGTAAATGTAGAGTTTAAAATCATCACATAGAAACAGAAAGTAGAATGATAGTTTCCAGGAGCTGGTGGAGGTGGAAACAGGGTGGTATTCGTTAAAGAATTAAAGGTTTAGTTATGCAAAATAAATATGTTTTGGAAATCTAATCAGTAACATAGAACCTATAATTTAAAATACTGTATTGTAATATTTAAAAATTGCTAAGGGGGTAGATCTTATGTTAAGTGCTCTAACCACAACAACAAAAAAAGGAAGGCAGGAGAAAATTTTTTGAGATGATAGATAAGTTTATGGCATTGATAGTTACAATGGTTTCACAGGTATATACTTATCTCCAAATACCTCAAGTTGTATATATTAAATATTTACAGCTCTGAAAATTAAAAGGAAAACACATTATAGGAATTAATACACACATATAGTAAAATATATGATAAAAGCAAAAGAGAGAAAAGGACAGGAGAAATGAAAGTATACTACTTTAATTATTGTATTATTTATGAAATAACACTACTTGAAGATAAACTTTGACAAGTTAAGGACACACATTGCTAAATGTAGAAAACAGCTGAAGAGTAATACACAAAGTTGTAGCTAAAAGGTAATATAAGAAGGTATGAGTGAAGATGAACTGGAATACTAAATTAATCAAAAAGAAGGAAACAGACAAAAGAGGAAACAAAGAACATATGAAAAAATGGAAAAGCAATAGCAAAATGTATCTTTTAAACCACCATATCAATACTTACATTTAATGTAAATGCTGTGAGCATTCCAATTAAAAGACAGAGATTGGAGTCTCCATTAACCCAAATAAAAAATCAAGACTAGCCAGGTGCAGCGGCTCACACCTGTAACCCGAACACCTTGGGAGGTCAAGGTGGGATGATCACTTGAGGCCAGGAGTTTGAGACCAGCCTTAGCAACACAGCAAGAACAGGTTTCTAGAAAAGCTTTTTAAAAATGACCTGGGCATGGTGGTGTGTTCCTATAATCATAGCTATTCTGAAGGATGAGGCAGGAGGATCACTTGAGCTCAGGAGCTGGAGGTTACCGTGAGCTATGATTGCACCACTGCATACCAGCCTGGGTGATAGCACAAGACCCTATCTATGTAAAAATATATAAAATAAAAATCAAGAGCCAACTATATCCTGGTGACAAAGTGATGGTATAAACACACTTTAAATATAAAGCACAGATAAATTACTTTAACTATAAGAAAGCTGCATGTCAAACAAAAAACATAAGATTCCTTCACACTAAAGGAATATAACCAGGGATAAATAACAATTATTAAGTTAATTCATGAAAAAGTCAAAATAATCACATACCAAATGATAGAGCTGCAAAATACGTATACTAAAAGTTAACAGATAGGATGAATAGGCCAGTCTTATAGCTGGAACATTAAGCTCTCTTTTCTCAAAAGTTGATAGAACAGACAGACAGAAAATTAGTAAAATATATAAGACTTGAATGCTATTGTAAATAAACTTGAACTAATTGACATTTATACAACATACCATGCAAACACAGAAGCATGCACACTGATAAATTATATCAAATATTTAAGAAACAAATAATCCCAGTCCAACATAAAAAGATCCTCTCAGAAATCTCAGCTAATTTTTTGAGGGAAATATTAGCCTGATACACCAAAAGGAGAAAGGCTATAAGAAAATTATAAAACAATATTCTCAATAAGCATATGCCCAAAAATGATTAACAAAATGTTAGTGAATCAAAACAGTGAATGTATAAAAAGAATAATACATCATGACCAGTGGTGGTTATCCTAGACCTGCAAGGTTAGTTTAACATTAAAAAATCAATCAATGAGAAGACTTCCAGTTTTAGCTTTGACATATCAAAGGCTTAAAAGTTATGACTCCTGCCCTCATAATAAGTAAAAACTAGAAGAAACCTGAAGCCAATGACATTTCTTGGCTCCATCAGAGAGATGAGGTTGCAGGACAGACTACCACCATGAAATCTGGAGTGTTAGGCCCATTCAGAGATATACAGGACTCAGGATCTTCTTACTTGGGGCAAAACAAACCTGTAGAAACAACTAAATGATTATTCTGATGAATGGCTGGAGATTAAGTGCACATTAGTATGAGAAGGATAAGCTCCTGAGGGCCACAGTCATAGGTAAGACTGTAAACTTTTGTGGGCTTTCCCTCCAGGAACCCCACCAAATTTTCACGGTGGAGACAGGAGAAAGCTCCCCATGTGACCCTGGCAAGAAAAGAGGAAGAGGAGAGATAGTTAAGCCCTTCCAGACTCTTGTACCTAACAAAGGCCTGGTTTCCATGGGGAAGAACTTTTTAGAGGGCAATTCTGAGACCTTATCCTAGCTGAGGGAGGTGATCTCTGCTCCACTCCAGCCTGCACCAGCCTTTCTGTTATGCCTAAGGAAAATCAAGTACATAAGAACCATAATTTACAGAGGACACAGGTCAAATATATAGGCTGGGAATGGAATAGCTGGGTAATAGACTAAGAGGCAATAGCAAGGGGAATCTCTACCCCAAAAGGTGGGACAAAAACACTGCTGAAATCCATACTTTTGAGAAACAGACCCATTAAAAGACTAAGGCTTACTAAGAATATTAGAGAACTAGCTTTCTCCTCTACACTCTACCACCCCATTAACAACCCTCCAGGAGTAACAACAGTAAATTACTACAGGAAGTGCTGCAAGATACAGACTCTGAGGAGCAATATGAAAAGAAGCCACAAAGCCAAGAGGAGATTACAACAAAAACACAACATGAGCTAGAAGCTTTTTGTGCCTATAGCTACAACATTAAACACTATCCACTTCCAAGCTAGATTAAAATAAATCTTCACACTAAAAGCCTGTCTATCTTAGTTTCCGTTACCCAGTAAATTTCAACAAGAAGAAAAATCACAATGTATGTCAAAAAGGAAGAAAAACATAGGCCAAGGAGATAAAGCAGTCGTCATAATCAGACTCAGGGACGACTCAGATATTGGTATTATCAGACCAGGAACTTAAAATAACGATGATTAATACATTATTGATAAAGTGTGTACGTTTGTCCCCTCCAAATCCCATGCTGAATTGTAATACCCAATGTTGGAAGTGGAGCCCGGTGGGAGGTGTTTGGATCATGGTAGCGGATCCCTCATGAACGGCTTAGTGCCATCCCCTTGGTGATGAGTGAGTCCTTGCTCTGGTAGTTCATGCAAAATCTGGTTGTTTAAAAGAGTGTGGCACTACCCCGCCCCACCTCTAGCTCTCTCTCTAGCTACGTGACATTGCCTGCTCTCCCTTTACCTTCCACCATGATTGTAAGCTTCCTGATGCCCTCAGCAGAAGCAGATGCTGGAGCCATGCTTGTACAGCCTGAAGAACTGTAAGCCAATCAAACTTCTTTTCTTTAAATAAATTACCAATCTCAGGTATTCCTTCATAGCAATGCAAGAATGGCCTAACACAGTTGTCTTTGTTAATTTTGTGTTACTATAACAGAATATCTGAGACTGTATAATCTATAAACAGAAATTTATGGACTCACAGTTCTGGAGGGTGGGAAGCCCAAGGTCAAGCTCCAGCAGACTCAGTGTCTGGTGAGGCCATTCTCTTCTTCCAAGATAGCACCATGCATGGTGCATCCTTTGAAGAAGAGAAATGTTGAATTTTCATATAGCAGGAGACAGAAGAGCTAAGAAATAAGTTATTAAACCCACCCACAAGAGTGGAGCCCTCATGGCCTGATCATCTCTTAAAGGTCCCACCTCTTAATACTACTACAGTGACAATTAAATTTCATCATAAGTTTTACAGAGGACAAACATTTAATTCATATTATATTTTAAAGGATCTAATGGAAAAATTAGGCAACATAAAAGCCCAGATGAGTAATGTAAGAAGCTAGATGACAACTCTAAGAAAGAATCAAAAAGAGATGCTAGAAATTTTAAAAACAGCATCAGAAATGAAGAATACCATTAATAGGCTCATTAGTACAACTGACCATCATGAAATAATCATTTAACTTGAAGATAGATTAATAGAAACTTTCCAAACTGAAACACAAAGAAATAAAAACAGTACAGAGCATCTAAGAATTACAGAACAATAGTAAAAGGTGTAACATATGTACAATTGAAATGTTAGAAAGAAATGAGAGTGCAGGAAAAAACAATTTTTCAAGAAATAATAGCCAAAAACTGTAAAAACTTAATGACAGACACCAAACTTTGGGTCTAAGAAGTTCAGAGAATACTAACAAGGAGAAACACCAAAAACTCCATACCTACGCATATGATATTAAACTGTAGAAAACCAAAGACAAAGTGATAATCTTGAAGAAAACCAGAGAAGCAAAAACCTTGCCCACAGAAGAACAACAATACAAATTTGGGCAACTTTTCATCAGAAATTATACAGGTAGAAATAAAGTAAAGTGAAACATATAAAGTGTTGAAAGAAAAAAGAAAAAAAATATTCTGCCAACCTAGAATTATGCCCAGTAAAATTATCCTCAAAAAGTGAAGAATAATAAAGACTTTCTCAGGCAACCAAAAAATGAGGAAATTCCTTACTAGTAGACATGTGTCACAGAAAGTTAAAAAACAGAAATGTTCTTCAGGTAGGAGAAAAATGATATTGATTAGATTGTATCTACATAAAATAAAAATAAGGAAGAGGGTTAGAAAATGAATAAAAGTAAAATAAATTATTTTATTTTCTTAATTGATCTAAAAGACAACCAACTGCTCTTTAAAGCAATAATAGTAAAAACGTGTTTAAGTGTTTAAAGAATATGGATAACTAAAATAAATCACAGCAACATCACAAGGAATAAGAAACAAAATTGTAATACTTTTTATAGGTACCTATACTACATGTAAAGTGATATAATTTTAATTTGAAGGTGGACTTAGATTAGTGAAAAATATAAATTACAAACTACAGAGCAACAACTTAAAACGTTGGGGAAAAATGTGCAGATAATATGTCAGGAAATGAGATAAATTGGAATTATAAAAACTTTTTAATTAAAACCAGAGAATGCAAGAAAAGCACAGAGGTATAGTGAAGAAGAAAAAGCAAAGAACAAAAGTAACAGATGGAAAACAGTTAAAAAGATGTTAAACTTTAATTCAACTATATCGATAATCACTTTAAATGTGAATTTGTCTAAACACACCAGATAAAAGAAAGAGATTGTCAGTCGGATTAAACAAAACAAAACAAAACAATATGGTATCTACTAGAAACTGACTCTAAATATAAAAGTTCACATAAGCTAAAAGTAAAATGACAGGCTGGGCACGGTGGCTCACGCCTGTAATCCCAGCACTTTGGGAGGCCGAAGCGGGCAGATCACGAAGTCAGGAGATCGAGACCATCCTGGCTAACACGGTGAAACCCTGCCTCTACTAAAAAATACAAAAAATTAGCCGTGTGTTGTGGCGAGCGCCGGTAGTCCCAACTACTCGGGAGGCTGAGGCAGGAGAATGGCGTGAACCTGGAAGGCAGAGCTTGCAGTGAGCCGAGATCACGCCACTGCACTCCAGCCTGGGCAACAGAGCGAGACTCTGTCTCAAAAAAGAAAAAAAATTTTCTCCCGTTCTGTAGGTTGCCTGTTCACTCTGATGGTAGTTTCTTTGGCTGTGCAGAAGCTCTTTAGTTTAATTAGATCTCACAAAGGGCTAATATCCAGAATCCACAAAGAACTCAAACAAATTTACAAGAAAAAACAAACAACCCCATCAACAAGTGGGTGAAGGATATGAACAGACACTTCTCAAAAGAAGACATTTATGCAGCTAAAAGACACATGAAAAAATGCTCATCATCACTGGCCATCAGAGAAATGCAAATCAAAACCACAATGAGATACCATCTCACACCAGTCAGAATGGTGATCATTAAAAAGTCAGGAAACAACAGGTGCTGGAGAGGATGTGGAGAAATAGGAACACTTTTACACTGTTGGTGGGACTGTAAACTAGTTCGACCATTGTGTAAGTCAGTGCGGCAATTCCTCAGGGATCTAGAACTCGAAATACCATTTGACCCAGCCATCCCATTACTGGGTATATACCCAAAGGATTATAAATCATGCTACTGTAAAGACACATGCACATGTATGTTTATTGCGGCACTATTCACAATAACAAAGACTTGGAACCAACCCAAATGTCCAACAATGATAGACTGGATTAAGACAATATGGCACATATACACCATGGAATACTATGCAGCCATAAAAAAGGATGAGTTCATGTCCTTTGTAGGGACATGGATGAAGCTGGAAACCATCATTCTCAGCAAACTATCGCAAGGACAAAAAACCAAACACCACATGTTCTCACTCGTAGGTGGGAACTGAACAATGAGAACACTTGGACACAGGAAGGGGAACACCACACACCGGGGCCTATTGTGGGGTGGGGGGAGGGGGGAGGGATAGCATTAGGAGATATACCTAATGTAAATGACGAGTTAATGGGTGCAGCACACCAACATGGCACATGTATACATATGTAACAAACCTGCACGTTGTGCACATGTACCCTAAAACTTAAAGTAAAATTAAAAAAAAAAGTAAAAGGACATAAAAAGAAATAACATGCTAACACTAATCAAACAAAGGTAGGAGTAGATATATTAATTTCAAACAAAGAACAAGTACTTTAGAACAAGTCATGTG
Organism: Homo sapiens; assembly: GCF_000001405.40. Taxonomy (NCBI): domain Eukaryota; kingdom Metazoa; phylum Chordata; class Mammalia; order Primates; family Hominidae; genus Homo; species Homo sapiens. The sequence goes on along the minus strand of NC_000015.10, from coordinate 94,860,376 downwards.
ATTAGGGATAAAGAGGGACATTGCATGATGATAAAATGGTAAATTCTTCTAGAAGATATAACAATCCTAAACTTTTATGCTTCTAACAACAGTTAATTAAAATGTAATAGGCAAAAACTGACATAACTTAGAGGACAAATAGAGAATTCAACGTTTATATTTGTAGACTTTAACACCCATCTCTCAATAATTGGTAGATCAAGGAGGCAGATTATTAGTAAAGATATAGAAGACCTGAACAGCATTCTTATCAATTTGATCTAATTGTAACTTATGGAACACTCCATTCAATGACAGACGAATACATCATAATCGTGAGAGCACATAGAAGATTTATGAAAATAGACCACACCTTTAGCCATAAAACATACATTGACAAATATCAAAGAATGGAAACCAAAATACATTCTCTGAACACAATGGATTCAAACAAGAAATTAGTAACAGAAAGATAGCTGTAAAATCCCCATGTCTTTTGATATTAATAAAAATTCTAAATAACCCATGAGTCAAATAAGAAGTTTAAAGATAAATTTTAAAATATTTGTAAAATACATGAAAATAAAAGTATAGCTTCTCAAAATCTGTGGGGAGCAGCGGAAGAAATGCTTAGAGGGAAATGTAAAGCGCTAAAAGCACATAAGAGGAAAAAGGAAATATCTAAAAATCAATAATGTAAGCTTCCACCTCAGGAAGTTAAAGAATAAAGAGCAAACTAAACCTAGAAAAAGCATTAAAAAAGGAAATAAGAAGCAGTAGAGAAGATATCAATAAAACTAAAAAAAGAAAGACAATGGAGAAAATAAATCTAAAAGCAGTTTCGTTGAAAATATCAACAAAATGTATCAAACTTTTGCCAACCTACCCTAACAAAAAGAGAAAAGACATAAATTACCAACAACAGGAATAAAAGAGGTCATTGCACTCATCTCATGAATATTAAAATAATAATAAGGAGTTACATAGAATATCTCTTCATATGTGCTTGTGGGAATGCAGAATGCAGAATGATACTGTCACTTTGGAGAATAGTTTGAGTTTTTTATTCAGCTAAGCATATATTACTTAGCAACTGTTCTGTGGCATTTACCATAAAGAAATAAAATCTATGCTTACATAAAGTGTGTACACAATGGTTATAGCAACTTTACCAAAGTTGCCAAGACCTGGACACAAGCTACATATTGCATGATTCCATTCATATGACATTCCAGAAAAGGCAAATTTACAGGAAAATAATACATCAGTGGTTGCCAGGAACTGCCAGGTAGAGGGTGGAGGGTGGGGTGTTCACTCTAGAGTGGCACAGGGGAATGGGGATGGTGACAGACTCTTTAATATCCTGATTGAGTTAGTGGTTATTAATGCACATCAAAAAGAGTGAAATTTGCTTCATGTTAATCTGAAAAGGTGAATTAAAAAAAAATCCAAGGCTTTGGTTACCTGGAAGTATCATGTGAGCCTGCAGTTTCAGTGAATACAAAATGAAACCAAACACACAACATCAGCAGCCAAACAAATGAATCACACACATTTTGGCTGTGTTTTAAAAACTTGAATATCTATATTGAGAGACTTAACAGTGATATTCTTGAATGTTTTGGCTAAATTGTGCCCCAGAACAACCCCAAAGAATGCTCTGTATTTGAAAGTGACTAAGTGATCATTTTAAAGCTGTACAGCTGGTGAGTAGATGAGCCTTAACTCTCCATCCCGTGTTCTTACGTGGTATTTGTCAAACACACCTGAGGTATTTACTGTGCCAAATTCCTTTTTCTATACCTTACATAAATCATGCAGAGAATGACAATTTAGACAATGAGAGATCTTAAAACAATATTGAAAGAGAAATGGTTAATAAAATGAGTAACACATGGTCTTCAGAGAAGAGATTTTTAGGTGTGGGAAGAGGTCATAAGAACAGTTTTCAGAGATGGGAGAAACTTATAGAAATACTAGGCTTGTCTCACACATTAGTGAGTGTCCTATTATTGAAAAAATTCAAGTAGAATGCATGATGAGTGCCAGAGATCTTATGAAAAGGATAGGGAATGCTTGATGACTACTGAAATCCCTTTAAATTCTTCACATTCTTGGATTTGAAGTGAAACTCTTTATTGATGAGGTGGTCTGTCTTGTAAAATAGCGAGTCCTTTTTCACGTTTTCAAGATGAGTCTCGGGAATCCAGCCTCAGACAGGAGGTTGGCCCAGACGACTCCCAGGTTTCCTATCAATCTAGGACTTGGTGATGTCTATCTGGAATGTTAAACACAGAAACGTTTTCACTGGGTAATAAGTTAATGTTGGTGATTGTGTTTAACTCTAATGCTGTACAGGTCTTGTGAAACAATAAGAAAAACCTAGCGATTCTGTTTAATTCAGATTTAGTGAAAAACAAAACAAAAACCTAGTGAGCTCAAATTAGGAGTATGAAAGCAGAAAACTATGAACTTTTGTTTTTCCAACTTCACTTTCCTACTGCTGTATTCAAAAACATACAAAAGTAGATGCAGAGTTCAAAGAAGAATATTGGTCAACAACAGTTCTATCCCTAGATGAGCCTCTGAGGCAGAAGAGCAATGATACACAGAAATAATGAGAGGAGATTTCTATCCACTCAGTATATTTTCACCTGAGAAAAGAACTGTCCTAAATAAAGGGATGGAAGCATAACCCCCCATCCCATCAACACACACACGCTCACCCATGTGCGCGCGCACACACACACACACACACAGAGGCATATGAACAAACACAAAAGCATGCACACTTGGTGCAGATTGTAAATGGATCATTCACCTCTGCATTAGCATTCTGGCTCTATATTTCTCAGCACAATACAGTTGAGATGAGGAGATTTCTCCTCAAGGAAGAAAATGTACATAGTATGGCAAGGATAATTCACCTAACAATTCAGAAAGAAAGGAAGAAACAAGCATTAATTGGATAATTAATTTTCCTTCAGCTAAGTCATTTAATTTTCATGTCAACCAAGGTCTCTCTTATCCCTAAATCTACAGGTTTTCCAACATGTTCTATTCTTATATTCTAGGCGTCTAACTTGTTCTCTGCCTCTCCTGCCTTATTTTTCTCTGTGATTCTCTTTACTTTGTTTTCTATTGATAATTCCTCAATCTCACCAATTCTACCTATCTGTATAACTGGACAGCAGGGTTATACTGCATCTAAAATTGGATTTTATTAGTTTATATTTGTTTCTGCCACTTAACCATTTAATCCAGAAAAGTTGCCTAACTTTTCTCTCTGAGCCTCAGTTTCCTCATGTGAATGAAGCCAATAATAGTATTATTTTCGAAGGTTTACTGTGAATACATATGTAAAGCACTTAGAACTATGCCTGCCATTTTATTTGCAATTCTTCCTCCTCTTTTTTTTTTTTTTTTTTTTTAGCTAGAAGGGACTTTTTATTGAAAGGCGAGGCTCCGGCCTCTGATGGGAGCTACAACTGGATCTCGCGGAACGCCCGCTTCTCCCCCAGCTTCACCTTGTACCTGGGTTTGAACTTGGCTCTCTGTCGAGGCTGGATCATATTCCTCCTCTGGAAGCTCTTGAACCGGCCTCGAAGGATGTCGCCCTCGGGCTTCAGGGTCCTGAGCGAGTCTGCCAGCTCCGAGCTCAGCTGCACGTCGATGTCAGGTGCCTGGTACTTGAGCCGCCCCAGCCTTCGGGGCTTGTCAGCCTCGGCCTTCCGCCGTGCCTGCCGCTGCCTCCGCCGCCGCGCCAGCTCCGCCAGCCTCAGGGCCACCTGGGCCTTGATCCCGCGCAGCAGGAACACCTCCCGGTGCCGGGGCCGGAGCCTGGCAGTCCGCAACGCGGCCTGCTGTACCCGCAGCCTGCGCGCAGCCTTCTCCCGCCGCCGCTGCTGCTCCGTCTCCTTCTCTGTGGCGGCCAGGCGGGTGGGCGTGGGACAGACCTCGGCATCCCCAGCCTCCGGCCCCTCGCCCTGGCCTGGCTCCCCCGGACCCTCTGACTCCTCCAGCAGCCCCTCGCACGGCTACCTGGAACGTGGACTCCTGGGTGGCGGCCTGCTCTGTGGCGGGCAGGGCCAGCTGCCGCTCCAGCTTCTCCGCCTCCTTCTGCCGCTGCAACTCCACCTCGTGGGCCGCTGAGAGCAGGGTCTGGTGGTCTTCAAAGTACGGGTTGTAGGAAGCTCCGGCAGGCGCCACCTCCACGGCGGGTGCCTGGGACGGCTTGGTGTGCAGGCGTGGTGGCCGCTTCACTCCTTTCTTCTTGGTCTGCTCCAGGAAAAACTCATCCTGGCCAAACAATGGCCAGTCCAGGGGGTTGTCTGATGCCCAGAGTTCGTAGAAGGGCCGCTCCACGGTGTCCTGGGGCCCGGGCTTGGCCCCGGCTGTGGGAGGGTTGAGGAGCCGGGCCTGGGCCCTGCGCACCTCCCGGGGCAGCTCGCCCTGCTTGGCCAGATTCTCCCATAGCTGCTCCTTCCGCCTGAGCTTCTTGGCGTTCGGGACCTGGTGGGCGAGGACGTCTTTGGGGGCAGGGACTTTGGATGTGTCTCGAGGATGAGGTCAACCCGAAGGGGTTTCTTGAGAAGCAGTGACTTCTTCTGGACTTTGGTTCTCTTCTTAGCCCTTTTTCCTTGGAGCCGGTGTCCACGAAGAAGAGTTTTTCATTTGGGGCCTCTCTCAACAAGCCACCGCTCATGCGCCCCTGTAGCCGCACGTCTTCCAGGAACTGGTCAACCTCCAGCCCCAGCGGCTCCTGCGCAAGCCTCCGCCAGTCCCACTTCTTATTTCTTGGGCCTCGCCGCCGCCGCCGCCTCAGCGCTGGGTCCGCCGAAATGGGCCGCAGCCCCAGGAAACCAGAATCGTTATCGCTTTTCGAGCTGTGCTTCCCACCAACGCCACTGCCTCCTGCCGCCATCTTGTCAAAGGCCCTCCTCTATCTTATTTCTTACTGCTTCCTTTTCTCTTTTGAAATATATACATTTTAATCTATTATATCAAGTTACTTAAAAATATCTACCAGAAACATGAAAAATGTGCTATGAATAGTAAAATTTGGCATAACACTGAGTTCATTAATTCACAATGTGGATCTCCTTTATATAACAAATAAATACAAGAATATGTAACAAATAAGATATAACAAGATACAAGACTAAGAGATGAGCAGCCATGGTGGGAAAGAGGTATCTCATATGTATTCACGGGAAGGCGAGATTTTGAAGGATTAGAAAAGTTGTTGAAATGGAACTGATAACGTAAGAAAGGAGTCACATTCCAAGCAAAAATCCCACTTACAAATTTCCATTTAATATAAAATACAAAGGTTATGGTATTTATCCAATGCTGTTTGTCAGTCCCTTCAGTTTACATAATTGACGTAATTCTTTTGAGAACTAACCGTTCAATGACGTCTGTCAGTCTTCGAAAATAAAATATGAAGACAGACACAAGACAAGATGGCGACTAGATGCAGCCAGAAAGTGCTGCTCCCATTAAAAGAGATCAAATTGTCAAACAAACCAACGTAATTTGGGCAGGTCTTTTGAGAAAACATTGAGAGTGGATAGAGGTAATGCTGAAGCCCATGCTGGAAAGGGAGGGAGATGGGAACCCTGTGTGGGGTACGCTTAACACTAGGGTTAGTAGTTCCTGGCCCTTAACAGCTCCTGGGCAAGAGATGAGTTAGGGAACTGAGGGGTACCTCACTCTTGCTGAAGACCTCTGGAATCCTAGATACAGGGGGCCTCACACCCCCCATAGTTGTGTGAGCTGGTATTAGGATGTCCCTGAGGAGCAAACAGAGACAGGTGTTTGGACAGTGTGGAGCTTGGGAGCTTTCGTATACTGAAAAGCTCTGGCAGAGTGTAGTCATAGACATCAATCCCCCAGGGTACCCCATCTGCCTCTGGAAGGCTGTCACCCCAGCTGACCACTGAGCCAACGGGGAGTATGGCCAGTTCTCCTGTGGGACTGGGGCACATCTGTTCTGAAAACCCTTCTGCCTGCTGGTCCATCTCAAGGCCCATGCCCAGCCACCCTGTAGGAGCGGGTGCATAGAGCAGCCTCACAGCCCAGTCTGGACGCATAGCTCCACCAGAGTACTTTTTGGGTAACCAGGGAACACATTGGTTTTCCCAGTGCAATTGGAGCCTGATTCCAAGTCACAGGACATCCTGTTGCCCACAGGATTGTGATTCATAGCTCAGGAGTACTGAGCCCAAATCTGTGGCCAGCATTTGAGCAGAGGAGGAGCCTCTCAGAGCACTGAAGGGGTGAGATGTGCAGGTTCCTGGGCCAGGATGTTCATGGAGCATGCCTCCCTCCACAGGGCTGGTCCACAAAGGGTGTGGCCTGTCTCCCTGCCACAGCCTCAGCCCTAGGGAACCCTGCAGCCTGGGACTTCTCACAAAAGAAATGCAGATGGGGCACCAGTGACCAGAGAAGTTCCCCTCAAGGCCCAGGAGCAGGCCTGGCAGGGCCATCTGTCTCTCCACCCCACCACAGAACACGCCTATGAACACAAGAAAGTACAAAAGAGGCATGCAGCTGTGTATTAGCCTAGCTGCTGGCCATTGCTCTTAATTGCCATCTACTGCCTCACAGCCCAAACTAAAATACCAAAAATTATGCTGCTAATATATACACCTGTGAAACTAAGCACAATAATTCACCCACAAATAAAGATCATATACAGAGTCCTGGCCTCCTGAAAGCATGCAGAAATGAAGCCAACCGACTATACGCAATTTATACCACAGTTGAAGGAGCACCAGCACTCCCAGATGAGAAAGAATCAGCAAGAACTCTGGCAATTAAAAAAGCCAGAGTGTCCTGTTACCTTCTCATGAGTTCACTAGCTCCTCAGCAATAGTTCTTAACCAGTCTGAAATGATTGAAATGACAGACATATAATTCAGAATCTGGATGTCAAGAAAGCTCATCAAGATTCAGCAAAAAGTTGAAACCCAGTTTAAGAAATTCAAGAAATCTGGAAAAATGATCCAACAGCTGAAAGACAAAATAGTCATTTTAAGAAAGAACCACACTGAACTTCTAGAGCTGAAAAAATCTCACCACAAGAATTGCAGAATACAATTTCATAATACTATACTTTACTTTCTGAAGTATTAACAGAGAATAGATCAAATCGAGGAAAGAATCTCAGAGCTCAAAGACAAGTTCTTTGAATCAACTCAGTAAGATAAAAAAAAATTAAATGAGCAAAACCTTGGAGAGAAGATTATGAGATTATGTAAAAAAAATTACAACTCATTGGTATTCCTGAGAGGAGCGAGAACAAGCAACTTGGAAAATATATTTCAGAATATAGGCCACAAAAATTTCCCTAATCTTACTAGAGAGGTTTACATGCAAATCCAAGAAATACAGAGAACTCTGCCTAATATTATATAAGATTTACCAAGGTAAAGGTGAAAGAAAAAAAACCGAAGGTAGCTAGAGAGAAGGGTCAAGTTGCATACAGAGGGAAATCCATTACACTAGCAACAGACCTCTCAGCAGAAACCCTGCAAGCCAGAATAGACTGGGGACATATTTTTTCAGAATCCTTAAATAAAAGAAATACAAACCAAGAAATTCATATCCCACGAAACTAAGCTTCCCAAGTGAAGGAGAAATAAAATCATTCTCAGAGGAGCAAGCACTAAAAAAATTTGCTTCAACCAGACCAGGCTTATAAGAAATCCTTAAAAGAGTGCTAAACATGTAATCGAAACACCACTGACTACCACACTCACAAAAAAAACTTAAGCACATAGCCTACAGGCACTATAACTCAACTACACAATCAAGTCTCATAATAACCAGCTAAAATCATAATAAAAGGATGAAAATCTCACATATCAGTACTGACCCTGAATGTAAATGGCTAAACACCCTCACTTAGAAGACAAAGTGACAAACTGGATAAAAAGACACTCAACCATCTGCTATCTTCAGGAAACTGTCTCACATGTACTGACACCCACAAACACAAAGTAAAGGGATGAAAAACGATCTACCATGCAAATGGAAAACAAAAAAAGAGCAGGAATTGCAATTCTTATATCAGTTAAAGTAGACTTTAAACCAATACCAATTAAGAAGGATGATGAAGGCCATTGCACAATGATAAAGGGTACCATGTAACAAGAAGACTTAACTATTTTAAATATATGCAGCGCCAACATTGGGGCACCCACGTTCGTAAAACAAGTTCTATTTGGCCTACAAAGAAACCTAGACAACCACAGCAATAGCGATTAACACCCCACTGACAGTGTTAAACAGATTATTGAGGCAAAAAACAAAGTAACTGGATTTAACCTCAACACTTGAACAACTGGACCTAACAGACACCTACAGAACACTCCACCCAGCAACTACAGAGTATATATTCCTCTCATCTGCACACAGTACATATTCTAAGACTGACCACATGCTCAGTCATAAAGCAAGTCTCAATAAATTAAAAAAATTGAAATCATACCAAACACACTCTCAGACCACAGTGCAGTAAAATATAAATCAATATCAGGAAGATCTCTCTACAAAAGTACATGGAAATTAAATAACTTGCTCCTGAATAACTCCTGGCAAACACTGAAATTAAGGCAGAAATAAAAACTTATTTGAAATTAATGAAAATAGGGACACATTTTACTGCAATCTCAAATGCAGCTAATGCATTGTTAAGAGAAAATTTTATAGCCCTAAACATCTTATAGCCCTAACTTCATCAAGAAGTTAGAAAGATCTAAAATTAACAATCTAAAATTGTAGATAAAATAACTAAAAAAAGGAAAACACCTCAAAGCTAGCAGAATAAAAGAAATAACTAAAATTAGCAAAGAAGTGAACAGAATTGAGATGCAAAAATCCATACAAAAGATCAATGAAACCAAGAGTTAGTCCTTTGAAAAAAATAAACAAGATTGATAGACTGCTAGCTAGATTAACAAAGAAAAAGAAAAGATGCACATAACTACAATCAGAAATAGCAAAGATGATATTATGGTTGTTCCCAGAGAAATAAAAAAGATTCTCAAAGAATACTATGAACAATTCTATACACAGACATTAGCAAATCTAGAGGAAATGGGTAAAATCCTGGAAACACACAGTCTCTCAAGTTTGAATTTAAAAAAATTTAAACCCTGGATAGACAAACATCAATTTCTGAAATTGAGTCAGTAATAAAAATCCTACCGGTCAAAAAATTTCCCTGGATCAGATGGATTCACAGCCGAATTCTACCACACATAGAAAAGAGAACTGGTAACAATTCCAAAAAATTAAGGAGAAGGGACTCTTCCCTAATTCATTCTATGAAGGCAGCAGCAGTCTAATACCAAAATGAAACTGGACCCTTACCTTACACCATATACACAATGAAAAAAAGCAAACATTAGGCCAATATCCCCAATGAACATAGACATAAGAATCGTCAACAAAATAGTAGCAAACTGAATCCAGCAGCACAGCAAAAATGAATACACCACAATCAAGTAAGCTTTATTCCTAGGATGCAAGGTTGGTTCAGCATATGCAAATCAATAAAGATGATTCACCACATATGCAGAATTAAAAGCAAAAACCATATGACCATCTCAACTGATAAATGCTTTCAATAAAATCCTACATCCCTTCTTCATGAAAACCCTCAACAGACTAGGCATTGAAGAAACGTTCATTATGTTTCAAGCCAACATCATACTGAATGGGAAAAAGCTGGAACCACTCTACTTGGAAACTGGAATAAGACAAGGATGCCTACTTTCACCCCTTCCATTCAACAAAGTATTGGAAGTCCTAGCCAGAGCATTCAGGCAAGAGAAAGAAATAAAAGATGTTCAAATAGGAAAGGAAGAAGTCAAGCTATCTCTCTTCATTTGACAATACGATGTTATACAGAGAAACCCTAAAAATGCTGCCAGAACATTACTGGAACTGATAAATAACTTTATCAAGGTTTCAAGATACAAAATCAGTGAACAAAAATCAGTAGTATTTCTATACATCAATAACGTTCAAGCTGAGAGTCAAATCAAGAACATAATGTCATTTACAGTAGCCAAAAGAAAATGAAATACCTAGTAATACAGCTCACCAAGGAGATGAAAACTCTACTAAATATTGCTGAAAGAAATCAGAGATGACACAAATAATTAGAAAAACATTCCATGCTAATGGATTGGAAGAATCAATGTCATTAAAATAGTCATGCTGCCCAAAACAATTTTACAGATTCAATGCTACTGCTATCAAACTACCAATATGATTCCTCATGGAATTAGAAAAAGAAAAAAAAAAACTACTCTGAAATTCATATGGAACCAAAGAAGAACCCGAATAACCAAAGATATCCTAAGCAAAAAGAACAAAGCTGGAGGCATCACATTGCCTGACTTCAAACTATACTATAAGGCTACAGTAATCTAAACAGCATGGTACTGGTACAAAAACAGACATATAGAAGAAAGAAACAAAATTTAAAACTCAGAAACAAAGCAACACACCTACAACTATATACTTCTTGACAGACCAACCACAATAAGCAATGCAGGGAGGACACACTATTCAATGGTGCTGTGATAACTGGTTAGCCATATGCAGAAGAATGAACTGGATGCTTACCTTTCACCATATACAAAAATTAACTCAAGATGAATTAAAGATTTAAACAAAAGACCTTGACCTAAAAAAATCCTAGAAGAAAATCTGGGAAATACACTTCTTGGCAAAGAGTTTATGGCTACATCCCTCAAAGCAATTACAACAAAAATAAAAATTGACAAGGGGTATCTAAATCAATTAAAGAGCTTCTGCAGAGCAAAAAAAAAAAAAAAAAAACTATTCACAGGGTAAACAGACAACCACAGAATGGGAGAAAAAATTCGCAAACCATCTAGTATAGATTTAATATCCAGAATCTATAAGAAACTTAAACAAGCAATAAACAAATAACCCCATTAAAAATGTGCAAAAGATATGAACAGACACATCTCAAAAGAAGACATACAAGTGACCACCAAATATATAAAGACATGTTCAACATCACTAATCATCAGAAAAAAGGAAATCAAAACCACAATGAGATACCATCTCATACCAGTCAGAATGGCTATTATTAAAAAGTCAAAATACAACAGAGTTGATGAGGCTACAGAGAAAAGGGAACACTTGTGCAATGCTGGTGGGAATGTAAATTAGTTTATCTACTGTGAAAAGCAGTTTGGAGATTTCTTAAGGAAATTAAAACAGAGCCACCATCGGACACAGCAATCCCATTACTGGGTGTACACATAAAGGAAAATAGATCATTATACCAAAAAGACACATGCACTCATACGTTCATCACCATGCTTTTCACAATAGCAAAGACATAGAATCAATCTAGGTGCCTATAAATGGTGGATTGGATAAAGAAGATGTGATATATTACTACTCAGCCATAAAAAAGAATGAACTCGGCCAGGTGCAGTGGCTCACACCTGTAATCCCAGCACTTTTGGGAGGCCAAGGTGGGTGGATCCCGAGGTCAAGAGATCAAAACTCTCCTGGCTAACACGGTGAAACCCTGTCTCTATGAAAAGTAGAAAAAATTAGCTGGGCGTGGTGGTGGGTGCCTGTAGTCCCAGCTACTCAGGAGGCTGAGGCAGGAGAATGGCGTGAACCTGGGAGGTGGAGCTTGCAGTGAGCCGAGATCGCATCACTGCACTCCAGCCCAGGTGACAGAGCAAGACTCCGTCAAAAAAAAAAAAAAAAAAAAAATGAACTCATGTCCTCTGCAGCAACATGGATGGAGCTGGAGGCCATATTCCTAAGAGAATTAATGCAAGAACAGAAAATCAAATACTGAACATTCTCACTTACAAGTGAGAGCTAATCATTGTGCACACATGGACATAAACATGGGGAAAATAGACACTATGGAATACTAGAGGTGGGAGGGGGGTTGAAAAGCTACCTAATGGGTACTAGGCTCACTACCTGGGTGCGATATACCCATGTAACAAACCTTCACATGTCCTCCTTGTAGCTAAAATAAAACTTGAAATTCAAAAAATGATGACGAAAAATTTTTCCTGAAATACTTCAAAGATGCAAATATTTACATATGTTATTGATTTTCTCAGGGACAGAATCTGGTGGAGGCAGGAAGAGGGCAGCAGAAGAGATAAAATGTTTTCAACTTATCATTCATCTGCCTTACGCCCCCCTTTCTTGAATATCCTGCCTTTTCCTTATGCCGCATTCCTCCCTATTTGCTGCTGCCACTGAGAGACCTGTTCGCCACTCCCTGTCTTCAAAAATAACAGCACATGACTGGCAGTCTTCCTTTTCATTGCCAGTCCTGCTGTCATCTTGAGTTAATCCAGTCTGTGTGTGGAAGACTATCCAAGAGTCTGAGCACTCAACATCGTAAGCTGTTCATCTCCAATGACCTCCTTTCTACTTCACTTCATTCACTCCCGTCATTGACCATCCCTGGCCCAAGCCATCACTGGCTTACTAATTTAGCCATGTTCTCTCTAACCATTACACATGATCTTTCTCCATTTCAAGTGTAACCACTTTGACTTTGACTGTTTCTTACTTCCTTGGACTCCATTCCTTATACTTTTACAACAGCTCTTTCCTTTTATTACTTCCCTGAAACATGGGTGATACGATTTGACTATTTCCCCACCTAAATCTCATCTTGAATTCCTATGTGTTGTGGGAAAGACCCGGTGCAAGGTAATTGAATCATGGGGGCAGGTCTTTCCCATGCTGTTCTCATGTTGGTGAATAAGTCTCATGAGATCTGGTGGTTTTAAAAATGGGAGTTTCCCTACACGAGTTCTCTCTTTGTCTGCTGCCATCTATGTAAGGTGTGACTTGCTCCTCCTTGCCTTCCACCATGCTTGTGAGTACATCCAGATGAAAGGCAAGGTCATTCCTGAGAGTGGGAAAAATGCAGGATAATCAGATGTAGGAGGGATAGTTACGAGGTACATTTTAGGCATGTAGAATTTAAGATGGCTTTGAGTGTCCAAGATGTCATCAAGTGGATCTTTGGGGTGGGTGGTGGGAAGGGATGGAATTATCCTACATGCAAGACAGATGTCTCCTCTACTGTAAGCAAGAGTAGAAGAGTACACTGGGTAGTACACTGGTGTGGTGGTGGGCGCCTGTAATCCCAGCCTACTTAGGAGGCTGAGGCAGGAGAATCACTTGAACCCGGGAGACAGAGTGAGCTGAGATCACGCCACTGCACTCCAGCCTGGGCAACAGAACAAGACTCCGTCTCGGGGGAGAAAAGAAAATAAAACAGTACCTGCCACAAAAATGGGGTTCAATAAACATTTGTTAAACAAATGATTTCTTAGCTCCTTTGTAAAAGACAAGAGTGTTTCGAAGCATTTAAACCTCTCCTTTTTTTTTTTTCTTTTTGAGACAGAGTCTCACTCTGTTGCCCAGGCTGGAGTGCAGTGGTGGGATCTCGGCTCACTGAAACCTCCACCTCCCGGGTTCAAGTGATTCTCATGCCTCAGCCTCCACCGGATGCTAGGATCACAGGCACACGCCACAACAACCTGGCTAATTTTTGTATGTTTTGTAGAAATGTGGTTTCACCATGTTGGCCAGCCTGGTGTGGAACTCCTGACTTCAAATGATCCACCCACCTCGGCCTCCCAAAGTGCTGGTATTACAGGCATGAGCCACCACGCCCAGCCAACATTTGAACCTCTCTGTAGTAATCTGACCCCAAGGTGAAAGTACACATATGAGATTTCTCATGTGTATTCTTCCCCCATATTATATAGCACTTATCAAATCGAATTTTAGTTATTGGTCATTGTCTTTCAGTGAGTTACTGCTTTAGGTACGAAGAGTGTCTTATTCATCCGTGCATCCTCTGTCCCCAAAGAGCATTTGGACCTTACTGAGAATTCAGCATGAGTTAACTGGGGTGACCTCACCTGCTGGGGTTGGGGGGCGGGGGGTTTGAATAATGTAGGAGATTGGGTTGGCATTTCTCTAGAACAGCACACAGGGCCCAGCTTTACACAAAAGAGACCCAATCATTCATTAAAGGGTAATTTAGGCCACATTCACCCAACTTGGATGAAAATTTCCAGAAAATGGAAATTCTGGCTTATTGTCCAGGTTGATTAATCGGTTTCAAATTTATTGGTGCTCATTTTGCTTGAATACTTGCCATAGACATGACAACATGTCCCTTTCATAGAAACGACAAATTCCACTTCAATTCCACAGCCCTTCATCAAAAACCCAGAGACAGCCTAAATCCTAAATCGTGCAGACAGTCATTAATACAGCAAAGCATATGCGTAATGAAGTCATTTGCTCCTCTGATCTATGAAATTCGGCTCGGTTACAAGCTTCCCTAGATAACCCGTTCAGGAACAGCAAGGGCTAGACAAACGTCCTGCACTTCAGTGATCAAAAAAAAATTAAATTAAAACCCAAATCATGGCAACCCAGAGGTGAAAAAATAAGTTGGAAGGCCTCATTTCAGAGTATGGACTCAAGCTGGCAAGCCAGGATTCTGATCTGGGCTGCCTCATTTACTACCTCTCTACCAGCGTGGTTTCTTTTATGTCCTCCTTTCCTCATCTAGAAAATGAAGATAAAAATACCACGGAACTCACAGGGTTGTTAAGGAGCGTAAAGAGTTCATACAGTTGAAACTCTTAGAATAGTGCCTGGCACACTATAAAACTACATCATTTTAGAATTAGTACCAAAAAGACGAAAAAAAAATCTGTTAGGCAAGGGATCTTCAGAATGCCCCCTTTTAAGAAATTCAAAGACGCCCCCTACCAAAAAAAAGTAATACATTTTTTAAGAAGCTGTCATAGTAGCTTGAGAATCACAAATGGTATCAAGGGCCGTACGGAAACAAAGAGGAACTTCTACGAAGGGCTTGAGATATTCTTCTCCGGCCTGGTCATTACATTAAAAGCCCTCTCCGTGCAAAGTGACTGCGCCGTCTGTTTGGCCATCGATGGATAGATAAGCGGCGGCAGGATGTGTTAATTTCTTGTTAAGCGCGTGTGCATGTGCACCCGGCAAACAATAGGCTCCAGGAGGCAGAGCTGCGCCGCCCCGGCCCCCACCGGCGCCCCATTTCCGGACTCTTGGCCACACACATCCCCCCTTTGTTTTCCCGGGGCCGGCCGCGCGTGTCGCTGCCGCGGCCACCCCACCAAGCTTTTCCGCCGGCCGCGCCTCGCCAGGAGGCCGCGAGGTCGCAGGGAGGAAGAGCGGGAGGAAGCAGCGGGCGGCGGCGGCGGGGCCTGGCCAGGGGGCGGCGGGCGACCGGGGGACGGGGGACTGGCGGCCCTGGGCCCGCGGAAGCGCCGCCGCCTCCCGCCGCGCTCGGGGAAGGCCTGCGCGCCGCGATAAGGCGCTTCCCCGGCCCATTGTCTGCGCGCCGCGGACGCCCAGTGAAAGTTCTCCGGGCCCGGCGGGGCGCGCAGCCCCACCCGCACCTGGAAGCCGGCGCCCTCCGGGGACGCTGGCCACTGTGACCCCCACCCCCGGCCGCCCACCCTCCAAAAGCGGAAGGGCGGAGGGGTCGCCTCTTGGGTGTCACCGGCCGGCGCACTCCAAAGGACTTTTAAAGGAGCTTTGTTAAACGGATCCTAAGTCCAGCTATTTGCTGGGGAAAATGCCTTTGGCTTCGGGCCAGGGCAGGTCCTCTCAGTTCTGGGAGAGTCAAGGCCACTTGCGTTTATGAGCCTCCTGGTTAATAAGTTACAAAAAGAAAAATGAAATGTGGAAGCAAGAAGTGTCATGTTGTACAAATTAATGTGCTTAATATACATACACGAGGGACACACATAAATATAATTTTGCTATTTACTAGCAGGATTTTTAAAAATGCCAGCTTTAAATTCCAAGCAATTGTGGTTGGAAATGAGACACATGTTGAAAGTTGCGTGATGTGTTTTTTCTTTCTTCATTCCGTTGAGTGTATAGCTGAGACCGTGTAACCTCATTTGGAGGTCACTGACGTTTTCAGTATAAATTTGAGACTCTTTATGTATGGCAGACCAGGACCAAGGGACTCTAATCCTTTACCCCCCACCCATGCCCCAGGCCGGAACCAGGATGAGCTGATATATGTGTATTTTTTTTTCTTCAGGGTAGCAGCATTTCAAGCCCATTCTCTCTATGTTGGCTGCTTCTGTGTGTTTGCCAGCTCTACAAGGATGTTCGTTACTGATCATTTACACAGAATACGGAAATAGCATAGAAAAGAACATCCCATTCATTCATACATCTATTATATATTGGACTAGTCCTATTATGTTTATTTCAAACAACCTGTCTATCATCTACTGCATGTAATACTCTAAATGAGCTTCTCTACTACAGTAAGGGCCTTTTAAAATACAAATGTCTCAATGGAAAAATATTCATCATCTATAGCACACCTGTCTGGCTGCCCAGTTCTAGCCCTGTTTGTTCACCGTCTTTGAGCTATTTGGTAACTCTGTAAATTATAGGTAACTGATAGCAGTGTCCTTTCTAGGATATAGTTAACCGAACACCACCACCTCCCTGGTGGAAAAGTTTCGTCTCCATTTACAATTCATCTCAACATTCTTTTATACATTTATGTATATTCCATATACATTTATGTTCTTTTGACTTTTCCTTTGAACTGGTTATGATATCTGCCTCTTTCCTTCGTATTATAGCAGTAACAGACATTCTTTAATATGTCTTCATATTTGTATCTGTATGAGAGTCATGATTTTATCGTTTTTTGAAAATTATCTTTTAACAGGCTTTCCAGTTATGTGTATCACAAATCAAAGGGAAAACAGGAAGGAAAGGCAGGAAAAAAAAATTAGTGACAATTTTAGTTCACAATCAGATGTAGGAGGTAAATCCATTAATTTGTTCATTACATATATGGAGCACTACCTGAGGGGTTATGACTGTGGTATGCTAATGCAAGGCACTTATTGTCTCTCTGAATTATTTTTATTAACTAATAAAAAATTGGAGGTAGGAAGAGCTCCAGAATTAGTGCCAGATCACTATTCAAGTCCTGATAGTGCCACTTACAGATTGTGGCCCAAGCAAGTTACTTAATCCTCAGAGCCTCAGTTTTCTTAGCTATAAAATGGGACTGCTAATAATTTCCTGCCCAGGATTATTAAAGGAATAAATGAGATAGTCTTTGTGAAACTGCTGCTACTGCATCTCTTGCTTAGGGAATATTGGTTGACTTTATATTGTATTCTGTTCTTTATTTGGAGTAAATACTTGGGAAATAGCAAGATAGTGTAAGATATCCAAACTGAGAGGCTACGAATATATAGTAGAAACAGGAGTTTGAGGCAGACATAAATTTAACTTTTAGGGTCTGTATTTAGCTGTGTGTCTTAGACCAAGTAAAACCATCCCTTTGAACCACTACTACCTCTTCATTTGAACAAAGAGATTAAAACATTTATCTGGGAAAATTGTGACGACTGAAAACAATAAGCACTGCCCAACAGAAAGAACACATTCAATCAATGGTACCTATCAATAAGACATTTCAAAATAACTAAGCTTCTAATTATAACCATAATGTGCAGTAATGTATTTCACAGACAAGTTGAATGCTATGATGCTATGATTCCTTCTTTTTTTTTTTTGGGTGGGGAAGGAGTCTCACTCTGTTGCCCAGGCTGGAGTGCAGTGGCATGATCTCAGATCACTGCAACCTCCACTTCCTGGGTTCAAGTGATTCTCCTGCCTCAGACTTCTGAGTCGCTGGGATTACAGGCGCTTGCCACCATACCTAGCTAATTTTTGTATTTTTAGTAGAGACAGAGTTTCGCCATGTTGGCCAGGCTGGTCTGGAACTCCTGACCTCAGGCGATTCGCCCACCCTGGTCTCCCAGAGTGCTGGGATTACAGGCGTGAGCCACCGCGTCTGGCCATGATTCCTTCTTTTTAAAGAAACCACAATAAATCAGAATTTCTTCTTCCAACTTGGATATATTCTTCCTGAAGTGGCTGAAGACTAAAGAAAGGAATCATATTCCCCAAACTAAAATGCTAAATCTGTACATGGAGAAAAGAATGTTAGTTGTCATCTGTAAGTGAAATCATTGGTGGAGCTTAAGAAATTAGAAGCTTCAGGAATCCAATAAAGAAATCCACATGGTTAAGTGCTTCCTTAACATTTCTTGGAATGTTGTCTCTTTTTAGTCTATGACAAGGATTTAGTATTCTATTACACTGCATCTGATGTGTGATAAGTGTGTGTCGGGGGAGAACTATAAAAAGAAAACATAATAGACAAGTAAAACCTTGATGGCCACAGTCCTTTCCAAGAAAAACTTCAAGTACCACCCTCCCACCTCTCCATGAATAAAAGCACAGTTAATTAGACTAAAGGTGGACACCAGACATTTAGACACCAGTTCCAAAGAGTAGCCTATCATGGATAAAAAGATGACAAATAGAACAATCAGATTCTCCTTCTGAAATTCAAATTGGAAAATAGAGAAGAGTCAAAGAATTGAGAGTAGACACTCAAAAAATTTAGAGGGCACTGAGAGGCAGAGTTAGGCACCTGAAGAATCAGGACAAACCCAAGTCATGAAGGAGTGTGAGCAATGAGCAAGTGGAAGGGGGAGTAGAAAAAAGTGAAACAGCGTCAAGGAAACCAATGGGCCACAGCGCTATGTGACAGAGACTGCTTTGTAGCTCCTTTTCCACAATGAGTTATCATCCTTGGAAGGCAGCTGCCCAGACTGGGTCAATATTTTCCAGTCTTCTTTGCATCCACAGAAATAGTGTGTGTTACCCCTGGGCTGGAATCTTTAGGGTGTGGGAGTGACTCCTCTTTCTTTATCCTTTCACACAGGCTAGACACCAAAGACCTCAAGCCCTAAGAGACCAAAAAGCACCAAGAAGGAAGGAGCCTGGTTTCCTGAGTCACCATGGGAGGAATGTTTCTTGGCAACGTGGCTATGATGCAGGATTTTTCTTGGCTCCTTTGCCAGGCTTGCAGCAGGGAGCACCCCGTCTATTCAGCTCGCCTGGGCCAAGTCTGGCTGGCACAGCAGCTCAGACTGCTGCTGAGCCCCAGCTTGCTTGTGTTATATCTTGTACCTGTGTTTCGCAGTTCTCAAGCTCTTGTCCCACATCCAAGAAGAATGAGGATATGCTGTCAATTGAAGGGTGAGAAGGGCAGAGAATAATTTTATCCAGTGACGGAACAGCTCTCAGCAGAGAATGGACATAAGGGTGGTCTCCCACCCCCGGTAGTTGAGTGGTTTCTCTCCCAGTGTGGCTGAATGGGCTCACTCAGTGTGAGCTTTATGGGCTCATAAAGTGGCTTTTATGGGCTCAGAATAAGGGAGTGTCTGCTGATTAGTTTGTGAGTATTTGAAAAAGGCTAAAGCAGAAGCACCACTCAAAGGTGTGCCTGGGAGTGTGTAGAAAACCAATTAGGAAAGGGTAGGTATATGTAAAATAGGTGAAGGGTGGGGCTTCAATCAGAGAAAAGCACGCCAAATGGGAAGACAGGTTCTCAATCCGGTCTGTGGATTTGACTTGTAGCTTGGCTTTCTGGCTTTAAACTGTCTTTGGCTTGGAGGTGAGGTGTCACCGGAGACCCACCTCTATCTGCAGGGGCATTTGTCTGCCTCCTGCCACTATCAGATATCTGCATTGATTCTTGAGTGGAACTTCCATTGTGTTAAGTTACCCTAATTTCTACAAGGATTAGGAATAGTCTGTCAGAATAGACAAATCACATGACTATAACCATGATAAAAATATAGAGTTTTCTATGCCCCTGAGGGCTTTCTACTACAAATTCTAGCTCACATGTATCCCTAAAATACATCTGCACTTATTTATTTATTATTTATTTATTTATTTTTGAGACAGTCTGGCTCTGTTGCCCAGGCTGGAGTGTAGGGGCATGATCTCAGTTCATTACAAACTCCACCTCCTGTGTTCAAGTGATTCTCCTGCCTCATCCTCCCAAGTAGCTGGGATTACAGGCATGAGCCACCAGGCCTGGCTATTTTTGTGTGTGTTTTTAGAATAAACAGGGTTTTGCTGTGTTGGCCAGGCTGATCTCGAACTCTTGGCCTCAAGTGATCAACTGCCTCAGGCTCCCAAAGTGCTGGGATTACAGGCATGAGCCACTGCACCTGGCCATCAGCACTTATTTGAGGTGACATGGGACAGTCATCTCTGACCTTATATCCTAGAGAGATGGAGAGATACATAGATATATCCATATGCACAGATGTATATATGTATGTATGTAGTATATATATAAACGACACACACTATATATACACACTTATGCACTTAGAAGAGAGATTTTCTATCATCTGTATAAATTTAAAATGTTCTAACATGAACATATTTTTTTTGGAACATTAGGTCCCCAAATTTCCAAAAAGTACATGCAATATCTTGGCAAAATATTTTCTACATGAAAAGTGGGGCCAAAAAAAAAAAAAGCAGTCAGAATGGCCTAAACTCTCTGAAACAGAATGTTTTTCTATAGAATAAATACCTAAAAGTATAGATGCCTTTTAATGTTTTTGGAGGCAGTCATATCAGCAATATGGAAGGAGGCTTCCTGTTGTTTTTTACCATTGAAGCAGGACTGGAAATGAATCTTTTGTTGAGCTGTCATTACTCCTTAATGATTCAAACAGGTCACTTTTACACTAAAATATTTCTAGAATAAACTTGGGATAAAAAAGCATTTCCCAGTAGAAAGTTCCATTCCAGTAAAGAGAAAATATTCTCTCCATGTTAATTAGGAATTTCCAGGAACTAATTTTGTGTCGAGAGGTGTTTGGGTTCTCTCCTGTGGCTCAAAAATATGTAAAAATCTTAAAGAAAAAGAAAGAAAAAGAAGATGAGAAAGGAAAGAGAAATCAAAGCAGTACAACAGTGCAAAGCAATATTTTCCCTTGACACCCAAGGCCACAGGATACAGATATAGGGGACAAGTGAGTGTCAATTTCTGTTGTGGATGTAAGGTATAATAGCAGTGTGACAACCCTAACACAAAAAGATGAACCTCACAGTCAACTTTGAGTGTCCTTCAAAAGTTAGTGAAAAATGTGGTATTATGTTGTATTTTTTTGCATGTGTGAAGAGAAGTAATAGGTTAGAAGCATAGTTAAATAAACATGATTTGTTGTAGATGATATTTATTAGCTCTCTATATTCTAAATATTCATTCAAACTTCTGGCACAAAGACATGAAACAAACAATGTTGAGGCTGTGCCGATTACTTTATTTTATTTGCCTGTGTAATGTGAATTGAATACCTAGCAGAATTAACAATCTCAGTCCTAATCACATAGTTATCACACGTCCCATACCTGCGATCTGTTCTGAGGACCTGAATTGTCCCTTTTGTAGTAAGATGTTCTTGGAATTCTTTGAGGTTCCCCAGGTGTGGGCTTAAAAGGAACATGTCTGTATACCACAGAAAACAAGATGCTTAATTTTAATGGAAAACTTTTTTTTTTTTTACAAAGGCAGATCTTGCTGTATTTGACAAATATGCTCTAGAAAGAAGCTCAATCTAGATGTTACGTGTAACTTTATCTTATTCCCCTTTGAGCACTACTGTTCTTACAAAGTGATCTCTCCACTGCCCGAAGTCATTACACCCTTTCCCTTTCACATTGTCCCTCTGTAAATGTCAGGCATAACTACATTTTTATTTGCAGAGATACCACTGCTATGAATGAGTAAAAATCTTCTGCTCCCCCACCTCTCTCTCTCTACCCTGTGCACATTCTACTAATATGATTTGTTGAACAAATTGTTCCATTAATCTGGGGCTGTTTGACAGAGTGAGAAAATAAGTGCCAAAGTGAGAAGATTCACAAGAATCGGAAATCTCAGTGCCTCTTTCTCAAGGTAAATAGTTATTATATCAGGGTGTCAGACTGGTGAAATGGATGTGCTTTCATTCTCAGTTTGTAAATGTCACTTTTCCTCAGCCCATCAGGGTGACAAATGAGGTGTGGGTTACAGTAAGGGTTCATTCTTTGACAAAGTTCTTAACAGTCTATTTCAACAGAAAGCATCCAGCCTTCTTCACTTTTATAATCTAAACCCTGTCCCACTGCCAGAAACTTCCCAGTTCTCTGATTGCTTTATCACAATCCTCAAAGAGAAACATCTCTGTACCAAAATTTAAAATCTCAAATAAAAGTAAAAGTAAATAGATTAGAAAGTAATTTATAAACCATAACACAGATTTCCTGGGGGAATTTCATTTACTGGTCCTCAAGATTTTATGATCCCAGTGAAATTTATTATATTAAGGTCCTTGTTTAAATGTTCTTTCACTTTGTCTATATACATTTAACCTTGAGAAGTTTTCTTTTTTTTTTTTTTTCCACAGCTTTGATTTTATTTTCTTAGAGACAGGGTTTCACTCTGTTGCCCAGGCTGGAGTGCAATAGTGTGATCATGGCTCCTGCATTCTCAACTTCCCAGGCTTAAGCAGTCCTCCTGCAGCAGCCTCCTGAGTAGCTGGGACTACAAGTGCAAGCCACCACATCTGGCTTACTTTTATTTTTTAATCTTTTGTAGAGCCAGGGGTCTAGCTATGTTGCCCAGGTTGGTCTCGAAATCCTGGCCTCGAGCAATCCTTTCTTCTTGGCCTTTCAAAGTGCTGGTGAGAGGTGAAGCCAGCTGGACTTCTGGGTCGGGTGGGGACTTGGAGAACTTTTTTGTCTTACAAGAGGATCGTAAAATTCACCAATCGGCGCTCTGTAGCTAGGATTGTAAAACGTGCCAATCAATGCTCTGTGGCTAGCTAGAGGTTTGTAAAGTGTGCCAATCAGCACTCTGTAAAAACACACCAATCAGCGCTCTGTGACTAGCTAGAGGTTTGTAAAATGGACCAATCAGCACCCTGTAAAATGGACCAATCAGTGCTCTGTAAAATGTGCCAATCAGCACTCTGTAAAATGGACCAATCAGCAGGACATGGGCTGGGACAAATAAGAGAATAAAAGCTGGCCACCCCAGCCAGCAGCAGCAACTGGGTCAGGTCTGGTTCTAAGCTGTGGAAGCTTTGTTCTTTTGCTCTTCACAATAAATCCTGCTGCTGCTCACCTTTGGGTCCGCACCACCTTTAAGAGCTGTAACACTCCCCATGTAGGTCTGAGGTTTCATTCCTGAAGTCAGCGAGACCACGAACCAGCCAGAAGGAACAAACTCTGGACACACTGGGATTATGGGCGTGAGTCACTGTGCCCAGCCTACAGTATTTTAATGCTAGTTAATTAATAATAATATCATATATAAAAATAATTCAAGTAAACAAATTGCTATAACAGTAAATGAATGAGGGAATGAGTGACGGAGTGAAAGACAATCTGAATCTTTCTGCATCTGACTAAAATATTTTCTCCTAAAATATGCTATTTTGATTAACCTAAGAAATATAATATTTGAACAGGCATGAGATAGGTTGGTTCTATAAGTAAAGGAATCTTAAGATAATATGCAAAAATTTTCAGAAAAAAATTCAAAATGACCAAACGTAATGTGATGAAAAGACCAATATGGTGTGAAGGTTGATCTTTTGCCCCAGGAATCACATTCATTTGTCTTGAGGGCAATTAAAATTAAAGTTATTATTTTTTGAGAAGGAGTCTTGCTCTGTTGCCCAGACTGGCGTGCAGTGGTGTTATCTCGGCTCACTGCAACATTTACCTCCCAGATTGAAGCGATGCTCCTGCCTCAGACTCTCGAGTAGCTGGGATTACAGGCGGCTGCCACCAAGCCCAGCAAATTTTTGTATTTTTAGTAGAGATGGGTTTTCACCATGTTGGCCAGGCTGGTCTCAAAACTCCTGACCTCAGGTGACCCCCCCTGCCTCAGCCTCCCAAAGTGCTGGGATTACAGGCGTGAGCCACCATGCTTGGCCTAAAATTATTTTAATTGCCACCATCACTGCAAAGACTTTATCAACTAATTTGTTGCACACTTTCGTAATTAGTCACAATCACAACATTCGATTATTGACTGAGCTTGGTCTACCTCATTCCATACTGTTTGCCGTCTCGTCATTGTATCATTTAAACTCCCTGTACCTTGATTCCACCTATGAAATGGGTATAATATCAAAGATTAACCTTGTCTATTTTTCTCACAAGACAGTTGTGAGGATCAAATGAAGTCAAGGAAGCGTACCCTCTGAAATGTTATGGAAAATAGTATTTATTTACATATATCAATTTTTCTGAGGAAAAGAAAAGCTTTTTAAAGAAGTTCGGGAATCCCTAAAAGGTAAAGAACTACTGATTTTAAGATTGGCAAATAAGGAGGGGAGGAAACACTAAGAAGAACATAGGAAAGGCTGGGCGTGGTGGCTCACACCTGTAATCCTAGCACTTTGGGAGGCTGAGGCGGGCAGAACACGCAGTCAGGAATTCGAGACCAGCCTGACCAATATGGTGAAACCCTGTCTCTACTAAAAATAAATTATCTGGGCGTGGTGGCAGGTGACTGTAGTCCCAGCTACTAGGGAGGCTGAGGCAGGAGAATGGCTTGAACCCAGAAGCGGAAGTTGCAGTGAGCCGAGATGGTGCCACTGCACTCCAGCCTGGGTGACAGGGCGAGACTCCATCTCAAAATAAATAAATATTTTTAAAAAAGGAACATAGGCGAAAAATCAGGCATACTAGAAGCCAAGAAAGAGGAGAGCTGCATTGATCAACAATGTCAACTTGAGAGAGAGTAAACAGGTTCACTGGATTGAGAAACTAAGGAAAAAGAAGATGAAAACTGTCAGACAGTCTTAAGACTCCCAATGAAGATCTTTGACGCATGATGTGAAGGTTAGTGAAGGACTAGCAGACCACTGTGAGAGAGCTTTAAGAAGGAGGGATGGACGGGAAGCACAACACACTCAGAGTGGCATTAGCTGAAGAGCGTGATGATGCTGCCGTCTTGTATCAGCAAGCCTTTGCTGGCGTGCCTGTTGAGATGGTGAGCCAGAGGTGAGCCTGTGGCCACAACGACACGGGATCAAAACACAGAGAAGGTGGTTTCCCTGCCCCTTTTCCATGGGTCTTCTAACCAAACTTTTTGGCTATAGCTGCTTTCAAAACTCATCCGTCCTCAATTTTAAAATAAGAATCAGAAATAAGTAATCATGTAGGGAAGTTTTAATAAATTCCACCGAATTACAATTGATAACATCTACTCAAAGATAACATGAAGAATGAGGAGACAAGCCACAAACAGGCGGGAGTTATCCTGAATACACAAATCCAGAAAGTCTGTTAACTGGAATATATTTAAAAATTCTGCAAATCAATATCAACAGACTGATATAGAGAAGGAAGGTCTTCCTCAACCTGTCAACCTGCTTAGGGTCCCTGGCTGGATCTGAAAATAAAACCAACAGAGAACAAGAAAAAAATGCATATAAATTTATTTAATAAGTGTACCTGATATGAGAAACTTCCTAAGAAAAGGAAGACCCAAAGAAGCAGAGAGATCTGTGTATTTGATGCAGAAGTGGATAGTTGTGGAGAAATATGATTTGACAAAGGGGGTATGAGCTAATGGTAATAAACTGGGGGAATTTAGCAAGGCTTGTTTGTTCAGATTCTTCTCTGGGTCTCTGTGTCTTCTGAGATAAGGACATTCCTTTCCTTGGGGCACAGAGAGAAACCCTCTGGAATGAGTTTTATGACATACTTCAGGGGAAGGTCAGCAAGGTTTTATGGCCTGTTTCAGGAGAAAAGATGAGAGAAGGTCAGAGAGACCTTCCTGATTCTGTGGGTTTTCTCAGTTTCCTTAAACTTAAAACATTCCGTATGCCAAGGTGCCATATTTTGGGATAGTGTGTTCTGAGCCCTGTCACTGCCCAAGAAAAATATGACAAAAGATTTCGAATAGCCACATCCTAAAACAGAAAATCCAAATGACCAAACTGTGCTTGATATCACTAGCATTCAGAAAAATAAAAATAAAAATCACAACTAAAAATTAGAAAAATGCAAATTAGAAACACTGACAAAGATTAAAACCATTTGTTGTCAATCCCAAGTGCTGCTGAGGATGTGGGACATTGGGAACTCCAATACTGAGAGCAGAAACTTTACTACTTTGTCAGAAAATAGTGTTTGGTAAAGCGAACAGTTGACTCAGCAATTCTACTCCAAAGTATATACCCCAGATACATTTGCACATGAGCCCCAGGGTACATATAAAAATGTTCCTAGTAACATTTTTGTAGAAGCAAAACCTTTTAAACAACCCAAAACCACATTATAGAATAGATGGAGAACTATTGGTCAATTCCGTCAATAGAATGCTATACGGCAATGAAAATAAATGAAGTGCAGATACAGATGACTGTTGAAAAAAATCCAATTCTCATTCCATTTATATAAATTTCAAAGAAAAGAAGCAGGAAAACAAAACCACTATTGTTTGAGGGTCTAAACAAGAGATTAGCAAACTACGGTCTACAGAGTTGTTTTCAAAAAATGAGAAAAAAAAGACACACAAAGAAAATGAGACAGAAACCATATGCAGTCCTTAAAGTCTAAAATATTTACTATCTGGTCCTTTTCAGAAAAGGTTTACTGACTGCTGACCTGAACTGTAAAGAAAAGGAAGGAAGCTGTCACACTAGGCAAGGGATTGGTATGTCTTGGGGAGGAATGGGACTGTATTGGGGAAGGCTTCTGGGATATTAGCAATGTCTTATTTCTTTAGCCAGATAATAGTTACTTGGGTGATTTTTTAATAGTATTTTTCGCACGTATATCTGCACCTGTGCATTTAACTTACACATTTCATCTGTATTCTATTTGTATGGTATACCTAACATTTAGGGAAAAAATACACCCTTTACACATAGGCTTGTACCCAGATCTCTATCACAAGGCTATGTGAATTCAATGGGAGTAGTGATCACAAGGACTTATACCAAAGTAGGTGGTACTGGGGCCCAGGACATAGGAGTAAATATTTACTCCAGGCTACCTGAAACAGCGTAGCCAGAAGTAAGGATTTTATCATAGGAAGGGAACAAAAGAAAAAGTACTTCATCAAAGATGAAAGCTAAGCTCACATCATAAATGAGGCAATAAGTATTCATGTCAGAAGAAATTTAGAATGTAGCTCCCAAAGTGATTTGGGTTGGGCAGCTCTGGACTAATCCCAGAATGGTGAGATTATATTGCAAAGCAGCTACTATGATGCTCCACCTCTCATACAGTTGGCCAGGTAGGGCAGGTCAGAGCAGAATTCAATTATCAGTATAAGTAACATGTAAAGATTTGAGTTCTGCTTATAGACCAATGGCTTCCTTCAAATAACCAGAGAGTGATCTTAGCTCTAATTAACTAACCTCTGTGGACATTTGTCCATAGGTAAGTCCATCTGATTTACAGTACTCTAAAATTCCATGTTGGAGATTCTTTCTCTTGACTTTTGTTCACAGTCATTATCTAAGAGAAGCAAAAGAAGTTTTATAACAGGATACTTTCCCACTTTGCCAGAAGCCTGATCTGGAGAGGAAAATCTCTTGTAAATGTGCAGGTGGATTCTGTGGATATACTCTGTCAGCAAGAAATTAGTACTAGCTATGGCGAAAAAATATCTCTTAGAAAGTTGGTAATCACCGACGTATTCAACCCAGATTTTAAGGTTATCAAAAGTCAGTAGTGTAAACCTCTGAGTGATTCTAAATACTTTTGCTTGGTCTTGGCCCTGGTGTATTCTCAAACTCTTAGAATATTAAGGAAGGATACTGAAAGACAGGGAAGACAGCTCCATCAGCCTTCATGAGGTAATAATTCCATCCCAATTTTTTTGATAACAAATTTTGTTCACATTATCTTATGTTTCCAACAAACCTATAAAGCAGGCAAGACAGATAGTATGTTTCCTGCTTTATGAATCAAAAACTGCTACCCAGAGAGTCTAAACGACTTATCCAAAATCACAAGGATGTGTTAGGAGCCCTAATACTGAAACTCGGACTTTCTGATGCTAAGTCCAATACGCTGTCAAGGATACTGAAATGGGAGAGGTTCCCTTGTCCTCCTCGCAGGGCGTGTGATGGGGGTGTGACTCGCTTCTTCAGTGCTCCACTGCTCAAACCTCTAGGGGAGCATACAGATGGGCAGGCTGTGGGGTTCTGACCCCACGGCAGTGTCTGGGGTGAATATTTACAGCTCCTCAAGCCCCAGTGGGCGTGTGTTACAGGGTGCTCTTTTAGTTTGCCATCTATAGGTGGCTTGTGTTAACCAGCTCAGTTAGCCCCTCTACCTTGTCACAAGGACAGAGGGCTTTCTGTATCCCAGCATTTCTTGCCTTGGTGTACCTGAAGAATCAGATTACATTTAGGCTTGGAGAATGAGTGCAAGGTTTTATTGAGTGGAAATAGCTCTCAGCTGATGGGAGAGCCAAAAGGGAGATTGTTTTCCCTTGGAGTTGGGCCACTTGGTGGCCCGACTCTTCTCCAGTTGCTCCGGCCAAACTGCGGTCATTCCATCAGTCAGTGGCCTGCTGGCCTGCTGGTGCTTGTTGGCATGCTCTTCCACCGGCGTGCTCTTGACAATCAGCCGTTTGTGTCTTCTGTCGATGTGTTCCTCTTGCCATTCAGTAGCTTCTGTCTCTGCCTTGCTAGGGTCTCAGGTTTGTATAGGTCCAGGATGGGGGTGTGGCAGGCTAGGGTGGTCTTGGAAAATGCAACATTTGGGCAGGAAGGCAAAAGTGCCTGTCCTCTCCTCAAGGTCTATGGGGGTAGAGCCCTAGCCAGGGACCACGCCCTTCTCTACCCAGCACTTCCCTTCCCCACTTCTGCATCATTTAAAGGGACCACACTGTTCCCTTCCCAGCACTCCTGTATCAATACCATTCTACTTCTGGGGCATCTTGCCATGGTGTGTTAGCCCATTCTTGCACTGCTGTACAGAAGTCCCTGAGGCTGGGTGATTTATAAAGAAAAGAGGTTTAATTGGCTCACAGTTCTGCAGGCTGTACAGGAAACATGATGTCAATATCTGCTTGGTTCCTGCCCCACCTTTAACATTGGGGATTATATTTCAAAGAGATTTGAATGAAAACATAGATCCAAACCATATGACAGGGTAACTGGGAAAAATAAATGATACTTGCAAGAAAATTTCCATTCAACATGTTCACCTAGAGTCATTTATTGTACATGAACCCTGGAACATAAAACAGTGTGATGGAAGACCAATACATTTGAGTATGAGCAGCCATGGGAGTAACAAGAGTGAAGAAGGCAATGACTGTACATGCTAGGCCAGTGTACATAGCTGCTACATGAAGAGTAGAAGGTAGTGAGCTGCGGGTGAACCATGATACTTCCTGAAATAGGAGACAGATATAAAAAGACTGGGAAGATAAAGGGTGGACCAGGAGTGAGGCTGCCAAAGATAAATCTTGTCTCCTTAACAAAGTATCTGTGGCCAGGGCCTATAAGGAAAGAGTCTTAATATCACCTTTCTCAAAGTTTACTCATTGCTATTTTTGACACAGATTTCTTTTGGTGCCACTTCACCAGCTGGAAATCTTCATGGTTGGTGGTACCTTTGCCAGGGCTTCACTGGCTTTGCACGCTGGATTCGCTTTGCCTGCTCAGCCCAGCAGGCTGCGCTCAGCTAGCTCTACCGGCCCAGATCCTTCACCTGCTGTGCCTCTGCACTCAGCCTGCAGCTGGTCCAGGCATGCCGCAAGTGGCTTCTGTGCTGGGTGCTG
This sequence comes from Homo sapiens, assembly GCF_000001405.40. NCBI lineage: Eukaryota > Metazoa > Chordata > Mammalia > Primates > Hominidae > Homo > Homo sapiens. The sequence continues at coordinate 94,830,603 of NC_000015.10, read as the reverse complement.
ATGTCCAGGTGAGGGGGATTTGGCAGTGCCCAAAAACTTGGAGATGCCAGCAACCATGGAGCCCCTTAGGGGTATTACAGCTTTTGCTTGGAGAGTCCCGAGGTCTGAGCCCCAAGGAAGTGTTAACAGCTCTTGTTCATTCCCGCCGCCAACAGCTCAGTAAATAGGGTCTTGTTACAGCTCATTCCCGCTGCCCACAGCTAGCCAGTTTCTGGGTTCTTGTCCTATGACTAAGAAGAATAAGGTACAGAGACACAAGAGAGTGAGTGTGGCAGAGAAAAATTTTATTGAGTGGCAGAAGGAAAGCTCTCAGCAAAGAGGGGACCCAAGAGTGGGTAGCCCTCTGTGTGAGAGGGGGCCTGAAAGTGGGTAGCCTCGTGTTTGACCGAGTCCAGGGTTTTCATGGGCTCAGAATGGGGGAGTGTATGCTGATTGGCCCATAGATGGGCCTGCAAAAATCACCTTTTGATTGGTTAAAAGGCATGGAGGAAGTTTTCACTCCAGTCATGGACTCTACCCGGAACTGGAAGCTCAGTTTTCAGGCTTGAGGCTGTCTTTGGCTTGAAGGTCGGGTTTCACTGAGGAACCGTCCCTGTCGGACTAGGAATTTGTTTGCCTCCTTTCACTAACATTTTCACAAGGAAAAAAATGCACCACTGCATTCAGGAATACAAATGTTTAAGTTAGAATTCCTGGAACTATTTTAAAGGATTCTTACATGTGGAAACCACTTTTCACTTTACTATATAGTTTTTATATTACTTCTATCTGTGTTCTTAGAAGTTTTAGTTAAGAAAATAACAAGCTGGAAAATAACAAGCTGAATAAGACAAACCACCCAATGGAAAACTATTTGGTACATAAGATTAGTATGCTTAGTGTATAAATAGAGCTCTTTTAAATCAAAAATTAAAGAAGAAATACTCATGAGAAAAATGTATAAAGAATGTGAATATCAATTCTCAAAAGAATGCAAATGACTACAATAAGTATATAAAATAATATTTGCCTTCACTAGTGATCAAAGAGATTCAAATTAATAAAAGATAATTTTTATTTTTCATTTAAAAATATTTAATGCTATTTCCTGGTGTTATAGAAGATATAGGGGAAATATTAATACATATTACTCTGGGAAGGTAATTGGTATGGTTTTTTGGAGAGCAATTAGGTAATATGTATCAAAAGCCTTAAAAATATTCATATTTTGACTCATTAATTCCCACTTCTACAAGGAAAAAGTAAATAAAAAATGACTAACTCCTTTTATGAAGCCAGCACTATCTTGATTATAAAACCAGACAGACATTACCAGACAAGACAATTAGAGATCAATATCCCTAATCAATACAGAATTTTAAACCTTTAACAAAATATTTGCAAATCAAATCCAACGATATATAAAAATTTCTGTCAGTACTAAATGAAATTTGTTCCATGGCCACAAGCGTAGTTTGGCATTCAGGAATAAATCAGTGTAATTCTCCCTATTAACAGAATAAAGAAATTAAAAATAAGGATTATCTCAATAGATGTAGAAAAAGCAAAATTCAATGTTCATTCATGGTAAGTAATCTCCACACACTACAGATAGGAGGAAACTCCCTCAACCTAATAAAGAACATGTATAATAAACCTATAGTTACTATCCTACTTTACTTTCAAAGATATAGCAGTTTCTCCTTAAGTTGGAAACAAAGCAAAGATAACACTTCTCACCTTTCACATTCAACATTGTATTGGAGGTCTTGTCAATGCAATAAGTTAATTGAAGAAATAAAAGTCATATGTACTGAAATCAAAGCATCTCTATTTTTAAAAGATAATAAGATCTTCTAAATCCCAAGTAATTAAACAGAAGAAAGAAAGGAAACAAGGCAGGAAGGAAGAATGGAATAAAAGAAGGAAGGGAGGGAATGAGAAAGGGAAGAAAGAAAACTTCTGCTCTTCAAAAGACAACGTTAAGAAAATGTAAAGTCAAGCCACTGACTTAGAGAAAATATTTACAGTTTGTATCCAGAATACTTAAATAACTCTTGAGGCTTAATAAGACAAACTACCCAATGAAATGTGGGGCAAAAAGTTCAGGAAAAAAATAGAAATAGCCAACAAGAACATGAAAAATGCTCAACATCGCTAGCCCCCAGGGAAACAAATTGGAAACCAGAGTGAAGAACAATTCCACACTCAATAGGATAGCTAAAATTAAAAAGATTGACAACACCAAGTGTTGAGAATGTGGAACTTCTGGAACTCTTATTTACTGACAGAAGTGAAATGGCACATCCATTTTGAAAAACATTTTGGCAGTTTTCTACAAAGGTAAATACATGCTTTACATATGACCAAAAAATTCCACTTCCAGATATTAACCCCCCAAAAATAAAAATATAGATCTACAAAAAGAATCTGAATGCAAATGTTTGTAACAGTTTTATTTATAGTGTTCATGCTGGAAATGACACAAGAATGTATAAATACTTGTGATATATTCATCCAAAGAAATGCTACTCTGCACCTACAATGAAGAAACTGCTAATACACACAACAACATGAAAGAATCTCAGAAATATCCTTCTCCAGCCTGGGCAACATAACTAAAACCCCTTTTCTACAAAAAAATTAAAAATTAGCCATGCATGGTGGCTAATTTTTAAAGTAGTAACATTTAAAAATTTTACACACCTACAGTACCAGCTACTGGGGAGGCTGAGATGGGCGCATCATGTGGGCCCAGGGGTTCGAGGCTGCAGTGAGCTATTATTGTTCCACTGCACTCTAGCCTGAGCGACAAAGACACTGTCTCAAAATATATAGAGAGAGTAAAAGACGTCACATAAGAAAGACCACATAGTGTGTGACTTTATTTACATAATATATAAAATAGTAAAAGATAATCAATAGTGATAGAAAGATCAGTGTTTGTCTGGGGGCACTTTATTGTACATAAAGTATATTTTAAAAATGTCTGACTTTCAGGCCAGGTACGATGGCTTATGCCTGTAATCCCAGCATTTTGGGAGGCCAAGGTTCACAGATCACCTGAGGTCAGGAGTCTGAGATCAGCCTGGCCAACATGGTGAAACCCTGTCTCTACTAAAAATACAAAAATTAGTTGGGCGTGGTGGTGGGCGCCTGTAATCCCACCTACTCATGAGGCTGAGGCAGGAGAATTGCTTGAACCTGTGAGGCAGATGTTTCAGTGAGCTGAGATTGAGCCACTGCACTCCAGCCTGGGCAACAGACTCCATCTCAAAAACAAAAAAAAAGCAAAAATAAATAAATAAAAGTAAAGTTTAGTGAGTGATTGGATGTGGAGGGAGAGGGCGATGGAGTCTTGGGTGACTAATGTCATCACAGTAAAATTGATTTGCCACTACAATGGGAATATAGGAGAAGAAGCAGGTTTAAGGGTAGGAGCAAGAGGATGAGAGCAGTTTTGGACTTGGCAAGTTTCAGGTACCAGGATATTCAAATAGATATATTGAGTAGGCTGTTGAATACACCTGACCATTGTTCAAAATCTGAGAAAGAGATAAATGTGGGAGTCTCAGGCATATCAATGATATTGAAATTTGCCATGAAGGATGTGTACCTCACCAAGAGGTTCTTGAGAAGTTCAAAGTTTGAAAAGTCGTCAGCAAAGCAGGAGTGAAATATGAGTAGAATGTTCCTTTTGACTCCAGAACCTCCATTTCTTACTAATTGGGTACTTAATAATTGTTTTCCAAACAAATAAATAATAAACCTATGAAGTCAGGTCCTTTCACTATTTTACATGTGGAGAAATAGTTATTCTGACAAAGGACAGAGTTAAAGTTGATTTTTCTTGTGCATTTTCTTTTTGAGGCTATTTCATTCATTCTTACTTTGCTTCACTCAGCAAGCCAGAGAGAAATTGAGCTTATGCAATTGGTGACAAAAGATACATAAGACATAAATGTTGTCCTTAAGGAGCTTGTGTTTTGATTGAGAAGAAAGACACACAAATACAGAAATTAAGTCAAGGTTTCAAGCATGGTGAACATGCAAAGTGATGTGGAGGGCACATAAAAGGGAGTCGTCACTTCTTGATAGGGATGAGATAAGGCTTCAGGGATAAAGTATAGTTGAAAGATGAACAGGCATTTTTCCAGGGGCATAGGGATGGTGGTGGAATTTTAGACGGCAGAAACAGGCTGAGCAAAGCCTTGAGGCCTGACTGGTTTTTGTTTTGTTTTGTTTTGTTTTGTTTTGTTTTTGACAAGATCTCGCTCTGTTGCCCAGGCTGGAGTGCAGTGGCAAGTCAGGACTCACTGCAGCTTTGACTTCCCAGGCTCAAGAGATCCTCCTGCCTCAGCCCCTCCAAGTAGCTGGGATTACAGGCATATGCCACCACGCCCAGCTAATTTTTTGAATTTTAATAAAGATGAGGTCTCACTATGTTGCTCCGACTGGTCTTGAACTCCTGCACTTAAGCCACCCACTCACCCCGGTCTCTCAAAGTTCTGGGATTATAGGCATGAGCCACTGTGCTTGCCGAGGCATGACATATTAAGGCACATTCAGGGAAAAGAAAAGAGACTGGGGGTGTAGGGGAGGCTGAAGCATCGTGAGTGGAGTATCCTCCAGTTGACTTATGGGGTAAAGATGTCTCAACTGAAGCATGCTCCACTCAGGGCTGGGGGTTGAGTAAAGATGAAACTAGAAAGACAGCAAAAGAACAGATGTCAGAGTGTGTATAATTCTTAGGTAAGCATAAAACACCCAGTATTTTAAGATATATTCATTCTTTCTCATTGCTAAGGTCTCCCTTGCAAGGGGCTCCCAGCTGTTAGGGAAGGGGCTAAGGTCATAAATATAACAGATGTATTTAGAAATATGTTAAATTTCAAACCTCTCAGTCTTCTGGGCACTTTTATACAATCTTAACTCATCCTCTCCATGCATTTCACTGAGTTTTGAGTGATTGACAGGAAATAAAGGCAAAAGAAGCAGCTATTTCTTTACACTTGGTTGGATTGTTGAGACATTTAAAAATGTCTAAATTAAGTAGCAACTGTTGAATGATTGGGGAGAAAAACTCAAACAGTCTGGCCAAAAGAATTCAGAAAGCAAACAGATGGAACCATTTATTGAGAATTTCAGTAATGTTTTTACCCTACTAGACGGCAACATTTATGATTTTTATTCCCTTAAAAATTAGCCATGGTTAACTGGTTTGCTATGACTATTTCTGGTTGCTTTAAAACTGAAAATAATCGAAGATGCCAACTTGTGTTTTAAAATTATGTTTTATAATTACGGTTTAGAAAGGACTTTTGCACAGAGTATTTTATTTCTTCCATGCAAAGAAAATAAGGTAGGAATTATTATGCCTATTCTGAAAATTAAAAATAAAAACAAAAACAAAACAAGTCTCACAGAGTTGAAATAAATTGTCAACCATCGAAAGGCGATTAATGATAAACCTACCGGTCTAGAAGGTGGGTCTCCTGCCACAGTCTGCTTGGCTCTGAGTGTTTTGGCTCTTCATCCTAAACGAGTAGGGAACAGGTAACTATATCCAAAACAGAGTATTGCCATTGACAGACAATACTATGATGAAATAGACCCCCAGAACAAGAGGCCAAGGGATCCTGAAAACAGAGAATGGCAAACACCATCTTTAAAAATTTAAAAGCCGGCCAGGCGCGGTGGCTCATGCCCGTAATCCCAACTCTTTGGGAGGCCGAGGCGGGTGGATTACTTGAGGCCAGGAGTTCGAGACCAGCCTGGCCAACATGGTGAAAACCCGTCTCTACTAAAAATACAAAGAATTAGCCGGGTGTGGTGGTGGGCACCTGTAATCCCAGCTACTCTGGAGTCTGAGGCAGGAGAATCACTTGAACCTGGGAGGTGAAGGTTGCGGTGAGCAGACATCGCGCCATTGCACTCAAGCCTGGGCGACAGAGCAAAGTCAAAGTCTTGGAGTAAAAGTTTTCCTGGAATTAGGAGTCAAGAAGATGAAAGATTGACTGTGTTTTAGAATGCAGTCATGAGAGAGCTGAGGAAAGCAAAGGGAAAGTATCCTTTTAATTCAATTTTTCTATCAGTAGCTGAGAAATGCATGAAGGCCAGGAAAAGTCAGAGTACTGTGCTCTGGGAAGTCACTGTCATGGTGGAATTAAATCCAAGTGCTGGATACTTTCCACTTGTCACTCCAGACCCACTTTCTGCCCCTCGCAGACCTCTTTGGATTGAAAGACCGACTCCTATGGAATGCACCAATAGGCTCCTGGCCTTCTGGCTGCCAACTGGGTTCAGCCAAGAGGATGCAATGGCTAAGGATTAGAGGGAAGGAAGAATATGAGAGATGGGAGTATTTATGTTTCCATCTCCGAGCCACTATTGCTTCCCCACAGAAAGCCCTCTCCATACAGCTGACCCTTTCTCCATTCAGTTAACTGTTTCCTCCTCTTGCCCTTTAGATGCAGGAGTGGCAATGGCTAAATGTTACTAACTCTAAAATAATTCATTATACTTTGTTGGTTCTTCAAATCCTACTTATTCCTTTTTAAATAGTCTCAGTTTATAAATCATCCAACTTTTAGTAATCATTCTTTCTGAGTCTGTGATCAGAAAGACAGTGTACCAGTCTCCTACTGGTCCATTGACCCATAGTGGTTACCTCTAACCAAGGAGGTCCCAGAGGGCATGAGAGACCATCTCTGAGAACATTAGAGGATTTCTTGTTTATGTATTTCAGTGAAATTGCTTATGTAAATGACAGCCCAATTTTTAAAAGTTCAGATAGTTTTAGTCACAGCAATGCTTTCGTTTTTTTCATGCCCACCTAGACTACCTTGTTGAGACGAAACTTTCATTCAATGGCCCATATCAGTACCATTCAACCCCATTTTACTTTAGTTAATAAGGGTCATCTTGTTTAAATGCTACGCCCCTGATTGAAGATCAGCTTGCTCTTTCTCATTTACGTTGAGCCTCTGCTTTCATTCACTCAGGGGCAAATCATAGTGAAAATGATTTTCTCCGTCCTGTCAAAATGTCAAAGTCTTCCTGGCTGCCCAAGTATCAAAATGGTGTCCCTAAAAGGGAGAAATATTAATCCTTATAGCTATAAAATTCTTAGTACTCAGAAGTATCTCTTTCACTGGACATCATTTGCTTTCGGTGTTTAATCCCTTAAGAATATAATCCCAGAAAATAGCTGTAGCCCGTTTCTCTCTTTGTGAAGGGGCTCTTTAATCTATGGTGCTCATGTATCTTTTTGGAGACTAATTACTTAGTAATGGCTAGTTTATCAGAAGATGTATTATTTCCAGAAGTTGTTAAAGGTTTCTTCCCATTCTTTTCTGTAGCAATGATTAGTTTAAGATTCCTGTATATAACTTTCTTGTCTGATCATGCACATTAATCAGAAAAACAGGAACTTATATCCACTAATTCCACTAATGAATGATGAATGACAGAATCTTCAGGTGTGTGCGTTATAGAGCCAAGGTTGGGGGTATCTTTTAAAAAGTCCTCTATAGGATAATACATATTCTATTTTAGGAGTTCAACACACATTTTATGTCTCTTGTTTTGTTTTGTTTTTGGAGACAGTCTTGCTCTGCTGCCCAGGCTGGAGCACACGATCATGGTTCCCACAACCTTTGCCTCCCAGGCTCAAGTGGTCCTCCCTCGCCTCAGCCTCCAGAGCAGATGGTACTACAAGCATGTGCCACCATGCCCGGCTAGTTTTTGTATTTTCTGTAGAGATGGAGTTTTGCCATATTTCCCAGGCTGGTCTCAAAATCCTGGGCTCAAGCATACTTTGGCCTCCTGAAGGGCTGGGATTACAGGCATGAGCCACTGTGCCCGGCCTCTTTTTCTTCTCAATATATCATCCTGTACTACATTGTCTGATATTTATCCATTTTTTTTTTACTTAGATAATTGAAAAGACAGGCTATTTTCAACTTTGCTAAAATCATAATCATAAGAAATATGTTCTCTGATTCAAAGTGAAAATGCCACCACACCTTAGATCAGCATGTATAAGCACATAGGAAGTACCAAATAAATATTTTCTGCCATATCAGTTTTGAAAAATCACCTCAGCATAGATAGTTTGTAGGATTAAGATGCACTAAAAGCCCAGTGAAGTTGACATAAGGCCTATTCCTGTGACCATATTCCGCAATATTGGCATAATGCTTTTTATAAGCATGCTTCGGTCTCCTATTTATGAGATGATGTTTGCATGTGATATTCTTTTTTTTTTCCCTTCTCAATTTCTGCCAGAACTTGATGGTCAAATTAGCGAACAAAGGAAGTGTATCAAGAGCAAAATCTGTCATCTAAGAACACCTTTTTGTTTGTAAACAGCATGCTTTGCACAGCACTATTAGTGATTTGTGTGCTCACCAACCATATAGCTTTATTACTATAATGTGAGCAAATTGCCTGTAATTCGTGGTCCTGGGAACACATATCTATAATTTGGGTCAAAATATGTCTGCTCACTCTAGTTTACAATAAACTCTTAATGTAGTTCCAGTCACATTGGAAATTTCTGCATTTTCATCTTCATTGCTTATCTCTAGAATTTCAAAAACAGAAAATAACTGGAGAGTAGCTTAGGGTTTTGGATAATGCTGATAGAACCAGGAGCTGGGACCCTTTAGGACATACTCAAAAAAGATGATCTTTGCCTTAATGCATTGTCATGAAGCATTGTATTCATTAAGGTCTGGAATTTGAAGTCAGGGAGAGCTAGGTGTAAACCCTTGCCCAGTTAAGGACTTATTACATCATTAAGGGCAAGATATAGGCTGGCTTCAGATTCCTCGTTTGTAGCATTAATAATGTCAACTTTGTGAGAATAACACAAGAATATTTAATTTACTGCCTAACAAAGAATCTATCACATTGTAGGTGCTTACAAATTGTGAGATCTCATCTTTTCTTGTGTTTGGTCTATCTTCAGAAAAAAAAAAAATGTCACTTGCTCATTGCAGTCAAACATGACCAAAATGCTTGTTCTCTCTCTTATCATCCATACTATTGTACTGTGATGCTGCAGATCCTCCTGTCACAAGGTGGAATATGTTATCTCACCCTTCGATTTTGGGTTGGCCATATGACTTCGGCTAATTGAATGTCAGCACATAAGATGCAAATTTAAAAAGCATCCTCTTGGAGGTTGCAGTGAGCCGAGATCGCGCCACTGCACTCCAGCCTGGCGACGGAGCGAGACTCCGTCTCAAAAAAAAAAAAAAAAAAAAAAAAAAGCATCCTCTCTTGCTGTACTTGGAATTGTGAGACCACCATGCCACTATGAGAATGAGTCAGAGTTAAGCTGTTGGAGGATGAGAAGCCATGTATAAGAGAACTGAGCCACTCCATCCTCCAGCCAACTCAGCAATTCATGATCAGCTAGTAGCATAAGCAGCACAGCACCGACTCAGGCTAGAAGAATCACACAACTGACTCAGAGAATTATGAATTAAAGTGAATGAGTGTTGTTTTAGCCTCAAAATGTTGTGAACATAGCAAAAGCTAATTGATGTACAAATGAAGTTTGTTATAGTAAGAATTCTGACATGGCAACAATGGTTTTCCAATAACGCATGTCACGTTTCCCCTCCTCCTCTTCCTCCTCCTCCTCTCCCTCCTTCTCTTTCTCCTTCTCCTTTTTCTTTTTCTTACTAATGGTGTAAATACGGAAGGAACAGAATTAAGTTGGTCATTTTAGCTCTAATAAAGGCACAGGCATGATCTATCCTCAGTATCTTAAGGCCAATGGGAAGGGTTCAGTGGCCGGTGGTATAAAAAGAAATACCGGCCAGGCTCCGTGACTCATGCCTGTAATCCCAGCACTTTGGGAGGCCAAGGCGGGCGGATCATGAGGTCAGGAGATCGAGACCATCCTGGCTAACACAGTGAAACCCCCTGTCTACTAAAAATACAAAAAATTAGCCAGGCATGGTGGCACGCGCCTGTAGTCCCAGCTTCTTGGGAGGCTGAGGCAGAAGAATCGCTTGAACCCAGGAGGTGGAGATTGCAGTGAGCTGAGATCACACCACTGCACTCCAGCCTGGGCGACAGAGCAAGACTCCATCTAAAAAAAAAAAAAAAAAAAACAAAAAACCAACAACAACAAAACCATTAAAGGGAGACAGAGAAGTAATATCTAAATATCTAAAGGAGTTGATTTACGGGAGAAGCCAAGTCAACAATGTATAATATCCAAAGAATGTGTAATGCTGCCACAAAGGCAGGAGTGAATCTCAGCAGAATTATTCCTATAAACATAGCATCTGCAGAAGGGAACAATGCTAAGGGGTATTGTGGGGAATATGGTATCTTGGGCTACCTGAGCACTTAGGGCCTTTATGCCCTGTGAGTCAGGTCCTGGATCTGGCCCTTGGTGAGGGAGACATGGAGAAATACAAGAGTGAAGCCACCACTCTCAAACCAGCGAGTGCAGTTGCAATGTTTTCTATGTGATTTCTGGTTTAGAATGTTGGGCACAGAACTGGTAGGGGATGGGCAGGAGTGAGTTTGCTGTTGGAAGAAATTAGTAGATTTAACTCTGAGAAGCTGGGCCAAAATTAGTTTGTAAGAGCAAGGGTACAGACTGCAAGTAAGAATTTTGTAATAGGAAAATTAATATGAAAGGGACACAAAAATGGTTTGTGTGAAGTAGTTTGTCACACAAGGACACAAGGGCCTCGGTTCATTTGACAACCACATCACTCTCCAACTATTCCAACCTTCAGCCTGTGGGGGAAAGTATACTTATCATCTTTATTTCCTCATCAATCCTTGGACACGTTAACCTGAAGACTTCCAGTCTCGGTGCAGAGAAGACATCCCCACTCAGCACAGCTAAGTAAATACAGTTGGATTAACTAGGCCAACATTTATTTGTCTAATTATGCTATAAAATACTTTTTATTACAAAGCATTGGTGGAGCATCATACATATTTACGAGACTTAATTTTTATTTAAGCTTTCTTTTTTTTACCATTCAGTATGATTTTCGAGTTTTTGAACGATGCGATAAGTTGAGAAAAAAAGAAGTAAATGTTGGAGAGGTTAAGAAAAAGTGATTAATATTTAAAGATATTATATTCTCAGACAAAATCTCCAAGATTAATTGAAAACATATTACTAATAAAAATGGACAGTAAGGTAGCCAAATATAATAAAAATTAGATTTCATTATTAAAATTAATGACAAGTTATAAAATGTAATATTTAGAACATGCAAAATAGCAACCAAAGCTATGAAATACCTTGAAGCAAACTAAGTTGGGCATATATTGTAAGTCTCATAAAAAATAAAGTTTTCCTGGAGGGCATAAAATATGACCCAAATCACTGAAAAAATATTACCTTCCTTGATAGGATAACTAAAAATTGTAAAGGTGTCAGTTTCCCCACAAATCCTCTCATAACCATGGTGCCACTCAGATCAAAAACCTAATGTACATTTAAAAAAACTTGACAATTTTATAATAACTTGTAACTGGAAGAATAAATGCACGAAAATAGGAAAGAAAATTGTGAATAAAAATAATGAGAAAGGACTTGCTCTTCCAAATATCAAAATTTAATGTATAGTTATAGTAATTAAAACAGCATGTTATAGATATGAAGATAAACATATCAATCATTAGAAAATGATAGAAATTTCAGAGATCCATCCATGTTAGTAGGACTGTGTATTTCATAAAGATTACATTTTTAAGTAGAGAAGGAAAGATGGATTATTCAATAATTGATTTGGCATTTGGAAATCAAATTAAGAATCACCCACAACCTCTGAAGGAACATCAGACACAAAAATACACCTAGTAGATTAGATGTTTAAATGGGGTGGGGAGGTACTGACAAAAGCCTTGGAGAATATTTTTATAATGTAGTTGTAGGCACGACTTGTTAAAGCATGATAGGAAGGTCAGAAATAAAGAAAGGGAAAACTGAGAGATTGAGCTAAATAAAAATGTTTAACTTCTATTTTAAGACAAGCCATAAACTAGGAAAATATTTGCAAGGTATACTTCAGATGCAGAGTTCATGTGCATGCTATAGAAAAAATTCCTACAAATCAATTTTAAATATTTCTATTTTTTAAAAAAGTGTCAAAGAACCTGAGCAAGCTTGGAAAGAAAAGGAAAAAACACAAAAGTAAGAAGTTTGAAGTCAACTATTAAAATAAATTATCCTCTTGTTAGCAGAAGAATGCAAATTTTTGAAGACATTAGATTTTCTATCAGATTTGCAAACAACTTTTTAAAGATTTAGTTGACAAGTCTGTAAAAAAATAAAATAATCAGATTCATCATTTGACTGTATAACTAATATTTTCCAGCCTTTCTTTGCGATAGTTACTTAAGAGCGGTTTGCTTTTATAAACCCACCCACTCAAAAACGGAGTTAATTTAATGTACCTACCTGCAGAAACTAATGTAACCAAGATAAAAATTTCCTTTGGAATTCAAAATATACAAATCATTTTGAAGTTTCTAGCTTTTGCTGAGCTAGTCCCTGAACTGTTTGGGTTATGCTTCTGCAGTGGGATAAATACTGAGATGTAGAGAAAACATTTGTAAACCCTCATAGGAATTTGAGAGAGTAATTTGATGTCTATTGAATCTAATAATCAATGATTGCAGCTAAGATTTTAAAATTCCATTTCTTTTTAATAATTCTTTTTTTTTTTTTGAGATGGAGTCTTGCTCTGTTGCCCAGGCTGGAGTGCAGTGGCACAATCTCAGCTCACTGCAAGCTCCGCCTCCTGGGTTCACACCATTCTCCTGCCTCAGCCTCCTGAGTAGCTGGGACTACAGGTGCCTGCCACCAAGCCCAGTTAATTTTTTGTATTTTTAGGAGAGACAGGGTTTCACCGTGTTAGCCAGCATGGTCTCGATCTCCTGACCTCGTGATCCACCCGCCTCGGCCTCCCAAAGTGCTGGGATCACAGGTGTGAGCCACCACACCTAGCCCATTTTTGTGTTTTACAAAAGAAGTATCACTTTCCTTTCTCTTTTTCTCACTGCAACTTTCTTTTCCTTCACATCTTCCCTTCACATTTTCTATTCCCTGACCATTAGTTTCTCCTCCCCTTCCCTCCCTTCCCCTGAACAGAGGAACCAGCATAGCAGACGGGAGACATGGAATGCTGAAGAGGAACACAGCCACGCTGAGGCCAGGAAAGGCAGGGTAGGCGGCCATGCTGGCTGGGGGAGGAGAACACCTGCAGAGTTGAGTCTGGTTACGTTAAACAAGAAAGCGTAATGATTAAGCAAAAACAGGAATTGTATCAAAAAATAAGGAAGGCAAGCCTCTTATTGTCAAGAGAGGTTATTTCCAATCATGGGAAAGAGAAAGAAAAGCAGAACTCTGTTCCGTTGAATTGAAATTGGGAATGTCAGTATGAACTAATATTTTTCTAATAAATGTATATACAGATGAAGAAATAGTGATATATAAATAGACATTGTACATATATGTGCATATGATTATATGTGTATATTATGCATATGTATTATATATAACATGCATATGTATTTCACAAAATACATTATTATATATAATATAGAAATTATACAATTGTGTGTATATATGTATATGTATTGCATGTAATTAAATGCGTAAGTATTTTATGTAATTATATACTTTTTTTTGAGACAGGGTCTCATTGTCACTTAGGCTGGAGTGCAGTGGCATGATCATGGCTCACTGTAGCCTTGACCTCCTAGGTTCAAACAATCCTCCTGCCTCAGCCTCCCTAGTAACTGGGATCACAGGCCTGCACCACCATGCCCAGATAATTTTTTTTTACTTTTGTAGAGGCAAGATCTTGCCATGTTGCCCAGCCTGGTTTCAAACTCTTGGCCTCAAGCAATCCTCCTGCCTTAGGCTCTCAAAGTATTGGAATTACAGGTGTGAGACACTATGCCCAGCCTATGCATATGTTTTATTATATGTGCATTGTAAATATGTATTATACATTATATATTTATATATTACATTATATGTTATATATATTTATATATTATTTTATGTTGTATATTATATGTACAAATATATATTACATGTATAATATTTCCTAGCTCTGTCCACTAAAAGAATGTGTTACTAGTAACAGTGTGCTGCCCAGCTGAATTTTTTTCTATCTGGAAAATAATGATGCTGAAATATTTGCTTAGCTGGAAGAGATTCTCACTGACTGGATGGTTGAGCCCAAGCTCCCACCACATCAGGGATTCTGGAGAATTTTGAATGCTCACATTCACCTCGCTTGGAGGCTTCATCAGGTCAGGACATTTGAGGTGGAAAAGGTATGGAAATTTACCAAGAAGCATCGTTGGAAAGACTTGGGACTAGAGAACAGGATCTAGAGACAGCACTGAGGCAGGAATATGAAGAGCAGGAGACAGTGACAACACTTAGCTGGCCACAGGTCACTGGGCAGGAGTTTATTAAAATGAGACTGCTACTAGTGAGACAACCGCAGCATGATCCTGGGTGACAGAACGCATTCACTCACACGCTGTGAGAGGCGGGATGACAGGGCACCCTCTGCAATCACAGATGCAAGATTCTTGGTTTTAAACATTTGCTGTATTCAACATCTTTTGTTTGGTGTCCATTTACTCCTCCTAAACTCTCTTGCTGGCTTCTAGTACTATTTCTTCTTGCTCTGTACCAAAGGGGTCTACTTTGTATCAACAGGGCTGCAGAGTAGGGATAGAGAGGATATTATGTCAGGTAGACTCCAGGAAGCAATTTCACAACAGGAGAAAAGGTTCAATAACCCTGGATCAGGATGCTTCAAAGCAGGCAAGGCAAAAATGTCTACGGCAGTCAGAGAGCTAAGGAAAGCTTCAGAAAGCTCATTTCTATGAGAAGCGTTGAAAATCTTTGAAGATATTTCTCTCTCTTACTCAGGGTTTGCTATTAGGTTATGTTCCTTGAACAGGTCTTTTGAAAACATTCAAGAATTTTCCCTGTCCAGGCATTGCTCAACTCTAAAGGTAAGTGATCTCTGTGTTATATAAGCCCAGGAACTTTCTTCTCTGGGCAAGCTCTGGGCTCTGCCTGCACGTTCTGCTGGGTTAGATTTCAGGGTGAGAAATGTAACTCTCAGCCTCCTGAAGAAACCTTATCTCTGGGCCACTCACTTCCAACGAAGGAGAAAGATCCCTGGCCAGAATACAGGCCCACTTGCAACACTCAGGAGAGGTCAGAACACAGGTTAGTTCTAATGAACTAGTGTTTTTTCTGAGTTGGATTTTATTTATTTATTTATTTATTTATTTATTTATTTATTTATTTTTGAGGCAGAGTCTTGCTCTGTGGCCCAGGCTGGAATGCAATGGCACAATCTCAGCTCACTGCAACCTCTGCCTCCCAGGTTCAAGCGACTCTCCTACCTAAGCCTCCTGAGTAGCTGGGAATACAGGCACCCACCATCATGCCTGGCTAGTTTTTGTATTTTTGTAGAGATGGGCTTTCACCATGTTGGCCAGGCTGGTCTTGAACTCCTGACCTCAGGTGATCCACCTGCCTCAGCCTCCCAAAATGCTGGATTACAGGTGTGAGCCACCGCATCTGGCCTCTAAGTTGGATTTTAAAAAACATATAATATCAGGAAAAAGTATTCACAAATTTTCTGTTCATTGGAACTTTTAGGACTTATATTCCTGTGAAAGGAAAGTGTTTTAGAACTTTCAGGCTATGATAACAACATATAAATTAGGCTGGGTAATTTATAAACAACAGAAATTTATTGCTGAGAGTTCTGCAGGCTGGGAAGTCCAAGATGGAGACACCATCAAAGTCAGTTTCTGGTGAGGTCTCCGTTCCTCATGGAGTGTGCTGCTTGCAAGTCCTCACATGGATGAAGGGCAAGGCAACTGCCTTCAACCTCTTTTATAAGTGCACTAAGCTCACTCATGAGAGTGGAAACTTCAAGATCTAATCAACTCATTAATGCTTCACCTCTCAACGGGATCACATTGAGGATTAAGTTTCATCATATGAATTGGGGTCGGGGAAGGTAGCAAATGTTCAGACCACAGCACGGAGTAGGGCATAGATTGTGTTTTGCCATATTTCTGGATGAAGCTTCTAGTTACCAAAACTATGACTCCCCAGAATGTATTATTGCATCTTCAGGACATAGTTGATGTCTGAGAATGTTTTTGATAGGATAGTAAAACCCCTTTTTATATGGCTTATACTTCTTGATAAGCCATGTAAATATGATAGTTGGTTACAGTGCACATAATTCATTTCCATTGTAAAATATAAGTTCAAAATGATCTACTTTACAGATTAAATCTAGTTTCCACGTATGACATGTAGTTTCAGCGAGTGAATGCAGGAGTGGTTTGTAGGATTCCTTGACTTTTCTCTAACACAGGCCTAAATAGTGGTTATGAATGCCAGACTCTTTCTTCCCTCCTTCCTTCCTTTCTTTCTCTCTCTCTTTCTCGTTCTTTTCTCTCTCTTTCTTTCTCTTTCTCTCTCTCTCTTCTTTCTTTCCTTCCTTTCTTCCTTCCTTTCCTTTCTTTCTTCCTTCCTTTCCTTGCTTTCTTCCTTCCTTTTCTTCCTTCCCTTTTTCCTTCCTTCCTTCCTTCCTTCCCTCCCTCCCTCCCTTTCTTGATGTGGCTCTGTCCCCCAGGCTGGAGTGCAGCAGTGTCATCCTAGATCACTGCAACCTCAACCTCCTGGGCTCAAGCAAACCTCCCACCTCTCAGCCTTCTAAATTGCTGGGACTACAGGCACACCCACCACACCTGGCTAGTTTTTGTATTTCTTTTTTTTTTTTTTTTTTTTTTTTTTGAGACAGAGTCTCGCTCTGTCGCCCAGGCTGGAGTGCAGTGGCGCGATCTCGGCTCACTGCAAGCTCCGCCTCCCGGGTTCACGCCATTCTCCTGCCTCAGCCTCCCGAGTAGCTGGGACTACAGGCGCCCACCACCACGCCCGGCTAATTTTTTGTATTTTTAGTAGAGACGGGGTTTCACCGTGTTAGCCAGGATGGTCTCGATCTCCTGACCTCGTGATCCGCCCGCCTCGGCCTCCCAAAGTGCTGGGATTACAGGTGTGTGCCAACTCACCTGGCCTGTGAGACCCTTTTCTAAGGACTTTATTAGCACAATTTAGTTAATCGTCATCCCAATCCTTTGAAGTAGGCACTATTATTGTCTCTATTTGAAGCTTCACACTGGTTGGCTCAATCTGATTTTCTTTTTTTTTTCCTCCCTAGGAACTTATTTGAAATTTAATGGGGAAAGGCAATGAATTGGGAAGAGAGTCACAAGAGAAAGAAACATAGTCCTTTGCTAATATGGCTTTTCTTTAAACTCTGCATAAAATTTTAGCTTAATAAATTAGCTGCTCCATAGTTTTGACCACTTAATTTCTTTGAATCATATTCTTTTGGTTTTTATAGACCCATAACAGATTTGCCTGTATTTTGAATTCAGGCATTATGAATACTGCCTGTGAATAAATTATCAATTTAAACCAAAAAGGAAAAAAAAAGATGGAACAAATGTCCAGTTTGAATTGCCACAGAACAATTAGTTCTCCCAAAGGATAAAGCAAATTGAAACATGTTGATGTGAACTGTAAACGATGTCACCTTTGCCCACAATTCCCTTACAACAACCCAAGAGGAAGAGAATACAGCAGGAAATATCTATGCTCAACAGCTTGCTAGCTAATTTCATCATTTTTGTAAAAGCAGAGTGAAAGAAAACATGAACATTCACTCTGTGGAAGAGCCCAAGAAATCTTGACAGGTGGCTGAAGAAGAAAACTTACTTATTTACAATTATTCAGGAGCTCAGAGATTATGGGGAGATTTACAAAGCAGCATAAAAATGGGCACTTGAAGATAAGCAAATCTAATAAATGGCATTGCAAATATCCCTAAATGGATCTAAATAATCTAAAATTGGTAGGTGAGTGACCTCAGCATATTAAAGGATTCATAGAACATCCTCATTTGACACAGAAGGAATCTTCTTATTGTGTTATCTGAATCATACAGGACAGACATCAAGTAGTAATATTATTGCACCCAATAAAATGTTCAAACAAATTGGTAAACTGGAGGCCTTCTGAAACAAGAGTTTCTTTTCTATGTAATTTAGGAGAAGAGGGCCTAGAGATAGGAGATGGGTAAAAGAAGTTAAAATACTAAGGAAGTTACCATTGTCCAATCAGTCACTTTTAATAGCTTTAACTATTCAATAATTCATTTGTTTACTTACAAATAAGATACTTATTAAGGATCCACTATGTACAAGTCCTTGTTTTTTAGTGAATTTCAAACTGAGAGAGATAGAATACAGAATACAAAAATTATTAGATAGGTAATCATACAACCTTCTTAATTACATTGTTCAGTCTCCCTAAAGGGGAAGAAAACTTGTTAGATTTGATTCTTTTCAATAATATCACTTAGCAAGAGAAAATGATATAGTATGTTATTTATCATCTTCAGAAAAAAACACTTCTTTTACGAATCAAATCATCCAGTATATAGAGATCTTCCTTTTAGAGAAAGTATTTCTTTACTTGGACAATCTTTTTATTCAAAAATTGTTTTTATTCAAGATTTCTATCTTAATGAACACTACAGGGCACTGCCAGATTGATAATATCTTGTTCATCACCAAATCAAAATTAAATTCTGTCCTTTTTTTTTTTTTTTTTTTTTTTTTAGACAGAGTCTCACTCTGTCATCCAGGCTGGAGTGCAGTGGTGCAATCTTGGCTCACTGCAACCTCCACCTCCTGGGTTGAAGCGATTCTCCTGCCTCAGCCTCCCGAGTAGCTGGGATTACAGCCACCCGCCACCACGCCCAGATAATTTGTGTATTTTTAGTAGAGACAGGTTTTGCCATGTTGGCCAGACTCAGGTGATCTGCCTGCCTTGGCCTCCCAAAGTGCTGGGATTACAGGTGTGGACCACCCAACCCAGCCAAATTCTGTCCAATTTCTTTATGAGTTTTTCATTTAGTTATATATATATGTGTTGTTAACAAAAACATAGCAAATTGTCCTGGAAATCAGAAGCACACTTCTCTATTTATTTATTTTGAGACGGGGTGTCACTCTGTCACTCAGATTGGAGTGCAGTAGCACGATTATGCCTTGTTGCAGCCTCAACCTTCAGCCTCCTAAGTAGCCGGAACTACAGGCTTGTGCCCCCATGCCTGGCTAATTTATCATTATTTTTTTTGTAGAGAAAGTGTCTCACTATGTTGCTCAGGCTGGTCTCCAACTCTTGAGCTCAAGCAATCCTCCTGCCTTGGGCTCCCAAATTGTTGAGATGACAAGTATGAGCTACCGTGCCTAGTTTGAGATCAGGCTCTGCCCAACTTGCTCACAGAATCTCTCCTTTGATAAAGCCCTTAATTACTTTGGGGCTTGTTTTCCTTTATTCTCTATCCTTAAGATAATCACAATATCTGTATCTGTAGAATTCTACTAGAAACATGGAATATGAAGCAGTACTCTTAGCCAGATTATTTTAAAACCCTGACTCTTCAACTGAACTCTCCACAGAATATAAGACTTGCTCTCTAAATTCACTAATGTGTTTGAGTTTCTTCTTTACAGGTTTATTTCACATTTTCAGGTTTTTATTTATTTTTTTTCTGAAGCGGAGTCTTGCTCTGTCACCCAGGCTGGAGTGCAGTGGCGCTATCTGGGCTCACTGCAAGCTCCACCTCCCAGGTTCACGCCATTCTCCTGCCTCAGCCTCTGGAGTAGCTGGGACTACAGGTGCCCGCCACCACATTTTCAGATTTTTATCACATCTTGGTTTGCTCACCTTTGAATTAAATGGGTTTATTTTGAGGTCTGGGGACTTCACATAGACACTACCATCACAACAACAATATTTTTAAAAATCTAATTTGAAAGTCAACTAAGAAGAAGTTCATTTCTTTCTCTTCTGGAAATAAAAGTGATTTAGAATCTGAATGTGCTTGTAATTTTAGGTGTTCTGTGACAGAAAAATAAAGAGATAGCCAAAAACAAAGAACAACAATAATAACAACCCCACAGATCATTGAGGTCATTTTAGACAAACCCTAAACTGAAATGCCACCTGCTGTCTTGGATCCTGGAGATGTTCTGTCCCTCATGAAGGAGAAAGAAAAGTTGCCCCAAATGGGGACTCTTTACCTTCAGCATCTTGAAACTCCTTCACCATTTGAAGTATTAAAATATTTAATCAACATCAAATGCTGCTGCCCCTATTTATACAAGTGCTTTATTATCCTGTACATTATACCACAACCTGCCTGGCTCTTAATGTGACCTGAAGAGCTAGTCGGCATTTATTACAAATGCGAGGCAGTAAGCTTCTGGCTGAGCAATTAATCACTGACACCAAGGAATTTCTTCTCTTCAGGTGGGGAACCCATCCAAAAACTAAGAAAAATAATCGGGCTAATTAATTCTTATCTGCAAAGAGCAATTAGATAAATGACCTCAAAAAAGACTTGTCACCCCTAGTGAGACACTCACTTTCTAAATAGAATGTGTCGAGCCTCTTTTCACTGGGCAAGTGATACTGTGAAATGGAGATGACAGAAATGAACGGGAGGGAAATGAGAAGGGAGCAGGTTAATTAGAATGAAGGCTGATGAGAGAGGGTGGGGGGAGAGAGAGAGAGAGGAAGAGAGGGAGAGAGATAGAAAGATTTGCCATGATCTTGTCACCCTGCTCTCTTTTCTTTATGTACATAGGCAGGTAGCAAACAGAGGACGTTCTTCTGTTTCCAAGCATGGTGGGAGTCATGGGCCTGGGCTGCTCTGTGCTTGATTTTCTGTGACATGTTGCTTTCTACCAGTGAGCCACAGCCCCTCTGCCTGGCTCTCCACAGCACACTACTGCCAAGGAAATGTACAAAAAACTCCTAAAGCAAGTCAAGTCTGCCTTTTGTTTCTTTTTTTCTACGCTCCTCTTTTATCATGGTCCTCTGGTCATTTCTATGCCTGACAACAGCACCGGAGAGTGGCCTTAAAAATGACTACTGGGACTAAAATATTAAGATGTGCAAAATGCAGCTTTCATGTGAGTTTCATAAAAATGGTTTTGGTTCTGTGATTTATCTTTCTCTTCTCTCCTCTCTCCTCCTTCCCTTCCTTCTCCTTCACCCCCTTCTCCCTCTTCCTTCCTTTCCTCTCCTCCTCTCTTCTTTTCCTCCTCATTTCCATTCCTCCTCCCTCTTTTTCTTCAGGGAAATCAATGTAAACCACTAGCAATCTTTAGGGGGACTCCTTCTACAATCCTCGTCTGTTACTAGAGATCTTAGAATATAAATCCACCGAAGGTCTTCAGCTTTGTGGGGTCTAGCCAATCCTAGGAGGCTATCTAAGGTGGAGAAGTTAGCTCTGAGGAAAGCCAGGCTCACCATAAATAGATCCCAAATGATAAGCTCATCTATACTTTGGCTCCATCATTTTAAATGTGGAGACATTGGTCCTTTTCTTTAAAACACTATCTCACCGCAACCTTCGCCTCCCAGGTTTTGGTTCTGTGTCAAATATAGTCAAAAGGACTATAGCTATCTATTTTTCCTTCCTGCAAATTCACTGAAATCTTCTTTTAGAGAAATAAAGTGTATATAAAACCCAGGCTAATCTTAGGTTGGGTAGCCCCTCATTTAAATTACAGAGTGACTTGTCAAATCCAGCAGGCAGTAGTACAACTCCCTACCATGCCACTCTCTCTGTCTCCACAAACTCCTTCCAAAATACTGCTACTCTCACTCTCACAGTGCCCTAAATAATTCCTTTACCCAGGAGCTACTTTGTTTTTCTTTGTTACTTTTCTTTTTAAAACGTATTAAACTTTATTTTTAGAACAATAACAGAAAAAAACTTTGAAGAGTACATAGAGTTCTCACACACTTGTACCTAGTTTTCTCTATTATTAACATTTTATGTAACATTCAATGAACCAAGACTGACACATTATTATTATTTTCTTAGTTTTACCTAATATCCTTCTTCTGTCCCAGGATCCCATCCAGCATGCCAAGTTACATTTAGTTGTCATGTCTCCTGTGGGGTCCTTTTTGTTATGACAATTTGTGAGACTTTCCTTGTTTTTGATGAGTTTGACAATTCGAGAATTACTGGACAGATATTTTGTAGGATGCCCCTTAAGTGAAATTGTTCTGATTTAAAAAAAAATGATGAAAGTTTGCAAACTATGCATCTGACAAAGGTGTAATATCCAGTATCTAGAAGGAACTTAAACAAATTTACAAGAAAAAAGCAACCCCATGGGCAAAGGACACGAACAGACACTTTTCAAAAGAAGACATACATGTGGCCAAAAATCACATGAAAGAAAGCTCAGTATCACTGATCATTAGAGAAATGCAAATGAAAACAACAATGAGATACCAGCTCACACCAATCAGAATGGCTATTAATAAAAAGTCAAAAAATAATAGATGCTGGCGAGGTTGCAGAGAAAAAGGAACGCTTAAACACTGCTAGGGGGAGTGTAAATTAGTTCCACCATTGTGGAAAACACTGTGGGGATCCCTCAAAGACCTAGAAATGGAAATAACATTCGACCCAGCAATGTCATTACTGATACCCAAAAGAATATAAATTATTTTATTATAAAGACACATGTACATATATGTTCATTGCAGCACTATTCACAATAGCAAACACATGGAATTAACCTAAATGCTCACCAATAGTAGATTGGATAAAGAGAATGTGGTACCTATATACCATGAAATACTATGCAGCCATAAAAAAGAATAAGATCATGCCATTTGCAGGAACATGGGTAGAGCTGGAGGCCATTATCCTTAGCAAACTAATGCAGGAACAGAAAGCCAAATACTGCATGTTCTAACTTACAAGTGGGAGCTAAATGATGAGAAAACATGGACACATCATGGGGGAACAACACACACTGGGGCATATCAGAAGCTGGAGGGTAGGAGCAGGAACAGAAAGAGGAAGAACAACTAATGGGTACTAGGCTTAATATCTGGGTGACAAAATAATCTGTATAACAAACTCCCATAACACAAGTGTACCTATATAACAAACCTGCACATGTATCCCTGAACTTAACATAAAAGTTAAAAAAACAAACAAACAAAACAGAAATGATTAAACAGGAGCCATGCATTTTTGGGAGGAAGACCACAAAGGTAAAAGTCATCTTCATCACATTGTATCAAGGGTACATATTATTATTATTATTTATTATAATATACTGGGTCACTCTGTCACCCAGTCTAGAGTGCAGTGGCATGATCTCCTATCACTACAACCTCTGCCTCTTGGGTTCAAGTGATTCTCCTGCCTCAGCCTCCCGAGTAGCTGGGATTAGTCGCCTGCCACCACACTTGGCCAATTCTTTTTTGCATTTTTAGTAGAGATGGGGTTTCACCATCTTGGCCAGGCTGATCTTGAACTCCTGACCTCAGGTGATCCAGGCCACTTGGCCTCCCAAAGTGCTGGGATTACAGGCGTGAGCCACTGCACTCAGCCTAAGGGTACATATTATGAATGTGACTTACTGTTGCTGATGTTGACCTTAATCACCGGACTGAGGTAAGGTTTGTGAAGTTTTTCCTTTGTAAACTTACTCTCTATCACTTCCCACATATTTGCATTGTACTCTTTGAAAGGCTGTACTATATATAGCCTATATTTGAGAAATGGGGAATTATGCTCCACTTTCTTGAGAATGGAGCTCCTACAGAAATTATTTGGAATTCCTCTTTATGGGGGAATTTTCTCTTCCCAGCCCCTATTTATTGTTTTATTAAATTACTTATATCGATATGGACTCAGGTATTTATTTTATACTTTGGGTTAGAATGCAGTAGTACTTTGCTTATTGTGCTCAAATTGCTCTTTTGGTGGTTGTTGTTGTCGTTGAAACAGCGTTTCACTCTTGTTGCCCAGGCTGGAGTGCAATGGTGCGATCTCGGCTCACCACAACCTTCTCTTCTCAGGTTTAAGCGATTCTCCTGCCCCAGACTCCAGAGTAGCTGGGATTACAGGCAACTGCCACCATGCCTGTCTAAAATTTTGTATTTTTAGTAGAGGTGGGATTTCACCATGTTGGCCAGGCTGGCCTTAAACTCCTCATCTCAGGTGATCCACCCGCTTCAGCCTCCCAAAGTGCTGGGATTACAGGCATGAGCCATTGCACCGGATCAGAATTGCTCATTTTGATCACTAGGGGCTCCTTCAGTTGGCTTCTGTGTCCCTTTGATTTCCCCGTAACATTATGGAATTTTGGGGAGGAGGTGCTTCCTTACTTTTTGGCATTACAGATGTTCCTGGCCCCAGAAACAACTTTTTATTTCACAATTGAAGCTAAAGCATAAACTGACACAGGGGTAACATAAATACTGGATTAAATGCAGAGGAAAGAGTTATAGGAGACAAGAAGAGATGGAATAAAAAAGACACTGAAGACCAGAGAAGGACGTAGGAGAAGAGCCTGAGAAAAAGACAGAAGGCACAAGAGATAGGCTTGGAATACATTTTAGGTTTGCTCAAGGCTATTCCCACATATCGCTCTGAATTCAGTTTTCCCCTATACTGATGATATTTTCCATTTTTATTCCTAAAACGTGACGGTTTTTTATCCTTAGAAAAAGATAATATTATAGTTAAGAGGAAGAGACAATATGCTGCAGGTAGAAAGAGCTTATCTTTACAGTATGAAAAAAAGCCTTTAAATTTTGGTTCTTTTACTCACTGGTGATTCACAGTAAGGTTCAACCTCTCTGAGCTTTAGCTCATGCAAAATGGGCATAAATGCAGGTAGATTAACAGACTGTTAGAAAAATTGTCAGACAGATAGACCAATGAAGAGAGGCAGAGAGTAGGATTTCTGAGAACATCTTATGATGAGACATATCAAATATCTGATAGAAAGACAAGAACGTAGTGGGTGGGTATTCTGTCAATGTCGGCTTCCCTCTGCAAATCTACTTACCTGCTACACCAACCTGTCTATTCAAGCATCTATTTCACCAGTTTTGGGGGATCCCAACATTAAAGTATTATGTGTGTAGGTAAATTATGCTGAAAGTAGATAAGATCTTTGAAATAGTCAGTCATAGTCAAAGCCCTTGAATTTTCATATAATTCTTTTGATAGTTTGCCCCATAAAGATTACAAAGGATTAGAGATGGATATTTACAAAACTGAACAGCACTTGAAACGCCCCCAAATTCACCATTTTTAATGGACATCCTCCTTAGCATCAATTCTTATATTAGTTGACTGATATTTACCACTTATTTAAAACAGGTGTGTTTCTAATTCAGCTCTCTAATTGGCCATGACATCTTGATACTAGAAATGAATAATAAATGATTACAAATATAGGATAAGGTCAGACCATCATTATTAGAAAAGCCTCAGTATAATTTTAAGGACCATTTTTTTTTCTGAAAGGAGAACACTTTGTATAGTTGATATAGTTTGGATGTTTGTCGCCTCCAAATCTCATGTTGAAATGTAATCCCCAATGTTGGAGGTGGGGCCTGGTAGGAAGCGTTGGGTCATAGACAGAGATCCCTCATGAATGGCTTGGTGTCCTTGCAGTAACAAATGAGTTCTTGGTCTGAGTTCACGTGAGATCTTGTTGTTTAAAAGAATGTGGCACTTCTTTCTCTCTCTCTTGCTCCCTCTCTCATCACGTGCTACTCCTGTCTCCCTCTTGGCCTTCTGCCATGATCATAAGGTTCCAGAGGACTCACCAGAAGCAGAAGTTAGAAGAAGTCTGTTGAACCATAAGCCAAAATAAACCTCTTTTCTTAATGAATTACCCAGCTTCAGGTATTTTTTTACAGAAACTTAGAAGGACTAATACAGTAGGTATATTGAAAGATTCTTCCATTTAAGAGAAAGTAAGAAAAAATGGAGTTTCTCCATATAATAGTCAACAGTGTCTATATTGCTTAATTTTAAGCAAATAAACATTTATATGGTCATAAATTGACAAGGCTTAATATCAACTATTCAATAATTGATATAATTTCATAAGCTGAGATATTACCTAACAGTTAAAAATCCTTTTAATTTGCTAAATGATCCCCCAATATGCATGACTGCCTTTGTTTAAGCAATTTCGATTATAGCCAAAGTAAATATTTAGTGGAAACGAATTTCTCCTTGTACAAATATTTCACATTTTGTAATACATGTGAGAAGAGGCAGAGGGGGAAAAACAAAAAGGGATGAGTTACACGTTAAAATTTTTTCATGGCTTCTTTCAGGTCAAACACAAGATAAAAAGTTAACTTGAAGATTCCTTTCGGCACCACCTCAATATGTATGTACTAGAAAATGAAGTAAGCTCTCGAATGATACAATCTATACACTGGCTCAAGAAACTAAACAAGCTTCTGCAAGTGATGAAGTTAAGTCTCTTATCAGGCTTATATTAACATGGTAATGTGCAGTAAGAGGGTCACAATGGATGCAATTCATTTCCATTAAAGAGAGCTGCTAACAGAAGACTAGACCTCCACAGGACTCCAGTCAGACTATTATAAAACTAAAGCTGCTATTCAATAGGTGGGATGTGCACCTGCAAATAAGCCTCTTATTAAACTGCAATTCTGCTCCATACAACTCTGCTGGAGAATAGTACATGTTGACAGCAAAACATAGAACATAGTTAGTGTTAACTCAAAGTCCCTCAATCCCCATTAGAGACATGGTTTTCCTCAACAGAGTTACCACAAGTATTATGCACCCTCTCGTTTAACAGAAAAGTAAAAAATACATCTCTCTAAGTGCTTCTCAGATGAATGTTGGATATTGAAAACATAACATGCAGAATATTTTTTTGAACTTACAAAATAAGCTGAGACATCAGGAGAGAAGGCACTGAAATGTAGATGACAATGATGATGATGATAGCTATCAGTTCGTGTTTTGTCAGGTGCTGTGCTAGACCATTACAAATATTACCTTATTTATGTATTCTACTTTATAAAAATATTTGACTAGTTTAGAATTACCTGGCATTGAGAAGTGCTACTTAGAGTAGTTATTGAAGCTTCTCTTCTTCAATTTTAGAAATTCATGGAGGAGGCTGGGTATAGTGGCTCATGCCTGTAATCCCAGCACTTTGGGAGGTCAAGGCAAGTGAATCATGAGGTCAGGAGTTTGAGATCAGCCTGGCCAATATGGTGAAACCCTGTCTCTACTAAAAATACAAAAAATTAGCTGGGTGTAGTGGCGGGTGCCTGTAATCCCAGCTACTCAGGAGGCTGAGGCAAGAGAATCACTTGAACCTGGGAGGCAGAGGTTGTAGTAAGCTGAGATCACACCAGTGCACTCTAGCCCAGGCTACAGAGTGAGACTCTGTCTCAAAAAAAAGAAAAGAAAAGAAAAAAAATTTCGTGGAGGATTGAAATAAAAACATTTGAAAGAGACTTCTTGTAATATTGCAGACAGTTACTGGATTTTTAAATTATAACATCATCTGTGTTGTTTTGTTATGTAATATTAATACATAAAAGACACTGCTTTGTTATATTTTACATGTTAAATATATATAAAATATTATACAGAAACCCACGTTTATTAAGTGTTCTTAAATAATTGAAACTGGCCCAATACTCCCATAGACTGTTCTTTTGGATAAACATAGAAAAGATTCTGCTGTTAAAGCTTGAAATTTGTATTTGTTTTATGTGAGTTCCTTCCTCAAGAAAAGAACTTTAAGCCTTTCAAAAAAAGTATCAAACAATTGAAGCTCACCAGATCACACACTAGATGCCTCCTTGCCCCTTCCTAGTTCTTGTTTTCTTACACATTGTCATATTTCTTCCCTGCTATATAAACCCCTCATTTTAGTCAGTCAAGGAGATGTATTTGAGAGTGAGCTCCCAATTCCTAGGTTGCAGCACCTGATTAAAGCCTTCTTCCTTGGCAATACTTGCTGCCTCAGTGATTGGCTTTCTGTGCAGTGAGCTTTAGGATCTAGACCAAACCCCTGGTGTTTCAGCAACATAATTTTATAAACTGAAAAGAAAATAAGGGATATTTAGAAGCTACAATCTCACTGAAGTTGAAAACAGTAAAGTACTATTCTGGCCTTCAGCTTTGAAAGCTTGTGCAAAACAAGGCAAATTTGAATTTGAAACTGTAGGGACTCATTGGGTCTGGCAATCAAGAGTCAAATCTTAGAGTCCAACCAAGGAGGGAGAGTCTGATGAGACACTCACATACTAGCTGGGACTCCGTGGGCCTACACTTCACTGTTAAGATAAATAAGAAATATTATTTTATATAAATATTCCTCACTCAGTAGTTAGTAAGGAAAATCACTTTTCAAATCTTAGCACTGAAGCAGAAAATATATTCCACCACAGAATTTGTACTTATAAGCTGATCCTCCTGTGGACTTAAAGCATGAATTTGTGATATCCAATTATCCAAAAATAATCTCAAGCTGATAATTTATTTTAATGTTGTTTCTGACTGTGTGGTTTCCTTAGGCAACTTGCAGAAACAAAGCCAAACCAAATCAAACCAAACCAAAACAAAATAAAGCAAAACCAATAAAACCTCTTTCTAGAAGGCTTCACTGTCAAACCAGGCTTCAAAAAATTTCTACTGATACTGTTTCAAAAAATATGAGTTTGCAGTAAAAAACACACACACATACACACGCATACACATACAACACAAGAAAACATTGGCACCATGAGCTAAAGAGTAGAATTAGACTTCAAAAGTCTTTATTTCTTGGAAGTGTTAACCACAAACTATAAAATAAATATGCATAATATGTTTAAAGAAATAAAAGGTTAAAAACATGAAAAAGGGGGTTATATGATAAGATAAATAAGAATATCTGAAAACAAACCAAATATTATTTATCAAGTGAAAAATATAGAAAGTGAAATTAAAATTGAATGGGTTGAATATCCACTAAATATTAGATAAGACAAAGCTAAAGAGAGAATTTACTCTTAATATTGGACAGGACAGTTTAATACCAAATAAGACACAGATAAAGAGAGAATTATTAAAAAGAAGAAAAAGTTGGAGAAAGCACCCAGAATACAGTCCAGAGAGATAGAGAAGGGGAGATATGAGAAAGACATTTAAAAACAGAGGAAAAGTTAAAAGGATCTAACCGATATAATTTGAATGCAGTAAGGAAAAGAGAGAATCAATGAGAGGGGCAATATCTGAAGAAAAAGATGTTAATTTTCCAGAACTGCTAAAAGATACCAATTCACAGATTCAGGAAGTCAAAGTAAGATAGTTGAAAAATAAAATGCAAGTTGGACACATCATAGTGAAACTGCTGAACATAAAAGATAAAATAAAAATCTTAAATGCATTCACAAAGAAAAGAGAGATTACTTTCAAAAGAGCAACGATAAAGCTGGCAACTAACTTCGTAACAGCCCAAATGAAAGGCAGAAATCCAAGAGAATATGCTAAAAAATGAATTTCTTCAGATAAAAAAAGTCAGATGGAAATTGTGAAATATAAAACAAATGATGAGCATAGAAAATGCCTATAATACACATATTATAGTTTAAATAAATGTTAGGTGTATAAAATAAATATATTGATATATCATTCGTGGAGTTGAGAGACAAGATTAAAATATATTAAAGGACAATATAAAAATTAAGAGGAAAGTGATCTAAGGGAAAGTGTTTTAAGGTGTTTGAATACATATACTGATGAATTTACACCTTGGTAAGTTAAGTATGTATGATAAAACTTCTAAGATAACCAATAATGAATTGACATTTTGTGTATAACTTTTTATCTGATAGAGAAAATGAAAAAAATATTAAATCAATGTAAAAGAAGACAAGAAATGAAAGAAAAGATACAAAGCAAGGGAAGGATAAGGATAGGGTTCCAAATTAAAAAGTAGAAATAAATCTAAATATAGCAACACTCAAAATAATTGCAAATGGATTGTGCTTCAGTTAAAATATAAAGACTGTCAGACTTATTAAAAATCCAAACTTTATGCCATTAATATGAGAAACATTTAAATATCAGAATCCAGAAGGATAGAAGTAAAATAATGAAAATAAACTTTGTATAGCTAGGCCAGGCACCCCAGCTCATGCTTGTAATCCCAGCACTTTGGGAGGTCAACCTGAGGTCAGGAGTTCGAAACCATCCTTGCCAACATGGCGAAACCCCGTCTCTACTAAAAATACAAAAATTAGCTGGGTATGGTGGTGGGCACCTGTAATCCCAGCTACTCGGGAGGCTGAGGCAGGAGAATCACTTGAACCCAGGAGGTGGAGGTTACAGTGAGCCAAGATCACACCACTGCACTCCAGCCTGGGCGACAGAGCGAGACTCTGACTCAAAAAAAGAAAAAAAAAAAGTTTGCATAGCTATATTAGTATCAGAGAAAAACCAAACAAAATATCAGGTTAAAAACTTTATTAAAATCAGAGTATTCAGATATTGACAAATATTGACATTGCCCCAAAGAAATGATTCTATAACATATGTTCCATGTACCATAGGGAATAATAAACTCATTCATCTTTTTATTGGGAGATTTGATGTTTAAAAAACTGCTATGTATAAAAACAATTTAAACAGCACAAATAAAAAAACTTCATCCAATGGGCATATATGAAAATACTATACCCAATGACTGTAGAATATGCTGTCCTCTCATGGAAATACTGAACACCTGTGGAAATTAAATACGTATTAGACTGTAAAACAAGTCTTAATGAGTTGCAAAGGACTGCTATCAGAAAAATCACATCTCTTTGTTGCAGACATTTGAATATAAGAAGTTATTATGAACAAGTTTATATGGATAAATTGGAGAGCATAGATGCAACGTAAATATTCCTAGAAAAATATAACATCACTCTAAGAGAAACATAAAACCTAAATGATCTCTAAGGAAATTGTTCTAACAATTTAAAAATCAGAAGAAATCTTTTGGAGATGATGTCAGTGTATGTAACAAAAGTCTTTTTTTTTTTTTTTTTTTTTTTGTGAGACAGAGTCTCACTCTGTCAACAAGGCTGGAGTGCCATGGTGCGATCTTGGCTCACTGCAACCTCCACGTCATGGGTTCAAGGGATTATCCTGCATCAGCCTCCCAAGTAGCTGGGATCACAGGTGTGCACCACCACACCCAGCTAATTTTTGTATTTTTAGTAGAGTTGGGATTTCACCATGTTGGCCTTGCTGGTCTTGAACTCCTGACCTCAAGTGATCCACCCACCTCGGCCTCCCAAAGTGCTGGGATTACAAGTGTGAGCCACCACGCCCGGCCTAAAACTCACCTTTAAATGAATGCAGTTTGTTACATTCATGCATTTGTTATATGTTATTATTTTCTGTCTCAAAATAATGATAATAGTAATAGCAGATAACACTTCTGTAGTGCTTCCTATGTGTTAGGCATTGCTGAAAGTGCCTTAAATATATTAATTATGTATTCCTCCCAACAAACCTATGAGGTAGATACTGTTATCTCCATTTTCAAAGATAAAAAATCTGAAACATAAAAATATAAATAACTTGCTAAATATAACAGAGAGGGCTACAGCTCAAATTCAGATCAAGCTAAAGATCATCTCTAACCACCAAACATACTATCATTATTATGATCAAGTTGAATTTAATGTAGGAAATCAAAGTATACATGTTAATGCATTTAGAGATTAGAGAAGAAAAAAAGTAACTATGTTAATAGATGGAAGAAAATTATTTTATACAATTTCACGCCTTTCTTTAAAAAAAAAAGCTTTTAGTGAACTACAAATTAGGACTACAAATTAGAACTATAAATTTAGGAGTTACTAATGTATGTTGTAAAACCTATAACAAATATTATAATAATTGGCGAAATATTGAAATTATTTCCTATAAAAATACAATTCAGTGATGTCTGCTTAGTTGATTACTGCTTATAATCACCATTGTTCTAGAATTCCTAGCTTGTGTAATAAGGCAAGAAAAATGAAATTAAAAGCATGAATAATTCAGCCAAAAGTTTTCATTATTTACCATCAAAAAACTTGTAATTATTCATAACCTGCAGATAATTTTTCAGAATCAAAAAGTATTTTTAACAAGCTTGCCTACTAAATCAGCACACAAAACTCAA
This sequence comes from Homo sapiens, assembly GCF_000001405.40. Lineage (NCBI taxonomy): Eukaryota > Metazoa > Chordata > Mammalia > Primates > Hominidae > Homo > Homo sapiens. The sequence goes on along the minus strand of NC_000015.10, from coordinate 94,798,449 downwards.
TTGCATTTTTATATTCTGGCAGCACACAGGTATAAAAGATTTGATCTACATTAACCTGAGAAATACAGAGTACTAAGGAAATATCTAATACATATTTGTAAGATCTTTATTGATAAAGTTAAAACATTTTATTGAAAGGCATTAAAGATGCTGTAAATAAATCAAGTGATATATGTTAATGGGCTAGAGAACTTATTATCATGGGGATACCTATTCCATTCACACTGATCAATAGACTCAAAGGAATTCTACTTAAATGCTCAATAATATTTTACTTGGAACTTAACAAACTGAATATAAAAGAAACTGAATATTTAATAACAAACTGAATATAAAACAAACTGAATATTAAACAGAAGATCAGAAGTCCACCAACAGCCCAGAAATCCTCGGAAATAAGAGCAAGGAGAGGGGAACTACTGTACCAGTAATCAAAAATTATTTTCTTCTCTTTTTAAAAAATCAAAATATGATTCACATACCATACAATTCACCATTTTGTAAAGTGTACAATTTAGTGGCTTTTAGTTTATTCACATATTTGTGCAATCATCACCAACTCCAGAATGATTTCAAGCCATCACACAGGATCTCTCATTAATTAGCAGTTGCTATCCATTCCTCCTTTGTCCAGTTCTTGTAAACTCTCATCTACTTTCTGTGTTTATGGATTTGCCTATTCTTGACATTTTAAATTAAATGGACACGTACAATATGTGGTCTTTTTTCTCTGACTTCTTTCTCTTATTATGTGTTTTCAAGGTTCTCCACATTGTAGAGTATATTAGTATTTCATTCTTTTTTATGGCTGAATAATATTTTATTGTAAGAGTATATCATATTTTGTTAATCCTTTAATTAGTGGACTGACACTTGGGTTGTTTCTACTATGTGGCTATTATGAATAAATGCTACTATTCACATTCATGTGTATGGTTATTTTTTAAATTTTCTTGTGTATACATCTAGCAATGGAATTAATGGATCACATGGTAGCTCTATGTTTAACTTCTTGAGCAACCACCAAATTGCTTTCTGCAATGGCTGGGCCATTTTACATTCCCACAAGCAATATACACGCTTTCCAGTTTCTCCACATTCTTACAAACACTTGCTATGATCTGTTTTTTGGTTACAGCCATTTTAATAGGTGCAAAGTAGTATCTTATTGTGGTTTAGATTTGCATTTGTCTAATGGCTCATGATGTTGAACATATTTTCATGCACTTATTGACTATTTGTACATCTTTGGAGTAATGTGTATTTAGATCCCTTGCTCATTTTTTATTTGGATTGTCTGGATTGTTTTTTTATTGTGAATTGTAAGAGTTTTTAAAATATTCTGAAAACAAGTCCTTTATCAGATATATTATTTGGAAATATTTTCTCTCATTCTGTGAGTTGTCTTTTCACTTTTTAAATAGTGTCTTTTAACACAAAAATTTTTTGAAGCCCAATGTATCTATTTTTTCTCTGCTTGTATTTTAGCTACATCTAATACATTTTTTACTAATTCAAAGTCAAGAAAATTTATACCTGTGTTTTTCTAAGAGTTTTACATTTAATGGTCTTTAATTCATTTTGAGTTAATTTTTGTTCATGGTGTAAGACAGAGGCCAAAATTCATTCTATTGCATATGGATATAGATATATATGTAAAATGGGTAACAGAAATGTCATGGCAAATTAGTCAGGTAAAGATGGACTTTTCAATAAATGCTCAAAGAAAAGTTGATTATACAAATAAAATAAAACATATTAGAAAAAATTAATTCTGCATTTTCCATAAGTAAAGAGCAAAGGGATATAAATTTTAAAAGAAAAATAAAAGGATTTTTTTTATTTTTTGTAGAGATGGGGTTTTGCCATGTTTCCCAGGCTGGTCTCAAACTCCCGAGCACATGCAAATGATCCACCTGCCTCATCCTCCCAAAGTGCTGATATTACAGGCATGAGCCATTGTGCCTGAATAAAAATGGCAAATTTTTATGTTTCCAAGTAAATTAAGGTTTCTTAAACATTACCCTGAAAATGCAAATTGTAAAATGAGAGATTATCAATTTGATATGATTAAAATTAAAAACAGATTCATCAAAAGATATAAAAAAGAGTGAAAACACAAGCCAGAACTTACACACACACACACACACACACACACACATTTAATTCCTTGAAATTGACAAGTAAATCACAGCCTAGTAGATGAATGCCATTTCACAAAACAGGTAATGTTTGAATGGTCAATACACCCATGAAACAGTGTCCAACTTCATGGGTAAATAAGGCAATGCAAATTAGAATCATAAGGAGATCATTTTAAGATTAGATTAGTGATAATTTAAATGTCTGATAAGAGCAAATGTTAGCTAGAATGTACATTAGTAGGACCAAATAAAAACTTTGAGTTTGTACACTGATACACAACCTTTGGAAAATAATTTGGCATTATAAAATAAAGTCACACTTGCATACACATGGTTCTTCTATTCCTCTTTCAGGTACATATACCAAAGGCATATATATATATATATACACACACATATATATACACACACACATATATATACACACACATATATATATATACACACATATATATATACACACACATATATATACACACATATATATACATACATATATACACACATATATATATACACATATATATACACACATATATATATACACATATATATACACACATATATATATACACACATATATACACACACATATATATACACACACACACATATATACATATATATGTGTGTGTGTGTGTGTATATATATATATATATATATATATATATATATGTGCCTTTGGTATATGTACCTGAAAGAGGAATAGAAGAACCATGTGTATGTTTGAACCATGTGAATGTATGAAAGAGGAATAGAAGAACCATGTGTATATATACATATATATGTATATATATACACACACACATGCTGAAAAAAATATATATAAGCTGAAAATAACACCAATGTCTATCAAAAAAGGAGTAGATAAATATTATGTGTTACAGTCATACAATGGAATATTATATCATACAATGGAATATAACACTTATAATAAATGAGTTACATGTATATTCTATATGTGGAACAATATGGAATAGTCTAATATTATAATTTTAAGCAAAAACAAAACAAAACTCAACAACAACAAATTGCATGTATGATTCTCATTAATACTAAGTTCAAAATACCCGAAGCAAACACTACATTGTCAAGGTCACAAACATATATGTGAAAATTAAACGGCAGGGGAAAGACAAAGTTCAGAATTCAGAATTGTGATTACCCCTGAAAGGCCTGCGAATGGGTGCAATTGACTAAAGACACATAAGGGACTCCAAGGTAATGGCAATTTCCTAGTTTTCTATTTCCTGCACTGAGTTGGGCATATAATTATTCCTTATGTTGTGTACCATTTTAAAAATCTTTTCAATGTTTAATGAAGATAATCTTTTAGAAAGAGAGAGAAAAAGTTTGGGGAATGACACTTGTCCTAATTCTTAGCCCCAAAATCTAGGTCTTTCAGATTCATCAGATGAAATAAAAATGGACCTTACCTAACTAGTCCATGATGTGATTATTGCCAAATTACATAATTAATTACCTTACATAGATCAGAATAGTTCTTCCTCCAGACTTTTAATATTAGAAAATTTTAAGCATAAATGTGTTGAAAGAACAATATAATCAACGTGTTTATCTGTTTATGTGCCACATAAATAACACTTGTTGATATTCTTCTCCTCCTCCCAATCACCATAGATTTTTGAAATTCATCATGTTATGATCCATTACCATCTTAAATGTGGCCAATGGCCTCCTCTGCAAGCTGAGTCTGTGTCCACTTGGCCTGACCCACTTAGCATTCGAGCACCTGCTTGCTTCTCTGGCATAACATGATAGGCTCCTGTGATTTCTTTACTAAGTAGAACAAATAATGACTATTAACATTTCACTGAAAGCAAACACATACCTTTCGTGCTATTACCAGTGTTTGCTTAATTAATGTTATTTTTTGAAATTAGACTTCTGAATATAGCGGATACATATCAAGCCTCAATGTGTCTGTCATAAATGGCTTTTGTGGAGAGAAATTTGCTTACCAATAAAATCTCTACGTGTTTGTTTTAATTCATTTGAATTCAAAATTGACTTTTTAAGATTCTTGAGAATGTGAACTACATCTTATTCTTCTTTGTCCCGGTACTAGGTGCAGTAAGTGTAGATGCTCAATTAACATTTGTTAAACAACATTAAATACCTGCACAGCTCTGTCTGTGTGTGTGCCTGTGTGTGTGCGTGCATACATGAACTGAATTGAAATACCCCAGAGTGAGGATGCCAGGAGGTCTGTAAGTTAACAGAAACCACATTTCATCTTTATCTTTTCACTTAAAAGCTGATTGGCCTCTGATTTTCAAGGTTATCACCCTTGTCTGCGAACTGAAGGGGCTTGAAACGCTCCTTGCAAATGCAGTTGTTGACTTTCAAACAAGGATCTTCTCCCTGGCTCCTGCTCCTGTGACCCACCCCTCCCGGAAACCAGTGGGTTTCTGAGTGACTTATGCTTCAGTGGCTGAAATGATTGGAGCTGACTCAAACACTACAGGCAGGGCTCACAGCCACACGCTCGGCCTAACTTATGTAAACATGTCCTGATGACAGCATTCTCCTACCCCATCTGCAGCTGCAAGGGAATCCATTATTTTTCCAGTCCCCGGGGAAGAAAAAGGTCTTGGGCATCATTACTCCTAGGCAAATGTAACTGACTCTACCGCATACCTTAATTTGCTTGCCACAATTATAGGTCACTCACCCGCTTTGTTATTTTCAATGACTCCCACCCCCCCGCTTTTTTGTTCTTATCAATAATAAATGGAGCCCTTGGATCATGCCACTGTAATATTTGGATATTATGCAAATGCTAATAATAACAAGGTAGCATCAGCAACACCCTGGTTTTATCAGCTGGTCAGATGCTCTATTAGGCAGTCAGTGAGGAGTTCAAGCAAATTGGTTATGTTAATGTCCTGTAGTACTTGGAAAAGACGAGGAGTTGGCAATTAATTTTTTCCAAGCTGCAAGCCGACAGGCAAATTTATATTCCTCCCTCTCTGTGGGATCAAGCTAAGAGAAGGTGAGGTAGAAAAGTGAGCTTCAAGTAGCTTTCCAGGATCTAATTGAACAGTGCTAAATAAAGCCTGGAGAGCAGAGGCAAGAGGGGAGAGAGTGCACCCAACAATGGGCAAGCGGTGCTCTTCCCCATTCATTCCACTGACAGGGCTTTTGCAACTTAAACCTGTTTTATTAATTATGTTTGACATTTCCTTAATTAGTTTCATTTACATCCCATCAGCCCCTACCAGACGATTGCTCCATACATCATTTTACTAGGGTAGTGTGATGCCTACAGAATTATAACAACAACAGACAATTTTATGTAACTTACAGGAAATTAGTGGACAGTTCTTTCCATTTTACATGGTTTTATAGAAAGGGGTAGAGGAGAATTCATCTGGTAGTTTTTTTTTTTCCACATGAATTTCTAACCTACACTAATACATTCATAAAGCTAAAAGTATCCAAATCATAAATTTATATGCTCGAGTTTATTATCCAGCTGTAGGATTTACCAAATCTTAAAAACTGCTCATAAGTTTAAAAAGATATAAGCCTACATAAATGAGGTGGAAACACAAGCATACCAGGAATTGCCTTAGTCCTTGACACCTAATGTCCCCTGCTCCCACTTCCCAAGTGTACCTATTTGCTTCTTACCTGGGAACTCAGCCAGCACTCAGATACAGGTGCCCCAGGGTTACCAAGCCCTTAGGTATAAGGTTGAGCAAAATTAAATTGATTGAGTAAGTGGATTAATGAATGAATAAAATGGAAGCCCCAGGTCCTGATTTTATCTGCCAAATTCACTTTGTGGATATGAGTCATCTAACTCTCTGGCTTTGTTATAAGAGTATGGAATGATATAGTGTATATGACAGGCGTTTATAAGCATGAAGCACTGTGCTCATCTAAGGTACTATTTTTGTTGGCATTATCGTTGCTCAAGTCTTAGGTCTGCTATAGAGGTGCCTTGCAGTGCTCTTGCTGCCTGCAATTATGAGTCAGTGCTTTAGGAGTCTGATTTCTAGCCCACAAGCTTTTTGCATAGAGCCCTAAGCTTTATGTCAGCTTCCCATCTGAGATCCTGATTCCAAGATAATGGTCTTTTTGCCCATGTGGACAAATGGCACCTTCCCACTGTTCTTTGTCTTGATTGAGTTGAAGTTTAACTCTGGCCTTATTGTACCTTCCCGATCCTCACTTCCATAGCCACCTCCTTGTGCTTGGTCAGAGAGAAACAACCAACTTCCCTCTCTGCCCAGCTTCCCCGCATATGATGACTTCTTACTACCCAGGTCACTATATTTGCATGAAACTTATATTCAGAATCAATAGAAGATGAATATCTTTGTCAAACTGTATTTTGCCAAGTGACTAAGGACTACAGACTTGTTTATTAACACTACCAGTTAACCAAAACCATGTTAAATGTGTCTGACTGATCACTACTACTACTAATCCAGCTTACATTGTTTTCACTCCCAAAAGCTACCATGATTTTTGATTGAAATTATGATGGAGGGTTATGACAGCTATTGGTTTTACAATGTTTTATTGGGCAATAGCCAATTGGTAATGCACAGGACAGCTCTTCAGAACCCGGGCTGCGTGTTTCAGCCTGAGCTTCAAAGACATGAGTTGGCACTGTTTCCAAGTAATGTACCTCAATCAATTAATAACTTCTACTTATGCTAATCCATAACACTTTAATAAGTACCTATGAACCACAATCACCACATAATTCTTCACTGAATGTATTAGACTTTATATGAATACATCTCTTCTTTTTTTAACCACCAAACAGCTCTCTTTCTTTCTGAATCTATCAGAGAGAAAGATCTTTGAATTATTTTCTGTCTTAGAGAAATTGGTGGTTCTCTTCTTTTCTAAAACGATCTGTGGTATGAAATTGTCCCTTTATAATTTCTTAAGTATCCTCCTCTCTCCAGATTTCTGCTATTAATTACATCCATATTTCCTTTTTACTAGAAATAAAAAGAAAACTGCAATTTTCGTCTATGAGCTTTTCTAATTGCTAGTCTATTTTTCTATTGTTTTCACTACCAGAATGAGTCATCAATATCTGCTGTAGCTTGTTCTTTTCTCTGATTACCTTACAGACTCACTCATACCTCTACCATTGATGTAAGATTCCTTAACATCACCACTTCCCTTCTAATTAACATCTGAAATCTCAATTCTTAAGCCTGTTTTTTGTGACTTTCACGTTAAATCAGCCCATCTTTCTTGACACAACTTTTTCCTCTCCTCTTTCTTCCTTCTTCCAATCCATCAAAAAAAAACAAATTAAGAGCCTACACTGTACAAGTAACAATTGTTGAGGGTTCATCATAAGGAAGGTAAAATTCTACTTCTTTAAGAGCTGGAATGACTGGATGTGCAAACACGACATGTGGAGAAAGAAGCGAGTGCTCCAGTAAACGATGGTCTTTCCTTCAAAGACAGCCAGCATTTCCACGGTCCTGTTCCCATGGTAAGGTTAGTGTTTTTCTCCATGTTTCCCTGTCACCAGTCCTGTTTATTCCTTGCATTTTTTTTTCCTCCAAGTCCTCTGTTATCTAACAAATTCCTAATTACTGGCTATTGGTTATTGTTCTCTAAGATGGTTTTAACCTTGACTTTTTTTTTTCAACTTTCCTTGTCTAATGATATCTCTAGACTACTAAAATGACATCTTAAATGCCTTCTGAATTCTAACTGCTCCTGCTTCAAGTCTAATCTTTTTGCTGAAGCCAGACTTATCTAATCCATGCCCTATTTAATCCATTTGACTCTCCGTCCAAAATTTTGAGTGACTTTACTACCTGTTGAGCAGAAAGTCAAACTTCTTAATCCAAGATTCACAGCCTTTTCCCAAATGGCTCCACGTTCCATTTACCTTCCTGGTCATCCACTAACTCAGGATATCTATTGCTCTGGGACCACACTTAGGGTTTACTCAGCTCTTGCCTTGGTTGACACCATTTCCTCCATCTACTGTGTTTTCCCTACACAATCGTCCCCCAACCAGGGCCTGTGCCTAGAGCTCAGCTCACTGTCCTCCAACTAAGTTCTCTCCAGCTCACTCAGAGGATGCCCTCCATTTGAATTCTCATTCCTTCCCATCTCTGCTCTTTACTTCTCCTGCCCTGAACTTGGGGGTGCTCCTTTGCTGTTATTTTGAACTAATATAGTTCACAACAGTTTTTATTTAACTTGTTAGCTGCTTATGCCTTATTTCTACAAAAAGATTGTAAGCTCTCATGTTTCTATATATTTATTGTCTGCAACGCACATACACATACATGCATGATGCTCATTAAATACTGACGAAGGGCAGAATGAGATATTATGCTTATCTATGCCAATACAAATTAACTGGAGTACCAGCACACACTGGTGCTCAGGAAATACATGATATGTAAGAAGTAATACCTTCAGAAAAATTTACACAATCAATAGATTATGATAAGATTTACATTGTCATGAAGAATCATTTATAGAACTACCAGGGCACTATCTTTCTAAAGTGTAAATTATTTACCTCATTTTGCTTAAGTAGACACTTAAAGAGGAAGTACAATTCTGTTCAGATAATTGCCATCTAGAGAATAATAACTAACTTCAATATTGTGTTTTCCTAGATGCCAGAAACTGGGCTGGGTACTGTACACACATTATTTCAAATGTGCACAGCACAAAGTAAACAACTTTATCTCTGCTTTATAGATAAAATTGAGACGTGAAAAAACAACTTTCACAAGTTCATAAAACTACATTAAATATTAAATACTTAAGCAGAGATTTGAATTGCGTCAGTCTGACTGTAAAATGATGCCCTTTCTACTACATTGTGGGCAATTAATTATGTTATAAATCTACACCAATCATGTTAACCTTGTAATTACCCATGATGGTGTGGATTGAGAATGAGATCAAGCACCGCTTATGATTTTGACTTATCTGAAGAAGAATAACAATAGGTAATATTTATTGAAAATTTCCAACATGCCAGCTCTGTTCTAAGAGCTTTACTTATGGTTGCATTAAATGCTTCAATCACATCTGCTACATTAGTTGAACGCTATGATTCCCACTTCACGAAATAAGAAATCAAAGCACTGAGAGTTTTGGTTACTAGCCAAGGTCATACAACCAAGAATTAGCAGAACCATGATCTGATTTAGGCAAGATGGCTCCATGGCTTCTCAACAATGGCGCCAGTTCCAGAAACGTATTTCACCATTGATAGAAAGAAAAAAGACCTTTAAACCTTCTATAGGTGAGGCTTTAGGAAACAACTTAACTGTTTTGTACAATTTTTTTAATGTTCATAACTCATGACACTTGAGTGGTGTGATACAGTTTGGATATGTGTCCCCGCCTGAATCTCATGTTGAATTGTAGTTCCCAATGTTGGAGGTGGGGCCTAACAGGAGGTGATTGGATCATGGCAGGTGGATTTCTCATCAGTGCTTAGCACCCTTCACTTGGTGCTATTCTTGTGATATTGAGTGAGTTCTCACAAGATCTGGTTGTTTAAAAGTGTGCAACACCTCCCGCCTCCTCTCTCTGGCTCCTGTTCCCACCATGTGAAACACCTCACTTCCCCTTTGCTTCTAGCCGTGATTAGAAGCTTCTTGAGGCCTCCCTCAAAGCAGAAGCCACTATGCTTCCTGTACAGCCTGCAGGACCAAGAGCCAATTAAACCTCTTTTCTTTATAAATTACCCAGTCTCAGGTATTTCTGGATAGCAAAGTCTGATTGGACTAACACATGGTAAGAAGCATTTCATGCTAAATTAACCCTAAGTTATCTCATGTGTGTCTGTGTGTGTGTGTGTGTGTATGTGTGTGTGTGTGTGTGTGTTTTGGTTTCTCTGTTTTGTTTTTGTTTATCTGACTAGCACTACTCTTGTCATAGTGCAGAGGAGAGCAAGCAGGGTGAGATGCAAATTATTTATGTATAGTTCCCCAGCAAGTCAGCATTTAAGAAAGGAAGAAGAGGAAGAAGGCAAAGGAGAAGGAAGGTAGAAAGGCAGGAAGGCAGAAAGGCAGGAAGGCAGGAAGGAAGGAAGGAAGGAAGGAATGAAGAAAGGAAGGAAAGGGAAAGGAAAAGAAAGGAGGGAGGGAAGGAAGAAAGAGGAAGGGAGGGAAATTTTCTTTTCTGTCTCTGAAACAGTAGCTCTTGAATCAGTCCTCACCTATCACACCCCTACTCTTGGTGATTTGCACTTATTTACCATTGTCGTCTTCTTCAGCCTGGTGTCCTGAGCATTCCAAATATCAGGTCACAGAGGCCATTTTCCATTCTACTGCTTCTATTTCAGTAATTCTATTTTGTGTGGAGCTTTAGAGAAAGTACTTTTGAAAAAGCTTCTTGCATCCAGGGAGGCAGGACAGAGGCTAATTAGGAGACCACATGAAATGTGAAAAACACAACGGAGGCCATGACACCCAGGTCCATTCAAGCGTCTTCACAGGAGTCATGGTGATCAACTTAAGTAGTCCATTTCTGTACTGGAAAATTATATTCTGCCTTCTTCCAACCGTCCTGAATTCTTAGTGAGGTAAGTTCATTGCCCAAAGTTCTAAGTTATCACTATTGTCTATTCTACACTTGAAAGTGGCCTTATATTGGTATCTGAATGAAGTGAGATCTTATAACTGTCTTCTGATGCATCAGACATCTAACTGGAAAAAAAAAGCACTATGAATTCAGCCACAATCTCCATGGTTATGGTCACCTAAAACCACCACTAAAGCTGTTTACCTCAAAATTGCAACTATAGCTGATGATCATTTTAGTCTGGATCAATACAGATTGCATTTACTCCATTTTGTCTTAAAATATTATTAAATAAATTCTTGGGTCTTTATTTGGTGAATATTGACTATGCCTATACAGTGTTCTAGGTGCCAGGGATATGAGGTAAAGAAGGCAGAAAGGTCCTCAGTGCCAAGGTGTTTATGATATCCTACTAGGAAAAGCAGGTATATATAAGGAAGAATCGCATTAGAAAATGAAATGGCATTGTGAGAGTGCCTGACAGGGGTTGGGATGGGGTTGAGGAACATCAATCAGGGTGGTTAGGAAGGGCAGAGTGCATGCAGAGAGGCAAGTTCTGCCCAGATAAGGGCTAGGAGTAGGCTTTCAAGATAGAGGGAAGGACAAGTGCAGAGTCCTTCAGCAGTAAAGAGCTTGGTGTGCTCAAGGCAAAAGAAGCCAGTGTAGCTTGACCAGAGTGAGCAGGAAGAGAAGAACAATAGGACATTGAAGGTGGACTTTTGGACATTATTTCAAGCTCAATGGGAAGCCACAGAGGCTGTATCTGGTTTATTTTAGAACAATTAAAAATATCAACATCAAAAAGATATGAATTTAAATTAGAAAATAATTTCAATGATAATGAAAGTTTAATGCAATTTTAATTTTGTTTTCTTTAGGTTTCAAATCTTGTAAATATCTGATAGGAAAAGCGTGGCTTGAAATGCCTAAGGGTTTATAATGAACTTATTAAAAATAGTTTTCCAGTGGATTTTTTCTGTCTTTTTCTCCCTGAGTCATTGTTAGCTGAATTCCCCCAAGCATTGATGCAGAGGTTAGAAAGAAAAGAATTTATAAAAAGAGTCTAAAAAAAAGGTTGATATGTTTGATCATAGGATTTTTTGTTGTTTTTTTGTTTGTTTGTTTTTGTTTTTGTTTTTTTTTTTTGTATCCAAGAAGTCCCTTTTGCAATTGTTGGGAAGAAGCTTAAAAGGTGAAAGGACATTCACATTTCCCCGGAGCCTCAGTCAACTTTAGGTGCTAGGCTTGTGAGTTCACGATTGTTGTTGTGTTGTTTTTCCCCTCTATTCTTAAGCAAGGTACTAAGGGTCACTGATGGTCTACAAGGCCTATTACTCTTGAAATGTAGGATGCAGTCACTAACTTAGGATTCAGTTGAAATCCAAAAGAGACCATGCAAGCATCCAAGGCAATTAACTGCCTGTACCATTTTCCATAAAACACTGTGCTAGTTTACAAAGGGCTGCAAGAGATCTGAAATATCATCAAATGGTGAAAAATCAAAATATTTTGCTGTCATATGCTGTCACATACTGTCAGAAAGCCTTGTGCTATGGCCACAGTCAAGTTGAATCTGATTAAAAGATCAGCAAACAAGGCAGGTTTAGGGGTATTTGACCTCATCAGTGCTGTGCCTGGAAGTACCTGTCAGTGTTTTGGTTGTCCTATGCTGTGACACTATTGCTTATGCAGCTTGCCAGTGGATATGCCTGATGACATTCTGGAGAGGAAACAACAGATTGATGTGTTCAGTTTTCTATTTTCAAATACTGTTCAGTGCTGCAAAGATGGAGCTTAAATTTAATTCCAATTACCAGTTCCACAAACAATGAATTATTCAAGATAAACTGCCCAGTTTTACTGAAGCATGTCTGTAATATGCATATGTTTGCTTCTATCTATACATATGTGGACTGAGATGGAGGTATTAAATTAGCTTATCGTCAGTTTATTAGAATTCATTAATGCTATATCTTTTAAAGAGGCTGATCAATATTTGCTGAGTTGGGGTTATATAACTCACAAAAACTTTACAGCTCCAAATATACATGCATGTCCATTTAAAAAATGTAAAAATGTAAATAATTAAGAATTTGTATCTTATAGGCAAGGAAAAGAGGCTCTATGTAAGATGTGTGTGTGTATGTGTTTATTTAGGAATAGGATGGAATAAATAAGTTAAAAAAGACTAGTCTTTTTTTTTTTTCTCTAAACCTGTCTGATATTGCACTGGCATAAGTAGTGATGTCACGGCATTGTCACGTCATAAAGTTAGTGAAATTAGAATTTTAGCCAATTTTAAGAAGATATACATTCTGTCTTTTCATTGTGATTCACATGGAGAAAATATACACTTTACTTTCAGCAACTCTACCCCAAGGATTTTCATTTATTTGCCTTAGGCAAAACTGAATTTTTTTGTTCTTGTTTAAAATTTTCACATTTCACAGGGAAAGAAAAAATCCTGGATAGCTAGAACATGACAGTTTCCCCATCTGTGAGAAATTGCTCCAAAAACAGTGATGTAAGTCTAAAACTTGTTTCCATTTTTAAAAGCCCTCAATTTTTAAAGTAACTCTTTAATGAATTATAAAAATATAGACAGCAAAGTGGACAGATCACTAAAGTTGGATAATTTTCAGAGTTAACACACTTTTGTAACTACCACACCAATTAAAAACCAGCAGAGTCCCTCTCATGCCTACCTCCAGTCACAGCCTCACTTCTGTGGTTATCCGTTCGTTTTGTCTGCTTTGAACTTTGTGTATGTGGAATACTACTGTTTGTCCTCTGTGTCTGATTTCTTTCACTCAACATTATGTTTGTGAAATGTACCCATGATGTTATGTTTAGTGGTGGTTCATTCTCACCGCTGTATAGTATTCCATGGATTAGTTAGGCCACAATTTATTTATATGATCTCCAGTTGATGGGTTCTTGGGTTGGTTTGTCTCATTTCAACTGCAAATAGTGTTGTTATTATCCTTCTTGTATGGGTTTCTTAGTACACATTAGTACATACCTGTTGGAAATATGCTTTCAGTGGAATCATGAGGCACAGGGCACGAATATATTCAGCTTTAGTCGTGTTTAACAGTTTGCCAAGATAGTTCCACAAATTCCCCCTCAGTGCATAAGAGTTCTAATTCTGCAACCTTGCCAGCATTTGGTATGGTTAATTTTTTTAATCTAGCCATCTTGATGAAGGCACAGTGGTATCTCAATGTGGTTTTAATAAACTTATGTGACTAATGAGCTGTGCATCCTCTTTTATATTTATCTGCCACTTGGATTTCTTTTGCATTTTTTGATTTGATTGCTGCCATCCAGTTTTCAATTGTGTTCTTTATATTTAGTACTTTTTGTGTTCTGTTTAATAAACCTTTGCCTACCCCAAAGCTGTGATAAAATTCTACCATATTATCTTCTAGAAGCTTTATTATTTTACTGCTCACTTTTTAATCTTCAATTTATTTATATTTGGTGTGAGACAGAGATTAAGTTCATTTTTCTGTAAGAATATCTATTCAATCCCAAATCATTTGATGAAAAAAAAAGCATCTTTCTTCCCACCATGCTGAAGTGTCATCTTCATCATAAATCAAGTCACCATGTATGCATTTGTCTGCTTCTGGTCTCTTTGTTTTGTTCCATTGGTCTATTCATTCATGTGTGCAAAAATGTAATATTTTCTTAACTACCAAAAATTTATAATATCATGATATGTAATAGTTTAAATCCTCCAACTTTATTGTTTGTAAAATTCTCAGTATTTTGAAATAGCATATACATTTGTGAAAGAAACCTTGTTAGTTTCTATAAAGAACCTTTTATGGTTTCAGTTGGGATGACATTGAATCTATAAATCAATTTGAAAAGAATTAACTGCTTTATAGTATAGAAGCTTCCATCTGTTATCTTGGTATATTACTGTATCATTTTTAGAACATTTAAATTTCTCTCAATTTTTTTAATAGTTTTTAGAAGTCTCACACATCTTTTGTTACATTTATTTCTGAGTGTTTTGTATTTTGTTGCTATTGTTATAAATAATATTAGTTCTTTAATTTAATTTTCAAATTATTTTCCTAATATATGGGAATACAAATGATCTTTGCATATTGGCCATGTGTCTAGAGCATTGCTAAATTGACTTAATAGTTTTATTTTTTGTAGATACTGTGAATTTTCTATGTACCTATAATCTATTATCTATGTACATAATGACAGCTTTATTTTTTATATTATAGATCTTTATCTCTTGTATTCTTGCCTTATTGCACTGTCTAGTATCTCCAGAATAATGTTGAATAGAAATATTTATAGCAGGGAACCTTGTTGTAATCTCAGAGTTTAAGAGGTATAGCTTTCAATATTTCACTGTTAAATTTGAAATTTGCTATAGACTCTATGGATACTCTTTTTTAGATTTCCCAAGCTCTCTTCTAATCCAAATTCTTATGCCTAATTGGAAGCTTTAATCATGAAAGGGAATAGAATTTTATCAAATTTGAGATGCTCATATTTTCCTCTTATGTTAATTTGGAGAGTTACATTGATCATTGATTGACTCCTTAAAATAATCCTGCATTCTGGAAAAAAGTCAACATGCTGTGATCATCTTTTTCTAAAATATGGATGGATTCAATTTGATAATATTTCATTTAGAATTTTGTGTCTGTGTTTAGAGGGATACACCTATGATTATTTTTATCTTACAATGCTTATCATGTTTTGGTATCAAAATTATTGTGGCCTAATAAAACAAATTGATAAATGCTCCCTTTTCTCTTAAGAATTTATGTAAGATTGATGTTATTTATAACTCAGGGCTTTAAAAGAATTCACTAGGGAAACCATCTGAGCCTGGAATTCTGCGGGAGAAGTTTTTAAATTATAATTTTAAAATAGATTATATATATATATATATATATATATATAGAATTATTCAGTTCTTTTCTTCATCTGTGTTAGTTTGAGGTTGTGTTTGACTATTAATTTTTATATTTTATCTAAATTCTTAATTGGCATAAAGTTGGATATAATATCCTTTTCTTATCTGGATTATGTCTGTAGGATCTGCAGTGTTTTCTAGCTTTTCTTTTCTGATATTAATAAATAGTACATTCTCTTTTTTGTTCTTAGTCTTTCCAATAGTTCATTATATTAATCTTCTCAAATAACTAACATTTGACATTGTGATATTGTTTTCACTTATAAATTTCACTTTTTATCTTTTTATTTATTTATTTTTTTACTTTTTACTTATTTTGGTACAATTTACTTTTTAATTTGTAATTTTTTAGGTGGATACTTAGATCATTAATTTTTTAGCCCTAGCTCTTTTCTGGAAAATACACATTACAGAAAGCTTACTATTTTTCTCTTCTAGTCAGAGATGGTGAAGGTTTAATTCTCTTAATTGAATCAGACCCTAAGTTGGGTTGAGAATGGATTGGAATTTTGTTAAGACTTTGTTTGCTCTTGGCATTTCTGCTCCTGAGGCATGATTCTCCAAAGCCTTGCAATCTCTGCACTTCTTAGATTTGTGGCTTAATGTCTTACCCCACTTTGGGAAAATTCTTGGCAATGATTTGATCAGATATGGCTTCTTCCCCATTTGCTTTCTCTTCTTTTTTTGAAACTTAAATGACAAGTAGGTTATACCTTTTTACTAAGTCTAGTATGTTTTTATATTTCTCCCTCCTTCCCTTCATTTTCCATTCCATTTATGCTTCATGCCTCTGTGTGAATATGTTCTACTAATGTAATGACTGATTCTTTTTTCAATTGTGTTCAATTTGCTGTTAAACCCATCTATTTAGTTCTTAAGTTCAAAAAAAGTCTATTTTTTCAGGTCCAGAATTTTCATTCATTTTTAAAATAGATTCTAATTCTTTACAATATGTATCCAATTCATTGTCTATCTTATTAAGCATATTAGTTTTAGTTAAAGTCTACAGTTGATAGACTTTACTATTATGGAGTTATATTTGATAACTCCAATATCGAGATCACCTATGCCTCTATCATCAGTGTTTATTCTTGGTCCTATTTCTTGGTATATCTGGAAAATATTTATTGAATTTCAGGCTTGTGTACACAAAAATTATAGAAACTGTGGATGCTATTGTCTTTTTCTAGTAAGAATCCATCTTATTTTCTGGTAGGCAGCTACTAGAAGAGCACACCTTCTTATTCCAATAAGAAATTGAGCAGTTTTGAGTGAGCATTTAAGACTTTTGAAGACTTAGTCTACCTCTGGTTCACCTCTAATTCTTGGGCATAGCTCTCAGATGTTCTGATTGAGAGCCTGAGGTTATCATTTAGGGCTTCTTTTTTCTTGGTGGGTCCTAGATGTCAATATTTGTCCTCCCATTATTGAGAAAGTTCTGTTGAGCTTTTCATCCACTTTTTCTCTCGCTTTTTGGCATCTTGGCTTGTGTATCTTTAGAATCAGCAAATTCTTCATGAAGAAAACTGACACGGAATATTAAATTCACTTACCTACAACTTCCTTTCTTTTGGGATCATAGACCTTTAAGTCTCTGCTGCCCTGGCAAGACTAAACTTTACTTTTTGTCTTCAGCTTCATTAGGGTGTTGCAAGCTCTGCTGTTTGCCTTTTGGCAGTGGCCAGCTACCTGGTTTCTTAGCATCTTCTCTTGGAAGTTTACAAGCCAACAAATTTCTTGAAGAAAAATTGAAATGTACAGTAACATTGCCCTCATGATAGTAAGTTTTGCATTTCTCCAAAATGTTGGCCCATCAAGTACTAGCTTTCTTGGAAGTACTCTGATTCCTTCAAACAGAATATTTTTGGAATTTCATATAGTTGTACTAGTTGTTCTTAATGGGGGTGATGGTCTGCCTCAAGCCACACCATCATAGCTGGAAGCAGAAAATAGCAAAGCTTTCACATTTAAATTAAGGAATACTTCATCTTTACTTTTTTACCAGCTTCATCCCCACCAATAAAATTTATGTACCATGAAATTTTTGTTTTTTAGATTACTCAAGGAACAAACATTTGATGGGACATAGGATAACATATCAGTGAGGATAAAAAGGGCAATAATATGAATCAAATTTTGCACATAAAAATGTCTTGAGCAAATACATATTGGTATTTTAAGTTCTAAGTTTACTGGTTTCTTATATATTTAATAAAATTGCACACATTTTACACTAGTACCAAGAGAATTCAAGAAACAAAAAGTAAAGTCATAAAAAATGAATGCATTTCCCTTTGGGTTTTAGGAGGCCTCTCATTACATATAATGCTGTGACACACTGGCAGAATATCTGATGAACTATCATTCATGACAGAATGACTTCAATTACATTGATAACAAGATGACATGTTCATGTCGTTGGTATCCTACTCAGTCTTGCCATCTGTTCTCACAGTAACATTGACTTAAGGGCCATGTTCCTAGTTATTTGGTTAGAATTTATTTCCTTCTGTATTCAGAGCCAAAGCAAATATTCATAAGAATTGTTTCCGGCAGGGCACAGTGGCTCACGCCTGTAATCCTAGCACTTTGGGAGGCTGAGGTAGGTGGATCACGAGGTTAGGAGTTCGAGACTATCCTGACCATCATGGTGAAACCCTGCCTCTACTAAAAATACAAAAATTAGCCTGGCATGGTGGCGTGCACCTGTAATCCCTGCTACTCAGGAGGCTGAGGCAGGAGAATCGCTTGAACCCGGGAGGTGGAGGTTGCAGTGAGCCAAGATCATGCCACTGCACTCCAGCCTGGGTGACAGAGCGAGACTCCATCTCAAAAAAAAAAAAAAGAATTGTTTCCCATTGTATGCTTGGGAAACCCATTTTTGAAGAGGATTTTCCTGTAACCATGACCCAGTAAGTGCCATATTATTTGCTAATAGCTTCTACCCTCCAGACATAGACACATACACACCTTTACCACCCTCTTCTCTTTTGCCCTTTCCCTCTCCCTTTCTCCTCCTCTTTCCAAAATGGTTACTTCAGGCGAAAGAATGACCAAATATATATATTTTTAAATTCCAGTTGCATGTTGTTTGTTGTCAGTCAAAATTTTTTCTGTTTTATTTCTAGTCATAAAACTCACCCCTTATTAAGTCTACCCTGTGCTGACAGTTTCTTTATCCTGAAGTCCATTAGCACCTTCTTGAATTCTTACCTGGCTCTAAATAGAATCTGCAGAGAGGATGGCCCTGGGATCGTTCTTTCCCCTGTGCTTTGTTTTCCCTATATGAGCCATCTTAGGTTAGGCTCCTTGGATGCAGAGCCTGAGGAAGGTATTTGGACACATGTGGCTGATGGAGGGAGTGCTTTTTAGACAAACAAACAAAAACTACCAGGTTTGTAAGAAAATAAAAACTGCAAGGAGTGAAGCAGGATGAAGAAAGCAAAAACAAAACAAAACAATGGGAATGTAGTCTCAGGTAAAGTCTTGCCTTGCTCTAATCCTCTGGGATCTCAGAAGCACAAATTCCACTGCAGATTTGCACCCCTTAAGGGAAAGAGGCCAGGATTTTGTGCTGTTATTACTCTATCATTGTCTATGGAGTACTCCAGGAAGGGCTGCAAAACTTCCCTCCAGCTACTGAGGGAAATTCTGTGGAGGGGGGCACTAGGAGCCCCTGACAGTCAACACTCACAGTGGCTGGCAGGGCACCCTAACAAGGTCCATTCTGTGAGTCAGTTGGCTTTTAAAAATATAAATTAAATCCTGTCACTCCTCTGTTTAAGCCTTTTCTATTTAGAACAAAAGAGAAGCTCCTTACAACTCTTCCTACTCACAGTGCCCTATTTGATCTGGCTTCCATTTACCTCCCAAGCTCCATCCTGCAACACTCTGGTCTCCATTCATTATATAGGTAATAAATCTTCATGGAGGATATCCTAGGTGCCATACACTTTTTTAGGCACAGAGGATACAGCTGTGAACAAGGCAAAAATCCCTGCAGTCCGGGACCTTCTCCAGTCTTCCCTCTCACCTAATTCAAGCCATATTTGCACATTTTTTCCCCCTAGAATACATGAATGGGAAATTCACTCTCCCTCGTGGGTGTCGTGGCACGCATTCTCATTTTCATTTCAAATGTTACCTCTTCAGGCAGGACTTCCCTTCTGACTCTACCCAAGCCAGCAACTCTACTTTTTTTTTTATTATTTTCTATTGTTTGATTATTTTCATGGCACTAATCACAATGTACAATTTTTAGTCAATTATGAGTTTCACTATTTGATGAATTGTCTCTATGCTGTCTCAATTCTCTTTAAGGATAATCTCTAGTTCCTGGGAAATTCCTGGATGCTTAGAAATTGTTAAGAAATGTTTGAAAAGTAAGCAACTAAGTAAAGGAATGTAGTCTCATGCATAGTCTGGAGAGTTTTAAATTTTTGATTAGCTTTAAGTCTTGGTTTAAGTGTAAACCTTAAAGATACAGCCTATATCTCTACTGTCTTTTTCTCTCCCAAACCATTGCACACAAAGTTGACCCTAAGTAGTACTGATTTTGCTTCATTAAATTCACCTTCTTGAGTTGGGTAACCCACATTGCAGTTATTAGTAGCAAAAGTCCAGAAATACTTTTTGATATACTGTTATGTGCACCCCAAGTATAGGGAGTTATGTTTACATTACTATTGTCAAGATTAATCATCTGTTCTTTCTTAGTAAGTTGTGCTGCCTTGATTAATGCCATTAGGGACCCTAAAAAATTGAAAATCTTGAATTTCCATAGCAGGCTTCCAGGATCAGCTACCACTTCAAAGAACCATTGGTGATATTTACTTACAGTTAAAGAAACAGGAGCAAATTAGAGCCTTTTATGGTTTATTCACTACAATTGCTCTTTATCTAAATTAATAATGAAAAGTTTCCTAACCTGGGCATTGCAAGAGGTTTCAAAAGACAATGCCTGAAATGAATCCCCAGTCCTATCCCAAGGATGAGCAGACAACTGGTAGCCGAGAACCCTTTATACCCATGTATGAAGAATTGTGCAGCCATTATGATGGGCTGGGACAAAGTCAGCTGCTGATGTGTTAGAGCTCACGTGTTAGTGACTTGGATGTAGGGCACATAGATACTTTGATGAGCATGAATGGGATGAAATCTCATATGACAGGTAAAAACAGGGAAGCAAGGAATGGTTTTGTTACTTCTCAGTGACTCCCTCTGTCTCTGAAGCAGCTTCCTTTGGAAGAAAGCACTTCCTCGATATATATATGAACCTACCTTTGAGGATGAACTACTACTGAAGGTATAACCTATACTCAATGTCCTGGGGGCTTCTAGAAGGAAGGAAACTGGGGGCAGGGGGAAATCAAGGAAAGGGAGAGGGGAGAAAACCCTGCTGGGTTTAATCTGAACAGTGTATCCATCACCCAAAATGATACAAATCAGCCATTACTGGATCATGCAAAAGACACTCTCCTACCTGTGATCCCTTCTTTGCTTTCTAAACCTCTTTTCAGCTCAGCCTAATGAATTGTCAGAACTGTCAGACAGCTCTAAGGAATGACAAATGTCTATGATTTGCTGCTGCTGCTGCTATTTTGCTGGAAACACCTGATGTATGTAGTCTTGCATTCTTCAGTTTCGAATTAGAGACTTGGAAAACAAAATCAACCTTGATAAATATAGCAATTTTTCCCCTGTTCTGTAAGCTGAGCTGAATGGATATTTTTAAATATAAAGAACTCTCTTTTGTTCTTATAATATGTATGTGGCACAGGGTAAATCTCAAACAAAGGGCTAATATCCCAGTGGTGGATTGTGTGTGTATGGGGGGGAGGGGGTGGGTAATCGCCAATTCATGAATTAGAGTTCTGTTTACATTTCTATTGTCAAGATTAATCATCTGTTCCTTTTAAGTAAGTTGCGCTGCCTTGATTAATGCCATTAGGGACCCTATGAAATCGAAAATCTGGGATTTCCATAGCAGGCATCCACGATCAGCTACCACTTCATAGGACCATGGGTGATATTTACTTAATGTTGAAAAAATAGGAACAAATTTGAAAAATTATTTAATGTTTTAGAAATGAAAAAACAAATTCTTACTAATAAATAAGTTCCTCCAGTGGCATGATAATTATTCCGGATACTGTATATTAGATGTGTTTAACACAAAGATAACAGCTGAGGTTTTCATTGGGTCATAGATATATATTCTCTAAACCTTCAAATAACTAAAAATTTAGTGCAAATTAAAATATGTTGGAATAATCAAGATATTTGAATTGTGGAGATGATTTTATAGAACTGTCATTACATTTATATGCATATGTGTATTTGTTCTGATTACATATGTTCAAAACTAAAATTTTAAAATAGCTTTATCTATCCTAATAGCTCAACATCTCTTTTTTCCATGCAATGATTTCACATTAGCTCTAACAGGTAGAAAGGTTTACAATGCTTTTACAGATCATAATATCCCCAAATAAATAGTTCTTTTAGCTTATCAGTCATACTAGGGCCCTCAGCCAAACCTATCCCAGGTATGAAATGTTATAGTCCTATTTAGCAAAGTGATTTCTATTTCTGCCTGTAATGATCACAATAAGAAGAGCTACATCAATTTCTCAATCATATGCTCCCATTTAGAGTCATCTCTTGTTGGTTATCTGCCAAAAGACATTTCACACAGCCAAAAATTATTAACATTGAGGAGGCCTAGGGGTCATACTTTTGAAAAATTTTAAGTAGGAATTTCTACTTTCAATTTTATATGTTGTCATGTACTGGATGGCTATCTGAAGAGGGGTCTAACAAGTCAATGAGATGACACATGTCCCCAGAGTACAAAGTAGAAACCTGATCACTATGTAGATAATTTGGGTCATGTTAGTTAGCCTGGATTACTGAGTGGTCAATAGATAATAGAAAGGTGGTATGCCCTATGAAACAGAGCCCAGGCTTTGAATTCAGAAAGTTTGATATTCTCGTCCCTTTGCTGTAAAAATTTGGGAAGGTCCTTCATTTATGAAATGAAAATTTCAAGTCTTCAATGTTGTTGCCAAGAATAAAAATTCTATGTATTGCACCTAGCGTATACTAGGTCCTCAACAAATGATTAGTATTTATACTTTTGCCATAGTTGCTGGTAACAACAGTCCCTCCTAAGGAGATGTTTTTATTTTCTAAAAAATATATTTCTGGATCTTTAAAAAATTTAACTTCTCACTTTAGTACCCTATTTCTCTAGAAGATATTCAGATTCATCTGTTGGTGATGATTCTCTAGTTGAAAACTTTTGCATTTGGATCCACAGATAATGTTTCTAAGAGCTTTCTCTCCTTCACTAAAGGCTGTCTCAAATCTTAGTCGTGAGGAAAGGAAAGGAATTGTATTTCTCTATATCTTAATGTAAAAGTAGGTAGAAGAGGAAGAAAAGATAAATACCCAGAGAAATTGAAAGGCTCTAGCGATAGTACTTGATAACTGCATAAAATTGTATCATTTCAAGAATTATTAGCCCATATACAGCACTTCATATTTACAAAATGCTTGATAATGGCTATCCAGATAGTTTTTTCCAATAAGCCTTTGAAATATGCTAGTATTATGACCTCCATCTTTCAAGAAAGGAGGCTGTGGTAAAAGGAGATTAAATGATCTATTCAGGGGAAAAATGCTTTTGAGCTTCCATGGAGGCATCTAAGAAATAGTGAGTTAGGTTCTTTCCCCCAGGGCCCTGTTCACTTCCTGATGGTAGATTAAGAGCTAGTGTGGGTAACAGGAAGTGGTGGTGGTAGATTAAATTCTTTGATTCAACAGCAGGACTTTTTAAAAAATGGAATGAGTATCTGATTCTTCACCTCTTTTCCCCATGGGTATTCCGGGCTGGGTCAGTTAATTGAAGAGGATCAGTGAGGTCAAGGTTACAGAAATTCTCCAAATGGTTACAGGTGCACTCTTATCTCAGATACACATCAGTCCATGACCTCATTTATAAAGGTAAGTGGGGCAGAGTTTGGATACACACTTACATCATCATGATGGAAAAAAACATCTCAAATATATTTCTTTCTTTGTATTATTTTCATAGATAAAAGGATGCCTGATTCCCAAATTTGGGGTATTTTTAAGTGTCATTTTTAGGCTAATAATAGTGCCGTTAGATTTTCTATAAAATTTTTTGGCTATTCATTGAATATAAAGAAAACCGTAGGAAAATTAATCTTTTATTTCATATGCGTTTTTGCTGTAACCTCTTCCTAACCTCACTATGGAGTCCCTTCATCGCCTTAGTTTCATGATTAAAATAACCGGGTAACTGAGCTGAAAGCGGGAGAAAAGTAGCTATGGGACGAAAGAAATCCAACTTCCAGAAAATCAGCTTTGGTCACTACTGCAGCAAGGACAAAATAACAACGCTCAAAATTGGGCAATGAATTTGTAAGTATTGAACAAGAAAGAACCAAAAGGATTTGTTCTTCCAGGGTGCAAGATATGAGGCAGGTCATGTTTAAAATACTGGGCCAGGTCCAGGCCACTTCATAATACAACTGCATTCTATAGGAATGAGGAAGATAGAATTGAACACAAACAGAATGACAGAGGGACTTAGGGAGCTGAGCATCTCATGAGGGATGGGCAAATGGTGTGGATAAAATAAGAACCAAACTGAACTTTCACCCAAGCCAGAGTGAAATCAAGCTCTTTTAAGAAAAAACAAAATCTGAGCATTGTATCATTTCTTTTCTCATCATATTATATTTCATTTTTTCCCCTTTTGACATCTAGAAAATCTCAGAAATATGAGGGGGATGAGGAAATGACAAGACCTCTTCTAGTATTCTTTCCAGACTAAAAGAAATAAATCTCAGTGAGCCTAGGGATACCACCCAAGCCAAAATATGAATGTGTGTATAGATGGGTGTATATGCATGGTACATGCACACCCACGCATGCACGAATGCATGCACACACTCACACACACACACACACACATGTATTCATGCAAATTCTAGCAGACACCATTTAGGTTAAATGTACTGAATTACCCTCCATGCTCAGTCACCCTATTCAAACTCTCATCTCCCCCTCTTCTGGGCTTCAGGCATTTCTACATACAAACTGGCAGATGAAATACTCTGGTGCCTTCTCTCCTATCTGTGGCAGCAGAGCCCTTGGTTTCTGAGACCACCCTAAAGCCACCTGTGTCAGGTGCCTGGTGAATGAGTGTTTCTCCTACTTACAACTGTAGGACAGTCAATCATTACACATCAGCCAACCACTGACTCTCCTGCCCTTGGTTATTCCATGGCACAACCTTGTCTGTGTAGGAAGGGTGAGTAAGCATCAATGTTTCAGAAGTGATGGGCTCTGCACAGACAGTTCCTCCTCCTTTTCCTAGTTGTTATGCCGTGCTGAGAAATTCATGCTGCTTTCCTCTTTGGGACCAGCACCTACTGCCCAAGAACTACAGGCACCAGGTGCAGGGCTAGGTAGGGCTAAAGGGAGGCAGGTTTGACTCACTCATGCTCCTCCTCTCAGCCCATCTTTGAGGAAACACCGTCACTGGTGCTTTCAAAGGCACAGTTCTAAGGCTCTGAGTTTTCATTCTACTTCGTAACTTTCCCATGGTGCCTGCCACTCAGTTTACCTCTAACTTAAAACCAGAAGTTTGAGATAAACTAGAAAGGTAGGTTCAAGGGCATCAGTTACAATAAGTCCTCACTTAATATCGTGGCTATGTTCCTTGAAACAGTGACTTTAAATGAAATAACATATAAGGAAACCAGCATTCCCATAGGCTAATTGACATAAACAAGAGTTGAGTACCTATGGCTTATTTCTGGTCACAAAAACATCATCAAACTTCTACATAAAGACCCCAAACACTTCTAATATTCAACATTGAAGTAAATGTGAGCTATTCATACTTTAGGAAAGTGAAAAACCAGATAATTCTCCAACTTGTGGCAGTTCAGGTTGTGAGTGGCTGGAGCTCATCTGGGCAGGTTCAGGGTGCAAGGTGAGAACCAGGCCTGGCCAGGACGTTATCCCATCACAGAGCACATGCACACACAACCATACTCACTCACATTGGTGCCATGTAGACACGCCAGATAACCTAACGTGCACAGCTTTGGGATGTGGGAGGAAACTGAAGTACTTGCAGAACCCCCAGGCACACATGGGGAGAACGTGCAAACTCCACACAGACTGTGGCCCCAGCAGGAATGGAGTTTTTTTCTCGTGAACATTATAATGAAATGATGTTGAAGAAAATGACGCTATTTGAGTACCTGCTGGACTCTGAGGCCCTGCTCCTTCTCAGCTCTAAATATGAAAACAATACTAAAATAATAATTGCAAGTTCCACCCTGTGTGAGGACATCACATATTGTTTCTTCACAAGGACCATTTGGAGATTAAGAGAATAAAGTAGAAAAAAAAAAGCGTGTCTGAAGTCCCCCTATTAGCCAACTGGGAAGGGAGAAGGCAGGCAGACTCAGAGGATACCCCTCTGCCTTTTGGGTTTTTATTGACCATTCACGAAGATGGGGAAGGAAGACCTTATGTAGTCTTTTAACATTATTTCTAAAATTGGTAAATAGCAGCATGTTGGTGAAGAGCTGATGTTCTGGAATTTAAATTCAAATAACCCTACCATTAGGAAGTTTTCTGGGTTTGGAAAAGATGTATGTGGATAGTTCAGTCTATTTTAAAACCAGCACAACAAGAGCTCTGATTTTCTTCTACATGCTGCATCTCTTTGGTCATCATTATAATCATTCAAGCAATGATCATTTTCACAAGGGGCTCCCACAGATTTGCTGGAAGCATGTGGTGGCTGAGGGTACTGGATTGCCCACCACCTGGATGCAGTGGCCTGTAATCACCTAGCACACCTGGGATTGGTTCATGTCAATTTGCAATAAGAAAAAAAAATCACAAATATTCTTGTCATTTTATCAGAGTAAGTGGATGACCACAAGCAATATGGAAAGTTTGAGTGTCTTACCCAGATTGCCAAATTGGGCTAGAGATGGGGATGTGATAACTTGAGAATAAACACTTTTTATCCTCACAAGATCTTTGATGATATTCTTTTATTTATTCATTCATCAAACATTTTGTTAGATGTTAAATTGTAACCCCCAACTCAATTCATATGTTGAAGTCCTAACCCCTAGTAGCTCAGACTGTTTAGAGATAGAGTCTTTAAAAAGATAATCTGGTGAAAATGAGGTCAGTAGGTGGGCCTTAATCTAGTATTGACTGGTGTCCCTGTAAGAAGAGAGGCTAAGAACCCAGAGTGTGACTCTTCCCCAGAAGGAAGATGATGTGAAGACATCAGGAGAAGATGGCCATTGATTAGCCAACGAGAAAGGGCTGGGACAGATCCTTTCCTCATAGGCTTCAGAAGGAACCAATCCTGTGAACGCCTTGATCTCTGACTTCTGGCCTCCAGGACTCTGAGACAGTAAATTTCTGTTGTTTAAATCACCCAGTCTGTGTTACTTTGCTACAGCAGCCCTTACTTAACACAGGAATACAAGTTTAGCAAGATTGTATTGTGTACCAGGAATCTTGCATTAAATGACATTTAATCTTCCAAATGGCTTTATAAGCTTTTCCTTATACAAATATGGGAACTGAGAGCTACCAGTTAAATAGCTTGCTCACATCACCAACTTGTGAGCATTCTGGCTGGGATGTAACTTTGGACTTGCCTGATTTCAAAACTTGTGTGGAGCTATAAGTGACAGAGAATGCAGTGCTTTCTAACATGTATTGATATTCTTAGGGTTTGGGTTAGATCTATAAGTCTGCATGCATGTGTGCATGATTGTGTGTGTGTGTGTGTGTGTGTATGTGTATCTGTGTATGGGCATATGTGCCTGTGTGTGCATGTAGCCACATAAGCATGTCTGCACAGGTCTTCCTGAATCCACTGGGGTTGTAGTTTATAAGCATTGAAAATTCATAGACCCATTATATCTGTCAAACCGAGGACAACGTTAGAACTGATCAGAAGACACGAAGAAAGAAGGATGATTATCATTCAGTGGGATCTGCTTCCCCAAATGCATTTGGGCCAGTTATCAAACCCTAGAAAGTATGCCAGGAGCAAAGAGAGGAACTAGAATTGCTTTCCAGTGATCACTGTCTTCTGTTATTCCATTAGCAGAGAGATAATAGCCAAGTCTTCCAGGATTGAACCATAGGAAACCCTTTAAGTGGCATGAAACTCACGCTATATCATCACTCGCTATTGTCATAGAAATAATCATGCAGATTTGGCAGTGGAGGAGCGACTCTGGTAGAACAGAGTTCATGCATGACATATGATGTATCTGTTCAAAGGGACAGATACATCTTTCTTACTGCCGCCACGCTACAGCTCTCATCCACCGTCCCTCCCGTCCAAATCACCTCAAATAAATGTGAGTACTGCAGCGCTCACAGTAATTCCTTCATTTTTAAACACATAATGGAAATGTATAACTAGTCCTCATAAAAATTTATATCTCAATCCGTCCCTTTAATTTATAACAGGCCCTCTAGGCGGTTATTATTCAAACGTTAATAAAATGCCTATGGATCTCCAAAAGCAACCGTCTGCAAGTGCACTTCTCTTCATATTTGTACATATATAAAACTAGATTAGCTTTAATGCCACTTCTGGTTCTAACAACAATTATGCCTTTAATAAGAGAGGGCCAAGTGATGTATTATCTTAATCATGTTAGAAATCCGGGCCCCTATCGTGAAACCAAAGTTGAATTTTTCATGCCCTTTTCAACAATTGTTACTCTTAATGTTCTATGTGTTTGGATTCTGCAGTTTATGCAAATGCTCCCTTTCTATAAATTTTAGATTTATCACCATTTGTCACTGTATGTACTCTAATACAAGGTGATTGCTTTTCCCCAAAAAATATGATTAAAACACACTTCAATTATTTATACTCGCCAAGGAAATAAAATAAAAGTAGATGGGGTTTTCCTATACTGTAGGGTTAATTACATTACTTTTAAAATGTTAATAAATTTAACACAAGTCCAAACCTCTCCTCAATTTTTAAAAATCGTTGTCTTCAAAAAGACCATTGAACTAAGCAAAGAAAATTCTAAGCATACAGCTATTATTTTCTTTACACAGCGGAAATGTTGGATTCAGAACGTTGTTCATTTGGAGGGCAGTTTTTCCCTCTCCTGATCTGCCGTTCAGTTCTTGTTCTTATGTTTGCCCAGAAGCCTTACAACCTTGTAGCATGTGTTTTCCTGAATTAAAGAATAAATAAATAAATAGCTGACCTGTTTTCTCCTCTAAACTTGAGTGTTGCCTTTCAAACTCTGCCTGATGCTTTCTAGCAAAGTGGTTTTGTACAAGGCAGGACTATCACCACAGAGCAACATAACTACAGATGGAAGTCTTGTTCTAACATCACATTTTTGGAACAAATATTTTCTAATATTAGCAGCAGGTCTTAGTCAATGCTTAAAAATAACTGGCCTAGAGAGAGAACCTTTTATGCTGGAAGAAATCCAGGGCTTCTGTGTGATATGTGTTCATCAGAAAAGTTTCTTTTCGCCTAAGTTACGTTTCTTCCTGTCCCTCTCTCACCCCAGCCATTTAAAAATACCAGTGGGAGAAATAGATGAGAGGTTTCCAGTGGACCAAGAAAAATCTTTAATAAGGCCCTTGACTTCAATATATTAGCCAATTTCTCACTGATTTTATCATGACTATTGATTTTTCACCTCTGTGATCCCCTTTCAATAGATTTACGGCAACAAAGCTAAAATCACAGGTTGATTCCAGTTAAATGTTAGTCGTTATTGCTAATGAGATCCTGTACCTTTAAAAAGCTAAGTCGGCTTCAGTCCCTTTCTTTCCTGCCACTCTAATGGTCTCTCCACTAATTGGT
The DNA here is from genome assembly GCF_000001405.40 of Homo sapiens. Classification (NCBI taxonomy): domain Eukaryota; kingdom Metazoa; phylum Chordata; class Mammalia; order Primates; family Hominidae; genus Homo; species Homo sapiens. Next base: position 94,768,847 of record NC_000015.10, on the reverse strand, counting down.
TCTGTATAAATGAAACAAGCTGAAAAACACCGTGCCACCAATAAATATTAATAAGTTATTGTTTGTTTTATTTACCTTGCTTATGAATTCATACAAAGACAGTGCTAAGACATTAACTCCAGTCTATTAATTGCCACCTGATACTTTTCTCCTGGATAATTAGGTACCCATTAGTTCTAATCAAGTAGTTACTTAATTATTGCAGTAATTAGTCTAATGGACTAGCAAATTGAAGCTTTATCACTTTTGGATACTTAATGTTCCTGACAGAGTACTTCACAAGTGTCAGGGTTCCGGATTCAGCAACCTGTCATCCAAGAACCCCCTCCTCTCCTTCCACCCTCGTCCCATTATCACTGCATCCACTTTCCTTGGTATTGTTGTTGAGTTTTCCAAGAGGCAACCTAAACCTGAACTCCCCCCCTGCACGGGCCCTTCCCGGTGACCCTTTAGAGAGCTATGATGCCATGTCTTTCTATGCACAACCACACATTGAGTGGCCCAACTTCTAGACTATGTGAATATCATTTACGCAGTCTCTTTAGATGGTCTCTGTGCAGACAAAATATGTAGATGAAGGAAAGAGAAGACTTATTTAGGAATGCTTGGAAGCTGATTCATAATAGATTAATAATCCTTCCCAGTGAACCAAAAGATGATGTATAACAACCACAGAGATTTTTAAAAAGTACAATTTGTTTATGCAGGAACTGAATAATAAATCATAAGTCCAATGAAAATTCAGATGATCAACTCAAAGGAGCCTGAAGAGTGATAAAATTACTTTCCAGTACAATTTTGATGCCTCCTTTTTCATGGAATTTTCTTGGACATCAAGTTGACTGATTACCTTCTTCTTGGTAAAATACACTCTGCACTGCTGAGACACTCTAGAACATTCCTTCAGGGACTGTGCCTCCCCATTTCCAAAGCTGATTATTTCTTGCCTTCTCCAGGGTCCTCTCCTAGACAGTCACTTGCAGCTCCGTCTTGGGTGTCCTTTCTTCCCTGGCCAATATTTCCGAGTCTTCTTTGCTGGTCTCACTTTCTCTGCTAATCTCTACATTTTGGTGGATCCCTAGAGCTGGGCCCTGGCTTCCTTTAGTGAGTTAGTCAGTTTTCTTTCTTTCTTTCTCTTTCTTTCTTTCCTTTCTTTCTTTCTTTCTTTCTTTCTTTCTTTCTTTCTTTCTTTCTTTCTTTCTTTCTTTCTTTCTTTCTTTCTTTCTTTCTTCCTTCCTTCCTTCCTTCCTTCCTTCCTCTCTTTCTCTCTCTCTTTCTTTCTTTCTTTTTCTTTCTTTCTTACTTTCTTTCTTCCCCTCCCCTCCCCTCCCCTCTCCTGTCTCTCTTTCTTTCTTTCTTTTGACAGATTCTTGCTCTGTCACCCAGGCTGGAGTGCAGTGGTACAATCTCAGCTCACTGCATCCTCCGCCTCCCAGATTCAAGGAGTTCTGCTGCCTCAGCCTCCCAAGCAGTTCAGATTACAGGAACATGCCCCCATGCCCCCATGCCCAGCTAATTTTTGTATTTTTAGTAGAGATGGGGTTTTGCTATGTTGCCCAGGCTGGTCTCGAACTCTTGACCTCAGGTGATCCACCTGCGTCAGCCTCTCAAAGTGCTGGGATTATAAGCATGAGCCACCATCCTCGGCCAGTTATTTCTTTATGTCCATCTATGTTCTTTCATACCGTGATCACATTTCTGTCTGTAGCTTACAATCCAGATCCTGTCACTTTCTTGTTTAAAATCTCTCAAAGGTTTTCCAGCACCCTTAGAATACTCAGCAAACCTAATGCTCCTGACCCATTTGGTCCCACCTGACTTGGTCTTGCTTCTGCTATGATTCTTTCGTATTATGTCCTTCATCACTTGGGACATGCAAGCCACTCTACCTCTTTTCCAGTGTTTGCTCACACCCAGGTCATTTCTGCTTCAGGGCCTTTGCACTTGCTGTTTTATTTTTTATTTTTTATTTTTATATTTTTATTTTTCCATTTGGAAAGCTTTTCCTGCTCTTCTTAAGTCTGGTTCTTTTTGTTTTTTTGGTCACACCTCAGGTGTCACCTCAAAGAGGCCGTCCTTGAAAATCCTACCTAAATCATCTCCCTGAGACCTTCTCTATTTTGTAACTCTGCTTAAACCTTCTACACTTAGTACTGTCTGCGTCATCCTCGCAGCTATTAAACTATATGAAAACAATACATCGACTGTCTCATTCACCACCGAATCTAACGCCAGGTAGGCACCAAATACATTTTGTTGAATTCATCAGTGAATGAATGGATGCAACAGGAAAATTATTCTCTAATTCTCAAATGCTTGGAACAAAAATACAAAATGCTTCAGAAGTCCTTCCTGCTGAGAACCTTGTTAGGTTCTGGTGACAGTCTAAACTTTTACATTTGATTTATTTCCACCCAATCCAATCCTTTAACTACTACTGCCTCAAGTGCTGTGGAGGATATAGAGATGGATAAAAGTTATGCCATGGTTAAAGTCTGGGCACAGTGGCTCACACATGTAATCTCAGCACTTCAGGAGGCTGAGGCGGATGGATCACTGGAGGTCAGGAGTTCAAGGCCAGCTTGGCCAACATGGTGAAACCCTGTCTCTACTAAAAATACAAAAATTAGCTGGCCATGGTGGCACGCCTATAATCCTAGCTAATCAGGAGGCTGAGGTGGGAGGATCGCTTGAACCAGGGGGGCAGAGGTTGTCGTGAGCTGAGATTTTGCCACTGCCTGGGTGACAAGGTGAGACTCCGTCTCAAAAAAAAAAAAGTTATGCCGTGGTTAAAAGTGCGGAGTCACACAAAGCTGCGTTCTCATCTTAGCTTTCCTGGCTATGTGACCTGAGGCCTCAGTTTCTCCATCGACAAGATGAAAATAATGACATCACCTATCTGAGAGAGCTCATGTGAGTATTCTTTCAAATAATGAATGTAAAGGTCTTATTAAGTGTGTGGCAACTAGTAAATGCCCCCTAAAGATAATTACTATCAATAGAAAATGTGACTCTTGTGTTCCAGGAGCTGACACTATTTTAACAAACTCCCCTTTCATGACTGAAGATGTCACCTACCTCAGTGACTGGGGGCTCAGCACAGTTGCTTCCCTGCATCTGCATCTGGATCAGTTTCCCTGTAGAGAGGCCTGAGACTTGCTTCTGTCGGTTACAAACTGCTTGGTCTCCACTGACATGGCCTTGAGTCATTTCCAGACCTTCACACTCACCATCCTTATAGACACTTTTTGTTTTAATTACATGGAGGTATTCCCAGTTAAATTACTTTTTTTTCTGTGAAAATCGCCTTAATTTTTGACATCTCCTTGTATGAAAAAATGGCATCATAAGGCAAAAGTTGCGGAAATGTAAAGAAGGCAGGGTGTATTGGCTGTATCATATTTTTGTTGTTATTGTTGCTGTTTGTTTTTCCCTGCCCAGCTGCCTAATCGCTAGCCCAGTGAACACCGTGGTAGGAAGACAGAGCGATCCAACTGCAGGCTGCGGGAGAACTGACAAGACCTGGGACTGTCAATCTCAGGGGAGGCCCTGCTGCGTTATCCCATGAGAAGGGCTGCTGACTATGCCACTGTGCCAAACCTGGACTTTATCTCTTACATCGATTTGATTTGGTTTCTCTCAGTCCTCAAGTCAGATTTGTATCTGAATTGATCACTGAGCCTTTGACAAGTGTCATCTGCTGTATATATTGCAATTCATGACATTTAAGGGCCTGTTGACCTAGCAATTCGGCTCCCATGCAGGAAACAAGATACCAACTTCATTTAAAAATATGGTACAATTGACAAATGCTCATATTAACTCAAATACATAACAGGAGGCAAGAAAGTATTCTAAAATTTATTTAATGATGGTATCTATGTAGTTTTACCCCATCTTTATTCTTTCGCTAAACAAGAATATGTTTCTGTAATGTCAAAGGTATACTGGGAACTACTACTAGTCTTCCATTGCTGCTGTGGAAGTGTTTCAATTTTTGAAAGTGTAAGAGATGAGGGAAGAAATCTGGATATATCAGATTCTTTGGAAAATAACAGATAAGTAAACATGTAATATATTATGGCTACTATTTTAATGCAAAAATATATTTCTACTACTAACATATTTGCCAAGGTATGGTAAGCATTGTATAAAGTAATGACTACTCAATAGAATATCTATTTAACAGATTTATCTTCCTGAAGAAAATATGCAAAGATAATCTTAAAATGTAAACAATGCTATAGAATCAAACTCATGAAACAGCTGTTGTATTAGTCTGTTCTCATGTTGCCAATAAAGACATACCTGATACTGGGTGTTCATAAAGGAAAGAGGTTTAACTGACTCACAGTTCCACATGGCTGGGGAGGCCTCACAATCACGGTGGAAGGCAAGGAGGAGCAAAGCCACGTCTTACATGGTGGCAGGCAAGGGGGCTTGTATAGTGGAACTCTCCTTTATAAAATCATCAGTTCTCATGAGACTTATGATCATGAGAACAGCAGGGGAAAGACCCATCCCCATGATTCCATTACCTCCCACTCGGTTCCTTCCATGACACATAGGAATTATGGGAGCTACAACTCAAGATAAGATTTGGGTGGGGACACAGCCAAACCATATCAGTTGTTAAACCCATATTTTGCCAAGTCTTAGTTTTATTATCTGTGAAATGAAAAATATTAATACCTATCTGCCCTACCGACTTCACAAAGATGCTGTGACAACCAGGTGGATTAATATATAGAAAATGATGTGGAAAATAAAAAACATGATGGGAAAGCAAGGAATTGTAAAGAACCTAGTATTTATTTTCCTTTTCAAAAGAGAAATTATTTGAACTCATATTTCATCTTTCTTTAATTTCAAACATCTCAATATACTATGTTTTCCTTATATATTTTTAGATTTGCAAAGTGAGGGTGCCTGAGCCTGTGCCTGAACCACAGGTCCTTCTAACCCAGCTCTTGGGGCATGGCACATTTGTTGACATAAAATGGGGGGATTCCAAGACTTCAGATCAGTTAAGACCAAAAATAAAAATAAAAAAACAATCCCAAAACAAAAACAAACTTCAGTGAAAGTCCCTGGACACACTTAAGTTTTTTTTATCCTTGATTCCAATCTGATAAAATTTCATCAATGTGCCCTCTGCCCCTTTTTAGGGGCATTGAATGAAAATAATAACAAGATTACCATCAATTAAATTGCTGCTATGTGACCAATACATTCAGTTTTCTAGGCCTTTATTGAAGAAGTTTTTGCAGACTGCTCAGCAAGCAGTGAGTATCTAGGAAATGCTGACCATCCTGAATTGATCAATTACACCTAGCTGCACCTTGTTATATAGCCTGAGAACAAGCTGCTCTTTTCTCTTACCTGTGATCCCAAGTATCACACTACTTGTATTCCATATTCAGTCCTTCTCAAATAAGACAGTCAATAAGACCTGATGAAAAGCCTGTATAGGCAAGCTAATTTTACAAAATGCTTTGTTTTAACTACTGGCAACAGAACTGTCATCAGTTTGCTTTGGGTGCATGAGAAGTTGATAGTTCATTGGCTTCCATCCTTACAGTAAGTTGCTTTAGTGGCATTTTTTTTTCAATTTCCCTTTAAAAACATTTCTTTATTATACCTTAAGTTCTGGGATACATGCGGAGAACATGTAGGTTTGTTACACAGGTATACACGTGTTATGGTAGTTTGCTGCACCCATCAACCCATCATCTACCCACGGGGAATGATTTATCCCTAAAGAAGACCACCACTTAGGTAAAGATTAGTGCTAGCTTCGGAATGTGAAAGTGACAGTATTGGCTCATATGTTGAAGTCTTCAGTGGATATTGCTGCTGGGTTTGTCCCATCATGTTTATTTAGCCTCTCTCATACTCTTGTACTATGGCAGATAACTAAGGACATGCATTGGTCTTAGGGGCGTATTTATTGACTGTGTGTGGCAAATAACAATAACTAGAAGAATATCGAGCTAATCTCATTATCATGCTCCATTCATATGAATTAGCTTAGGCTTTCAAAGTAGGCACTTGTAACCTATCTTGGGTTTTTGAGCCTGTGTATTATAGTGAAGGGCATCGTCTTTGAAGTTTGGTCCTGCCCCTTACAAACTGTAAGATATTGGAAAAGGTATTTATCCTCAGTAAGCTTAGTTACTCCATCCTCAAAATGCCTTTTTCATGGAGTTCTTGTAAGGATAACAATAAGTAATGTGTGGAGAAAATGCATTGTTAAACATAAAACCCTCTATAAATGTTAGATATTGTGCACTGGGAGAGAGAGAGTCAGGTATCCTCACCTTAGTCATTAAAGGGCTCTTCTATGATTGTATGTTCTGTCTCACCATACCATATGCTGGAGCTGGCTTGCCTGGCATAGGAAGCTGTCTGCCTCTCTTTCCTGTACTCAGGGTGTCATGGTGGACATTGAAACAGGCAATGTTGGGTGTATTTAGACACAGAAATTGTGAAGTGCTACACATCAAGGCTCCCCCCATCTGCAAGAGCTAGTTGTTGAACACTTACCAGCACACCTCTGACCCCTTCTCTTCTCTAACCTTTGATCCCTCTCCACCTCCATAGAGGCTGTAAGTTTCAAGAATGTTGAATTTGTAGACCTAGGAGGGCAGAGAACTTTTTGGTGTGGGCTTTTGTTCATTGCCTAGCACGGAGCCTGACATGTACTAAGTGCCCAAAAAAAATGTGTTTATAAATGAATGAATCACTTTAAGGATGCCATGGAAAGACATGCTAGGCTGTGTAACATATGAGAAGTTGAGCCTTCCAGCTAACTGCTCTGAGTTTAGGTTTCTGCGTCTGTAGAATGGGAAAGTTAATACATACTTCCTATAGGATTGATGTGAAGATTGATTAAGATAACATGAACTGCACACATTGGGCAGTTAATAAATGCTAGGTTCTTTTCTTCCTTTTATCTGGAGGCTAATGAGTAATTCTGCTCTTTCTCCTGTTCATCCCCCGCTTGACTACACCCCCTGCTACCTCCCACTGTGTTTATGTACATATTTATGTTTACACATAAACACATATGTTTAACAACTAGCAGCATAACTATAATTTCACACCAGGATGCCAAGCTCAGCCAACACATTCAGATGCTAACACCTGTGATAGAGTCAGGAAGAATGACTTCCATAAACCAATGTTTAATTTTTGAAATTGGAGTGGGTAATTCAAAAGGGTAATTCAAGAATTTTCTAATTGTTTATCTTTGCAGGCTATAAGCTGGTGGGGTTCATTTTTTCATTTTGCCTACCTGTTAGAGTGACTGTAAGGTCTAAGTGAGATGACGTATAAAAGACACTCTCTACATGCTAATCGTTGCTACTATTATAATAGAAAAGGAAAATAACACCAATAAATCCTAGACCCTTAGAGCTGGCAGGAAGATAAGATTATCATTTAGCCAAATCCTGTTAAGTCATTGATGACCACCTTTAGGCACAAATAAAGTGACTTTTCTTAGGTCACCCAGCTTAATTAATGACAAAAATTAATCTAGAGCCTATTGATTGCAAATCCAGACCCTTGTTTGTGCCACTGCACACCTATATCCTCAATTAAACAATGACTAAAATGGCAACTGCTGGGTGGAAAGTGGGATCTGAACCAACTACGTGATAATTAAAAGAACACGACAAAGATGCTAACATGTATTCGAGAAAGTACGTATACATTTTGAGTCACAATAGCTAATTTTTGTCAGATCATTTTAAAGCATTGTTTTGTCACCAGGAAAATACATTTAAAATTAGTTAGCAGAAAGGAAAGCTTCTTAGATTTCTTTTATAAAATGGCAAACAATATTTTTTTAACAGACTAAAAGAAGATAAGAAAAGGAATAGCTGGGGCCTGTACTACTTTGGATACAATGAATGATATTGGAACTGAAGGAACAAAGCAGTAATAACAGCATAAAAACAGCAAACATAAATCTATATCTATTGAACTCAATGTTTTCTAGCCACGTTCAAGTGCTATGTTAGTTCATTCCTAAATTTTCAAGCTCCAAGGTAATCAATTTGAGCTTGTAATAATCTAGCGGTTTAAGATCTCCATAATGGTTTAGCCCACTGCTGTTCAACTGCCTGAAACTTCTGGGAAGGAAGATGTCCCAGGAAGGCACATGGTGAGAAGTAGGTGACAAGAGACTCTCAAGGGTAGGAGAGAGGAAGCAGGGAGAATCAACCAAACCCAGTCAATGCTCCAGGTCATAGGTGATTTTATTAGCTTTTCCTCATGGAGGATATGAAGAATATTTTATAATAGCAGGGCACAGGCAGCACCCAATCTGAACTGATGCTGGTATAAGTGGAGGTGGGGCAGGGATTCCCAGAGCTTGAAGCAGCAACTATTTGTGAGCTGAAGTGGAAATAATCCAGTATTTTAACAACTGGAATGGCCGTAATGCTAAACTATCAATGTGCCTTTCACTCGTATCCCTGTGAAGAGACCACCAAACAGGCTTTGTGTGAGCAAGAAAGCTTTTAATCACCTGGGTGCAGGCAGGCTGAGTCTGAAAAGAGAGTCAGTGAAGGGAGATACCGGTGGGGCCGTTTTATAAGATTTGGGTAGGTAAAGGAAAATTACAGTCAAAGGGGGTTTGTTCTCTGGCGGGCAGGTGTGGGGGGGGGTCACAAGGTGCTCAGCAGGGGAGCTTTTGAGCCAGGATGAGCCAGGAGAAGGAATTTCACAAGATAATGTCATCAGTTAAGGCAGGAACAGGCCTTTTCACTTCTTTTGTGGTGGAATGTCATCAGTTAAGGCAGGAACTGGTCATCTGGATGTGTACTGCAGGTCACAGGGGATATGATGGCTTAGCTTGGGCTCAGAGGCCTGACATTCCTGTCTTCTTATATTAATAAGAAAAATAAAATGAAACAGTGGTAAAATGTTGGGACGGCAAAAATTTTTGGGGGTGTTATGGAGAGAAAATGGGCGATGTTTCTCAGGGCTGCTTTGAGCAGGATTAGGGGCGGCGTGGGAATCTACAGTGGGAGAGATTAAGCTGAAGGAAGATTTTGTGGTAAGGGGTGATGTTGTGGGGTTGTTAGAAGAAACGTTCGTCATTTGGAATTATTGGTGATGGCCTGGATACGGTTTTGTACGAATTGAAAAACGGAATAAGAGGAGAAAAACAGGTATTAAAGGACTAAGAATTGGGAGGACCTAGGACATATAATTAGAGAGTGCCTAAGGAGGTTCAGCATAGCCTTTTCAGCAAAGATTATTTATTTACTTTAAGAGTTAAGAGTGGCAGTTTGGGGATAGCACCAGGAGATATCAGCTGTGATGGCTTAGAGAAACAGTGTAAACCGGCAGTGTAAACAAGAGCAGGGCATGTATGAGTAGTTGAGAACGGTGAATAGGAGTATGACTAGACAGAAGATAGTAGGGATGACAAGTTTTTTGGGGCACAGTCCAAGTTGGTCTGGTGTCTGGAATGAGACTGGGGCCTAATAAAAAAGAGCGTCTATACAGGAGCTTAAATGGTCTGTACCCTGTAGCATTCTGAGGACAGGCCTGAATTTTGAGAAGGGAAAGTGGTAAAAGTATTGTCTAGTCCTTTTTAAGTTGGTGGCTGAGCTTGGAGAGGTTTTAAAAGACCATTAGCCCGTTCTGCCTTTCCTGATGACTGAGGACCGTAAGGGATATAAAGGTTTCACTGAATACCAAGAGCCTGAAAAAATGCTTGGCTTATTTGACCAATAAAGCAGGTCTGCTATCGGACTGTATAGAGGTGGGAAGGCTAAACTGAGGAATTATGTCTGACAGAAGGGAAGAAATGACCGTGGTGGCCTTCTTAGACCCTCTGGGAAAGGCCTCTACCTATCCAGTGAAAGTGTCTACCTAGACCAAGAGGTATTTTAGTTTCCTGACTCCGGGCATGTTGAGTAAAGCTAATTTGCCAGTCCTGGGAGGAGGCAAATCCCTGAGCTTGATGTGTAGGGACGGGAGGGGGCCTGAATAATCCCTGAGAAGTAGTAGAATAGCAGATGGAACACTGAGAAGTTATTTCTTTGAGGATAGATTTCCACGATGGAAAAGAAATGAGAGGTTCTAAGAGGTGGGCTGGTGGCTTATACTATAGCATACCCTGCCTTTGCTGGTGTGTGGCCATTAGGCCTGGTGGAACTGCCATCAATAAACCAAGTGTGATCAGGGTGAGGAACAGGAAAGAAGGAAATATGGGGAAATGGGGTGAATGTCAGGTGGATCAGAGAGATACAGTCATGGGGGTCAGGTGTGGTATCCAGAATAATGTGGGAGGCCGGATTGAAGTCCGGGCCAGGAACAATGGTAATTGTGGGAGACTTAACAAAGAGTGAGTACAGCTGAAGGAGCCAGGGATCAGAAAGTATATGTGTCAGGTGTGAGGAAGAAAATAGATTTTGGAAGTTATGAGAACTGTAGAGAGTGAGTTGAGCATAGTTTGTGATTTTAAGGGCCTCTAAAAGAATTAGGGTGGTGGCGGCCACCACAAGCGGACTTGAGGGCTAGGCAAAACAGTAAGGTCAAGTTGTTTGGATAAAAAGTCTACAGGGCGCAGTCCCGGTTCTTGTGTAAGAATTCTGACTGCACAGCCCTGCACTTCGGCTGTGGATAATGAAAAGGGTTGGGATGAGCCAGGGAGAGCTAGGATGGGGGCAGTCTCTAAAGCTGTCTTTAAGGAATGGAAAGAGGAGTGGGGAAAGGATTTAGGATCTATGGGGTCAGCAAGGTTTCCTTTTGTGAGTTTATGTAATGGTTTTGTTAGGGTGGCAAAACCAGGTGTCTAAAGTCGAAAGTATCCAACCATGCCTAGGAAGGAAAGGAGTTGTTGTTTTATAGGTGTTGGGGTTTGAGAGATCAGCTGAACATGATTGGCAGGGAGAGCACGTGTGTTTTTATGAGAATTATGCTGAGATAGGTAACAGATGAGGAAGAAATTTGGGCTTGACTGATGTAATGGGGGCTGTCTGTGAAGCCTTGCGGCAGTACAGTCCAGGTAATTTGCTGAGCTTGATGGGTGTCAGGGTCAGTCCAAGTGAAATCAAAGAGAGGGTGGGATGAAGGGTGAAAAGGAATAGTGAAGAAAGCATGTTTGAGATCCAGAACAGAATAATGGGTTGTGAAGGGAGGTATTGAGGATAGGAGAGTATATAGGTTTGGCACCACTGGGTGGATAGGCAAAACAATCTGGTTGATAAGGCACAGATCCTGAACTAACCTGTAAGCCTTGTCTGGTTCTAGGACAGGTAAAATGGGGGAATTGTAAGGAGAGTTTATAGGCTTTAAAAGGCCATGCTGTAACAGGTGAGTGATAACAGGCTTTAATCCTTCTAAAGCATGCTGTGGGATGGGATATTGGCATTGAGCGGGGTAGGGGTGATTAGGTTTTAATGAGATGCTAAGGGGTGCATGATTGGTCGCTAAGGAGGGAGTAGAGGTATCCTATACTTGTGGGTTAAGGTGGGGGGATACAAGAGGAGGACGCAAAGGAGGCTTTGGATTGGGAAGAAGGACGGCGATGAGATGTAGCTGTAGTCCAGGAATAGTCAGGGAAGCAGATAATTTAGTTAAAGTGTCTCAGCCTAATAAGGGAGCTGGGCAGGTGGGGATAACTAAAAAGGAGTGCTTAAAAGACTATTGTCTAAGTTGGCACCAGAGTTGGGGAGATTTAAGAGGTTTAGAAGCCTGGCCGTCAATACCCACAACAGTTATGGAGGCAAGGGAAACAGGCCCTTGAAAAGAAGGTAATGTGGAGTGAGTAGCCTCCATATTGATTAAGAAGGGGACGGACTTACCCTCCACTGTGAGAATTACCTAAAGCTCGGCGTCTGTGATGGTCCACAGGGCTTCTGAGGCGATCGGGCAGCGTCAGTCTTCAGCAGCTAAGCCAAGAAGATCTGGGAAGGAGTCAGAGATCCTTGGTCCAGAGTTCCAGGGGCTCTGGGAGTGGCTGCCAGGTGAGTTGAACAGTCTGATTTTCAGTGGGGTCCTGCAGAGATGGGACACGGCCTAGGAGGAATCCTGGGCTGCGGGCATTCCTTGGCCTGGTACATTCTGGCACTTGTACCAAGCTCCTGGGGAGGCAGTTCTGGAGGAAATCCTGGCCGCTGCGGTTGAGGCATTTGGAAGTTCTTGTGTGCTGGAGATGTGGCTGGGGTTTGTCTCACAGTGGAGGCAAGGAATTGCAACTTAGAAATATGTTGCTACTTGGCTGCCTCTACTCTATTATTGTACACCTTGAAGGCGAGGTTAATTAAGTCCTGTTGTGGGGTTTGAGGGCCGGGATTTAATTTTTGGAGTTTTATTTAATGTCGGGAACAGATTGGGTAATAAAATGTATATTGAGAATTTCACTCGCGTCCATGTGAAGAGACCACCAAACAGGTTTGTGTGAGCAATAAAGCTGTTTATTTCACCTGGGTACAGGTGGGCTGAGTCCAAAAAGAGTCAGCGAAGGGAGATAAGGGTGGAGCCGTTTTATAAGATTTGGGTAGGTAAAGGAAAATTACAGTCAAAGGGGGGTTCTCTGGCGGTCAGAGTGGGGGTCACAAGGTGCTCAGTAGGGGAGCTTTTGAGCCAGGATGAGCCAGGAGAAGGAATGTCACAAGACAATGTCATCGGTTTTGGCAAGAACAGGCCATTTTCACTTCTTTTGTGGTGGAATGTCATCAGTTAAGGCAGGAACTGGCCATCTGGATGTGTACCTGCAGGTCACAGGGGATATGATGGCTTAGCTTGGGCTCTGAGGCCTCACATTCCTGTATTCTTATATTAATAAGAAAAATAAAATGAAATAGTGGTAAAATGTTGGGACGCTGAAAATTTTTGGGGGTGTTATGGAGAGATAATGTGCGATGTTTCTCAGGGCTGCTTCGAGTGGGATTAGGGGCGGCGTGGGAACCTAGAGTGGGAGAGATTAAGCTGAAGGAAGATTTTGTGGTAAGGGGTGATATTACGGGGTTGTTAGAAGAAACATTTGTCGTGTAGAATGATTGGTGATGGCCTGGATACGGTTTTGTATGAATTGAAAAACTAAATGGAATAAGAGGAGAAAAACAGGTATAAAAGGTCTAAGAATTGGGAGGACCTAGGACATCTGATTAGAGAGTGCCTAAGGAGATTCAGCATAGTCCTGCCAGCAAAGATTATTTACTTTAAGAGTTAAGAGTGGCAGTTTGGGGATAGCACCAGGAGATATCAGCTGTGATGGCTTGGAGAAACAGTGTAAACCGGCAGTGTAAACAAGAGCAGGGCATATATGAGTAGTTGAGAACGGTGAATAGGAGTATGACTAGATAGAAGATAGTAGGGATGACAAGTTTTTTGGGGGCACAGTCTAAGTTGGTCTGGTGTCTGGAATGAGACTGGGGCCTAATAAAAAGGAGCATCTATACAGGAGCTCAAATGGGCTGTACCCTGTAGTATTCTGAGGACAGGTCTGACTTCTGAGAAGGGAAAGTGGTAAAAGTATTGTCTAGTCCTTTTTAAGTTGGTGGCTGAGCTTGGTGAGGTATGTTTTTAAAAGACCTTTAGTCCGTTCTACCTTTCCTGAAGACTGAGGACCATAAGGGATATAAAAGTTTCACTGGATACTAAGAGCCTGAAAAACTGCTTAGCTGATTTGATTAATAAAGGCTGGTCTGTTATCAGACTGTATAGAGGTGGGAAGGCTAAACTGAGGAATTATGTCTGACAGAAGGGAAGAAATGACTGGTGGCCTTCTCAGACCCTGTAGGAAAGGCCTCTACCTATCCAGTGAAAGTGTCTACCTAGACTAAGAGGTATTTTAGTTTTCTGACCTGGGGCATGTTGAGTAAAGCCAATTTGCCAGTCCTGGGTGGGGGCAAATCCCTGAGCTTGATGTGTAGGGAAGGGAGGGGTCCTGAATAATCCCTGAGGAGTAGTAGAATAGCAGATGGAACACTGAGAAGTTATTTCTTTGAGGATAGATTTCCACAATGGAAAGGAAATGAGAGGTTCTAAGAGGCGGGCTAGTGGCTTGTACTATAGCATAGCCTGCCTTTGCTGCTGTGTGGCCATTAGGCCTGGTGGAACTGCCATCAATAAACCAAGTGTGATCAGGGTGAGGAACAGGAAAGAAGGAAATATGGGGAAATGGGGTGAATGTCAGGTGGATCAGAGAGATACAGTCATGGGGGTCAGGTGTGGTATCCGGAATAATGTGGGAGGCCGGATTGAAGTCCGGGCCAGGAACAATGGTAATTGTGGGACTTAAAGAGTGAGTACAGCTGAAGGAGCCGGGGAGCAGAAAGTATATGTGTCAGGTATGAGGAAGAAAATATAGAGTTTGGAAGTTATGAGAACTGTTGAGAGTGAGATGAGCATAGTTTGTGATTTTGAGGGCCTCTAAAAGTATTAGGGCAGCAGCAGCCTCTGCACAGAGACATGATGGCTAGGCTAAAACAGTAAGGTCAAGTTGTTTGGACAGAAAGGCTACAGGGTGCTGTCCTGGCTCTTGTGTAAGAATTCTGACTGCACTAACCATGCCTAGGAAGGAAAGGAGTTGTTGTTTTATAAGGGATTGAGGTTTGGGAGATTAATCGGACACGATCAGCAGGGAGAGCACATGTGTTTTTATGAGAATTATGCCGAGATAGGTAACAGATGAGGATGAAATTTGGGCTTGACTGATGTAATGGGGGCTGTCTGTGAAGCCTTGTGGCAGTACAGCCCAGGTAATTTGCTGAGCCTAATGGGCGTCAGGGTCATCTAAGTGAAAGCAAAGAGAGGCTGGGATGAAGGGTGCAAAGGAATAGTAAAGAAAGCATGTTTGAGATCCAGAACAGAATAATGGGTTGTAGAGGGAGGTATTGAGGATAGGAGAGTATATGGGTTTGGCACCACAGGGTGGATAGGCAAAACAATTTTGTCCATAAGGCACAGATTCTGAACTAAGCTGTAGGCCTTGTCTGGTTTTAGGACAGGTAAAATGGGGGAATGGTAAGAAGAGTTTATAGGCTTTAAAAGGCAATGCTATAACAGGCCAGTGATAAAGGTCTTTAATCCTTTCAAAGCATGCTGTGGGATGGGATATTGGCATTGAGCGGGGTAAGAGTGATTAGGTTTTAATGGGATGTTAAAGGGTGCATGTTTGGTCGCTAAGGAGGGAGTAGAGGTGTCTTATACTTGTGGGTTAAGGTGGGGAGATACAAGGGGAGGATGTGAAGGAGGCTCTGAACTGGGGGAAAAGGCGGCAATGAGGTGTGGCTGTAGCCCAGGAATAGTCAGGGAAGCAGATAATTTAGTTAAAGTGTCTCGGCCTAATAAGGGAACTGGGCAGGTGGGGATAACTAAAAAGGAGTGCTTAAAAGACTATTGTCTAAGTTGGCACCAGAGTTGGGGAGTTTTAAGAGGTTTAGAACCTTGGCCATCAATACCCACAACAGTTATGGAGGCAAGGGAAACAGGCCCTTGAAAAGAAGGTAATGTGGAGTGAGTAGCCTATGTATTGATTAAGAAGGGGATGGACTTACCCTCCACTGTGAGAGTTATCTAGAGCATCTGTGATGATCCTGTAGGCACCCAAGGTGATCGGGCAGTGTCAGTCTTCAGCTGCTAAGCTGAGAAGATCTGGGAAGGAGTCAGTCAGAGAGCCTTGGGCCAGAGTTCCAGGGGCTCTGGGAGTGGCTGCCAGGTGAGTTGAACAGTCCAATTTTCAGTGGGGACCTGCACAGATGGGACATGGCTTAGGAGGGATCCTGGGCTGTGGGCATTCCTTGGCCCAGTGGCCAGATTTCTAGCACTTGTAGCAAGCTCCTGGGGGAGGAGGTTCTGGAGGAACCCCTGGCAGCTGCGGTTCAGGTGTTTGGAGTTCTTGTGTGCTGGAGATGTGGCTGGGGTTTGTCTCACAGTGGAGGCAAAGAATTGCAACTCAGAAATATGTTGCTACTTGGCTGCCTCTACTCTATTATTGTACACCTTGAAGGCGAGGTTAATTAAGTCCTGTTGTGGGGTTTGAGGGCTGGAATTTAATTTTTGGAGTTTTATTTAATGTCGGGAGCAGATTGGGTAACAAAATGTATATTGAGAATAAGACGGCCTTCTGACATTTTAGGGTCTAGGGCTGTAAAGCGTCTCAGGGTTGCTGCCAAACGGCTATGAACTGGGCTGGGTTTTTCATATTTGATGAAAGAGCCTAAACGCTCACTGATTTGGGAGAGGTCTGATAAAGAAAAAGGAGCATTAACCTTGACTATGCCTTTAGCTTCAGCCACCTTTTTAAGAGGAAATTGCTGGGCAAGTGGGGGAGGGCTACTCACGGAATGAAACTGTAAACTGGACTCGGTGTGAGGAGGGGAGGTGATAAAAAGATTATAGGGTGGAGGAGCGGAGGCTGAGGAAGAATTGGGACCTAGTTTGGCCTGGCTAGGAGCAGTCTGGGGAGGAGGGGAGAGGTCAGATGGGTCTGTAGAAAAGGAAGATTAGAAAGACTCAGTGACACTTGGGGTTGGGACTGAGGGGACAGGCGGGAGGGAAAGAAGGAATATTTGGGAAGAGTTGCACTGGGCACAGAGACTAGGGAAGGACCGATGTGTAAAAGAATGCCTGGACGTCAGGCATCTCAGACCATTTGCCTATTTTTTGACAAAAATTATTTAGGTCTTGTAGGATGGAGAAATCGCAAGTGCCATTTTCTGGCCATTTAGAACCACTGTCGAGTTTCTATTGGGGTCAAGCAGCATTGTAGAAGAAAATAAGGCATTTACATTTTAAGTCAGGTGAGAGTTGAAGAGGTTTTATGTTCCTAAGAACACAGGCTAAGGGAGAAGAAGGAGGAATGGAGGGTGGAAGGTTGCCTACAGTAAAGGAGGCAAGTTTAAAGAAAAGGGAGAGTAGAGACACAGAGGGAAATGGTTCAGGGGTTCTTACCTTCCAGAAAAATGGGAAAGGGGTCAGGTCACAGAGATACGAGGTTGAGGCACGGAAATAAGGGATTGGGGCACAGAGATATGAGGTCGGAGCATGGAAATAAGGGATCGGGGTGCAGAGATAAGAGGTCGGGGCACGGAAATAAGGGATTGGGGATTCTTGCCCTCTAGAAAAGCGGGACTTGCCGCCGAGGGTGAAGGAGAAGGAGTTGAGGGGTTCTTGCCCGTCCCCCAGAAAAGTGGAGAAGGGGTAGAGACATGGAGAGAAGGGGTTGGGGTACTTGCCCCTCCCCCAGAAAAGCGGGACTTGCCGCTAAGGGTGAAGGACCAAGGCAGGCGTCCCTGCGTGGTCTGAGACCTCTGAAACGTGGATGAATAATCAGAGAGGCGTCCCTGCAATGATTAAACACCAAGGGAAGGCCGCCTTCCCACTCCGTGACCGGCGCCAGAGTTTTGGATCCATGGATAAAATGTGTCTCCTTTGTCTCTAACAGAAGATGAAAGGAATTGAAATTAAGAGAAGGGAGAGATTGAAGTATGGCACCAAGATTGAAAGGAGAAAGAGGTTGAGGGATAGTGAGGGAGGTTGGAGAAGAGTGTGAAAAGAGGCTGCTTACCGGATTTGAAATTGGTGAGATGTTCCTTGAGCTGGTCGGTCTGAGGACCTGAGGTCGTAGGTTGACCTTTCTCACGAAGCAAAGAGCAGGAGGACAGGGGATTGATCTCCCAAGGGAGGTCCCCCGATCCATGTCACAGCACTAAATTTCACTCGCGTCTGTTTGAAGAGACCACCAAACAGGCTTTGTGTGAGCAATAAAGCTGTTTATTTCACCTGGGTGCAGGCAGGCTGAGTCCGAAAACAGAGTCAGCGAAGGGAGATAAGGGTGGGGCCGTTTTATAAGATTTGGGTAGATACAGGAAAATTACAGTCAAAGGGGGGTTGTTCTCTGGAGGGCAGGAGTGGGGGTCACAAGGTGCTCAGCAGGGGAGCTTTTGAGCCAGGATGAGCCAGGAGAAGGAATGTCACAAGATAATGTCATCAGTTAAGGCAGGAACAGGCCATTTTCACTTCTTTTGTGGTGGACTGTCATCAGTTAAGGCAGGAACCGGCCATCTGGATGTGTACGTGCAGGTCACAGGGGATATGATGGCTTAGCTTGGGCTCAGAGGCCTGACAGTGCCCTCTCCGTATTTCCCCTTCTTTCTTAATCCCTACTCTTACTGTTTCATGGTTGCTTGAAAGAAGTCCTATCAGTGCCATGGACAACGCTCTTTAACTCCTATCAGTGCCATGGAAGTCCTATCAGTGCCATGGACACTGCTATTTAGCTCCAGGTGGAGGGTCTCCAGAAAGCCAGGGGTGAGGCAGTGCACACCGGTGAGCCCTGTGTGAACTTTGTTCCCCTACTTCCGGCGTGACAAAGCCAGGATCTTGTGGAAGCCCTGCCTGGACTGTCTAGGAATGAGGCAAGTCCCATCAGGACAGCAGTGAGCTGAAGAACTGTTCCCACCCAGAAGCCTGGCCTCACTCAGCTGCAGCCTCACAGGCATGCAGGCCTGGGTGGCCTCACCTGGTTTCTAAACAGAAGTCAGAAACTCTGAGTTCCTCATTTTTAACACCATGCAGACCCATGCTGGAAGGGTCATTCTGAGACTTCGTAGGAGTTCAAAAAACTGCATAGGTGCACAAACACTAGTGTTCCCCAAGGACAAGCTGGATTTTTTTCTAAGTTGACTATTTTGCCTCTCTATTCAGGGACCAAAAATTCATGTGTATTGTGATGTTTACTGGTGATTCATCCTCCCTGGAGTTACTACACTGTTTCTTAGTGAAAGGCTGGTTCATGGCCCTGACTACATGTGCGAAGCTTTGTTTTGCTGTGGTCTCCTCTCCATTCCCCATCCTAAGAGACAGCTGCCTGGAGAAAGGCCCTTTGCCCTTTTTTTTTTTTAACTGCTTCTTGCAGCAAGAGGCTTCTCAGCTGCCTGCTTCACTGGGCCTGATGTAGCCAACATCTTGCAGATATAAAATGGAAAATGGGCTTCTCATCAGAAAAGCAGCAGCTGTTTAACACCATCAGAAAACAAAATCATCATACTTTAAAACCAGATTTAGCAGTTTAAAAGAGCTGCTAAGACAAAATTAGATGGAGACAAGAGTGTGGTTCTGTAACTGACATTGCATCTACCAAACCCTCTAATTCATGTAAAAACAACTTTAAAGAATTAAATGGCCGAAGTTTTTGAGGGGAAGAGCTTTCAGTCTCTCAACACATGCTTGAAAAGAATGCACAGATTTATCTCATCACCCTTTTTATCAACCAATTTTAAGTAGCATTATGTCAAAACTGCTGTGACTTAAATTACAGGGATGATTTTTTTTTTCTTGATTCCATGTTCACAAAAGTGGCTGGTGTGTTGCCTGTTTTGGCAGTTGCTCTATATCCTCTGCTATAGGCTGAATGTCTGTGTCTGCACAACATTTATATGTTGAAAAGCTAACCCCCAAGGTGATGGTGTTAGGAGGTGAGACCTTTTGGAAGGTGGTTAGGTTATGAAGGTGGGGTGCTCAGGATGGGATTAGTGCCCTTATAAAAGGGGTTCCAGGCCAGGAGGGGTGGCTCACGCCTGTAATCCCAGCACTTTGGGAGGCCGAGGCAGGTGGATTGCCTGAGGTCAGGAGATCGAGATCAGCCTGACCAACATGGCAAAACCCCGTCTCTATTAAAAATGCAAAAATTAGCCAGGTGTGGTGGTGCATGCCTGTAGTCCCAGCCACTCAGGAGGCTGAGGTAGGAGAATCACTTGAACCTTGGAGGCGGAGGTTGCAGTGAGCTGAAATCATGCCACTGCACTCCAGCCTATGTGACAGGACAAGATTCCATCTCAAAAAAAAAAAAAAAAAAACCCAGTAAAATAAAGGGGTCCCTGGGAGGTCACTCATCACCTCTCTGCCATCATAAGAGGACACAGTGAGAACATGACCCCTGAACCAGAAAAGGAGCCCACACCAAACACTGAATCTGTAGGTTCTTTGACCTTGTACTTCTCAACCTTTAGAACTGAAAAATAAATTTCCGTTGTTTATAAGTCACCCAGTTTATGGTATTTCTGTTATAGCAGCTTGAACCAACTAAGTGAATCTACCTTCTCTGCTGGGAAGGGACTGGGATTAGTAAGGCAATGTACTCAGTCGTGTTAACTAATGAGATAAAGCTTGCATCTGAGGTATCTTCAGTTATTAATATATTTTAAGGGTATTGTTTTCCCTTTTGAGCTAGCTGAGGTGATTTCGGAAAACCTATTGGCCAAATCACTGGTACAGAAGAATATTATTCCATTGACAAAATTGTTTGCTCTCCTAGCCAACAGAGGCCCTCCTGTGACTTGCTTTTGTTTTGCCTTGTTTTGGACATAAAATATATCTGAAAAATAAATTTGTAAAGAATATTTTTAAAATTGCAATTATTACTGAATACCTGTTCCTTAGCCAAGCCTGCTCGCATGCTGATACAAAATTTTGAGGAGTAAGTTACAATTTTTAAATGGTATAACTGGACTTCGTTTTTCTTAGTATATAAAACTAAAGAACTGCATGTTAGCTTGCTATTTGCATCTATTACAGAAGATCTTTCTTTTCTTCCCCTACTCTTGGGCTCTTGTTTCTGAATGAGGAATTGAATTTCCCTGCATAAAACCTGTATTAAATTTGCTTTTAATCCAAGGCTTTTTATCAGAGCTTAATTGTACTATTTAATAGTAAACATATAATAAAGGGTTAGGGCCAGCAGTATTTGGCAATTTTGATATCAGTGAGGTGAAAGTGAATGTACCAAGATCAACATATACCACCTAGAAATTCTGAGAAATTGGAAAGGGGATGTGGAAGAAAATGAGTATTGGAAATATGAGATGGCTGGTCCCAGCCAGGGCCCCTTGGAATGAGAAGGTTCAATGAGAACGTTTAAGGGGCATTCTGGGTATGCTGTCGTTCCGCAAAGATTGTGTCCCAAAGGAATAGTAAGAAGTGATTATGGAAAAGGAATTGGAAATAAACCTCTCTTCTTTGGGTGCTTCTGCCAAGAAAGGAGAGATCAAATGTGAGAGAGTGAGACCTTGGAAACAGAGTCAGGAGGCCCAAGGCCTGATCTGTTTGAGGTCAGTAAGACTGGAGTTGGGCCTGGCCCCCAGTGGGCTTGGGAGGACTCTCTACAAGAGAAGCACAGGATGTCATCTCAAAGGCATTTAGGAGAAGCCCATCAGCTGAGGAGGTCAGTGCCTGCCTCGACCCATGCCGGTGGGGGGCCAGTCAATCCTCCTGTCCAATATAAAGCCTCATTTTCTTTGAAGGGACGTTTGTGTACTTTGTTCCAGGCAAGGAACTCAAGTGACCCTGGACTAACTGCAAGGTGTCCCCTGACCCAAATCAAAGGAGCACCCCAGCACCTGCCATTCATCAGGTTCCTTTCAGCAAAACAGTCATGAAAGAGAAATAATTTCACTCACTTTTAAAGCGTACTTCTTTGGGGAAGCAGATGTTGAACGGCAGCCCAGCAATGTGGCACAACTGTCTAGGACAGGAAGGAGAGGAAAAATAGATTCCTCAGAAACTGCAGAGGGAATTGAAGAAGGCAGAGCATAATTACCTGCTTTGGAACAGAGCCTGAGTACCGGCACTGACATCATTACTCTTACATTAAGAGGAAAAGGAATTTTCCCTAAATACGATCAGAGCTTTGCCCTTTGATAACAACAATTCTATAGAGGGCAGCGAGGCAGGGAGACTTTTAAGAAGGTGAGAAGGCAGAAAGAAGAAATTAGACAGACAGACATAAGGGCACCTTTCTTTATCAATACTCTTGGTCCCTGTCTGCTTCTCCAATCCACTTACTTTTTGGCAGGCACCGTATCATATTAAAAATTAATCCTAAGATTCTAATGTATTATCTGCATTTGCATTGGATGGCAGAGTGGTGCTTACGGACTCTCAAGATGGGGCTTATCCGTGTCTCAGAGTTGCAGTAGCTTTGCCATAGCAATTTCATATATAAGTGTAACAACATTTCAGTTCATACAGTATTGATGATTGTTTCTTATCAGAGGAGAAATACTGGGTCATGATTGAGTGTGGGTTTCTGTGTCTAGGACAGGGTTCAGATTCTCATTTTTTCCGATCCCAGCGGAGTGATATCAGGAAAGTTACATAAGCACTCTGCTACTACATCTGTAAAATGGACATCATATAGAACATATTTGTGTGTGTGTGTATGTGTGTGTGTGTGCATTAAGCAATATAACAATTGCAAAGCAATATGCAATAACTTGTAAGCGGTATTATTATTATGAGTTACACTCTAAAATAAAAATCAAGGTTAACCTCATCTACAAAGCCTATTTAAACTTTCAAAACAAATTTTAAAAGCCGCTAACATCAACAAGACAAAGGATGGGGCTCTGTAAAACCACAGTTCCAATAAGACCATAAACATCCCAAATCAAGACCACCTACAGTTTTTGTGTCAATTGACAGCTGGGTCCATTTTTTATTTGCTATGTTATGCATGCAGGGCTGGTTAAAAGGCTTTTTAAATAACAGCCCAATGAAAACGCAGAAGAGAAAAAAGAAAGAAAAACAATCCTCACAGGCAAGTGACAGAATTCAGGATCCAAGCATGTGGTGATGCCCTAAGCTCAAAGTCTTTACAAGCTAAGTGGTCGATATGGCTGCCTAAGCTCATCCCCCAATATGGCCCTGGGAGAACAAATAAAGGACCTGGCAGCAAGGGGAAGAGAGAGGGAAGCATTCGGCTGAAAGATTGACTGATCTTGCTACAGATCAGATGGATGGATCTAAATGACCTGTAAAGACATTTCTGGAGCCCTGGGCCACAGCATTAAGAGCCCAGACACCACTCGCACTTCTGAAGTAGTTATTAGTGACTGAAGTTGCAATTGACAACTGCGACTTCAGTTTCAAGTATGTAATGGTTTAACAGCATCAACTTGAGGGAAGGTTATATCTCCTTGTGTCTGGTGTACTGCTGACACTTAAAGAAAATAATTGGTAGATTTAGAGCAGGAAGAGAGGCCAGTGGGTAGAATAGGAGGGGCGGTCAGAAACTTAAGGTAGATCTTCAGGGTGATGGTGTAAAACAGCCATAATTTCTCCCAAGCTGCAGCCCTGAAACAGCATACACACAAACATGACCCACCATCCCCAATCCCATCTTCTTCATAACATCCAAAGACAGAAAGGTCTCGTGTTTCTCCCTCTCTCAAGTATTGAGTCACAAGAATTCTTCACGTGCCTACCCTTGCCTGTTGGAATGCACTGCACTTTCAAAAGCACATTGAACAATGAAAGAAGTGTGCTTCCCCAGCACCTATGGGTGTGGGAGGTCTGGGAACAGGGCGATTTGGCCTTTTTGTTCTGTCTGCTGCTCTGCAGCTTGACACGAACCATCAATAACGCACGGGGTTCCCGCACCCACCTGACTGTCATCACCTTTCAATCAGCAGGATTTGATTTTGAGGAGGTGCTGAAGGATCATTTTGGTAGGAGGGAGGCAGGAAATAAACGTCAGGCAAGGAGGGAAATGTGTCTGTGTGTGCATGTGTGTGTTCATCCCCATATGTGATTAATTCCTCAACAATTCTCAAATAGAGAACTACCTTTGCCTTCACAAAAATCATACAAGGTGTTAAGTTTGTTGTCAAACTTATCCAGGTTTTGCTTCAAGGACTTTTAATTTAGCCATGTTGGCAACAAGAGGCTTTTTTAAAGTTATTATTTCTATTAGTTTTATTAACAGATAACAACTCAAGTAAATTTTTAGCATTTGCAAGTCTCATAAATAACCCTACTGAAATTTACATACTGTAGGATTTATGTCATTTTTGCCTGCCTGTGTTCTTCCCTCCCTTCCTTCCTTCTTCCCTCCCTCCTTTCCTTCCTCCCTCCCTTCCTTCCTTCATCCTTCCCTTCCTCCCTCCCTTCCTCCCTCCCTCCCTCCCTCCTTTCCCTTCTCCTTCCTCCCTCCCTCCCTCCCTTCCTTCCTTTTCCCTTTTTTCCTCTGCTAATCTGTCATTTACATGTGTCTATCGGTGTGAGAAGACACAGAATAAGAATAAATATTTCAATGACACCATTTCTGACTTAGAATCATTAAGCACATTAATAGGTTGATCTGAACTGCAAGGAAGCCTTGGGGAATTGCCCTAACTTCCCACAGAATGGATCAACCTTCCGTTTGGATGAAAGCAGCTGCGTTAGAAATAACAGCAATATGGCAGATTCAAAGGATGTTCTCCTCAGTCACTCCTAGTTGTCACTGTTTGAAAATATTTAGATGGGAATTTGACAAGCCAAGTTAAGTGTACATGCTGAGTCCTGTGAAAAGCATGGGGAATCATTGTAATTTGCCGTTGAGATGGGCTCAGAGGTTTATTTTTTTCTGGGAAACCACCAAGGTAATATGAAAAGCATAACATAGAAAAAAGAAATAATGAAACAAGTGAGAATTTTAAAAACTCAGCTAACGGTTGACCTGCCTGGCAATCTGGCACCTCTCCAGTGAAAGGTAACCCATGGCTGACAAGGGCATCCCCAGAGCAGAGCTAGTTTAATCAGGTGCACCTTGTGGGCCATTGTTATGTAGAACAGGCTCTGTGTTACCTTGAGCCAACAGAGCTGCCTCCTCACTCTAATGGCACAGAATTCACCTGGGAGGTGTTAAATCTTCAGTCTATTCCTAGAGGGACTTCACGTTCCCCATAATTAATTCCTCCCCTGGATGTCTATATAACTCCATACTCTAGTGGTCATTATGAACTGGTGTGATGGCTCCTGGAGACAGCTCCGGGGCTTCCAGCTTGGTGTTTTGGGAGGCCCATGGAGACTAGCTCATTGCAGCCATAAAGAGAATGTGACGTGAGTTTCACAGGCACACGTGCATACACACGCAGGGAGACTCACTCAGGAGAACTGCTGAGATGGCTTTTATTTTGGCATAGGAAATGCTTGTCAGACACATCAGCTGATAGCATCCACAGAGCTGGAAGAAGGAAAATGAACTGCATTACAACGAACTCAGATTTCACAACCAAAAGCTGCACGCTGACATTTATATTAGCTTCGTTTGACATGTCCTGACGGTTCAGATCGGATGAAGAGGAACTCTCCCACGTTTGCCCACCCCATCCCATAAAGTGCACCTTTCATGCCAGGTCTGCAGAGGCAATAGATCACGTAAAATGTTGCAATTTCCTGCTAGCTGTTTTCTAGGAATGCAGAAAGCCCTGTATAGTCAAAAGCATCATGTTCTCTCTAGATTTCCAAAATATGGGGATGGGGGGAGATTATCCATGCATCAAAAGCATAGAGAAACACTCTAACCAAAGCAGTGGTTCTCAAACTGCACTAAGCCAGAAAAGCAGGTGGAGTGCTGATTTAAAACGTAGACTTCTGAGCCTATACCCTACATCAGCAAAATCATGACAACCCAAAGAGAGCCTGGAAATCTGCATATTTAACAAGCAGATTCTCTCTACATTATAGTATCATCATGCGTATTAGGAGATCATAGATATAAATAGGATATAATATATATTATTTTAAAAGTATTGTTTTAATAATTTATTGGGTTAGCAATAATACATACATATATTCTTATATATTTAAATCATTTTATATTATTACGATGTAGTGAACTTGGACTATGTATCAGGCTACTATGTGTTCCAGTCATTTAGAAACCACCGACCAGTGAAACAGAGCAGACGGAGCTCAGTGTATGTCAAGCCACACTGCAGCTAATTCACTGACTTGAGAATTTTCCCCAGCAAGTTGAACAGTCTCCACGTTGCAAAGAAGGTCCTGAGAAGTGAATTCCTAAAGCCAATTTGGGGCAAAGCTTTAGAACTTTGGTCTTCTGACTCTCATTCTTGAGATCTTTCAGGCTAAGAAAATAATCATTCAACTCAGTATAATCACAGATATTTAGCAAAGATTGTCTAATATATTCCCTACGTTCAGCCTATGAAGCAAGTAGTGTATTTTTAAAAATCATGTTGCTGGCCGAGCGTGGTGGCTCACGCCTGTAATCCCAGCAATTTGGGAATTTGGGAGGCCAAGGCAGGCGGATCATGAGGTCAGGAGTTCGAGACCATCCTGGCCAACACGGTTAAACCCCATCTCTACTAAAAATACAAAAAGTAGCAGGCATGGTGGCATGCACCTGTAGTCTCAGCTACTCAGGAGGCTGAGGCGGGAGAATTGCTTGAACCCAGAAGGCGGGGTTTGCAGTGAGCGGGGATCACACTGCACTCTAACCTGGGCAAGACAGGGAGACTCCAACTCAAAACAACAACAACAAAAAAAATCATGTTGCCAATGAAGAGTGTGAAGTTTAGCCAACTTAAGTAACTTGGTCCATTGAAAGGGAAGCCAGCTGGACTTCTGGGGTGGGTGGGGACTTGGAGAAGTTTTCTGTCTTACAAGAGGATTGTAAAATGCACCAATCAGCACTCTGTAGCTAGGATTGTGAAATGCACCAATCAGCGCTCTGTGGCTAGCTAGAGGTTTGTAAAATGCACCAATCACCACTCTGCAAAATGGACCAATCAGCACCCTGTAAAATGGACAATCAGCAGGACATGGGTGGGGACAAATTAGGGAATAAAAGCTGGTCAGTTGCCTTACCATGCTGTGGAAGCTTTGTTCTTTCACTCTCCACAATAAATCTTGCTGCTGCTCACTCTTTGGGTCCACACCACCTCTAAGAGCTGTAGTACTCACCGTGAAGGTCCATGGCTTCATTCCTGAAGTCAGTGAGACCACGAACCCACAAGAAGAAACCAAGTCCGGACACACCATGATCACCTTCCTGGTAAATGAGGGAGCTGGATTGAAACCCAGCTCTTAGTCTTCATGTGATATATTCATCTACTCATTCATTTTCCAAGGATGGAATGAGTGTCCAGCATCTGACAGGCTTTGGTCCAAGTGATGGGGATACAGTGATGGCCATGACACAGTCTCTACCTCTGGAGGCTAGTTGGGATAGAATGGCATCACCCCAGGCATAGTAGAACTAGTGCCATAGTGGGGGAAGAACAAAGACTTGTTTCTTTTGGTGCAGTTAGCGAAGATTTCCAGAGGAAAAGAACTTAGAGCGGGGACAAGGATGATGGGGACAGGGGAAAACAATCCAGCAGTGCAAAAGCTGGAAATGGGAACTCGTGTGGAAGAGTGGCCAAGGGAACACATACTGGGGCTCTGCACTTACATGTGCCACTGTCCTGCAAATGAAATGGAAATGTGCCACTCATTTAATCAGTGAGGGCTGCTAAACCACACAATTCACACCAGTTAAGTACATACGGACCTGGAGGATTTGCTCAGCCTCATGATATAGTGAAGAGGAGACTGTCCTCTAGAGAGGCGATATGGTATGATGGAAAGAACGTTGGCTTCTGAGTCAGATCGGTGCTCTTCTTCCCTCATTTGCTACCTGGGCAATATTGAGAAAGACTTTCACCCTTTCTGATCTACAGTTTCCCCACCCATACATGAGAATAATAAAACATAATTTCTGAGGATTAGTGATATGTATCTAAAGATTACACAACCAAAACAGCAAAAGGAAAGCCAAACTACAAACCGGAAAAAGTATTTGAGATGTATTTGGCAAAGCAATGATTTCATTAATACAGAAAATATTCCTACAAACCAATAAGAAAACGGCCATCAAGGCTGTAGAAAAAT
Organism: Homo sapiens; assembly: GCF_000001405.40. Classification (NCBI taxonomy): domain Eukaryota; kingdom Metazoa; phylum Chordata; class Mammalia; order Primates; family Hominidae; genus Homo; species Homo sapiens. The sequence goes on along the minus strand of NC_000015.10, from coordinate 94,741,160 downwards.
GTATAAAGGATATAATCAGAATTAACAGAAAAAAGAAATATAAAACAACATTTTATATTTGAATACATCACATTTTAAAAATATTTTCTGTCCCTCATATTAAAACAAATAAAAATTAAAATCACAATACCATTTTCCATCTTTTAGATGATCAAAGTCAAAACATTTACCATCACTTCATGTTGAGGATGGGAGTAGATAGTTTTAGCAACGTCTATTTACAATTTTAAAATACATGGTCTATAACCCAGCAATTTCACTTTTGGAAATTTATCATGCACACTGACGTGTGTGCAAAGAAGTATGTATAAGAATGTTCACTGCCACCTATTATGATATAGCAAATTACTTGAAACAAATGCCTATCAAAAGAGATCTGGTTCAATAAGTCAAGGTAGAAGGAAACAGTGTAATACAAAGCAGCTGCTAAAATGAATGCAGCAGCTCATTCATGCATTGTTATGGAGTGATCTCCAAGCAAGCACCAGGGCAATGACACACTATATTTACATATTGTTGCTTGCATATGCATATAATATCTCTGGAATAATACACAATAACCCGGTGGCACTGGTTCCCTCGAGAAAGGAAAACTGAGTAACTTGAGGACAGAATGGGTGGCAGTTTTGACATTTTGAATTTTATATTAATAACATATAAATACATTTTAAAGGAGCAGAAATGTTAAAAATATAACAAATGGGGCCAGGAGTGGTGGCTAACGCCCGTAATCCCAGCACTTTGGGAGGCCAAGGTGGGCGGATCACGAGGTCAGGAGATAGAGACCATCCTGGCTAACACGGTGATACCCCATCTCTACTAAAAATACAAAAAATTCACCAGGTGTGGTGGCGGGAGCCTGTACTCCCAGCTACTCGGGAGGCTGAAGCAGGAGAATGGCGTGAACCTCTGAGGTGGAGCTTGCAGTAAGCGAGATCCTGCCACTGCAATATATATATATATAAAACAAGTGGAATATAAAGAACAAATCTATGATATTTTCTGATTTGTACAGCTTAATATTGGATGTGTTATTCAGAAGGGTGTTATTCAGTAGGCTTGAACATCTACTTTTTCATCCAGTGTGCCTTGTGATGAATGTCTCTTTTTACACCTTGGGGCAGCCTATCAGTGATAAAGACGTGTCATAATTAATATTGGGGCAGAATTAATGGATGAGGTTAGTCCATCCCATAGCCTGTTGAACTACACTTAGAGTTTTGTGTATTTATATTCCATAGTAATATAAATAGAGTAGAGCAAAAGATAGGCTAACTGCAAATTCCAGCTTCATCCACAACTTGCTTGCTGTGTGACCTTTGGTGACTTCTTAACCTCTCTGAACTTACCGCATTCACAAATTAGAGGGAAATACTCCTTTTACTTATAATGAGAGGTCTAAATGAGACTATGAATTTACAGTACAGCAATGGATTTACAATTGTTCAGTTTTGCTACTACACCCGGGAAGCAAAGAATTATTTGCTTTTTGTATGCCTTCTACTTACCAAAGTAAGTAGCAAAGATAGCATTGAGATATTGCTGAGCCACTTTGCTCTTTTAGATTATAATTTTTCAAAAGTCATAATGAAAGCATAAATTGTTCTTGGACTCTAGCTTTGACTCAGGCAGTCACTTTCAACATAATCTTGGAAAAGTCACTAATTCTCTCTGCTTCAGTTTTATCATCTGGAAAAAGGTGATAGTTATAACAGCATCATCTATCTCATGAAATTGTACGTTTCAGGTGCATGTGAAAAAGTATATTTACACATGGCTATTTAAGTCAAAGACCTTTTAGTAAGTAAACCAATGTAACTGATTCACACCACACAAAATGTTAATCCCTGCAATGAGTAACAGGCTGGGGCATTTTTCAGGGAGGGTCAAACCATACACACATCCCAGTCCCCATCTCTGCAGTAAGGCTTTTGTGGTAAGCAGACTACGCATGTAAAGTCTTTGTGTATCTATACCAGCCTCCAACCAGCTCGCCCTGCATGGGTGTCAACATCATATTTTAATGGGTAATTGACAAGCAATTGTGAGAGGGATATTGTCTTGTAGAGGTCTGAATAATGGTTGAAAGAGGTTCTGATTGGATCTGGAGCTAATAAAGGACAGGAAAAAGAGGGATAAAAGATCACAATTATTTTGTGGGATTTACAGCCCAGGGATTCATTAAAAACCCTGGGGGTGGGGAGTCCAGGACTTTCCTGCTGCAAGGTGGTTAGGCTAGTTTAGGGGAAGCTTGAAGAAGGATGACACTGGTACAATTGGGCAGAAAAGGCCCAATATCCCTGATCATTTGGCCAGGGGCAGAATGAAGGCAAGGGTGTAATTGATCTCAGGGACTGAGAAGAGACTTAAGGAACTAAGGAAAGATGGCTATTAGATTTCCTTTCTTAGCTGACCCAACTAGATCTGAACTCAGCCTATAAACATGGCATTTTTCTACCTGATAAAGATAATGATCTACTAAATAATCCACATATACTCTGCACTCAAAAAACTAGTATGACTTTTTTTTCTTCTTCTTTTTTTGAGATGGAGTCTCCCTGTCACCCAAGCTGGAGTGCAATGGTATGATCTCGGCTCACTGCAACCTCCACCTCCCAAGTTTGAGCAATTCTCCTGCCTCAGCCTGTCAGGTAGCCAGGACTACAGGCACATGCCACTGCACCTGGCTAATTTTTGTATTTTTAGTAAAGACGGGGTTTTGCTATGTTGGCCAGGCTGGTCTTGAACTCCTGGCCTCGTGATCCACCCGCCTCGGCCTCCCAAAGTGCTGGGATTACAGGTGTGAGCCACTGCACCTGGCCGACATTATTTTCATATTAATACTTTGCTGTTAAAAGTCATTATATTGCATGGATTTTTAAGGATAATCCTAGTTTCAAATATGGTATTATTTTGGCCCCATCAAGATAACTTGGGGATTTGATATTTGCACAACTTCTGACTAGATAAATCAATTCAGAAAGCACTACGTTAAAAAGTATATATTTGTGGCAAAAGATTCTCATAAAATAATCAATATTTGGAAAATACCTAGGTACTCAAAAGACCACCAACTCTTGCATTTTAGCTTCAAATGTCAGTGGTATGACCATGTCTTATGATGTTATTTGCCTTAGAGTGGAATTATTTGGACTATCTGCCACTATAGAAACCCACATGACTGAGCCTGCAAAACTGAGCTGGATGAGTACAATATAAAGAGAAAGTAAAGTTTTCCCAGTTGCTTCTTAAACACAGTCATTTTGCCTGCCAATCAAATCATTTAAAGTGTTCCAGTCCATTTAATTATTATGTTTTATTTTAACTTCAAAATGAGTACAAGGGGCAGTGAAAGAAATGCATGTTACAACAGGAAAACTTCGGGAAAATTATACATTAGAAAAGAAATACTCATATACCTATATTTTGGTTCAGAAAATGTTCCAGACGTTAGCCTGAACAAAAGTGCCCCCGGTTTCTAAGTTATGGCAGCGGCCAGAGAAGCAGGCTGACAATGTCAGCAGGGCCTTGGAAGGATTGTGAAGGCAGGATAAGCAGCAGGCCTTTTGGATGACAGCTCAATGTGAAACCAGAAATCAGCCTCCATCCAGCTCGCCCTGCATGGGTGTCAACATCAGAAAATGCTCCATCACACAGCTCGTAGAAGCACAGCCTGATGGACACCGAGCCTGACCTTGCTTCCCCAGGAGACAGTTCCTCCAGGTCGTGGGTGAGGGAGACTGGCAAGGGTCACTGAGCGGGGCGTGCAAGTACAGCTGCTTGCTCAGAATCCATCCCCTAATCAACAAGACTCAGCCTCAAGGGGTTGTCATGCCAGCCCTTCCACCGGCACTCACTGAACAGGCGAAAAGCAAGGCCTAGAAAACACACTCATTCTTAAAGATCCAAAGCTGTCTGGAAAGGAAGTGAGAGTCCAGGGTGGATGGGCAGGCCAAGCTAGCTGGTTGTGATGAGCTGGCTAAACCTGAGACTAAAAAGATCTTTGCTTCACAGTGGTGCAAAGAAAGAGGAAGAGAAATGATGGACGGACGGACGGACGGACGGACGGATGGATGGATGGATGGATGAACAGGCAACAGGCAAACTAAGATAGGTAGATGATAGATAGATAGATAGATAGATAGATAGATAGATAGATAGATAGATAGATAGAGATAGATGGATAGATGGATAATATATTTATGTCTGTCTCTGTATCTTTATGTCTATAATTCTATATGTACCGAAGGCTTTGTCTCTTCTTCCGCATGTAGTTCACTTGAGGCACACCAGCTCAGGCGGTAGGCAGTAAGCACATCAATTCCCCCTTTTACATGATCAGAGATGTTTAACTTTCCCGGTTGACTGCTTCAGAATGAAATCTTGCCTTCTGACCTCCCACGATATGCAGAATCCTGCAGGGTCCTAGAGGTACAGGTGGGACTTTCTAGTTTATTGGGTAGCTGGAGACTGCTTGGATTCAGGGCAGGGGAAATGACACATCCTGCCTCTGGAAGGGGAGCCATCAGCTGCACATGCCCTGTGCCTTTAGCAGGTACTTCAATGCCAAAGGAATTAAGGCTCATTATTCTCTTTGCTTCCCTCTGCCTGTCTCTTCCTTCTCACTGTGCACACAGGCCCCTTCCTCTGTGCTCCACCTTTTCCTCTCATTACATTTATGTTCAGTGACTACTAGCTGGCCTGGAAGTGGAGATGTCAAGCTGAGCCTGCAAAGCTAGCAGTTTGTGAGCCCTTCCAGCTGGAAAGAAGTAGGACTTGATGATGGTCCTTCCATGTGGAAAAAAAAGAAGAGATATGTTTCTCATACATTTGTCTAAATAGATTACATGCATTTAGGTGAATTATTTCTGACACCTACTACATTTGTCCTGATTGGTTGCCCATCATGGAAAAAAAGAAAAGAAAAAAATGGTGGGGCATAGTCACATGAAATTCTACAGGCTCACATAGAATTCAAAATTAGAGGCTGAATTAATGAATTCACTTATTGAGTCAATAGAAACTCAGGTTAGAGCAGACACCGTGTTTCACTTGTACATCTGTGTTCTCCGTTTAGTATTAACAACAGCACAAATGTTTTCATGCTCTAGGGGCTACTTACCTATTTCTACATGTTTTGATTTCACAAACTTCTAGTAGAACAAATAGATAGGTGAAATTTATCAAGAAAAATGATAATGGTAATCGCTAATATTATTGAGTGCTTAAGTGTGCTTAATGAGTATTACTAATCCATGCAACAATAATTACCTAGATTATCTTTACACCTTACGATAACCTTGAGAGTTAAGAATTATGATGACAACCTCATTTTATAAATAAGAAAACTGAGGCACAGAGAGGTTAATGGCATGTGTAAAATCTCACGAGGGCACAGCATGGACCCAGTCAATCAGACTCCTGGGTCCGCTCCACTTACATACCACGTTATACAGCATCCTGTTATTTTTACTGATGATTGGCCTGGGTAAAACATCAATCCGAAGCTTCCATTGGTTTGGCAGAATAGTTAAAGGCAATTTTAAATTAAAGCACACATTTTGCTCATTTATTTTCATTTTGTCCATATTGTAGGTAAGAGGCATTAGTACCATTTTACAAATGAAAAAAAAATGCAACAAGAAACCACTGAGAGACTATCCCATAATCAAGACAGGGACATTTTGAATTAAGATCTTTGAACTTATAGTTGTAATTTCATGTAACAGGATTAATTCCATCTTCCTGCACTGGGACAAGAAAGAAGGAAAAGGCCAGCTCCCTGTATTCAAAGCAATAATTTTGTAGGAGGAGAATCAAAATGGAAGCAAAGAGAAGACTGAACTTGACATCCAGTAATGCAGCTTAACTACCTCTAAATGATAGACTGTCAGCAAACTTCATTCACACCGGATCCTAAATTTGAAAACAGGCTTAAGAAAGAATGCTATTGTGAGAACTTTAATGAGTAGAAAGCCTCTTTGATTCTATAAAGTCAAAAGAATCTCTATCACATTCTAACCATGTTTCTATCATTGGACCAGTGAAATCTTCCCTGGGTATAAATGTGAACAGGAAACAGAAATACTCTAGAATAACTCTAAGTAGATAAGTACATCTGCTTTCTGTTTAAGACACGATTCACTCACTGCCCTGCTTTTGCTGTCACTGTGAAACTACCTGCATTTCACAGTGAAACAATGACACAAAGGGTTAAATGACCTACAGCCTGGTGAAGGTAATGACAAAATTTGTTAAAAGGAACAAAAATAGTGTTACTTCATTTGCTGTATACAGAACAGTTACCTAAATCAATGTAGCGGGTTAGCTAGAGCAATGTATACAAATTATATGCTGTGGAACACTAGTCCATAAAAATATTCCAAAAAATATATATTCCTTATTGAAGTACCTGTAGGAAATACCACATACTCTGCTTGGAATCCATTGTGAACTACTTTTCAAAATTCAAAGAGCATTGTTATTGCCCACAATTATTATTAAACAACTATTAAAAGCCCTGATAAGTCCTGCAGTACAGAAACTTTACAACTTTCTTTAAAATAATGTTTCCCCAGATGATTTGTCTCTTTGAAGTTATGCCCATAGGTACCATATCCATTCTGGGAAGTCTTCATTTGGGTGAAGACATTGGGTTAGAGGAGTTTGTCTTTGCTTCTTCCCTTTCTGTAGTCATATTACATGAGAAGTTCTACAGGCTTATAATAGACTCCCTTTCTTTATGGAAGAACCTATGGTGAGGTATAATTTGTATAGCTACCTCTGTATCTTTGGATCAGCCTGGGCCACTAATTAAATAAAGATCTCATTGTAGCCCCAGCCTTCATATTTGGCCATCTCAAAGCTATTGATATAGAAAGTTGTGGACTTTCTGGCTTTGATCCTACCTATACTCTCTGCCTCCCTATCTAATAACGTCTTTTCCCAGATGCTAGTGTTTTGCCTTTGCCATTCCTGGTCCAAGTTTGTCCTAAACTTAGGTTTTCTGTTGATTTCGTTTTCTGGACCTAGGTTTGTTCTTACCCTATTTTCTTTCTTTGACCATGTCGAGCCATTCCTGGTAACTTGCCTGCTAAGACCTCAGCCCAAGGCCCAACTGCAGCATTGCGCTCAGAAACCAGTTCCCCTCTTGAAGGAAAATCAGATATTACTGCACCACTCTAGAAATAAAATTACTGCACCAATCACTTAGAGATCTTGGGCCTGTTATAATTCCACACATAGACAGTGCTGTCTATGATGCTGGGCACAACACAGCTTTCCTAGCCCTCAATTTATTGGTCTATAAAATGGTGAAATTCTTGTCTTCCTTTATTATAGCTCAGGGAGGACAAAAAAATCACCACATAAAAAGCATTTTCTTTGATTTTAATGCATCTTTGCCCTTTCTCTCTCTCTCTCTATGTATATGTGTGTGTGTATATATATATATACATACATACATACATACACACACACACACACAGTTAACCAAAGTATTTTATTTGCATGGCTCTTGATAGTTTACAAAATAGTGTCATATACACCATTTACATTTCATTCTAATGAATCTGGGCAAAGAGGTGAGGTAGGGATTATGATGGTGAATTTTCAGATGAGACAACTGAGACACAAAGAGGGCCAGTGAGTTGCTCACAGTTGCACAACTGGTGAGAAAGGCTGCTCTGAGCACTAGGGAAAAGAGCTAACGTATGCTGGGCTTAATACCTAGGTGATATGCTGTTAGGTGCGGCAAACCATCATGGTGCACGCTTACCTATATAACAAACCTGCACATCCTGCATATGTACCTTGGAACTTAAAAAAATTATAAAAGAATTATTTTTTTAAAAAAAAGGAAAAAAGAAAGGCTGCTCTGAGACACCTGTGTCCTGGCCAGTGGGTGTCTTCTTCGATGCAGTAGGAACACTGCACACTAGGGCTGGTGACTTGGTGACATTCTACTACAAAGCAGCCTTAATGATAAACTTCCCACAGAATGCATTCACTCTAAATAAAGGAAGGATGATCACAAAATTTACAGCTGCTTTCTTCTCATCAAAAGGAAATATTCCATGAATACCTCTTCCCAAATTTTATGCCAAAAGCTGCGTTACCTCTAGACACCTGTATGTCTGAGGGGTGGCAGGTGAGCTAAATTGTGGTATAAAAATGACTTGCTTTGTGAGGTAGAAATAAAAAAGCAAAATGTTCATTCATGCATTCGTTTGTTGATTTATTCAGTACATTTCAAAAGTAATTCTATGTCAGATGTTCTTGTAGACACTGGTAAGACAGAAATAATCAAACCGGAAAGGTGTCTTCTTCTAATAGAACTTACCTTCTAGAGGAGAACCAGATTATACACCAATAAACACACAAATAAAGGGGATGCTTCCCCCCCTCCCTCCCACTGCAAGCTCCACCTCCAGGGTTCACGCCATTCTCCTGCCTCAGCCTCCCAAGTAGCTGGGACTACAGGTGCCCACCACTGTGCCCAACTAATTTTTTTTGTATTTTTAGTAGAGACGGGGTTTCACCGTGGTCTCGATCTCCTGACCTTGTGATCCGCCTGCCTCGGCCTCCCAAAGTGCTCGGATTACAGGCGTGAGCCACCGTGCCTGGCCAGGGGATGCTTTTTTAATATTAAGAAGTCTAAGAAGAACGTGTGACAGAGTCATGGAGAGAGTGACAGTTGGAGCAGGGGAGTTCAGCCAACATCACTGATGAGCATATTCAGTGAAGTCCTCTCTGGGGAGAACAATGCTGCTACCTTGGAACCAGGAGAGCAGGCCAGTAGCAAGGAAGAACTGGACCCGCTATTAGCTGGTATAAGCTCAAGTGCACCAAGCTGAGCTCCTGCTCTTCTGGGTAAGAAAGTGATTCTGTAGATTCTTCTGAAAAAAAAAAAAAAAAAAGAAATCAACACAAATCAATTAGAAATCAACATTTATAGATGTCAGAGGTCAAAGGGCTAAGAAAAAGGGTGTTTTGGAGGAAAGAGAAAACATGGAGGATGACCCTGTGTTCTACATTTGAAAGTCTTCCACTTTCACTGTGAAAGGAGAAAGAGCAAAAGAAAACGATGATTATCTTCATCGAACGGGTCAGGGATGGTGTGCTCGCGAAGCAGAGCCAGGGTCAGTGGTTGCTATCTTTGGGCACCATTAAGAATGCTCTTGTTTACGCAATTTGAACGCTGACTGCTGAGGAGTTTTAAGCTATTCAATGAACGTCTTCTGTCATGTTCATTTTCAAAAGGATATAATTTGCTATCCAAACTGTAACATACTAACTTTCAAAGAAAGTCGCTGTGGGTAGGTGGAGATGGCACTCTGTTTCCTAACTGGTGATTAGCAAATTTATTGCATGATAAACCATTTTCAGTGCAGTTTTGAAAAATAAAAACATGCTTCTTCCTGAGTAATTAGTTGCTCTTTACCGCCAACAAACTGTAATTTTTATTTCTTTTACACAAGCCCATTTATTAGGAGAGAGAGCTAGCAAGCATTTATGCTTTTGTGTTTATACTGCAAAGAAGGCATGGCATGGAAAACCTGCTATGAGAATTGTGAATGCCGTTATATTTTAAAATCCACATTAATTATAGATCCACTTATTCTGAGAAAAGACAGGAATTGCAGCAGGATGGTGGTAGGGGGAGGGATTCATGTATAAATTGCCTCCCAAGGACCCCACTGAAATTTCCATAACATTCACCACATGACATTGATGTGTGAAAATTGACATGAAGATTTGAAAATTGGGACCGAGGGAGCCCAAGCATAAAATAACTTCAATTTTGCGCTCTCTCTGTCTCTCAGAGGAATAGCATGTAGAACTGACCAACACAACACAAACAAGTGAAGGGGAAAAAATAACCCAGGGAGAAGAATAGGAGTTATTAAGGAGAAAACACACTTCTCACTCACAGAGAGAAAGGATGATCAATGGATTTAGTCACAGAGAAATTCAAGCAGAAAATTGCTGCTGTTTTTTATCTGAACAGCAGAAAGTTTAACCAAACCAGAATTTTCAAGCCTGAGGAAGGCATCTACGACTACCTGTGGACAAAAGTCTGGGAGATGGGTCTTTGAACCAGAGGAAAATGGCCAAGTCCTCTTACTCTTTACTCACGTAAAGAGAAGATTTTTGATAAAGGAGGCTTTGCATCTGAAATCTTCTAGGTCAAGGCTAACATCCCTTACAGCTCAAAATAGTTTAAAGTGTATAAAATAAATAATCTGCTCAGTTCCAATGCCTGCCCTTGAGTAAAAATAATACCCTAAATAGCATCCAAAATGAATGTGAAAATGGTACACAACCCATGGACAGTCTACCTGCTAAGAATGACAAATGTAAAATCATTACTGACAATATGGGATGTTCCAGCAATTCCTCACCTGGCAAAAATATTTAAAGAGGAGCTCATATCACACTATGTCAGATACTACACTTTGAAGCTTGAGAAAAACAGAAGAAATAAGGAAAAAAAAAAAACCAACAAATCCCTAATCCACCCAAGACTTTGGCTGTCCTGGGTTACTTTTTTTTTTTTTTTTTTGACGGAGTCTTACTCTGTCACCCAGGCTAGAGTGCAGTGGCATGATCTCGGCTCACTGCAACCTCCACCTTCCTGGTTCAAGCAATTCTCCTGCCTCAGCCTTCCAAGCAGCTGGGATTACAGGCACACGCCATCACACCTGGCTAATTTTTTTTGTATTTTTAGTAGAGACGGGGTTTCACCATGTTGGCCAGACTGGTCTTGAACTCCAGACCTCAGGCAATCCGCCCACCTTGGCCTCCCAAAGTGCTGGGATTACAGGTGTGAGCCACTGCCCCCGGCCCCTGGGTTACTTCTGATGCAAGAAAATTGAGAACTCAATTACCTGAATTGCATAGTTTTGAGAGAAAAATAGCTGCCCACAATTGGAGGACAACTTCAAAGAAGGTCATGTCCAGCATCAGGATTGTAAGGCTTGGAATGAACAGAATGTTCCATGGAATTGTCTACCTTCTATTCCTCTGAGACTGAGAACATGAAGTAAACAGTTTGTCCTTCCTCCATAAAGCGTTTTACAATTTCCAATAGTATAATAGAGTGTAAAAGCAATTTGGGAAAAAAAAAAAACAAAACTAATGAAATAACCCAGCCCTGAGAGTTGTATGACTTAACATAAAAATGCCTTTCTTTTCCCTGTTGTAAACATCCAACACAGGTGTTCTTGGTTGTGACACAGCCTTCTTCATGGGGATTCAGGGACCCAGACTCCTTACATATAACTCTGTCCTCTTTGGGGGCCTTGAAAACCTTTGCATTCAGCCAGTGTTTGGGGAAACAGAATGGCGGGTCAGTCATGGGAGGTTTTTAAGTTTCTTTGTTTATTTTCAGCTTTGTTTTTGTTTTTACAAATCAAATATATTCTGACTCTGTGCTTGAACTCTCCAGAAATTGAGAAATTAGATCTCCGTCTTGTCTGGAATTTCCCTGCACTTCTGTGCAGGTACCCAAGGATCAAGGCAGTGGGGATGGCAGAATGCTATCTGGACTGTAGACCATCATTATGACAGCTAAGATTCTCATTGCTTAAGCTTATGTGGGGCAGTGACTCACGCCTGTAATCCGAACACTTTGGGAGGCTGAGGCGTGCGGATCACTTGAGCTCAGGAGTTCAAAGCCAGCCTAGCCAAAAAATGAAAGCCCATCTCTCCAAAAAATGCAAAAATTAGCTGGGTGTGATAGTGTGTTTCTGTAGTCCCAGCTACTTGGGAGGCTGAGGTAGGATTGCATGAGCCCAGGAGTTCACGGCTGCAGTGAGCTAAGATTGCCCCACTGCACTCCAGCCTGGGCGACAGAGTGAGACTCTGTCTCAAAACAAAACAAAAAGCTTATGTGGTCCATTTAAAGGTGGGTGGCTTTACTGCTGTCCTGTCAAACATTGGTATGGCATCTTTGGAGACTGTTCCCAAGCCACCCCTCTGAATGTTCAGGACAGGTTTGTAACTGCCACGTTCTTCCACTTTTGTTCCATTGGCTAGAAGTCATGCGGCCCGATCAAACCATAGGGAAGACTAGGAAATGCTGTGCCTCTCTGGGCCCAGAAGCAGCAAAACAATCTCTACCCAAATCTTCCTCCCGACAAACCCAAGACCTACACAGAGTAAATGTTATTTCCCATTTTGTATATACAAGTGGAACTCAGAATGGTAAGACGACTTCCCTGAAATCATAAAGACTCGAACTGGTTTCTCGAGTCATAGTTCTTTGATTTTCCTCTGATACCCCTCAGCTTCACCGAGAGTATCGAAATGGCCCGAGAGAGCAAGGGTGGTATGATGAAGGTTATCAGAGATAATTTTGTTATCTCTGCAATCCCTGTTACCCTGCTCAGGAGAAAGAGCATCATGAGTTTTCTAGAGGATTGAAGATCTACTAGGTAAAGTTTTTAAAATTGACTAGAAAATCATAAGCTTTTGGCAAGACTAATTCATCATCTCAGATGACTTTAAGGCCAAAAAAAGTGGGCAAGGAAATCTCACACACTTGTGTTCCCGGGAGAGTCATGTCCTTTTCTCACCTGGAATGAATCAGAATAAGTATTCAGATGCCATAAGATGAAAGCAGCACAAGTTTATTGCTAAAGAGTCTACATTCTTTTGCCCAAAAGACACTTATTTTCTTTCACCTCAAACAACTTCAGGATATTGCCCCGGGGCCGTGGGAGTATTTTGCTATTTTCTGTGTGAAATATTATATTCCCTGGTGGACACGGACAGATTGTATTACTGTCCATTGATTCCCTTAGTTGACACAGTGAACAGTGCTGGTGACCTCAACACTTGCGGTTGCATCCAAATGTGGAGCTTTTCTGCCAGAGGACCAAGAAAAAGCACACAGACTGGAAGAGAGCCGTGGAAGCCAAGGCACCATAGCATACCTGAGCTCTGCAGACCAGGGATAGGTAGGTCACATGTTCACCTGCTCAAGTTCTGTTACAGTATTGAAATATAGTCTGGTATGCTGCTGGGCAAAGGTAGCTGATGAAATCCTCATAATTCATGCCACTTACCCAGGGATCACCAGAGACTGAATCCCATGAAACAGGACTTGGTCTCAACTGAGTTGCTCTCTACTATCACATACCAATCTCTTTCTAGAGGTGAAAATAAGCTGGCATAAGGACAGAGAAGAATCTAGCATTTGTTTTATTTTATTTTTCCACTAACATTAGAGCTCTGATACTTTTCTGAGGTGCAAAAACTTCTAGAGAGGAATAGAATGCTATGAGAAGAGAGCTATAGTCTCAAATATCAGCAGAATGACTCTCCTCTGGGTTCATTTATTTTTTACTTTGTGCTGCGTTAGGTCTGTGATTTTCCCTAAGATGATGATCTACAAGACTGGCTGTTTGCATGCTCTGGATCTCATTTATTAGGAAGTGAAGTATGTAATGGTGAAAAATAGCTCAACGGGTTTCCTCTTTCTCTGGGGTATCTCTGCTGCAGCACGGCTCGTTGCACACACAGTCAGTGCCACAGAAATAAATGGAAGGGAAACAGAGTTCTCGGGATGTACAGAGTGTGAGAGCCTCCTCCGCACCTGCTGGAAGCCTGAGACAGCCTCAGAACCTCCTCTTTTTTGCATGGGACTTGGAAGTGAGAACGATCTGGGGTCACTATGGTGGTGTCTGCATAGGCACGTGTGAGACCCACGCTCAGTCATTTATTTTCTTGGAGTGTGTGAGTGTGTGTGTGTGTGTGTCATGTAGTGTAGTCTCAGCTCACAGGGCTGATGGGGGAAAGCAGGCTTCTCCATCTCCCAGTCTGCAAGATGCCTTTCTCAGATCACCTTGAGGACTTGCCGTTAGTGAGCAGAAAATCCCTGAGTGCTGTGGAAAAGGGATTTAAAAGACTTAGTAGAAGGAGAAGACTTGGAGTTTTGTCTTGTGAAAAATCTTTATAAGATGAATTAATAATTTATACTTCTGCATTTCCAGCTATGTATGAAACACTGTTCTTTATTGACGTGACTCCTCAAAACACTTGTCACTCCTATTTTAACACTGATATTCTAGAATACTGACATAGTTAAATGACTCCTCAAAGTCATGTGGTAGGCGCAGAGCAGAACCCCTACATGACTCTGTCTAGATCCTATTCTCTGCAGGCAGAAATGTTTATTCTTCTGGCCATATCATTGCTATTGATCAATATCAAGGTACTCTGTTTGTGTGTTTAGCTTTCTACTGGGCAGTAGGAAAGATGGACAAAGTGTTATGACATAGATAACGAGTATGTGCTGATGCAATCTATAAAGTTAGAAACACACACACACAAACATACACATATGCAGAATACATTTTGAAAGCATCAGAATTATAGGACATAAGACACAAATCACCTCTCTGCACCCATCGCTGGATGAGGCATTCCATATGCCTTGCTTCTTTCAGCCTCATAGTCCCTTTGAGATTCTGTGGGGATGTTAGGATGCCCCTGTCACTGATGAGAAAACAGAAGCTCAGGGAAATTAACAAATTTGTTGAAAATTCCACTGCTCCTCAGTGAGAGAACCAGGATTTCTACCCAAGCTGTGATGTCACAATACCAGACTGACTCAAAAACACCTATGTAAAAGGAGGGGTAGGGAGACTGAACCAAGGAGACAGGAGATGAAGATTCCTCCATGAACCATTACATTGTAAGGATGTCTAATGTTCAGGGGTACTCCTCTGCAAGGCACTGAGGTTGCAATTCCTACACTCATCTGCTCTTAATTTCTAAAAGCCAGTAGAAACTCACAGGGTCATGTACTCCACCCTTTGTGTGGCAGTTGAGGAAACCAAAAGTCAAACAAGTGAAGTGCATTTTTTACAGGGTTGTATAGATAGTGAGGAAGATGGCGCTAATATCTGGGTCTTCTTGATGTCTTGCTGCTCCTGACTCTGAAGAGTCTTAACAGTGGATTCCGCCATCTCTTTAGTTGCCAGGATGGAATCCACTTTTCCGGAAGATAGTGTAGGGATCGGGGTATGATCAGTCTTCTTTCTCCACCACTCATGCAAGGCCCTCAGTGAAGAAAACAGTGGCTGTGAAGAAGGAGACTCATTGCAGAGTCAAGGTTATGGGGCATGTTGAGCTTCAGGGAGAGACACGCTGAAAGTCCAAGGTTTTTTTTTTTTGGTTTTTTTTTTTTTTTTAGACCAAGTCTTGCTCCATGGCCCAGGCTGGAGTGCAGTGGTGGTGGATCTTGGCTCACTGCAAGCTCTGCCTCCTGAGTTCATGCCATTCTCCTGCCTCAGCCTCCCAAGTAGCTGGGATTACAGGTGCATACCACCACGCCTGGCTAATTTTTTTTTTTTTGTATTTTTAGTAGAGACAGGGTTTCTCCGTGTTAGCCAGGATGGTCTCCATCTACTGACCTCGTGATCTGACTGCCTCGGGCTCCCAAAGTGCTGGGATTACAGGCGTGAGCCACGGAGCCTGGACTATTTTCCAAGTTTCTTACAAAGTTTTTACAAAATAACTCATATCTTTATTGTAAAATTAAATAAATACCATCTACCCTCCAGATACGGCCTCTCTGTGAAGTCTTCTTTGACCACACCTGGCCTGGTTGGTTTTCCCTTCCTTGAAGGCTTATAGCACTCAACGTATATGTGGCACGTCCTTTGACATTTATTGTATTTCTCATCCAATATTCATTCCCCTTCCTGCAACAACTGTACCCTGATTCTTCAAGGGACCTGCCATTTTCTCACTCTGGAGGAGTAGATGTCACAATCTGGCCCCAGAATTGGAGCAGGCGATTGATGTGGGCTAAGCCAGTTACACTATTTTATCCGTTTTATCCGCAGGGCCACAGAGATGGGTCCATGACAAAATTTGTGTCAACACTTGTCAATCCTAGGGGTTTTCTTTTGAGTTCTCAGGGGAGTAGACTCCCTGTGTATCACTGACCATGAAGCTGAACACATGCAGTCCCAGGAGCTGCTGGCAGCCACGTGCCCACCAACAATCAAGAGCTAAGAATTGGGCAACATCATGGAAGGAAGACTGTGGGGAAAAAGAAACTGAGTCCCTGCTGAGGCTTGTTGCTTACCTGAGGCCAACCATGCCCTTGAACTCTTCTCTTTTGTGAAGAGATACATTCTCTTTACTTTTAAAAATTCATTTTATTGAATCTTCTCTTCCTTGCAACCTGTAAATATATTCATATTACAAAGTCCCAAACTGTTTCGTTCATGTGATTATATTTACAACCAAGTTGACCCTCATTTAACAAACATGTCCTAAGCATCTTCTCATAGTAGTCAAGATCTCAAGACCTGTGAGAATAAGCTAATTTAGCCACCTTCTTATCCTCACAAGCCTTGAGATTCTGCTACATGCTACTGGTCTGCCTTCTCTGACAGAACAGAGCTAAATCCATGATACTTCATTAGAACTGCATAAATACATGATAGTTCAAGGATTGACTTGCAAATTCATTTAATAGGGATTGAATGGTATATATCTTCAATCTCAAAGTTTGCATTTCAAATCTTGCTAATGCATTTTTGCTTTAACTCCACATGTCTTCTAGCTTTATAGATTATCTCTACGATATTAATATTTTCTACCCTAAACATGTATATTTCAATGAATGCTGGCATAGCTTTTTTGGGGTCAACTTTTAAGATAATTATACTATAGATTTTTCACAAGCATTGGCTCTTAAGTCTTTATATAATTCAATTCAGCTTGACTTTAGGAAAGAAAGAAAGACAGAAAAAACAAAAAGGAACCCAAATGATCTTCTGCAAAGGACTCCAGAAATACACTAAGAGAGAGAAGAAAGATGAAGTTAAGCTAGCAAATTCTGAAACTGATCTATAGCAACAACAAACATTTTAAAATTTACTTGTAACCTCAGAGAATTCACAGCAAAAATAACTTTAGGTTTGCAATCCAACCCAGTGATTGTACCTCAAATTTACTAATCTTGGCAACTGAAAACAAAATTATAGGGTAGGAGCAACCACATAGAGTACCCCTTATTTGTAATTACTGTAAGTGTGGGACAGAAAAAAAACATCCATGCCAGCTTTCTAAGAACTCATTCTCAGCCAAGAGCACCTGGGGCTAAATTGTGGCTGTTTCACAACATGCTGCTGAATGAAAGGCAGACACAGAGCAGAAAATCCACCTTAGGAAATGTGCTGAACACAATCGTCAGAGTCTGGCTCATGAAAACATTTCCCTCCTTCTCCAGCTATGTCCCAAAACACCCTTCAAGTTTTATAGCCGACAGTGCAGTGTTGGGGAAGGAGTAGGGACTTCACCTTCAAGCCAACTTGACTTTTATCTCTATGAGGCCATTTGCTAGCTCTGTGATGTTGAGAAAGTCCCCTAGACACTCCCAGCCTCATTTTCCCCACTCATACATTGGAGAAGATATAAATATCTCACAGATTTTTTTTGAAGATGAAATAAATGAAGTTGTGTTAGTCTCCTATGAGGGAGAGTAGAGCTGGACATCGTTTCTGGAACTTTTAAGTTCAAAATTAAGTGAGCCATTTTATAACTTGGAGCTAAATTGGCAAGAGGTCTAAAGGTTAGACTAATACTTCTACCCAGCAGTGTTACCTCTGGGAAATATTATCTAACATAAACATGAAGGTGCCCATAATCTTTCTCTGCCTAGTCATTTCAAGAGCATTCAGGAAGCAGTGGGACAGAATTTAGTCTAGATACATTGCTGTGGTGTTAGGACAAGGAAAAGATTTCACATTTCCTAATGAATAGCAACTCATGCCAGGTGCTAGGCTACATGTACAAAACACAACTTTTTAAAAATTATCACCACCAATCTTAAGGAGAAGGCATATTTGTATTTGCACAGATAGAGAAATTTTAGCTGTGATAAGTAACTTGCCAAAATTCACACATCTTTTAATTACAAGAAACAGGATTTATATCTGGACCTTTTTCAGCTTAATTCTAAAATGTATCCACTGTTGTTTAACTAGTTCTATAGGAGTCAGACTCCTAAAGAATTTCTCTCGGGTTGTATTAGTCTGTGAAGGCTGCCATAACAAAACACCATAGATTGCGTGGTTGAAACAACAGAAATTGATTTTCTCTTAGCTCTGTAGGCTATAAAGTTCTATATCAAGATGCTCTACTGATTCAGTCTCTGGCGAGGGCCCTCTTCCTGGCTTCCAGACAGCTGCCTTCTTGTTATGTCCTCATGTGGTGGAGAGAGAGCAAGGGTCTCTTACAAGGACACTGATCCTATCCTATCAGCGCCTCACCTTATGACTTCATTTATCATTAATTACTTCCCTTCTTTTAGACTATCCATATATAGTGACATTGGGGTCTAGGGCTTCAACAGATGAATTTTGGGGGCACTATTCATTCAGCAGTAAGTGTCTTACATGAATTGATTTGTATACATTTGTTTTAAAACTTTTTGCTGTACTCTATCTCAGAGATTCTTCTTTCTTTTCCAATTCAATGAGTTTCTCAATTCTACAGATAATTCCACTATACCATCTATAACATTATAATATCTTCTTAGATCCAACTTTTGTCATCTCTCCCTTTGAGTACCAAAAACCTGCTACAGGTTCTCAGCTTGCAGGCTTTATCTTCTCAAATGCATCCATCAGACAGCCTTAGCACAGACAGTGCAGCTCAGCCTGTCTTAAGACCATTCATTTGCTTAACAAATAAAACACCAGCCCATCTCCATGAACTGGCTTCCAGTGCCTCCCACAGTCAGATCCCAGGCTGGCTTTCTAAGTTCATCTCCTCCTCCTAAAGCTCTTTTGCTTCTCATTAATATAAGTTGCATTGGGAGCTTGCAAATCATTTGTTTACTTATTCACTTAATCATTTATTGAATAAGTATTGAATTTCACTAATGTGTCAGACAGTGTGCTGGGCTTTGAACACCCAGCAGTGAATAATGCAGACTCCGACTCTACCCACATGGAGCATGTTTGACCAGGGAAACAGGCATTAAGTGATCTCACAGGAATTGCTTTCATGCATTGAAGAACCATTATTCTCCAAGTCCCAGCTTAAGGCATACTGCTATGAACGCTGTTCCCAAAGAAAATATTTGAAAACCATATATTTGATAAAGGTCTTGTTTCCAGAATATATAAAACTAAATGATACAAAAATAAAAAAACCAATTTTAAAAATGAAGAAAGTATTTGAACAGATGCTTCATCAAAGAATATAATCAGGTGGTACAAACCATTTACTAGAAACATGAGAATTAAAACTACAGTGAGATGCTGGTATACCTGTAACAGAATGGTTAAAATAAAAGACTGACAATATGAAATGTTGCTGATGACAAGGAGGAGCAGAAAAATGCTCAGATCTTGCTGGTGAAAATATAAAATTGTATAACCACTTTGTGAAACAGTTTGGCAGTTTCTCAAACAGTTAAACATGGCTGGGTATGGTGGCTCCTGCCTGTAATCCCAGCACTTTGGGAGGCTGAGGCGGGCGAATCACCTGAGGTCGGGAGTTCAAGACCAGCCTGACCAACACGGAGAAACCCCCGTCTCTACTAAAAATACAAAATTAGCCGGACGTGGTGGCGCATGCCTGTAATCCCAGCTACTCGGGAGGCTGAGGTAAGAGAATCGCTTGAACCCAGGAGGCAGAGGTTGTGGTGAGCTGAGATGGCACCGTTGCACTCCAGCCTGGGCAACACGAGCAAAATTCCATCTAAAAAAAAAAAAGAGAGAAAGAAAGAGTTAAACATGCCCTTGCCATAAGACCTATCAATCTTGGTCCTAGGCGTATACCCAAGAGAAATAAAAACATATGACCACACAAAGATATGCATGTGAATTAAATATTTATAGTAACTTATTCTCAATAGCCTAAAACTGGAAGGTAACCAAATCTTCATCATCTGGTGATTGGACTAACTAATCTTATATCTATACACCAGAATATTACTCATCAATAAAATAATCCAAACTACTGACATTTGCAATATGGATGAAACTCAGAAGCATTATGCTAAGTGAAAAAAGCCAAAAATAAAACACTACATAATTCCTTTTATTTGAAATTCTGGAAAAGGCAAAACGATAGTGTGAGAAAGCAGTTGTCAGGAGCCAGGAGATGGAGAGAGGGTGCTGACTGCAAACAGGCGCATGGAAACATTTTAAGGTGATGCAACACTCTGTATCATGTAAGTGGTGGTGGCTACACGGCCAAATATCAAGATTTATCACTTTTTTCTCATGTTCTTGATTAAATGTGTAAGGAATGAAGCCCATTTTAGAGAAGGCATATGAGGAAGGTAGAAATAGGAGACACACTCTAATACTTACCTAAATGAGAATATGTACATCAGTTTGTGCTAAATGTAACCTCCTCTTTCCCAGCCCTCCCAGTGACTGAACCATGTTATAGCCATATTTACTAGCACCTTTATGACATCCTTAGAAATCATGTCCTGCATCTGTAAGGTAATGAACCTCCAAGCTGGAACGGCAGGTCCTAGTCACTTTCATACCCACAACATCAATACAGAGTCTTGCACAGAATAGGCTGCAATCAATGCCTGATAAATTGAATTGGCTGCATTGTGCAATCATCACCTTTCACTTTGAAACCAGTCCTTACTCTTTCAAGTAGGAAGGAAAGTCTTATATAACTCTCCAGTCTTAACGAGTCACTACATTTAAATTTCTGAAATGCTAGCTTTGTTTTTGGCAGATCCCTTAATAGGAGTTTTGGCTGAATGACAGTCTAGAAAAGACCAAGTCTACACAATAGATAGGGAAGACTGACGCCAACATTGAAGGAACAGATATATGCTTTAATCAGAGTGTATGAGAGAGACGTGGTAGGTGTCTTATATAAGAAGAAACTAAAACACAAGTGAATATTGTTCTACTTTGATACCAGTATGTTGACACACTGTACCTTCCTTTTAGAATGCTGTTGATGTATTTCAACTGAGAAAATATAGTTATTATATAAACTGATTCATTTAATAAGGGGTTTAAGGATAAGACTGTCTTATTTTTCCTCACATCCTCAGAGTCTAGCATGACATACAGTAGGCACTTAAAAATGTTTGTCCAATAAGTAAATAATTGAATGAATGATTATTTCAACTGAACACATAACCTACCGATGAGAAACCTGAAGCCCAACATGGTTCATGCACACCCCTAGTCATTGAGATGTGATGAGTTTTACCTGTTCCTATGTATTTACATTGATATCTTTTCATCTGGATGTGTAACTCTGGGGAGTGTGTATGGGTCAGAGATTGCAGTGGTGGAAAGAGATAGCCAGAAGGTACAAGAAGAAGGAGGAGTAGGAGATGCAATATTTATTTAGATGAGAATATAAAAACTTATTTTTGTTTGATTCAAAAGAGCACTCTATTTGATTTTGATACCTGGATGACATCCAATTTATTTTCCTTAAGATTTTCTGGAATAGGCAAAAAATCATGCTAATCTCAATTTCAATAGCTAATACTTACAGAGCACTAATGATGAGCTGTGCTCTGTACCAAGAATCCAGCCCTCACAGCAACCCTAGGAGGCAAAGCCCACTTGCCTTCTCCTTCTTTCCTTAACTTCCATTCCCCCAAATAATCAAATATTCCCTAAGAATAGAATCAAAACAATGATCTTTCTTCAGGGAAGAGGTCATATTAAAAATTTGAGGCAACTTTCTATTCTAGGTGAAGTATTAGGATTCATAGCACCTTTGTTGGCACAAACCCCTTAGTCATACCTACAGCCACAGACTAGTTTTCAGTGCTCTCTGGCGGTTCAGTGAGTCTATGTACTTTTCTATGTTCTTAATCCGAGTAGATGATGGCCTGCCACGACGTACAACTCCAGGGGGTGCCATTTAAGTCCTGGTTTATATGGATGGTGCAGTGTGAAGCTGTATGATGTTCATCTTAGGTAGTGTTCAACATGGTGGCCCTGGGTAATATATCTGGATTCTCTGTTGTGTTTTCTTTTTAAATTTGCAGGCGTTTGTTGATCCATTTCCTGACCTGGTAAGGTAATAATGATAATACATAAACCAACAAGTGAACATCCTGTGCAGGTACTTGCCTTGCATTATCTTATTTAGTACTTATGATAACACTAGAAGTAAAAACAATTATCATTCTGATTTTACAGGAAATGAAAGGTAAGCAATGAGCTAGGAATAGTTAACAAAATCTAGAGTAGAACCTGAGCATTTTTATTCTAAGACCCAATATGCTAATTTCAAGTAATCAGGCATCAGTTAATATGCATCTTATAATTCTTGCTTCTGATATTCATTTCTCTTTATGCATTTTATTGGATTGCTTGAGTCATTCACTTTGGCTGCATTGGTGGAGTTGCTAGGAACAACCTCTTTTCTTTGTGCTGAACTCTTTTTTTAAAAAAAATCTCATCTCAAAGTGAATGATAATGATGAGGCTTCCAGGACTTTAAAAGTTGTTCTACTAGAAGAGGTCACTAGGAGCCAAAACCAATAAAGCGCAAGGAGTAAGTTTGGTATCTAGGAACCAAGCCCTCAGCAATGATGGGAAATCATCAGGTCACACAAGGACTTTGCTCAGCTAAAGAAGATTCACCTTCAGATGCCAGGAAAATTTCTCTACCTGGCTTCTGCTTGATAGAACTTCCAGTCTTTGCCATGATTTGCATCTCTTATTTATTTTGCAAATATTTCAACTCAAGTTACAAATATAACTAAGAGAAAATCTGCTCTCTCTATTCTCCTAGGCATCTTTCTGAAGTCAGGTGTTCTTTTGCCCACTTCATGCTAAATTTAGCTTGTCAGTTAATTCACCGTACATTTATAAGGGGTGGAAGCACAGCTTCTAGGGTGTTACCTTTTCTTTTGTTCCTCTGCATCTTTAGAGCTCAAGGATATGGACATCGTCAAAATACTTGACCTAGAAAAATAGTCAAGGCAATGATCTATCCTGCTGGTTGGATTAGGGTGATAAATTACACAAAACGTTTTTCTTTTGCTTCTCAGACTTGGTGTTTCAGGTAGAAACTGGCTTCCTTCCCATGCTACTGGCATTTGAAATTAAAAAGAGGATGATACAGCTCAAGGCATATTAGTACTTCTTAAATGCATCTTCTAAACTACTTTATATAATCAAAGACATGGAAGTATTTTTCTATGCCAAACAAATTAAAGTTAAGCAGAGCTGTACAATAACTGAAATTATAACTTGCAAATGCAGCAACACAACTTAGACATTTTGTTCTACCCAATCATGCTCTCGCATGGATTTTTTAATTGTATCCAGAGATTTTTTCAAATGCTAAATCTAATTCTATAAGAATGCCTGAATCAACATACCATCATTCTAAGTATCTACTATTCACACATAGTAAATGGCTTTTTACTATAGGAGTAGGGTCTCCAATTAGCTGTACAAGGGTCAAATCTTCCCCACTGGTCAAACCCAGCTTATAAGCATGTTATTATTCACGCACATAGCCTTTTTGAAAAATGAACTGACATATTAATCTGAAAATTGCATACAAATTTTGGATATCCAGCTTTTCTTTTAAAAACAAAATATTGAGATCCTGGCTATACTTGGATAACCTTCTTGCAGTCTGCATTTATTTATTCAACAAATATTTCTTGAGCACATGCTGTTTTCCAGGAACTGTGTTCTAGGTGCTAGGCATTAATCAGTGGGGGAGTGGGGGAAAAATCACCGAAAGCAAAAATTTCCTCTTTATGGGGCTTTCATTCTAATAGACAACCTACCTAGAGAAGAGCAGCAGCTTTCCATATAGATAGGTCACTTTTTAAAAATTACACTATAGTGTTTACTCTTCCTGCCTTTTTGGAATTTTCTTCACTAATTCATGTTATCTTTCTATACTCTCATCTCCTACCTTCTGAATTCTTAAGGGCTTATCTAAAGAGACCTGTAAAATATGAGTTCCTACATTGAAAATCCCAGCAGAATAGAGAAAGACAGCCTGAGATGGAAGGGTTCAGATATTGGAGCTGACAGTAAAGGTTCACACCTTGACTGTGTTTCTTATATGCTTTATAATCTTGGGCAAATCACTTCATGTTCATGCCTCAGTTTCCCAATCTATTACATGTGGGTGATAATGATTTCCAACTCATGAAGATTAAAAGAACTAATTATTGAACATACATAGGAAATGGCCTAGCTGATAGACAGGTTTTTTAAATTAAATATAGACTTTTAAAATTATGGAGAATTCTTTCTATCTTTTGCTAAGTAAGGTCAAGGGAAACAGAAACAAGATGTGAAGCCAAGATTTTCCCTGTAGAATTATCAACTGAACAAGTATTCTTCCTCAGAAACCTAAGGCATAAATTCTGATTCAAATATTTCACCACTATGAAACATCAAGAATGATTTCAAATGTCTTTTAAACATATAATGCATGTCTTCTCACTGATACATTTATAATATTTGAGAGCTATTATGTATGATGTGCTAGAGAATGTTGTCATTATTTATGAAATTATTAGCTGTTCTCATGACCCAACTTCCACTTAGGACTTAAATGCAGCATTAACTTGCAAATACACTCCGGTGCTCTCCAGCTGGCAAATACCATGCAAAAGAGGGCCATGGATTTAACAAACAAACAAAACAACCTCACATGAAATGTCTTCCTTTTCTCTTAAATATATCTCTTCCTCTCCATTTCTTATATAGTCCAAATTTTCATCATTTCAGATTCAACTCAAATAAAAAGCATTTATTCTGTCAGACACACTCTGCTACATGTCTTAAATACATTATTTCAGTTAAACTTCGCAGAAGTCTTTGGATACAGTTAGTATCATTTCCATTTACTGATGAGAATGCTGAAACTCAGGAAATGAGGTGACTCGCCCAGGTCTACACAGCTTCTTGTAGCAATGTCGGGCTCCGAAGCCTGGTCTCCTAACCCTGAATCCTCTCCCTTCCACTGGTTTCTGCTGTTTCTTGCCAGGGTCCTCAAAGTGTAGCGCTCACACCAGCTGCATCAGCATTCTCCAGTAACTTGTTAGAAATGCACATTCTCAGGCTCCGCCTCATATCTACTGACTCAGAAGCTCTTGGGACAAGTGCCAGCACTCTGTGAATTTTAACAAGCCTTTCTGGGGGTTTGGATACCCACTGAAATTCAAGAGCACTGACTCAGGCTCATCTTTGCTGACCCACCTGACTTCAGTCTTTCACCCTCTCTGTTGCACCTGTTCTGCCCAGCTGAGCTCTTCCTACATGAATAGACAGTTTTATCACATACCCTTCTGATCATGAACCTACAGTCAGTCTCATCCCCTGCTTTGTGAGGCCACATTGCTGTCAGTTTGGGATTCCCCTTACTCTTACCCTAATCTATGTCTATGTTTTATCTCTCTGCCCTTCAGGCCAGTCAAATCCGGCTGCTCGCTTTGCCATGAAGTGGTCACAGTTATACTATTTCTGTGTCTTTGGATATATTGCTCTTCCTTCTCCACTATTTTCTCCTCAAACAAGCTCAGACCCCACATCTTCCTTCAAGGTCCCATTGAGTGCTTACTGGGAACCCCTACTGGAGCTACAGGACTATGGCTATAGGACTGGGTCCCAACCTAGCTCTGTGACCTCAACTCCTATCACTCCCCCTTCATTATTTTGCTCCAGCCAAACTGGCTTTCCTTCCACCTCACTTTGTCCCACTGTGGGCTCTTTGAATGCCTTTCCCCTGGTTTGGAGCACCCTTCCCCCAAATTGTTCCATGGCAAGTTCTTTCGCATCATTCAGGCTTCACCTTGTAAGTCATTTCTGGAAGAGACTGTCCCTGATCTCCCACTCTCCTCCCTAAGCCCCAAGTCACTCATTCTCAATGCTCTATTTTATCTTCTTCATAACACTTACCACAGTCTGCACTTATGCATATATTTTTGTGTTTGTTGCATGTCTTTCCACAGCTAGAAATGAACACTGCAGGCACTGTAAGTGCTTCATTCTTAGCTTCATTTCCAGCACTTACAACAGTGCCTGACACATAGTACATGCTAAATAACCACGTGTGAATGATTGAATAAATCATTAAACATCTGCCTCACACCATTTCACCATTACTTTGAGCCTGTCTTGCAAGCTGAGCTATTTCCATTCTCAATGTTCATCCTTGTTGCCCTCCTCTACAGTCTGAGCTTTTGAGTAAAGTATACCTGCCTTCCAATGACAGAAGGTTGAAATAAAATAGGTGGAAGTCTAAGGCAGATAGGGGATTCCAATCTCAGCCTTAACATGATTTGCTATGAGATATTGATGTTGATTTTCACACATAACTTCTTTAAACTGTTATGCCATATATTATTATATATAATTGGTGTTTATCTGATAATTGTAAGTCAAATGATATTTGAAGGGCTATAGAAGAGCTATGCATTAGAAGGAGCCATCAAACAATGAATTCCTATGGAAAATAAAAATGCATTTCATAAAGTGACTAATTCCCTCGTAATTTAATTTGGAAGGATAATCCTGTTTTCTTACACCAAGTATATAAACATTTCATTTGTAAATTGAATAATACTGATACTACTAATTTTTAATGCCTATTTATTTTTTGCACAGAATCATACTTGGCAAATTACATATATTACGATGAGCCTATTTAATCTTCATAAAATCCTTTGAGGTTAGCTTTGCTATCACCTCTTTTAGAAGCAAAGAAACCAGGGATCACGTAGGTAGAAAACTTACTTGCTCGGGTTCTCACAGCTAATAATGTTGGAGCTGAGATTGGAATCCCAGATCTGCCTCATACTTCCATCTATTTTATTCAATTTGCAGTACATCTTGCATTATATTTACCCTTGCAACAAAATAGAAATATTTTAATTAAATCAAAAGAACTGGCAATAGAACAGTCAAGGAAAAAACAAAACAAGACAAAAACCTAGCCCTGTGGTTTGGAAGCATTAAGTGTAGCTTAACTAGTTCTAAAATGGCAATGATCAAGTTCACAGTAACATCAGTACTTTTAAAAATAATTAGGAATCTTCTCATTGCCAGGGTTCTGCCAGCTTGTACTCCATCTTAGTTTACACTTTCCATACCGGACAGGCAATACTATTTGAAGTGAATTGCAAAATGAAGGTTCCAGCACCAAATCTTTGCAAACAATAGTAAAAGCTTACATCTATTTACTGCATCCAAAGTGCATTTTTCATATGTTTTTACATAAGTTGTTCTGTTGATTCCTAGGACTTCCACTGAAGGAAGATGAGGACGTGGCAATTCACCATTGGGAGTGGGGAGAAGTGGTGAGATTAGGAGTCTCATCTTCTCATCGGGAGATCTGTTTAAGATCTTAGCAATGCTGGACCGTGGAACCCACGCCACTCAGTTCTGCTGCCTCTTTATCAAATGCTATTTCGACATCAAGACAAAGAACTGGTCCTACAGACAGGTGCTTTAGGACACTTCTGAGACACCAGCACTCTATTTGGAGCGGTGGGGTCAGACTTGCACTATCTTACGGATTTGGATAAAGCCATTGAGTGTCTGCACCTTGCATCTCTCTCTTCTCCCTCTCTCGCTTGTCTCAGGGCCTGATTTTGGCTATTTCTCAGCTACATTTCATAAACTTCCACTGCTCATTTGATGAGGGCATCTAGTATTTGGTAGTGACTTCACCCTACTCACCTCTCGTCTCATGGAATGAATCTTAAACTTGCTTCTTTGACCCATGCCCTCCAGCCTTCCTGGTTGCCTGTTTCATCTTGCTCAACACTACTCACCACACTGTATATCTCCAGAACAGAAATGCCCTGTCCCAGCCTTTGCCCACCCTGGATTTCTAGAGTCAAAGTCTTCCGTGCCAGTCATTCTAACAGTTATAGCAGAACCCGCCTTCTGGTCACTTGGCTGTCATTTTACTGAACAATAGTAGCCTTTTTGTCTATGGAATTATGGCTGGTAGATGGTCAGTGGCAAATTTAAAAATCAAATCACAATAGAGACTCATAAAAAAGAAATGTCATATATTAAACTTTTTAACTTGAAACATATAAAATTTGATCTCTAATTTGTCAGTCCTTTGATAGAGGGCCAAGGCTTTCTGTCTGCATACGGGCCTGCTGATCATAGTTCTGCATCGTCATTCTGCATAAATCACATCCATTAAGCAGCATCCACGATTTTCAGTTTCTACAAAGTGGAGCAGGAACTTAAAGACTTGCAGAGCAATCTTAAAAGAGAATCCATCTAAATTTTAATGATCTTTCCCAATCTTATACATTTGTCTAACTCACACCTAATTTAACAGCAATTACTTTTTAGCAAATCGCTTTCATCAAATCTTTCCAAAGCATTCAACTTAGTTTTCATAGACACAACATCTTGCTTTCTTCTAACACTAATATTTCACCAGTTTACATAATGTTTAATGAAACTAAGCAATTACAGTAACAGATGCAGCCAGTTTAACTAGAAACGGGGACAAATACACCTGGTTGTTGGCAAGTGTCCAGCTCATTGGAAAGAAGCAGAAGTCCATGGGTATCCTGGTGATCAGCATACTGACTGGTGGGGGAAACTCTGTTCTCACCGAAATCAGAAGGAATGGAGAGTACCGGTTTAATACGGTGTGTCTGTTGAGAAGCGGAGGCTGGTTACCGGACGCAGGTGGCTATGGAAGGTTTATTTACTTATTTATTTATTTATTTTTTGAGACAGAATCTCACTCTTGTCCCCCAGGCCGGAGTGCAGTGGTGCAATCTCGGCTCACTGCAACCTCCGCCTCCCAGGTTCAAGCAATTCTCCTGCCTTTGCCTCCAGAGTAGCTGAGATTACAGGCATGTACCACTACAGCCGGATAATTTTTTGTATTTTCAGTAGAGATGGGGTTTCACCATGTTGGCCAGGCTGGTCTCAAACTCCGGACCTCAAATGATCCACCTGCCTCGGCCTCCAGGTTTATCTCTCTGTCATAAAATCAGAAAATATCAGGGATGGTAAGATGTTTCAAACAGTTTATGCAATTCAGGTTTTCATCAACAATCTTGGCAAAATCTATGGGGCGAGTTCTTTTTCAACTTCTTCAACTTCATACTCTCAGAGATGGGGGCTCAAGAGCAACCAGAACAGCCTGTTTCATAGCTGGACAGCTGTACTGGGTAAAACACGCTCTTGAACAGTGAGTCAAGATTTTTCTTCTTGTCATGTCTCTAAATTCAACCTCCCTGTGTTCATCAAGTATTCCTTAAACGGAGTGGCTGTCAGACCTTTTATCCTCTTGCTCTCTCTCCTCTGGACACATTCTAGTTTGAGATTATTAATTTCCTACTTAGGGTACTTTGCCCAGAAATGAAACCATCTGAAGCTCAAGGCTGATCAACAGGAGCAGAAGACAGAAGACTCACAAGGCTCTCTGCTTCTATGCATGTGCCTTCTTATTGCCGTCACTACCTTTTAAAATAATTACATCAGACTTTTGGCTCATATTTAGCTAATGGTCAACTCAAACTTCCAGATCTTTACTTAAATTGCAGTTGAATCAATTATTTTTTTTCCTGCCCTGATTTCTCTGTTTTTTTTTTCTGTCACTGATTTTTAGCCAAAAGTTTATTTTTATGCGTTAGAGTATTCATTTTTACTA
The DNA here is from genome assembly GCF_000001405.40 of Homo sapiens. Taxonomy (NCBI): domain Eukaryota; kingdom Metazoa; phylum Chordata; class Mammalia; order Primates; family Hominidae; genus Homo; species Homo sapiens. Next base: position 94,711,509 of record NC_000015.10, on the reverse strand, counting down.
CTGCTATGATGATAGAAACAGCTGATATGTATAGAGTGGTTGCTATGTATCAGGCACAGTTGTAAGCATTGCCTGTGTATCATTTAACCCTCGTAACACTTTTATGGGGTAAGAACTGTCAAAAGACAAAATTACAACAAATTTAGTTTAGAGATCTTCATTGGCTGTTATTTGTAATTCTAGAATAAGGCAGCGCCTTATTCTATAAAATAGAATGAGTGTCCTGATGAACTGAGCAGAGAAAGTTGGTTTTATAGCCAGAAAAGGGCTGAAGAGAGCAGAAACAGAGAACAAAAAGCAGATTGGTCCTTTCAAAGTTACTTTTCATGTAAAGGATATATCAGAAGGTATTTTCTTACCATGCTAGCTAAAACTAGTCTGGGGATTTGGCTACCACCTCTCTCTCTCCTGATGTCTTGTGGAATCAGATAAACAACTTCATTTTGGCTTGGTGACATGGGTCTTCAGCATGAGTAACTGCGTTTCGGTTTGGTCTGTTGGTCTTGATGCAGGACATCAGTCCAAAATGATGGCCTCCTATAAGTTTTATTTAACAGTATTATTTAACGTATCCATTTCCCAGCTGAGAAAACTGAAGGAAACCGTATTTCAGTCTATTTCTCAGGGCTGCTCACATAGCAACTGTTAGACCTGGGATGCAAACCCAGGCAAGGTGTTTTCAAGAACAAGGCTCTTAACCACTACACTCTTATCGTATCTTGACTGATCTGTCTTCTTAAATGGTCCTTTAGGAGCTGCATGCGGTGGCCCAGGTCTGTAATCCCAGCCCACTGGGAGGCCTAGGTGGACAGATCACTTGAGCCCAAGAGCTCGAGACCAGCCTGTGCAATATAAAGAAAACCTGTCTCTACAAAAAAATTAGCCAGGCATGGTGGTGCGCGCCTGTAGTCCCAGCTACTCAGGAAGCTGAGGCAGGAAGGTCTCCTGAGCCCAGGAGTTGGAAGTTGGAGTGAGCTCTGATAGCACCACCGCACTCCGGCCTGGGAGAAAGAATGAGACCTTGTCTCAGAAAAAAAAAAAAAAAAAAAAAAAAAGCCTTTGAGAATTATGTAATGAAAACAACCTCCAAGAACCTTCAATTTATTCAGTCAAAAACTGATAAATGTTTTCCAGACACACCTTTGTACCTCATTGATTCTCTATTGTTTTTTCTGGGAAAAGATCATGTGTGTCAGCTTCAATAAGGCACTTCTGTGTTGAAATGTGATTTAATCAGGGAGGGGATCTCATAGAAGGCAGTGGTGACGTGTTCTGGGGTCAGGAAGACTTAAGTTCTGGCCTCACTTCCTCCTAGTTGTATGAGCTTAGATTCTTTTTTTTTCGACACAGTCTTGCTCTGTCACCCAGGCTGGAGTGCAATGGCATGATCTGGGCTCACTGCAACCTGTCTCCCCAGTTCAACCAATTTTCCTACTTCAGCCTCCCCAGTAGCTGGGATTACAGGTGCCCACCACCATGCCCAGCTAATTTTTGTATTTTTAGTAGAGATGGAGTTTCCCCATGCTGGTCAGGCTGGTCTCGAACTCCTGATCTCAGGTGATCCAGCTGCTTCAGCCTCCCAAAGTGTGACTGCCTATTCTTACTTTGCTAACCTCTGCTCCTTTTATCTGTAGAATGCGGAAAATTAAACCAATTTGACAGGGCATTGGTGAGAATCCCATCCAGGTACACTGATAAAACCCTTAATTCAAAGCAAGTACTATGGTTGAGGCTCATGCCCTCCCCGCCTCTCTTTCCTAATAGCAAAAGACCCATCCTGAATGCAAATATTCTCACAAAGATCTTGGAAGTATGGAGGAATTACTCTCTTAGAAAATGTTTCTTTTAGAAAAAGATGGTCGGAGCTGTGACAAGATGACATGGCAAGCAGATCTCCGGAGGGAAGAGAAAGTCCCACATCTCCGGGCCACTGCTCTGCAGGCGAAAACGAGGCTGTGTGACCGACTGAGCCTGGGCAGCTGGACCCACCAGTGTGGGCAAGCTTCTCTTCTGAAGTCAGCCTGCCAGTGAGCAGGCGAGAAAGGAACACTTGTGTACAACTCAAAGGAATAATTAATCACCTTGGCAATTACTTCAGTCTCAAATCAGCTTCCTACTGAGCTCCCTGACACCGCCTCTCTTAATTTCCTGGGAGCAGCAGTTCCACTTTCCTTCTTCAGGCGGCCACCAACCAGGGAAGCAAATTAGGAATATCTTCCTATAGCCCATTTGAGCAGATTTTATTCAAAGAAAATGACAATATTAATAGGTAACTGATTTTTCACTAATGACAAAAGACTCCCACCAGGAACCTGGTTTGTGTTCAATAATGTAATTCAAATTTTTTTTTTCTTTTTTTCATATAGGTGTTTCTTCCCTAGAGATTCCGGGGGTGGATTTCTGTCCTTTCCTCCTTGTATAGCAATTGGATGCCAGCATTAAAAAGCAACTAATTCTTCAGTTTATACATATACTTCATTTAGATATCATGGAAGACTGTGGAAGCTTATGAGTTTCTGAGGACTGGGCTATATAAGTATTAGAAATTTGCATGCCTTATAATTTTGAATTTGGGCATCTCTCCCATAGGCCATGTGCTTTGAGCCCAGGAAGAGGAAGTGGTGAGCATCTTATCTTTCATGAGGGGACAATCCTACTCCCATCCTGACTCTTCATTTTCCATATGGTTTATGGGGTTCCGCCATATTTAGTCCTTGGACTTGAGGACATAGGTGACTTGTTTTTACTCATAGCTTTATTTCTCAAACACTGCTTAGTACGCCCTCTGTGCCTTCTAGACTACGCAGGTCAGCTCTAGCCTCCATATTTTAACCTAGACATTTGCCTGCAGCTGGGAAAAACCCTTGACTCTCCTAAAGTACTTACTGCTAGTAATTTATTATTTGTTTGCTTAGTTTGTTTTGCATATGTATTTGAAACATTGCTGTTGTTTCACTTAGATTGACTAACTGACAAATATACTGCATAAAAGTTTCTTTATCAGCCTGTCATTTTGTAATTGTTTTACTCCAGCTTTGGTATTTTTCTTTCATTTCATTTCTATGTCATAGCAGGAAGAAAAAGTTATTGGTCTTCAGGTTAGCATCAGTAAACTCCACTCTTCTGTGTTGCCTTAGAGACAAAGCTGTACAAAATGTGTTTTGGGAATGTGACAAGAGTATCACTATTCTGGCAGAATTCACAAAAGCATTAATAGTAGATTATCCTCTGCTTAGATTCCCAATACAAGTTTGGGTCATGTGTAGCGTGCTTTGGTAGGTCTGCTTGTATTGTTTACATATGAAATATTGGTGCTAATGTATTTAGCATTCAACATGTATCAAAGCACCTACCTTCATCATTAACAGCTTGTCTTATTTTGTGCCCAAATTGACATATGTCTGGATAAGAAAGGCCTAGTGTGGCTAGAGGCAGTGGCTCACACCTGTAATCCCAGCACTTTGGGAGGCCAAGGCGGGCAGATCACGAGGTTAAGTGTTCAAGACCAGCCTGACCAACACAGTGAAACCCCATCTCTACTAAAAATACAAAAACCAGCAGGGTGTGGTGGTGCGTGCGTATAATCCCAGCTACTCAGGAGGCTGAGGCAGGAGTATCGCTTGAACCTGGGAGGCAGAGGTTGCTGTGAGCCGAGATTGCCCCACTGCACTCCAGCCTGGGTGACAGAACGAGAGTCCGTCTCAAAAAATAAATAAATTAATAAATAAATAAAAGAAAAAGAAAGGCCTAGTGTGACAGATGAGATAGAAAGAATGATGGACTCAAGATTAGAAGTCCTGAGTTCAAACCATGGTGTGGTGATAGTGGGTGAGAAACTTCACCTGCCTGGGCTTGGATGTCATGTATAAACTGAGAGGTTCAGGTTCTCTCAAATTGCATTCAGCTCTAACGTTCTATGAATACTTTCGCTGATGTCAGTTAAGCAAAGATTGGCAGGCTCTGCCTTAGAACTCTGGTGTCATCCTTAGCACCCCCCCTTGCCTCATGGGACCATGTTATTCATATCAAAGTGGAGTCTATGGGCACCACATGTGGAGGTGCTGAAGACGTTTAGGGATTAAAAGCATCGGATGATGTCAGGGCAAAGGAGGGAGTGAGGAGAAATGAGGCGAGCAGGGAAGTGGTTTGTAGATCAGTAACTATGAGACGAGGTTATAAATGCTACATAGGGTGTTATGAGGACACCGAGAAGGGAGAAGTCATTCTGCCTGAGAGTCAGAGAGGGGAAAACAGAAAAAGCTACAGAGGGGAGGGAATAGTTAGCAGGATCATGTTTCTAGATAGAAGCAAAAGGATGAGTGGAAGTGAAGCAGTGCAATGATTGATACACAAACAACACCTATGAACTTCTTTTATTCTTCAGTTCACATTAAGAAGAGTCACCTCTGAAGGGCGAAATACTTTAGGTATATGCACATGAAAACAAAAATCAGAAATATCCCCTAATCTCCTACATAGTCTATGTTGAAAATAATAAATATCAAAAAAGACATATTCATAAAATGGACTCTGGGGAACAGTAAGACTCTTATCAAATGAAAGATCAGTCAAGTTCAGTTTAATTTCAGAGGTGGGAACATGGATTTATCCATCTAAGAAAATTTTTTTATAATAATGGCAGCAGACAAAAGGAAGTTTTTTGATAATCAATTAACAACAACAACAAAATCTCAATTTACCTAGAGAGCCCCATGTCCTAAAAATTTTGGTTAATGGACATTTTCTCTCTGTGTAAGGTGTCTTAGTCAGTTTGGGCTGCTATAACAAAACTAGCATAGATTGGGTGGCTCAAACAACAGACATTTATTTCTGAAGTTTCTGGAGGCTGGAAGTCCAAAGTTGAGGTGCCAGCAGGGTCAGATGTTGAGTGAGGCCTGCTTCCTGGCTTGCAGATGGCCCCTCTTCTTGTTGGAACCTCACATGGCAGAGAGCAGGAAGATCTCTGGGATCTGTTTAATAAAGGCAGTAATCCCATTTATAAGGGTTCCATCCTTATGACTTAATTCTCTCCCAAAGGCTCCACTGCCTAATACGATCACCACTGGGGGTTAGGATTTCAACATATGAATTTTGGGGGTATGGTGGAATACAAACATGCAGTCCATTACGTAAGGATACAAAATGATTTCCAGTAAGAAAATTCACAGAGTTGTAAAATTATATCTATCACTTAATTATATGTGAATTTTATGAGATAGATTTTACTACTGTTTTCTACCTTAGTGTGAAACACTCTCTTGTTCTGAAAGCCTTTGACAGATTTTTTTTTCCCCTGGAAGCTGTAGGGATATGCGATTCTATAATAGAAACAGAAACTGGAAGCATCATGGCCAGTCAGGCTGGGATGCTGGCTGGGCCAGGTGCCACTGGGTTCAAGTTCAAGAGGCCAAAGCCGGGGTAGGAGCCGGAGGATATGGGGGGCAGTGGGGATTAAGCAAGAGCTGAGTCTGTGAGGAACACAGAGGGTGATCATCAGGTGCACATGTCAATCACCGAGTCTAGCCACGGTAATGAGGATGGAAATGGGAACAGGACTGGCTGCTGGTGAGAACTCTGGCCCTGGCATTAGCCTTCCTGGAATTGAATCCCAGGTTAGCTCATATGAGTGGTACAACTTTGTGCAAATTCGTTAATCTTCATAAAGCTGAGTGTATTAGTCCATTCTTGCATTCCTATAAAGTAATACCTGAGGCTGGGTAATTTATAAAGAAATGAGGTTTAATTAGCTAACAGTTCTACAGGCTGTACAGGAAACATGGCTGTGAGGCCTCTGGAAACTTACAATCATGCTGGAAGGTAAAGGGGAAGCAGACATCTCTTAGTTACATGGCCAGAGCAGGAGGGAGAGAGAGAAGGGGGAGGGTGCTACACACTTTAAACAACCAGATCTCAGATAATTCACTACCATGAGAATAGCACCAAAGGGGAAATCTGCCCCCATGATCCAATCACCTCCAACCAGATCCCACCTCCAGCACTGGGGATTGCAATTCTACGTGAGATTAGGGCAGGGACACAGACCCAAACTGTATCACTCAATTTCCTCACATGTAAAACGAGAAAAACAATGGTGCCTACCTTACAAGTTTTTGGGGAGATTAAACGAGAAGCATGTTATATATTTAGCTCAGCGTCCAGCACATAGTGAGTGTGTAATAAATATTAGTGGTCATCACTAATAAAAGGGACAGAGAGTCAAGCGTCTAAAGGAAGATTAGCCTAGAAAGGAAGAGGGGATGGGCATAAGGGTAGGATTGTGCCAGGAAAATTTTAGGCAATTGTATCAAGGAGTATGGAGACACACATAGCAGTCCCATTTATCCATCAACTCCCTTGCCATAACAATGATGATAACAATAGCTAACATATTGTAACCTCTACTATGTGCCAAGTACTGTTCCCAGTACTCTAGATGTATTAATTCATTAAATCCTCACAGCAACTTATGAAGTAGGTACAAACTAGCAGTAATGTTATTCATTAAACTGCAGTACGAGTCTGGTTCATACAGTAAGAAGGCTTCTGAGATAATATTGTTCAATTATTACCTTCATTTACACATGTATTTTTTAATCTGGTACCTTAAAAAAATCACCTTGGGATGGAGACTGTGAAGAGGTCAACTTAAAGTTCACTTAAACCACTTGATATTTAAAAAAGAAAAATAAAATACTAGAAACTTTCCAAAAATAAGCCTCTCCCTGTTAAGTGGTCTCAAGCTGAGAGGCAATGAGGCTTCTGACTTAGTAGGTGAACTGGACAAAACATAGATATCACAGCTGAATCTGGATACATCAAGTTCTGTTCCTTGGACCCTGTGATGTTTGCCAGCCTGGGCATTTTATTTCATCTGATGTAGCTGCCAGAGTTGCCCAGGAATCAATGCCAAGGCAAAGAGAAAGCTTTTAACTGAGATTTGTTGAAATTCTGTCACAAGGTCCCATAAACAATTCCTGTCTCCTTCCTGTATCCTGTTATAAATTGTAATCTATATTTTACCTACTGTACAAATATCATTATTCTTTTGTATAATATTCTCAACATCTTCACTTGATTGCTTTTAAATACTTTCCAGCTTATTATTATGCCTTATCTGTTTTCTGATTTTACTTGTTTGTTCTGGTGTCACCTTCCCCTTTCAGGAATCAGATGACCTCTTGAGTCTTTGAGCCACCTCCCTCTCAATACCCAGGAGCTGATATCTCAGCCAGGTTCCTTTTTCAATAAGAGAAGAATGTGAAATTGTTCTAGGTTATTTTTAAGATTCCAATGAAAATCAAGTAACAATAAAAACCAAAAAACACCTACTTGATAATGGTGATACATTTGACTTAAAGATTCTATGGTCTTTTATCAATTTTGAAAATAACCCCATTGTTTGGGGAGGCAAATCATAATTCTGACATTACACTCTTTTATAAAAGTAAGAATAACAATTATACTTTTGCAGACATGAAACTGGCTAAATATGTGGCAGAATAAGAAGGGATTCAGTTCTTTCTGACTTATATGTTCAGATTTTATACTTGAAATCCTTTCCCCAGTCTTTCCAATGCCTCCCTTTTTTATTCAGCAATATGCTAAAGTATTGGTCTCAAATTAAATGACAATTAGGATGTATCTTTCAGGACCCTAAGCTATCTGGATGAAAAATGAATCATCTCAGTGTATTGTCTAAATGATTCCTAACACGGAAATGGTTGGAAACAACCCTGATGTTTGGCGTCATAGAAACAAAACAACCAGTTGATGATTGAATTGTTCACTTTAAGATGCGATGTTTTGGCATAGCAGGAACCCTCAAGAATTGTACCTATTGCCACTATAATATAAAACTCACTCACTATTGTATCTATTTCTCTCTTTCTGTCCTCCTGAGATACATACACACACAAATCATCACATTCAATTTTTACCTAACTTAAGAGAAGCAGTCATTATTTGTTGGTTTCAGGGATGCATTGTGGTGATGATCCCTTAGAAAATTCTGAGATAGAAGCTATGGGAGACTCTTATCTGCTGTTGAGGGTTGGGTAATCCCATTCCACTTCACATTTATGCCTTGAAAGATCCCAAAGCACATCAAATGGTGCCTTCAGTCCTGCAAAAGATGCAATTGAAATGGGGCAAAGACTGATCACTGTGCACTAGCACAGCCCCAGGCCTTTATCCAGGCGGTACCCTCCTCCGGGGACATCGTTTACCCTTATCCACCTCATTGATGCTTCACTTCTTCCCTAAAGACTCAGCCTCAGTGAGCCTATGAAACCTCCATGAAGTCTGTCACTGTGTCAGCGGGCTATCTCTACTTGCCCATAACTCCCTGGTGAGACCCCTGTGTTGTTTTGAAATTCACTATTGCCTCTCCTAGACTTGTGAGCAAGTCGATTTGTGAGCAGAGGTTGTGTCTTACCATCTGTGTAGTCTCCGAAATTTGCCCGATGCTTGACAACTTGTCTGTCTTCATGCTTCCTAAAGGACTGCTTCCCTATCCTCAAGCTAGCACACTTTCTTCCTGATAAATCTCAGCAGTGGAAGAGAAATTTTGTGAGTACGTGTTTCTGTAAACTATACACACTCCAGCAAGACCCCTTGGTGTTCTCACCAAGTCCCTGGTTCTGTAATGAGCGCTTCAATTCTTAGAGGTAAGAGCTCACTAAAATGACTGAAGGTGGTATGGCCGGAGGAAGTTGGGACCACAGCTGCCGAAATAGTTAAGAAGTAAGGGAAGTTCTGGCTGAATTGCAGATCTACATCTCCCTTTCGGTATCCCCTAGGAAGGGTTTTCACAACATTTTTTATGCACTCAGTCAACAAATAATTTGAGGGAGGGCCCACCGTGTGCTAGGCAACTGGGCCAGGCATGGAGAGGCCAATGGTGGGCAAAACCGAAAGAAGATCACAGTCTTTATTTCGTAATAAAGTGCAAAAATGAATATCACAACTGGGGCAAGCTCTGCAGAGAAAAGGGGGCAGTGCAAGGGGAGCAGTGAGGGGAGCATGCTTTGAGCTGAAAAGGTGGTGTCGGAGCACAGCACTGAAGATGGGAAGGGGCACACTGGGGAAAAGAGTGGCCTGCCATCCTGCTGCAGGGGCAAAGGGAGGGACGTAGGGGAAGGTCCAATGTGAACTCGAGAGGAAGGGCTGAGGAAATGAGGAGAATTCGTGGGAAATCTGTTTGGAAACCATAACAAGCCTGAACCTCTGTCCTTCAGCAGAAGGAAACCTACAGTGGGGAGTCCTGGCTTTAAAATACCTTAGGACAAAACTGGCCACACGGGAGACACCCTATAAATATGTATTAATAGTTAGCCTCCACTTAAAACTGTTCCAAACAACTCCTTCAGCCCAAGTTCCCATGAAAGGTTGGAAAGGGGGTGAGTTTGGTAGGGGAGACTGCTGAAGCCTTCTGCTGGTAACACAAAGTAACACAAAGTCCTGCACCTTTTACTTCAATACTTGAACTTGCATAAAAGGAGCTCACAGGGTAAAGTTCAAATCCAAGCTGGCTCAGAAGATAGCATGAAACAAGGACCATACTTTGGAAAGAGCATACTCTGAAGAAAGGATGTGGGTAGCTTCTGTCGGCGTGACTGGGATCTGGTCAGGGTTCCAAAATGTTCGCATCCTGCACAGACCGCTGTCCGCTTGGAAACAAAGCCAGGTTGTTGCTTTAATGGCCTTTTCCGTTTCTCTCTCCACAAAGATGAAAGTTTATTAGAGGTGCATTCCAATCTTATTAAACACCAAGTGGCCCCCATCAGAAATCTCAGGAAATGAGGGACATAGCATCCAACACAATACAAATTCTTTTGTGTTTCTTCTTCTGCGAAGGGTGTGTTAGGCCTTCAAAAAGGGGCTGAGACAGCTTTAATAAGAAGAAGGAAAAAAAATGAAAGGAGAAGGGAAGAAAGGTGCCTCAGTTGTCTCGGCAGCTGATCAACAAAGGAGCAGTCGTCAGCTGTAACCTCTTGGAGCCACAGTCTGAAGCATGACACATGTCAGCCTATGATAAATGGTGCAGAGTGTGTGCAATTTCAAGCGCAATGCCCTTGAGATGCGCGGGACCCCAATCGCAAATGTTATTGTTAAATTAAACCTTAAAGGAAGGATTGGAAAGGGGTGGGGGCTGGGGGGGTGGCATACACACATGCGCACGTGGGCACACACACGCAAGGAGGAAAAGAGGAGATAAAAGGCAAGGTGAAGAAATAAAACTATATTTTTCACCTAAAAAATTTTAAAATACCATGAAAACGGTTCATAATATGAGCATTCTGTTTGTTTTTGCCTCATGCAGTATTCTCAATTACTCTGATTGGCGCTAAGTTACACCCTCTGGTGTTATGTGCTTGTTCTGTTCTTTTTTCCAATCTTTGGTCATCTTGCAGAACTAGCCATCATCCTGTTTTAGAGTTCTGTATGTGTAGCTACATATGGCATATGTGAGTGTGTGTGTTAGGGAGTGTGTTTATCTCATACTAAAGTCTGAAAATTTCCCTCTCCCACCCACCCTCTATTGACACAGCTCCAATGCCCAAACTAACTAATTTAATTCAGGAACCATTAGATGGAATGGTATAAGGCAAAGGAGGGGAAAATGTGTTCTTAAAAGGGGCCATGAGTCTGAGGACTATTTAGCTACAAAGGCTCAAAGTAACCAGGGATATGAGTGATATGAAAAATTAGCTAGAGAGGTAACAATGGAAAAATCCACAAAAGGAAATCAACATAGGAATAGCAGACATTGAGTTAAGTTGTTTTCATGGAGAATGAGGAGTAAAAAGACACAGAGAATAATTGTCTGAGCATCTTTATCATGTGACCATACCTGCCAATCACAATCCAGGATTTCCCTCGTAGACTGAGGTATCGTTATTGGTCTAGAAGCGATGGAAGCAAAGGCATTGGCTAGTGATGAGAGGCACACAATTGTGTCCTGGGTAGAGTCCATGCTCAAAGAATTTATTTACTTTTTCTCTCCTCATAACACATTTAGATGAAAGAATGTTTAATAGAGGGGAAAAACCCAAATTACGAAAGCAAGGGCACCCAAGGCTTGTTTTGTGCATTTTGGCCAGGGTTGCTTAGCATCTTGGAAAACTAGACTCCTTTTTTGGGCTTTTGGAAAAGTTCACCCAGGTTTCTTGTTATTAAAGAAAATAAACATCAGACAAAACAGGACTTTATCAAAACTATAAATAATTCAATGCAGATGGATTTAAAAATCAAGCAGATTTTCAGAGTGTGGAGCGCCGTAGGGTTTGGGTGGAAACAGAGAGGAATATAAACAACAACAAAAAAAGAAATGAAATTATGAACTTGTTGAAGAAAATAAATAGACACATAAAACTAATTGGAAAGAAAATAAAGAAGGAACATTCTAAACCAAGGCACACATCCCAGAGTTCTATGTAGTGGCCGGTTCCTGCATCCACTGACTAACAGCATCTCCCCTGCTGCTGTTGAAGGCAGCACCAGAGCAAAAAGAAACAGGACCCCTCATTTTATGTCAGAGAGAATGAAGTCCAGTAAGGTTGGCCCTGGCTCAAGTTAGTGTCAAAACTGCAATTAGAACCCAGTGGTCCAGGCTCCTAGTCTAGTCGTTTTTTTCCACCACAGGGTGCCATGAGAGGTGGTAACCTCTACGGGACATCTCAATGAAACACAAAACTCAACTCACTCTGAACCCAGTACTCTGCATAGTTTCAATGTTGCAACTCCTTTACTCCCCAAAAACAACAGTATGGGAAATTCCAGAAGCCAAAGAAACTGAATCATGCATTTCATCAATACCTCTGGAAAGAATCAAAGGGGAACCTGGTCATCTGATGATCTCAGAAAATGTTATAATTCTTTGAGTTGAGAGGAGAGGTCGCACACCTTGATTTACACAAAACAAAATCAGCAGCCACAAGGGTGACAATTTCCTCATCAAACCACCTCAAATCTCTTTTGCAGGAAGGAAGAGAATAAGGAAAGGTGACCAGTGAAGCTCCCAGGTGAAACAGGAGGTAGCTTCCAATTGCTTCCTCATTAGTTGATGTCTCAAACGTGTTTCGCTGCTGGGCATCTCCTTGCCTTCCTGGCACTAGCCCTTGCAGATATAGAACGCTTACTGACAGTTCTTTATTGATTTATTAAAGGTTGATTCATCAAGTCTCACGTTGAGTTAAGTGTGCCAGGTAACAGCAAAAAAGAAACATTTTTTTTTTTTTCTGGGCAGTATTAATACAGCCACAGTGGAGGTCATGAAGTGGATGCAAACTAGTTTGCAAAATATGCAGAACCAGTTCTTAACCAGTTAACCAACATTTTCCACCCATCTGCTGCAGGAACATTGCTTTGGTAGCTTCTAGCAATGAGAAAAAAAAAAAAAGTTGGGGAGAGCCTGCTCTGTATCACACAGCTATGGCTAGTGGTTACATGGTTCGAACATGTATATGAGGGCCCTCCGCTGTTTATCATCATGGTTTTTCAAAGATGTGATCATTCTGAGTTAGCAACTGAAGCAAGAGGTGTCAACTGGAACTATCACACCATCTCCTTCCCTCCCTTGGAAAGTCACAGGTTCAAACGTTACCTGTTTGATTACCTCTCACCGTGATGTAATCAACAATATTCTGAGAGTTGCATTTGCATCTTTAAAGGGGCAATATAAGACTTTCTTCTATCAGGTTAACCCTTTCATTTTAACTTATTTCATATACAAGTAATTTCTTTTCTAGTATCATAAGGGTAGGCCTCCTAAATATTGTTGATACAAAAACAGTAGAGTCCACATCATTATTCCTATTCATACAGCGTATTTGTCTCATCCCCTTCCTTGGGAGCTGCTCAGCATCCTGCATCTGGAATCTCAGATTCCAATCACTCAGGAAAGCTGGTGTCTTGGGAGGGCATCCTTTCTTCAGTAAAAGACTAGGTAATTGCTACTAGAGTGTTTTTAAATTATACATTTGCAATCAAGCTCCAATTTCAAATAACCCCCACTAGCAGCCCTACCTTAAAACAATTTAGAAAGCCTGGTATTGCTGACATGTGTATGCATTGTTTGAAAGAGGAGGAGTTAAGGGGACTTCACCAAAAGCAGCTTTTACATGGTCATGACTTGAATATCATCCACCCTGAGTGAAGAGCATCCATTTTAAAATTTAAAAAATGATTTATTTTTGTCCTGTTTTCTTGAATCTATTTCTTAGCTCCAGCTCTTCATGTGCGTTGCCAACATTGCTAAGTAAATCTAAGGCCAATCCACACTCTACCCACTGAAATCTTCAGCCCCATAAAACTTCCCTCTCTTAGGATAATGAGAACTCAGGCCAGCAAGTAAAACAATCAGCTCTGGCAGATAGGAAAGCTGTTCAGAGTGTCCTTCTCACTGGGTCTCCAGGCTTGAGGCTCACTACTTGATTGTTATTCTTATTTCCTGTAGGTTAATTCCCCTAATTTTCAGCACTGTCCACATAGGACCTTTGTTCTCTAGTTTTTACAACCTCAACGTCTACTAATATATATTACCAACTCTATTCTCTGGTCATAGGAAACTTTTGTCTTTACTATTGCTATGATCTGTCTAGGCCCTATTTCCCAGCACTGGTGGTTTTTACTGGAATAACTCTTCTTCTTTTCTGCTCCTCTTATATCAGGAGAAACTCAAGTTATCTGTAAAGAATCTCCAAGACAGTGTGAGCTTTTGAGTTGTGACTAAATGCTTCCTTACATTCTCCTTCTCTCCCACAAAATTTATTGAGCATCTATTATGTTCTACACATAAAGCTGGGTACTGATTATATTAGCTAGTAAACGTTGGGACCCTTATTCCCAAGGAGACTGCAGTTATCTTTCCTTCTCTTCCTTCTTCCATATTGCCATTGCACTTGGACCATACCAGATCAAATTGAAGCTACTTATGCCCACATCTATATTCATGTTTGATTCAACTCCATAGCTTCCATACCTGGTACAACATTCAGTAAAGATTTGTTAAGTTTTTCTAAAATCAGTCATGTCAAGATAGACAAGGCATGTTTCATCTTGAATTAATAATAAGTAAAGTAATTCATAAGCAAGATAATAAACAATGAGGTTGAAAGAATTGATGGGGACAAGGGTTATTCCAGACACTCTTCCCAGGCCCAGCACTGGCTCTTTGATTGAAAGAACAGTCCCTGCTCACAAAAAAGGGCTCCAGATGCCCTGGCTCAACTTCATAAACTCTGCTCATTCCAATCACTTTGCGTTGCTGATGACTGCCTTATATTATTAGTGTTGACTTTCAATTAGTGTCAGTTTTCCAAAAATAATATTTTCAGGAAGCTTCTATTCAGATTCCAAAGTGGCATGCCACTGAGATGAAAATGTTCGAAGAGATTCCAGCCATCCTCAAAGGACAAGCTTTGATAAAAGTAAACAAGCAAACAATATACATCTTTCTTAGTATTAAAAAAATTAATTGTAGTTATTTTTCTTCTCATTGGGACTATGAAGCTGATGTTGGTTTATTTGTTTGACTCTACATGCTGATTTTCCAAAGTCTAGATATGATGGTGCGAAATGACAGTCGCACTTAGACAAAAGAAATTTTCTCTAAATTGGATCAAAAAAGAAGTCTAAGCTTGTTTTGATTAAAGAAACAGCTGAGAATTTTTTTTCATTTAGAGTGCCTAATCATTGTTGAAAACTCAAGGAAAATTCAAGTGAGGATCCATATGAGTGGGAAAGAGAGAAGAAAAGGTGTGTATAATTTCTATATATACACACACGTATACACACAGTATACAAACATGCATATATATATACACATATGTATATGTTCATATACATGGATAAATATGTATCTCCAAGCCATGGTAGAATATGAATGCCTTTACCAAATTGACTTTAAAAACTTATTTTATGTATTTATTATTATTATTTTTTTTTTTGAGGAGTTTCACTCTTGTAGCCCAGGCTGAAGTGCAATGGCATGATCTCGGCTCACTGCAACCTCCGCCTCCTGGGTTCAAGCAATTCTCCTGCCTCAGCCTCCCAAGTAGCTGGAATTACAGGCATGCATCACTACGCCCAGCTAATTTTATATTTTTGGTAGAGACAGGGTTTCTCCATGTTGGTTAGGCTGGTCTCGAACTCCCGACCTCAGGTGATCCGCCCGCCTTGACCTCCCAAAGTGCTGTTGATTATAGGCGTGAGCCACCATGCCCAGCCAATTTTAAAAACTTTTAAGAGAATGGAATGAATTTAAAGCTCTGGATAAGTCATAAGGTAACTTTCTTAATACATCCAAATACATACCTTATTTTTAGTCATAATATTAACTTGTAATAAAATTTGATTACACATGAGTATGTGTGTGTATGTATACAAAATTTGAAATTCAAATATCTTAAAAATTGAGATTTTTATCCCCTCCATTATATAGATTTTGTATAATAAATGTTATACAAGGCCCTAAAAAGGATGCTTTATAGTTATATCATACATATTGTTTCTAAGTAGTGTATGAGACTGAATTACGAATAATAGTTTATTTAAAGTGATTTCCCTGAAGAACAAATACTATCATTTACAGATATGAGCCTGTATCAGCTTAAAAGCAGGATAGGGATCGTAGTTCTACCCTTGGCCTTGACAGGCTCTCTGATCTTAAGCGGCTCTTTTAGTTTCTCCAGTCTTCCATTTTCTCTGCAGGGTGAGATAGTCATTGCACCGTAGTCTCTTCATCAACTTGTGTGAAGATAAAAATACTTGTTAACATGCATGAACCCTTACTGCAGGCTAAGCACTGTGCCACGTACTTTTATGTCTAGCTTTGTCTTGCCAGGATCCCCTGAAAAATACGTATTATTATCATACCCATTTTACAATGTAGAGGATAGTGAGGTGACACAGCAATGACACAGCTTGAAAAGAGCAGAGACAAACTTTGAAATAAGATCTGTTGGAGTGCAGTGTCTAGACTCACAATTACAAGCCCAGCCTGCTTTGCAAAGGAAAATGCATCTGATAAACCACTTAAAGGAATTCATATTAAGCAATGTGCATAATAAGTTGTCAGCAACCCCTGTGCCCACCATCAGCTCAATGCCACCAGAACACAGCACACATACACATATGCACACAGGTACACATTCATGTATTTATTTAAAAGTTTTTTCTTTTATGGGAAAAAGAGTCTCCACTCTAGAGACATATTTGGAACCACTCTCATCTGATCTGTGATGTCTGTAGTTTGGGATGAAATTTTACCCTTGCTGTAGAAAGCACAACTAAAATTTAAAAGTTAATGGAGCCTGAGTATTAGTTACTCCTGATTTCATAAATTTGCAGCATCTTATAAATAAGTTGACTGTGATCCTGGGCTTTATTTCTGAAGCTAACGATTGTCTCTTTGACCAGAAACACAGAGGGCAGCATTCAGTGCTGTCTTTTAAGGATTTTAAAGAGCATAATCCATGCTATTTGGTGCTGGATAGGAGTGAAGTCTACAAGGAAATTGAACTTTGCTTGCTGCCCCATGTGGATTCTGTGCTTCCAAGCCACCAGCTCCAGCTGTTCAAAAAACGACAGTTTCTATGAATGCCAAGACTTATAAAGTATCTCCCCAGAGTTGTATTATCTCCCCCTGAGCAATAAGGGCAGCCTTTTTGAGACGTATGTCTCCTCAATTAGCTTCTGTGGTTCTCTCTGAAGAGTGTGTTCCTCTAGCTAGAAAGAACGATTCTGCAGATTACCCAATAAGACAGCCTCATGAGATGTGTGGGAGGACTGAAAGAGTGTGATGGGTTGGGGCATGCTTATCTTTGAGCCCAAATAACAGTAACATCTCTATAACAAACATTTTTTTTCTGGGACGGGCTAGCTTGGAAAAAAGTTTCAAAGCCATAGTTTCTTTCTGGAATGATAAAGAACCCAAATTCTCAATACCAATAAAAGATATAATTTGGTGGGGAAAAAATGGTGACTTGAAAAACGTTTCCATAACTGGAGCATCATTATTATGAGTTTACCCAATTACCATGACTGGAGGTCCTGCCTGACTCTCTGTCAGACCTGAAGTTGCATAGGTCAGCTCTGCCTCGGTAGTACTGCACCCCAGTTTCCCTGTTCCAGGAACAAATGATGTTACAGTTTATTGTAGGACTAAAAAGCACCTTGAGACTGTGATCAGCTTTTTGTCTTTATGGTTTTGCCAGCATGTGTGAGACCTTTTAGCATTATCAAAGATTTTGTGGAGTCTGCATATGTGCAACTGGAACGATGAATTTATCACGAAAAGAAAAGGGGATCTCAAGTTTACCCCCAGTGTTGCCTCAATCCTAGCATCCAGGCTTTGGAAGATTGAGAAGATACAA
Source organism: Homo sapiens (assembly GCF_000001405.40). Classification (NCBI taxonomy): domain Eukaryota; kingdom Metazoa; phylum Chordata; class Mammalia; order Primates; family Hominidae; genus Homo; species Homo sapiens. The sequence continues at coordinate 94,694,134 of NC_000015.10, read as the reverse complement.
ATTCATTTTTTTTTCTTTCTTGGTTGATCCTTTTACCCATCTCAGAAATAAAATGATCTAATTAGTACTTTGGGTTCCAAAACATGTTAGAGCCAACTGCCAAGTCAGTGCCTCTGTGGGTCTTCCCAATTTCACTTGCAATGTTAGCTTCTCCCGCTTTACTTCCAAAGCACTTTGTCCCCAGAACTCCCAAAACATTTCGAATCCGAATTAGGAGTGATTATTTTTTGTATGTCCGTCTTTTCCACTAGAATCTGAGTAACCTTATCCAGAAAGGCAGTCTTATTCTCTCTTGTGCATCCAATTCCTGACATAGTATTCATCCCAGTCAGAATTCAATAAATCTTTGTTGAATAACTGAATGCACTTATTAATCAATCTGTATATGAATGTTCTAAGCTGGCAAGGAACTACATCAAGGCCCATTCCTTAATTCAAACATCTTACATATGTAAAGGTAAGAGGCCTCCGAAATTTATAGCTATATAGCATTGGTTAAAAATCTTAAATACTTTTAAAATCTATTTGATTTGTTTATTAATGATTCTCCTACTGAAATATATGCCTGATGAATACAGGAACTGCATCCAGTTGGGGTTACACTTCTGGCCCTCAGAGTGCTAACACATAGTATATGTTCAATAAATATTTGGTAAATGAATGAATAAATCAGAGAGTGAACAACTTCATCAATGGGACCCAGTGACCAATGCCCTCATGGAGGTTAACCTTGGGAAGAAGAGGGCTTCTGAGGTTTCTCCTAGCTGTCTGAAGATGTAAAGTTCTACAGGCTAATTTGGTGGAAGCAGCTTTCAGAAATATTGATAGTTTTTCAATTACATATGTGTATTAGATCTACTGAAGTCTCCATAGAGACAGAAGAGAAAAACCTTATTTGATCTAAGGCCTGAAACTGTGCCTGGTACATGGTATGTTCTCAATCAATATCTGCTGCATAAAAATAAATGACTGCTCTGAAAGCACTCAGTTTTCAATGGTATAATGTTTTCTGTTTTCAGCCTAGTTTAAAAGGTCATGTCCTTCATCCCAGCACCGTCTGTTCATGCCATCTTGTTTATGTCACTATTATTCATTGAATCCTCCCGCCCATCTCTATTTTACCTGCTATGTCTCAATGTTGACTGACAAATGGCAAAGACTATCTGCTCCCTTCTAATGACTGTTATAAATAGACTAGTAAGGACGTGTTCTTAAAATCACCCTTTCCCAGGGGGCAGATATTTATCTAGTCATAGGAAAGTGAGGATTGGAGTACAGTGTGGTCTCAGCCCAACAAATATGTTTGTGTGCTGACTCATTCCTTTGGTCACAGCTCTGTATTAGGCTGAAGGTACTGTTATTTGAAAAAAGAGAATCCAGAACCAAATTTCTATACTGCCATTCATAGCAGAGAAGAAATGGGGAAAAGCACAAAATTCCTAGAATCACTGTTCAAAGACAATCTCTGTTTAGAGAGAAGAAAACTTGGATTGTCTGTGTTTAACACCAAAGGAAATTTAACTCCATGTATTAGTCCATTCTTGCACTGTGATAAAGAAATACCTAGACTGGCTAATTTATAAAGAAAAGAGGTATAATTGGCTCGTGGTTCTGTAGGCTGTACAGAAAGCATAGCAGCTTCTGCTTCTGGAGAGGCCTCAGGAAACTTACAATCATGGTGGAAGGCAAAGGGGAAACAGATACATCTTACATGGCAGGAGCAGGAGGAAGAAAGAGTGGAGGAGGTGCTGCACACTGTTAAACAATCAGAACTCACTCACTCACTATCAGAAGAACAGCACCAAGGGGATAGCGCTAACCCATTCATGAGAACTCCACTCCCATGATCCAGTCGCCTCCCACCAGGCTCTACCTCCAACACTGGGGATTACAATTCGGCCTGAGATTAACCCAAATTATATCACTCCAGATATTGGGTTTATTTAAATGTCTTACAAACTTTCCATTATTTGGAGAAATACTCAGATTCACAAGACAGACATGGAAGGTGTACCACAAGCAAAGGATCAGGGGCCTGCAGAGACAGCAGAGACAGCTGAAATTTCTGACTTTGTCTCTTCCAAAATGAAGAAATTGTATTTTCTCAAGCTTCATTTTCTACATCATTGGATGAAGTAAATTATCATTTAGTGAGGTCGTTGAGTGAGTTAAGAATGAAAATATCTCTAAGAATGACAGGCACTGGTCTACTTCACTACTCTTCCCCTAGCAGAAAGGAATCACTTAGATTCTGATAGATGTATTGAAAGATCCTAATAAATGAAGGGGGTAACATGGCCAATCATTTTAATGAGGAATAAGTAGGAGGAGAATTAGAGAACCAGGCATGAAATTTAGAGATGATGAAATCCAGAGGTTTTCAAATATTTTGTTTAAGAAAACTTAAAAAATTAAACATGAAATATTGTATGTATCTCACATGATATAAAACAAAGGCCTTGGAGCTGCTGTGATGTACCTAGGGTGAAGGTCCCACAGTGCCAACCTCTGGGCTTCTCTATGCAGCACTCAGGCTGTCCATTCTGCTGGGAAGCTTCTCCACTCAGCCTTCAGAAACTGAGAATCCCTAGGATTCTTTCACTGATGTAACCTCATTCTCTGCTTCCCCCAGCCCTTCACCAATAAATTTTGAGAGAGAATGAATGATTCAACTGGACTTAAATGGGACTTGCCCAAAACAACTCAGTTAATTAGCAGCACAATAAGAAATAAACTCAGTTCTCACCTAACTACCCATCTGACATTGACTCAGTCATGCCACGGTATATTAGTCAGGGCAGGCTAAGTTTTGCTCCAATAAGAGCCATGCATCTAAGTGGCTTAAGTCTGTGATTTATTTGTCAGTCATCTAATATGTTCATCTTTACATTCGTGACAAGACTGTTTTCTTAGAAAAGTCCTCATTAGAGGACTCAGGTGAATAGAGCTCCATCACCAGAAATTTCCCATTGTTATAGCAATGAGATAAAATACTTGGAGAGTTGGGCACTAACAATTAAATGCTTTTACAAAAAAAGAAGTCATATATCTCTTCCCTCTCATGTGATCTGTCAAAGCAAGTCAATGGACACACCTAAATGCAAATAGATGGAGAGGCGCAATGCTGGAAGGAGAGAAGAGAATGGTCAACACTTCTGCCACAATGACTGATTAGTATTTATGTGTTTTCTTTTAATTTATAATATTCAAATACTGGTTTAGAATCAATCATGTTACAGCTTTAGATATGGTATCAAAATATAAAAGCAGATTTTAAGCAGTTGTGGCATGGCAACTATAGAGTGATATACAAGACTTATCATAATACTAACTACATCTGATGTCTGAATCAACTTCAAAGTCTCTGTTGACTCTTACATCTTGGGTTCCAGAGGAACAAGGCAACTTGTATGCATGAGATAGAAAAACATAATGGGTAACTTTATCATTATTATTATTATTGTTCATCTATGCATTATTGCGCAGTATTATCAGTAATACTGATAATGGCACGATCTTGGCTGACTGCAACCTCCAACTCCCAGGTTCAAGTGATTCTCCTTCTCAAAGGTGGCTTTGATTGCAAGAAGCCAATTCTAACTAACCAAAGGAAAGGGAATTTATTGAAAGGTTATCAGGAACTCAAAGGAAGTTTGGAGAGGCAAGCAGAGCTCAGATGTTGCTGCTGTTACAAGAAGACATATACATTGTTGTGACGCAACACAGTTTCAGAGGCCAGGAAGCAAGAAACACAGGATTTTGAAACTGTAACAGTGTAGTCAGGACCAGAGTGCAATAAAACTCAACTATTTTCAATCCTTTCATTTCTCTACTCAAGATTCAAATTTTAGGCAAGAGCTTCCAGTTATAATTATTCGTTATTGGCCGGGAGCAGTGGCTAACACCTGTAATCCCAGCACTGTGGGAGGCCGAGGCGGGCGGATCACCTGAGGTTAGGAGTTCGAGACCAGCCTGTCCAACATGGTGAAACCCCATCTCTACTAAAACTACAAAAAATTAGCCAGGTGTGGTGGGGCGTGCTTGTAGTCCCAGCTACTTGGGAGGCTGAAGCAGGAAAATCACTTGAACCTGGGAGGTGGAGGTTGCAGTGAGCCAAGATCACACCATTGCACTCCAGCCTGGGTGACAAGAGCGAAACTCCATCTCCAAAAAAAGAAAAAAATATTATTAGTTATTATTCTAATTATTCTCCTTGACTAAGAGAAGACTGTTTTCATCGAGGAGGAAGAGAAAATAAAGGAGTTCTTAAAAAGAAGAAAATTGTACTGGGAGATGAAAATAAAATGTTCACCATACATTTGTTATGGAAAAATTGTTCCTCTGCCCCCACACATCCACTCTTAGTACAGGGCTTGTTTCCCTTCTACCCAGCAGAAATGCTGGGTAGTTCCATAGCTGAGTGCACTTCATCTCAGCTTCTGCTTCCACTCTGTATTAGTCTCTTTTCATGCTGCTATAAAGAAATACCCGAGACTGGGTAATTTATAAAGGAAAGAAGTTTAATTGACTTACAGTTCTGCATGGCTGGGGAGGCCTCAGGAAACTTACAATCATGGTGGAAGTGGAAGGGGAAGCAGGCACCTTCTTCACAAGGGGACAGGAGCAAGAGCATGCGTGTGAAGGAGGAACTGTCAAACAAATGTAAAACCATCAGATCTCGTGAGAACTCACTGTCATGAGAATAGCATGGGAAATCTCGCCCCAATGATTCAATCACCTCCCTCCCTGGACACATGGGGATTATAATCCGAGATGAGATTTGGGTGGGGACACAGAATCAAACCATATTACACTCCTATGATTTCATTTCAAAAGCAGCTATTCCAGCTTCACCACCTACTTCTGTATTTTTCCCTATCGCAAACTCCCAAATGTTTTTTTAGACTTATAGCCATATGATTTCAGGTTCTAGAAAAGGGGAAAATACAGACTCAAGGTCTATTGAAAGATTAACATTAACTAAAACTTGTTAGAGAAGAATTCATTGTTACTATTTCTGTTCTTATTTCACCAAATACTCAACTACACAGGTATTTATCTAAAACAGACCACTTTATGAACTTGAAAGGAAATGAATCTCTTAATGAAATGCAAGTTCCATGTTATTACAGAGTGTTATTTTCTCATCAAAATTTCTTCCAATTCATTATCCAGTGTCAGAGGAGTTGTAGCTATTTTGGGGTTTGGGCATGTCAATATGTCAAACCCTGTATGCTGATTTTAAGCTCCACTATAATGTATATGCATATCTAAATAAGAAGTGTACTTCAGGCCAGGCACGGTGGCTCATGCCTGTAATCCCAGCACTTTGGGAGGCTGAGGTGGGTGGATCACTTGAGGTCAGGAGTTCGAGACCAGCCTGGCCAACATGGCGAAACCCCATCTCTACTAAAAATACAAAAATGAGCTGTACTTGGTGGTGGGGGCCTGTAATCCCAGCTACTGGGGAGGCTGAGGCAGGAGAATTGCTTGAACCTGTGAGTTGGAGGTTGCAGTGAGCCAAGATCACACCACGACACTCCAGCCTGGGCAACAAAGCAAGATTCTGTCTCAAAAAAAGAAGAGGAAGAAGGAGAAGGAGAAGAAGAAGGAGGTTTACTCAAGTATCAACTTTTCTCCTGAAAGTTTCTCACTAAGTGCTTAGTTCTTTAACTTGAGGTTAAAAACCTTCCTTTTATGTTTTTAAAATTATCTTTATTATGATTGAATCAAATAATGAGTAGAACAAATCTTTAAAAATACTATGTGATAGTGAAAAAACTGAAAATAGCGAAGAGATACTTACACAAATACCTATTTTTTTCAAAATCTGAGGATGACTTTCTAGGTTCAAATTCCTTTTCTAAACCTCAATTAACAGCAGACACTTGTTGGCCTAATTATTTGAAGTACTATTCTGTAAAAGACCAGAAAAGCTAGTCTGAGTCAACATCTAAAATTCTCTGTAATTTTTTTTTAAAGTTATAGTTCGATATTTATTAAAACCACCTAGATTAAATGTTAAAGCAAGCAACATTTCCTTCCTTCCTTCCTTCCTTCATCATATGTATATGCTTGTCTTTTCTTTGCTTTTTGCGAAGAATGAACATTTAGCTGTACTCATTAATGTTACAAGAATAACTTCCCTGCTGCCAACAGTTTCTTCTAAGTCAGAGAACCTCTATTGTCTTTCCTCTGGTAATAAATGATAATAATTAAAGGCAAATACACAATAATTAGTCACACTAGATTTATCCATCTGGCGTACCTGTATCCCATCACTGTGTCTTTGAAACAGATGACAAGCAGCATATTGCAGCACATCCTGCTAATGGGTCTAAGTGGGGAATGGGGAGGTAAAGAGGTCATTAAAAAAAGGGTCAGTAGCAAAGAGCAAGAGCATTATACATTTTTTTTTGGAAGTGGTCATTGAGCATTTAGCTTTGTATCTTCCAAAAACGTATGTGTATCCACAAGATAGTAGTAAACTAAAGTAGCTCACCAGGCCTGGGAAGGTCTATAGACATTGTTAATTTCATTGTTTAGATCGCAGTCACCACGAGGATCTTCATAGTTACTGTTTATTGCTTTCTTGCTATCTTCCAGGCAGTGAGTTCCATTTTTAAGATATTTCTCTCTACTTCTGAAAATCTTACAAGGTACATATTGAAATTATCTCCAATATATAAATGCAAAAATTGAGTTAAAGAGAGATTTAGCAACTTCTCCAAGACCATATTACCTCATAAGGACTGAGCCAAACATTAAATAAAATGGCATTTTTGGAAGTTTGAATGAAGTGTGTTGAAGATGCTTGTTAATTATTGTAATTGAAGGTTGACTTTAAAATTTATGATTTTGTGGGGAGGGGCAAGTTTTTATGCACATATAGACTTTCAGAATTTAAGTTAATATGACCATCAACCTTTTTGAAAGAATATAATGCTAAAAGTAAACATACGAACTTTTGTCAATGGGTGAGGCATGTCTTAGATTCCACTGGATAAGACTATTAAAAGTGCATTACAGGCCAGGTGCAGTGGCTTACCTCTGTAATGCCAGCACTTTGGGAGGCTGAGTTGGGTGGATCGCTTGAGGCCAGGAGTTCAAGACCAGTCTGGCTAACATGGTGAAAGTGTCTCTACTAAAATACAAAAAACTAGCTGGGTGTGGTGGTGCACGCCTATAATCCCAGCTACTCAGGAGGCTGAGGTACTCTTGATCTCAGAAGGTGGAGGTTGCCGTGAGCCAAGATTACAGCACCGCACTCTAGCCTGAGCGACACAGCGGGACTCGGTCTCAAAACAAACAAACAAAAAACCAAAAAAGTGCATTGCAAATGAATTCTTCTTTCTCTACAAATACAAGAGAGATGGCCATTCATGGGGGCTGTTGTGTCTCATATGTATTTTTCAAGGAAGAACAATATTACTCAATCTGGCAGTTGCTTCTATAAAGCGAGAAAGACCTACAATACATATCTCTTAAATTCACCAAGCATTCTCTGTATTCGGTTCATGTAACTGCAATCTCTATTCATGTTTTTAAGGCTAGAGATGCCCTCAATACACACATCCACATAAAAATGGGCTGTCACCTGTCACTGCATCTGCTCACACTCTCTGAATTTATCACTAACTTCCCACAAATAAAAAATGGAGTTATTTATCAGCTTCTTTTTTTTCAAAAGGTGACATTAGGCACTTCCAGATTATTAAAGATAACCATCTCATGTTTCCAGTGTTTCTCTGGAAGGATATTCTCTCTTCATTGTTGCAAGGAGATCTGCACATTATCTGAGGCCCATAAGATGGCAAGGAAATAAAAAGGTATGGTTGGAGATAAGACTTTCTGAGCCGAAAAAACTCATGAGTGCATGTTTAAAATAGCTGGAATGGGACATAGTACCTCCACTTGCTCGATATTAGAGGAAAATATAAGAAAAACAAGATCAGGGTTTTGCAATCAGTGTGAATTGTTATTCACCAACCATGTCTGAGTCTCAGCGAGTCTGTTGAAACACAGGGTTCTACAAAGACAGCAGCACCTGTTGCTGAGTGTGCAGTAACAGCCTCACCATGTAATCAACGCATTCCCATCTGTGGCGAAATTTCCCAATTTTTCTTTTAAAGATCAGATCCTTCATTGCTAATGAGCTAACGGGAGGGATGCAATGTCTTATTCGATTGTGGCTTATACTGTGGCTGCAGTATAAAGTAGTGGGAATGAAAAATTAAAATCAGCTGAGGTTTTCCCCAGCTTCCAAGGCTGATGTTTCTTTCTTTCCAAAGTTTTGCTTTGCATGGATTTTCAAGGGTTCGTTACACATCAGGACATTAGGAGTATTGGCTTGATTGTGTTTCTTTCTTGTGCCAATCTAGTCACGGATCTGATTGAAGGATGCGACATGATCCTGTGCTCTTTTCTACCTCTCAGTACCATGTCCAATTTGATAGCCAAGAACTGCAAATTCTGTGCCTTTAGTGATTTTTTAAAATAGATTTTCTCTTCTTTATCCCTATCACCAATATCTTAGGACAGATCTTTGTTATTTCTGTTTTTCTCTTCTTTCTTTTTTTCTTTCTTTTTCATTTTTTAAATTTATTTTATTTATTTTATTTTATTTTTTTTGAGACAGAGTCTCGCTCTCTCTCCCAGGCTAGAGTGAGTGCAGTGGCGCGATCTCGGCTCACTGCAATCTCCGCCTCCCGAGTTCAGGCCATTCTCCTGCCTCAGCCTCCTGAGGAGCTGGGACTACAGGCGCCTGCCACCATGCCCAGCTAATTTTTTGTATTTTTCATAGAGAGAGGGTTTCACCGTGTTAGCCAGGATGGTCTTGATCTCCTGACCTCGTGATCCACCCGCCTCAGCCTCCCAAAGTACTGGGATTACAGGCGTGAGCCACCGCGCCCAGCCTTTTATTTTTAATGTTTTTAAGACAGCATCTCATTCTGTCACCCAGGCTGGAGTCTCGGCTCTCTGCTACCTCCGCATCCCAGGCTCACGCGATCCTCCCATCTCAGCCTCTGGAGTAGCTGGGACTACAGGTGCACCCCACCATGCCTGGCCAATTTTTAAATTTTTGTAGGGGCAGGGTTTCACTACATTGTCCAGGCTGGTCTCCAACTCCTGGCTCAAGTGATCCTCCTGACTCAACCTCCCAAAGCGCTGGGATTACAGACATGAGCCACCATGCCCGGCATTTGTTATTTCTTGCAGATTATTATAGCAGCCTGTAAACAGTGCTACTCTTGCTCTCCATTACTCCCCAAGATTGCCTTTTCCTTTAGCTTTTATATTGCCTCCAGACTTTTATAACTATAAGCAGAATCACAGCACTACATAGAGACCTTGATCACAGCCCTCACATCCATCATTACCTCTGGCACCTCTCTGCTCTTAATTACATGCTTCTTTTTCAGTGACATTTTGCAGGCAGTCCTTGCCTTCTATCCACCCCCTCTCCCCACCAGCCATGTGCCTGTTTTATCTAACGTCTTGCTTCTTTGCTAGGGATCTCCTATCCATCCTTCAAGAAGTGGAGTGGAAATAGATTACAGTTCACTTGGTAAATGCAATGTTGATTGGCAATGTTTTCCTGAGTCTGTGTTCAGTAGGATTCTGATGCCGTGTCTGGGGTTGATGAGAATAGTGTGGAAGTAGAATTGTCTCCCAAGGGTGCGGAAGGGAGAAAGGTTGGCCTGGTTAAAATGTCACTCCCTCCATGAAATCTGCTCTAACTTCCCAGGAGAATTTATCGGCTCTCTCCTTCAGAAGGCTTCAGCACCTAAAATTTCTCCAGTCCTAGTATTTGTAGTTATTGTAATTAACTTCCTATACATCTGTCTCTTATATTACACTGTGAACTTTTTTGGGGCTTATCGTGGACATTGGACACTTACTAAATATTTGTTCAATGACTGACTAGTTTCTTTTCTGACCCCACCTTAACATGGTTATGGAGGCGTTTTGGCAAACTATGGCCTGCAGGCCAAATCCAGCCCACCACATGTTTGTGTAAATAAAATAATATGGGAATAGAGCCATGCCTAGTCATTTCCTTAGGATATATGGCTGCTTTCCTGCTACAGCAGTAGACAGAGCTGAGCAGTCATGCCACAGTCTCTATGGCCTGCAAAGTGACTATCTAGTCACCTACAGAAAAGGGTTGAACACCCAGTTCTAGAGCTTAAAAACAAAGGCTGAGATCCCAGGTGTTGTACGTTTTTTTCCCAAACACAAGCTAGGGAACTTCTGAGCCATGGAATATAAAGTGTTCAGCCCAGTTGAAAGACCTCCAAGGTCAACGTTCCTGCCTGAATTTCACTGGGTTCTGCAGCTTTCTAAACATTTTTTTATTTTGCTTTCAGAAATGTTGTCAAAGGATGCTTCTTTGATTCTTGGAATAATCTTGATCATCAGTATTGCATTTGATAGCTCTTATGAAAACGTCTTGGTTCTGTGGCTGCATGCTGCACTGATTTTTGACAGCCTTACCAGCACTTTGCCTTGCATCTACTTGTTAATATAACAATGCTAAATGAAGAGCAGGAACTGTTTCTCTAACAGTCATGTGTCTTGGTTTCCTCCTTCTATCACTATAAGTTTCATCTCCTGACACAAGTTCAACTAGCTACAACTGAAATGACATAACTTCTCCCTAAACATTCGATGGTAACTTCACCTTACAGCCTAGTTGTGGAGTCAGACCATCTGTGTTCCCATCCTGGCTCCTTCAATAAATTACTGGCTGATAACCTTGGGAAAATCATGTATGTTTCTAGCCCTCGGTATCCTCCTCTGTAAAAAGGGGGTGGATGGCAGTAACAAATCTCTGTAAATTGTTGTGAAAAATCAATACAATCCATGAGAAGCACTTGGCAGAACTGCTGTCATAAGCATGCTGTTTGCTTTTTCTTTGTTTTCCTTTCATCATTCATGTTAACTCATCTAGCTTCTCATAAGGAATTAGGTTTATCAGTGTAAGTGTACCAACCTCCAGGTGTCAAAGTCATACCCATGACCTCTTTGACTTCTGATGTCATGAACACCATGGCGTAGGGAAGCCTGAGGGGGCTGGATCATATCATTCTGAGAGTGGGCCTCAAGGTGGGCTTGTAATGGTTCTGAGAGGTCAGAGTAAGCCTCATAGTAACACACACTTTGGACACGTAAAACGATACTCAAGACATCTGAGTTATCCAGTCTCCTCTGAAATTATTTCTAGATCTCAGATTGGAAGAAAAGTACTCTTTCTTTCTTTCTTTCTTTCTTTCTTTTTTTTTTTTTTTTTGAGATGAAGTCTTGCTCTTGTCCCCAAGGCTGGAGTACAATGGCATGATCTCCGCTCACTGCAACCTCTGCCTCCTGGGTTCAAGTGATTCTCCTGCCTCAGCCTCCCAAGTAGCTGGGATTACAGGCACCTGCCACCATACCTGGCTAATTTTTGTATTTTTAGTAGAGACGGCATTTCACCATGTTGGCCAGGCTTGTCTTGAACTCCTGACCTGAGGTGATCCGCCTGCCTGGGCCTCCCAAAGTGCTGGGATTACAGGCATGAGCCACCACGCCCAGCTGAAAAGTACTCTGTCTTTCTAACAACCACAGGTATCCTAGTTCTAAGCTACGGAGCCTGTCTAGTCTGAGGTACACATTTTTGCTATAGCCCAAGTCCCCTAGGAACTAAAATGGCTGCATAATCTGGTTCTAACTGTCTCTCATTCTAAGCTGATTGGCCTGGAACCAGAAAAAAAGCAGACAGAATAAAGAACAGATGAATTTCTACAGCCCCAACCCGCTTGAGCATTATTTTTCCAATTTCATCCTGGAAACCAAGTAAAAACATGTTTTGATTATATTTACAAATTTATCCAATCATCCTGGAATTTTGGACTACATTTTATGTTTGGAAAGGGACATCAATAAAGTGCCTTCTGGGCATGGAGCTTGCCTGAGCTTCAGGGGTTTCCTCTGTGGGACACCAGGCATGAAGGGGCGGCCAGGGCAACGCTGTCTCTCTCCTGCCTAGTACGTGCCACCCCGACATGCTTGACTCCTTTCTCAGGGGCCTCAATGCACAGCGGGGTCTTCTGATGTTGGTCTCTTTAAAAACAAATATTTATTGGAAGCCTGGACAATTGCAGCCCCTTCCAACTGTTGTCACTGTTGTGGGTTTCTCTCCCCTCAACCCATCTATCTTATTCTCCAGCAGAGCCATCTATCTGCAACACAAATCAGATTATGTCATTTCCCCTCTTAAAAACCATCAGTGCCTCCCAGTTCTTCAAAAGATGATGTCTTAAACCCTTTAGGAAGGCTCACCAGCATTCATGAGCTGACCCACCAGGGTTCCCTGGTAAATCTGTTCCTTTCTTAAAAACTTAAACTCAAGTATCTTCCTTCATTCCTTCTTTGGCATTCCATAACAATGGGTGCATATGTTTAGCACTAAAATACATTAAATGTCATAAAATAACCATTCAGGTAAGCACTAATCTCTGCTACTCTCTTTTAAACACCTTGAAGGCAGAGAGTATGCCAAACTTTTTGTATCACAGCTATTTGACACCAGGTTTGACAAAATTGCTGCTCTGTAGAAATGATGAATGAATTAATACAAGATGTGGTGCTCCCGTAGAATCCTGCTTGCATCTCACTCACATAATCTTCACATTATGTTTTAGAGGCGGGTCTCTTCTAACAGACTTCATAGTCCTTCAGGGTAGGAATTCTGTTTCTATCTTATCTACCACTGGCTCAAACTTCTATGTATTTCTGACATATGAGAAAAGCTCGACAGTGTTTTGTTGAGGAAAAGATTAAGTTTTTAAAGGTTAAAAATTAAAGAGACCTGGAATCTATGCTCAGACAACTTTCTCTTCAGTTGGATATATTAGATAGGATGCTGATATCAGGTAGGCTAAAGTCTAATGTCAGTTTAAAAGGGCTAAGGTTTAAGAAAATGGCATGAAAGTGAAGCATGAGTATAGGAAGGGAAGGACAGACTACTTCTGGTTGCTAGAATTTATTTATTCAACAAATATTTATTGAATACCTAGTGTACACATGACACAGGATGCATGCTAAACTCTGGGGAGAGGAACAGACTTCTTCCCAGATTTCAACAGCTCAAAGCTAAGCCCAACCATTGCCATCGTGTGGGGCAAAGGTGAGGACAGAGGATGAACTGGGCAACAAGGAAGCAGAGCAACACTCCTCAATCAGCCTGGGAGCTGAGAGACTGGAAGGATATAGGAAGGCCTGGACATTCAAAGACAGGTTTGGAAAAAACCTATGCTGATGTGGAAGGTTGGACAGCTCCTTAGTACTACCTGGAAACCAGGGGGAAAATAGGAGAAACATGACTAGCTTGGGAATTCCTTTGCGAGTCTTGATAAACAATTTTCGGACAGTTACTATTTCTCTGTCTGCTGCCTCCTGCCTGGCCTTAAGGCAGCCACCCCAGACAAGGCTAGCAGAGAGTGAGGGCTCTGAGGAGAGGAAAACAAACAAACAAACAAATCAGAAAGGCCAATCTCCAAAGAGAAGATTAGCCCTTAACCAATGTCCTCAAAGGGACCTAACGTAGAAGAGTAGAGAGTGTCAGGTCAAACTCTAAACTCCTATGAAAAACCGCTGCATGTCTGGTACTGATGATGTGAGCTTGGTAGATGTATAAGGCAGCATCCTTCTCTTTGAGCCGCAACTGGGTGCTGCTGGTTACTTGAAATAAATGTTGATCCATAGATTTTGGCTTTCAGTTTTGAAAAATGTAAACTTCAATTACATAGTAATTTAGGAAACTCTTGAATTCTTTCCTATAAATCTCCTCTTTATGAGACAATTTGAATGTAGTTTCAAATGGAGCCGCTGATTTGTACTCTATGAAGAGCTGAGCAGATAGTAGGCTCCTGACAATGTTTTAAAAAATGAATTCTATTGAATAATTTTATATTTAGCTCCTGTTTTGTGATTGTCACTGAAGGTACAGAAAAATGAGTTAGATTTGGTATCTCTATTCAAAGAACCAAAACTCTAGTGGGAGGAAAACTGGAAAGAAGGTAAATAAGGAATATAGTAAATAGAGCTGCAAACAAATTGCTATAAAAATTCAGAAAAGCAAGAACAATTACATTTTTAGGACAATTAGGAAGGGCTTAAAAGAGAAGGCAGCATTTGAAGATCATTGGTTTGTCCAACCTAGATTTAGAGTTAAACATTTGTTACTCATCAGCCTAAAAATGCTTTATTGATATGTAACAATTATAATTTATCCCATGATTTAAATTGGAAATTAAGATAAGAAAGAGTGAAGAAGAGAAGAATAAGAAAAGAGAAGGAAAAGAAGAAACAACTTCTCAGATTTATTCTCAGAAAGTCTATCAACTTTCTTTATTGGCATTATAGAGGTTTCTAATAACAGCCAATGCTTTCTAAAGCTATGATCACATTCCACATCACATTTGTGTACTTACTTAGGACTTACAAAATTCTTCACTGCATGCTGTTTCATTTGGTTCTTTTATCAACATTACAAGATGGAATACTCAGGTAGCCCCGAAGTCGTTTCCCATATGCTGAAGTTCAGCAAGATTCATCTTCCAACCTCCTTCAACTGGTGGAAGAATAAAGACCATTCTAATGGCCGTCTTCCAGCTCCTTCAACTCGACTCTGCTGCTTCCCATAGAGTTTTGAAAAGTTCTTCATCTGGATTTGTTAAACAAGTAAATAATATTTCATAATTGCAAGAGCGTCTCCAAAATTATTTCATTTTTTAAAAAACACATCAAATTCTGTTTTATTTAGCCAAAATTGACCTCTCTTACTTTCTCTTATCATCACACTAGATCATTTGCAGAGTACTGTTCTTTAGTTTTTTCATTTCCATCTGGAAAACAAGAGTGCTATGTTAGAAAGAATTAAGTCCCTGAGAGTAGAAGTGTAAAAACAGTATACATTAGCTCCCAAAGGAAACATGAATTCTCAGATGATTTAAATAGTATGACTCCAACATCTGAAATGGAATAAAATCAAGGCTTGTTGACAAGAATGGAGGTCCCCCAACTTCATTAATAATGGATTGAAAATAGTTTCCTGGGTCCTTGTTGAAAAGGAGGCTGGGATCAGCATTAAGAATCTGTTTTAACTCACGATAGCTGATAGCTGCAAGAGGGATACAGTCAGATGGTTCTGCCCCAGGAGATCTTCATTCTGTCTTACTCAAGACGTGTAGATGATGATGAGAAACTAAGAACTTACCCCCTTGTTAGCCCCTGGAATCTCATTCTTCTCTAGAGCACTAGGATGACTTCGGGCCTGTCATGTTAGTATCTTTCAGAGTAGTTATCTACTGTTGTCTCATTTATTATCTATCTTAATGTTTCTACTTACATTTTATTCTTTTATGTTTTGGGTTTTTTGTTTTAATTTCCTAGGAAAGAGTCTAAAGCTGAATTAAAGCAATTAAGAGTGAGATTGAAGCAAAATAACATTTCCCTGTGATGACTTAAAAGTATTTTTTAGCTCAAAAAAGTAATACTGTTTATTGTAAAACTTTAGAGAATACAGAAATTATAATGAAGAAAGTATTTACTATAACATTCACCCACAAAAATATATATTAGCAATATATATCCTGCTTCCTTAACATATGTATATGTAATTGTGTTTTCTACATTTTTACTTGATAGTATAGCAAGAATATCCTTTCCTGCTTCAACCTCCTGAGTAGCTTGGGACTATATGTGTGCCCCACCACACCTGGCTACTTTTTTTTGTAGAGATAGGATCTTGCTATGTTGCCCAGGTTGGTCTTGAACTCCTGACCTCAGCCTCCCAAAGTTTTGGATTACAGGTGTGAATCACCATGTCCAGCTACTTTGTCAGTATACTTTCTCATAGCCAGGTGTATCATATTTAAACAGAAGTCCTGAGTCTTTCCCATAAAAACATACTTCTCCCCAAGTCTCCAAATCTAATAAATTGGTACCACTCTTCACTTGGTAGCTCTGGGACCAAACTGACTTATCTAAGATTATTTTCTTTCCTTTTATCCCAAAGGATAAGTCCTGTGGTCTCTACTTCTAGAACTTGTCCTGCATTCCACGCCTTGCCACCTCACCATCATCTCTGCTCTGGATTATGTACTGTGTCATTCCCCAACTAATCTTCTTACTCCCTCTGTCCCCTGGAGCCCTCCAAAACCCATCCTTCATAGAACAAGCCATAGGATGTTTTTATAAATCAGACCCTGCCCCTCCCCTGCTTAACACTCGCCAATCACTTCCTATTGCATTTGGCATAAAATCCAAATCCCTTGCTGTGGCTGATGAGCCTCTCCATTACCTGAGTCTGACTGTCACTGCCATCTCCTCCAGCTGTCCAGCTCTCCCTCATTCATTTTCTGAAACGATCAGCCTGTTTGTTGATTTGCTGCTCATTTGCTTATTGTGTGTTCATTGCCTGTCTGTCTCCTCCAGATCATAAGCTCCGTCTCATGCCTGGGCCTGTCTCGTGGTGAATCTTCGCAGCCTGAGTGGTGACTGGCATACGGCTGGCACTCAATCAGCATTTGCTAAATGGATGAATAATATTCCGTGACAAATTGTTTTAGCTATCCTTCAGTCTTAAAACATTCTTCTACTCAATACATTTATCCAGTTTCAAAAACACTGACATACTCTCACCACATTATCCCTCTGGTCTCAATACTAAAGTCTAATCTTGGCAGCTTGCCACGCCCCCATGGCTCTAACACACATAATACTTCAGGATTTGACCGCACAGTGCCTTCCCTGGCCACAGCCCAAGAGTCTCCTTCATGCTAATTTACCTGTCAGACACACAGGTTACACCACTCTTCCCACCTCTGGGTATTTCCACTGGAAGGCTCCTTGGCCTAGGAGACTGATTTTCTCTTTGCCCTACCCCCGTGCTTCTATCTCTTCCTAAGGGAACCCCACAGCAATACCATGGAAAACCAGACAAACACAGGGCCTGCCCTCTGGAAACTTACATCTTGGTGAGACAAACAGTAAGTCAACAACCACACAAGTAAAACACAGCAATACAACGTCATAAAGAGATAGCCAAGGCACAGTGAGACATCAGTGAAGCCATCTTTGATAACGTGAGTGTTAAGCCCAGACCTGAGCGTGAACTATCACTATTCTTAATTTTTACTTTTCCTGATCTTATGCCATATGCTCCTTTTTATCATATTTAGGTGTCAGTTTTATCTTTCCTCTTAGTTTTTTGGCTGCAAAAGGGCTGATTTCCTGTGTGATTCACAGCACTGGCGCACCATATACATCTTCATCTATGAGGAGGGCAGGAGAAGGAGGTGGGGTCAGGGATGGGCAGGAGAGGAGTGGAGTCAAGAAGAGAGTCTTTCAGATTAGGGTGCTTGTGACTGAGAATTCGACTCTGAACATTACAATAATAAGGCAACATTTGGCTAAATGGTCTGAGCTGAAACTCAGCACAGGTTTTGTTGCCAGTGCAACACATTATTAATATTTTATGGATGCCACTCACCCTTTCCATAGCCTTAGAATTAGATCAGGCTGATGATTTTTGCATTATTTTTTTGCATCTGTAACTCAAACTGTATTAAAAAGAAAGGATTGCCTAGTGATCCTTTGTGCCTTTCCTTTCTGAAAATTGAGCAGTTGCCATTTAGCTGAGACAACCTTGTCAAGTCCTTCAGGGCCAGCTCTGATTGGGATTTATAAAGCCCAGTTCAATCTGAAATGGCTTTGAAACTTCCCCTGAATAGGAGAGCATAGAAGAGCTCCAAACTGTGCAAGGCCCTCTGAGCTTGCGCAAATGATAAGCAGAGAGACTACCCTGGAGAACTCATAGCCACCACTGAGGGCTATTAAAAGAGAGACAGAGAAGGGTAAGGGAGTGAGGCAATCTCCTCTTTTGAGATGGCCTCCATGAGGACTGTAAATAGCAAAGCATCTCCCTCTCTTTGCTCTGGGCCTGGCTGCTCTGCAACCCTTCCCCAATGCTACGAGTAGAGCTGGGTCTTTAAAGGTCTATCCTGACTGCTAGATGCCAGGCACGTGCAACTTAGAAGGGAGCATGGTTGCTCTGAGGGCAGGGAGGTGACCAGCCTCACACTAGGACAGAAGAGAATGCCACACGGCAGCAGTGAGGTGGAGGGCAAGGAAGGTGAAGGGAATGAGAGCAGATATTTATTGAGCATCTTCCTCAGTGAGCCAGGCACCCTGATAGGCACCTGACAAGGGCCTCTCTTTTATGGTCACTCACAATGCTTCTTGAGATAAATATTAATACACCCGTTTCACGGGTGAGAAAGTTGAACGTCAATCCTGCTGAATGTCTTGTCCAAGTTCACATCACTGAGCTTCAAACCATTTGGCTCCAGTTCTTAGAGAACAGCATCACTGTCTCCCTATCAACTTCTCTCAAGCACCTGAATTGTCCTGAAATTACAGCAGCTAATTGATAGTTGTATTGCAACTCAATGAATGAACTAATGAGCAAAAGCACCAACTCTGGTCTTCTGACACGAAGTTATTATTCATACATTGGGATAATATTAATTATCCTGGAGAGAGGACCCAGTTAGAACATGAACGGAGCCCACGTCAGAATCTGTGACCCTAGGCACATCTGTTAACACTTCTAAACTTCGTAATCTGTAAAACAAAGATTAAAAAATTAAACCACCCACCTCATACAATTACTGAGAGGCTCAGAGGCAATAAGATATTACAAAACCCAGCACAGTGCCTGGTACCCACAGGTGTTAATGCATGTTCTTTATTTCTCCCATTTACCAAGGACTGCATTGGGCTGAATGTGGTGGACATTTGAGTCCATGAGCTGAGAGGTCATGGAAATTCCTTCCTGCTCTGACCCAGGCTTCTCCTGCAGGGTTGAATATGGCCATTGCGGCATGCTTGTCATTTTGATTTCTCTTTCTTCTGGAATAGCATTAAGACCTTTTTTCAGATAGGCTCCAGTGAGGTGCCATGTGCTGAGTCTGGGGCCTGCTATACTGGATTTCCACCAACAAGGGCCAGATTCTCTCTTCGTTAAGATTTTTGGCTTTCTGGACACCAGCAGGTGGATTCTTACATGGAAGGACAGATTTTGCCAGGGTAGGACATGCATGATGTGGCTGGTGGGACTGAAGACCCTGTGGGCATTGATGAAGGCAAGGATGGGCTCAAACACCATCCGAAACCCACACAGATCCACACCAGGTCCCAGCCCTGGACCAGACAATGCAGCAGCCAAATTTTAAAACTTAGAGTCCTAAAACGACATGATTGTTTTTATACATCCAGGCACATCCCTGAATGGGGAGAAAAATGCCAAGTAAGGGGACAATCTTCCCTGCCATTATCACCTCCCTTCATCTGCTCCAGGCCCGAGCTGCCCGGGTTGCCATGGTGATGCAGGGCTGACCTCTCACTTTTTACTCTTCCAGGAGCTAAAAAGGTAAAAATGAGCCATTTGGTAGCAAATGAAAATCAACCTCCTTCAGTTAAAAGATGTTGAATTGCTTTCGCTTCGTCAAACTTAATGTTCCGTAGCCAAGTTAAAAAAAAAAAAAAAGTCAAAGAAGAAGGAGAGGGGGAAGAGGAGGGGCAAAACGGAAGAACGCAAGCAAGAGAGCTCAGAAGCAAGCGGAGATGTTGGCTGGAGCAGCAGTGGCGACTGCAGCAGAGAACAGGGATGGGCATCAGTGCCGGAGGCATCAGACCAGCCTTCAGCAACAGCTTTCTCAGAGCTCACAATTGGGTGCTGAGCCACTTCCTTCGACTTGCCCGGCCTTGTTGGTGCTGGCTCCAGCTCTTTCTCCCTGCTTGTCTCTTTTACTCGCTTTGCAATGGTACCTGGTGAAGCTGGATTGCTGGCTTTTACTTTTCATGTGCAGAGAAATTGGGTCAGGAAATCAAAATATTGATTGAACCCGATTGCGGTAGCTGTTCTAGAAGAGATTTTAGGGGAAGCAAATTACATTCTTTTAACATTATTCAGCCCGTGATTAGGCATGTGCCCCATGCATGAGCCAGGAGAGCGCATTCGTTTGCTGTGATTAATATCCCAAAGTGGCTTTCTCCAGTAACCCAGGCTGCCAGGAACTTGACCACTCAGAGCCTAGCCAGCAGGACCACCCAGGCCAGGGATGCCCCCTGTCCGATTACAAGCACAGGTTGGGCAGGTGCGAGAGCAGTGCAGGGTGGCTGTGGGCGGCCAGCCTGGTTGTGCTTGGGAGCAGGAAGCATCTTGCCGCCTGTTTCTGGCTTTCTGATGTGTGGCAGGGAAGCTGGATATTTGCCCTTTTTCCTCTTTTCTCTTTTTGCTCTTGGTTGATAGAGGACGGTCTCAAAGTCTATCCACCTGCACATCATGTGCAAAGACAGCCGGGGTTATACTTTGGCTTCAAATGATTCATTGGGATTCAAGTGTCTAAGCACGTGGGCTAGAGCTGTCAAACCATCTTCTACATGTGAATTACCCTTAATTATAACTTAGGTGAGAACTACCGATTTATCACTCCCAGACTTGTTTTTAATCCTTTAACTTCTGGAGTTAAACCATTGGATAATGGCAATACTACAAAAAATTAGAAAGAGTAAGAGTAGTTATGGGGAAGGCAACTAATTCTTTTTTTTTTTTTTTTTTTGAGATGGAGTCTCTCGCTGTCGTCCAGGCTGGAGTGCAGTGGTGCGATCTCGGCTCACTGCAAGTTCCGCCTCCTGGGTTCAAGTGACGTTCCTGCCTCAGACTCCCGAGTAGCTGGGACTACAGGCACCCGCCACCACACCTGGCTAATTTTTTTTGATCCGCCCGCCTTGGCCTCCCAAAGTGCTAGAATTACAGATGTAAGCCACTGCGCCCGGCCAAAGGCAACTAATTCTTATCAGAAAGATGTCTTCACAATGTCTTGGAGCAAAACCCTAGGTTTTTTAAGAAGTACTTTAGAAACCTCATGGGCAGGTCAGGGGTCAAACACACAGAAAATTCACTAGCGATCAGTTTCAATAAGTCCAACATGAGAATAAACAAAACCAGGCTATTAAGTGATAATATGGAGAGAAAAATAATGGTGCCCAGATTGATTCATTCATTCAAAATATCTATATTCTTTAGTCGTATTTCTTCAAATACTGATAGTATTTGGCAAATACCTGCTAGTTTGTTTAATAATCCTAGGTCTTATTTATATCATCAGCTTCCGGTGGTCATAAGATTTGCAGAAAGAGCCTTTCTCTGTTGGATTCATAATACGTCCTGGATTCTACCTGAAATCCTTGTCTCTGAAATGTTGGAAGAGACCCTCTTTCATGCCCCCTGCCCCGACCTGGCCACAGGCGCGTACACCTGGTCCATATTCTGTAATGAGGTCTCAGTGGTCATCTTATTCTCAGGGCCCATCGAAAAATTGCATGCTCTGAAGACAGCATAGTTGCATCAAACTCTTTAACTGGCTGGCATTTTGAAAGTTTAAAGGGTTAATGCTCCTAAGAGAAGAAGAAAACACCACGCGTGCGTTTTGATCTGAGGTTCAAAACATACACGCAGATGAAAACGGCCAGCCTCATCGCTACACACAATCCCTTTCTCTGCCTCCCAGTCCCTCTCCTTCCCTCTCCACAATCTTACAGATCTCAGTACGATTAGAGAGCTGCCGATAAGAGAATGGCCATTGGTATTCTATGGTTTCAGTGTAGTCTGAAAATTAAATCCCTATGAAAATAATATATCTCTTCTCCTCTCCCCTACCCCCTCCTCCCTAGAAGCAGCTGCTTTTCACATTTAAATGTAGCAGTGGTAACAAGAGCCTCTTTTATCAGCTACTCCTATTCATAAGGCATTAAAATACACGCCGTTTCCTAATCCCTAGTGCAGCTCTAACAGGGGCTTCAGCTTTGTGCTGAAATAGCACGTATCTTTTAAAAGTAGCTGATGGAAATCATCTTCCAAACCGAATCAGTCTCTTAAAAGCAGCTCTCCCCAAGCACAGAACATAAATAGAGTCCAGGACACAGTGTGTGTCCAGCTCCCCTCTCCACTGTAAAGGGTTTGGGAAACAATGGCTGAGTTTGTTTATAAGTAGCCCAAGCGACTTGGCAAGCTGCTTCCCTCCTCTCTCTTCCCTCCCACCCCAGATCCCATACCCATCTTTACAGCAGCACCAGTTGCAGCGCCTCTTCTGGGAAAGGCATTGCTACTTCTGTGTAAGCCAATAGGCATTTGCTGAGCAAGGTCACTTTCAGAGGCAGCTCTTTCTGGAGGCAGCATCTACAGGAACGGTGGGCCAGGGGCTGGAGGCATGGATCAAATAGAAAATCACCTGGATTCCTGGTTAATCCACAGGCCTCAAGAGGAGTGCATGCGGGGCTGGTGAATTCCATAACCATGAGAGAGCTATTTTGTAGGCAGGTAGCTGATAGAAATGTACACAGCCATATGACACATACGTATATATATATAGTTTACATATAAACACAAGTATACACATATTTGTCCGCATCAGACAGTACTGATTCCCTGCACAATCACCTAGAAATAGCATTAGAAGCACTATTAACACAGAGGGAACATTTCAAATACAAACAAGAATAAGTAGCCTGAATTATGGTTAACTCTTGTGGCTATCGTTTTATTGAAATTACGTCCTGAAATTAACTTTTTCTTATATGTTAAAATTAAGGCTGGCCCTTTAAAAATAATTTATTTTTTGAATACTCAAGCTTTCATTCCGATATATCTGTTTTTCTATTTTCAGTAAATTAGGGGGTTTCTAGTCTCTGGTTTTATTACTAATAAAGAAGAGAAAAAGGTAGCAGAAATGTTTGTTGTATTTTGTGTTCAGCTTTATGTTTATTTTCTTTCAACTGCTTATAGAAGAGATCTCAGGAGGAAAAAAATACATCACATTCTTCTAACATTGTTTTACTCAAAGTTTTATTTTAGAAGTGTAATTATTTTTTTCTCATGGTAAGTAAGTGTTGCTAGAAGTGTTTTGGAATTTTAAGTTCCTCTGGCAGATATCTGTTTTTCAATTGCTGTGAATCTTTTTTTTTTCTAATTCTCTCTCTCTTCTTGATTTGAAACTGAAGTGCTGATGAATGTTCTTTGCCTTGTACAATAGATATCTTTTTACTTATAAAATGCCACAAAGTTATAAATTAGGAGGACTATCTACATGATAAGATTTTCTCCCTCCCTCATGTGCCAGCTAAATGTTGAAGAAGGCTGATAGGAACAGAAATAACATGTTCAAGGGAGAAATAATCCAAATAAATATATACCTTCATTTCATCTCTTTTGAAGAAAGTGTCCATCTCACCAAGGTTGTAAGGTTTTTAATAAAAGCAGAAAACTCTTCAGGTAATTATAAACGCCCTTTAATACTATTAAAGGAAAACGTAATTCCAATCATTGAGATTTATTGGAAATCTTACTTTCTGAGGCAGTGGCAATTATCTCTGAATCATGGAACCTGACTGCCCTCTTCTGGTTATAAACAGAAATAGGAACAGCCTGGAAGAATTCTATCACTGACAATAGGGTTATGTCTAGGAAATCTACGATAATAAGGAAATGTCCACATTCATATTAGAATCTGTGCCTGACAGGAATTAGAAACTGAATAATCTAACTTCCTCATGGCCCAGAATACAATGCTTTCTAATTGTTTTTTGACAGCAGTTCTGACTTTTGTACTATTTTATTTTATGTTTGGAGCCCTCAAGTCAGACCCAGGTGTTCAACTAAAGCTAAAGTGAAGAGCAGTAATTACTTTAAAATGTCCACAACTTTTTGAAAAACTGATATTAAGGGCAGCCAAGCATTCATAAATATTGCATTTGGGTTGGAGAAGAAATTCACTTTTATCAAAAGCTCAAAAAGTAATAATTGTCAATAATTAACTAGACTATATTTTAGAGATTAAAAGGTAACATAAAACTTTTCTCATATAAAATTAAACATAATGAAAATAACTATTATGTAATGCCATAATTACATGGGATCTCACTGGTTACTCGATAGAATGATCAATTGAGTAATCTTAGATCCATCCATTTTCTCCCTTAATCTGTATTAGGTGACATGATTTTCCATGTTCATACCATAATTAAAAAGCTTTGAATTTCTTTCTTTTTTTCCATTTTACCGCTGAAAAATGGTATAATGAATTCGGGATGATTGATAATTCTAGATAGAGGATCATTAAATGCCAACAGAAAAAAAAATTATGTTCAATTATAATTGTGATACTACGTCAAACAGATAGAGGAAATCCTAATTCTGAGCTCTATTAAAATGCACTTATTTCAATTTCCAGTTGCTATGTATGTCCTATTAGCAGCCTGACATTTTGAGTAGTACACTAATTCATATGAATTGGGTTTGAAATGAAAGCTTTCAAGTCAAGCTTTATGGAACACTGAATGTGCGATAAGCCCAGAATTAGCAAGAGAATGAGGTGATACTTTTTCGCCAAGTGAGCTTCTTGTATGAAGGCACAAAACCCGAATGCTCCGAATTATAAAATGCTTTAATTTCAAGGACCTCGCCCATAAGTAAAGCACACGTCGATTTTTCTCTGGAAACCTATTAAGTAGTTAGAAGCAGATAAAATTCTAGTCTGCAATTAGAAAATTAAAGGTCAGAGGTTAAGTGTGTGCCTTGCCAGGTAGGTCTCAGATGGATCTCCACCTGTCAGGTGTCAGGGTTGGGAACACATTTCAAAAGATCACACAAAGTGGGCTAAGAATACATGTAACTGGGCAAAGCTTACATCAGGCCAAGCGTAGCAAAAAGAAAGCAAGGCCCCCCCCGGTTTTCTAGGTGTCCCCTAGAGAAGCTGTAGGACTTGCAGTGGGATTCTGTGTTCCAGTGACCATTCCATCCTCCACAGCTCTGCCCTCCATCCTGCCTCATGTAGGTCTCCTTTCTTTCTTTCTTTCTTTTTTTTTTTTTTTTTTTTAAGACTGAGTCTTGCTCTGTCACCCAGGCTGGAATGCAATGGTGCCATCTCAGCTTACTGCAACCTCCGCCTCCTGGGTTCAAGTGATTCTCCTGCCTCAGCTTCCCGCATAGCTGGGATTACAGGTGCCCACCACCATGCCCAGCTAATTGTTGTTGTTGTTGTTTTTTAGTAGAGACAGTGTTTCATCACGTTGCCCAGGCTGGTCTCGAACTCCTGACTTCAAGTGATCCGCCCGCCTTGGCCTCCCAAAGTGTTGGGATTACGGGTGTGAGCCACCTGGTGCTCAGCCCATGTAGGTCTCTTTTGACAGGGCAAGGGTAAGAAGAGCCTTGAGGAGGATGGGGTGGGCTGGTCATCCTCAGGCATCAGGCTCTTAGGGGCCTGCACTTTGCAGTTGTCAGGGAATGCTGGCTGTGCACACCTGGAGAACTCAGGTAGTAAGGTATTGCAGTCCCCTGTGTGAGGAAGAGCCCTTTCCTGCTAAGAGTAAGAGCTGCTGTTTCTGGCTAGCTTGTTGTCCAGGCAACCCAGAATGGGCCCCCAAGGTCAGGTTTGGCCAATCCTGCTCAGGCACCTGATTGCATTAATAGAAGAGCACTGCACTAAGGGTCAACTTCTTACAGAGCTCTGCCGTTTTGTGATCACAAGAGAACTACTTCTCCTTTACCTCAGTTTACTCATGTATAAAACAAGGAACTGGGACCCCATGCCTTCTAAGGTAACTTTTTGGTTCCAAACACATACGCTGTCACTTGTCACTTTCATAAAACTATAACATTAAATGAGGTACCAACCATCTTCATGAGCAAAGGATATCAATTAGTGGTGTGACAAAAATATAAAGAGTTATGAAAAGTTTTACATCAATTTTCCCCCCTCAGGTACTGAGTAGTACAAAGCAAATGCAAACCGTTACATTTTATGGCTTGCTCACTTATGTAATAAATCTGGCATGACCTGAAACTCAGTGTCTCTCTCTCTCTCTCTCTCTGAAGTTAATAAGGTCCCCGGTTTCTATTCAGAAATTCTCTTCTCTCCAGGATTAGGAGGAAAGGCAACTCATTGCGGTCCAGGCTTCAGGGAAGACTCGCAGAGACATACTGCGTCTTTAGGTGTAATGGTCGTGAGGCAGCAGGGATACTTGGTCCTGTGGTCTGGGGAAGATGCTGGGATGGAATTGATGCTGAATCTTTTGGAAGGAGTCCTGTCAGGTATAGTTTTCTCCTGTTCTGCTGGTCAAAGAGTTGTGACAATAGAAGCTGCAGGCTCAGCTGTTCTCTGTCTTGTGCCAATGAAAACTCTCAGAGCAATGACAGCTGTAGGGAAATGTGGCCAGAGCTAGGGAAGAGAGAAAGCGAGGAATCAATAAAGATAAAGGATAATCTAAAAGCAGAGTCGTGCCTGCCTTCGTGCCAAAACAAAACATATATTACCATTTAACATATGTGCCCTGACTCACCTGAATTCCTGTGACTTCTCAGGGCAGATAGTTTCGTCTGCTTTGTTCATCTCTGTGCCCTCAGCACCCAGTACAGTCCTTGGCACCAAGTTGGAGCATGGTACTTATTTTTAGTGGTGAAGCTGGTGGTAGTGGTGGAAGTGGTAGAGGACAGGAAAGAGGCAGAGGAGGTCGTGGTGGAGATGGAGGTAGAGGTGGCAGTGATGGAGACAGAGATGGAGGTGAAGGAGGCGGTGGTGGTAGGAGTGAAGGTGGTAGTGGCGGTGATGTGGTGAATGTGGTAAAGGTGGTAGAGGTGAAGGTGGAGGAGGAGGAGGTAGGGTGCTGGTGGTGGTGGTGGTGATGGTGAAGGTGGTGGTGGAGGTGGAGATGGTGGAGATGGAGGTAGTAGTGATTGTGGAAGTAGAGGGGGTGGTGGTCGTGATGACAGTGGAGGCGGAGGAGGTGGAGAAGGTGGTGGAGGTGGAGGTGATTATGGAGCTGGAGGTGAAAGTGGAGGTGGAGGTAGTGGTGGTGGTGGTTGAAGTGGAGGTGGTGGTGGTAGTGGAGACGGAGGTGATGGTGGAGGTGGAGGTGGATATGCTGAGGACTTCTTTAGATGAAGTTGTTTTTTACAGGAGTGCGGTGGCCTGGGTAAACACAGAAATAGAGCCAGAGATTGGAGAGAGAAAGAAACAGCCCTCATGAGGCAGTTTAGTCCCTGCTTCCAGCTCTGTGTATAGAGACAGAGGATTCCTTAGGTTCGTAAGCCATGAGCCAACAGAGCCCCATTGTCTTTTAATGAGAATCTAAACATTCAGAAGTACATTGTCCACTTCAGAAACATCGGGTCCCTCATCTCCTCATGCCTATCAAGCTAGGTCTGGCCCTACTTGAACTCAGCCACAACCTACGGATTGTCACTGCCTGGTCACGTCACTCCTAGGTCCAGATGCCCTCTGGAGGCTGTATTGGAGAGGTCCAATAAACACATCTAATCCACCCAAGTCCCTCCTTAAAACATTCTGGTGGCTCCCAGGAGCTATGAGCAGAAATGCTTAATACCTTTATACGAGCTACCACACTCCCTATCTTTTCCTCCCTGCCAGGATCTCTGACCTGGTCCCCCTTCAGGCCCTAATCTACCCTATCCTCTTTGTTCACTTATAAATCTATCAATGCCTTTTACATTTCCCACCTACCTTTTCTTTCTTTATCCCTTACTTCTTTCTCTTGCTGAGAAAGTCTTGTTTATTCTCTGAAACCCCTTCAAGACTCCTTTGAACCCATCCTTCAAATTCCACCCTTTGAGACTCTGTTTTCCTCTTACTCCTTTTGAGGTCTTTCACTCTGGCACCCTGTCCTTCCTTTCTTGGCTCATCCAGGCAGAGTTCAGTGCCCCTACTCAGTGTACCCTGGGTGTGTGGCGCATAGCTCTGCTCCAGTATGCATCCCTCCATGGACTCATACTCACATGCTATGTGGCACTCCACAGATACCATGTCCCACATGGGACTCCACCACTGACTGTGTACTCTTTGAGAACAGAGAGGACATAAGTACCTCACATAGAAAGGCCACGGCTTAAGGGATGATTCTCTTTCTTTTCCATCTAAAGCTTTGTCACGATGATGAGCTGTGTATGATGGGAAGTTTATACACTATCTGGTATGATGGGAAGTTTGGCGAAAAATAAGTTAATATTAGGAAAGCATGTGAGAACTGTTTCTCTGATCAGAGAATACAGCTGTGTGCCCTGGAAGGAAACGAAAGTCCATTCAGTAGCTAAGAGCTACTGGAGAGACACACGGAGGCTTCCATTTTCAACACAGGTCAGGGAGGGCACTTGGGGCGTGCACTCTGATTTCAGGGTGTGGAAGAGGGCTGAGGCTGCTATGAGACTTGTTGGAAAACTCATTTGCTCAGCAAGAATACTCTTGCTGTTTAGATGGCATTTGCTTTGCATGCTTGAGGGGAGTGGAGGGTTCTAATGTGTCCCCTGTAGCTACATTCTTTGGTGCCTCCCATAGAAAATACATAGAAATGAGCAGAGAGGTTCTAAGTATGCATCTTGTTAAGAAGAACTAGGCATTTACCATAGAAGACACTCATTCTGGTTTAACATTTTCTAGGTACGTGGGTTTGCAGGAATTATTCGGAAGCAGAGGGACACCAAGAATACATGAGATGGCTCTTTGATTGCCTCAGTTCCCAAGGCTATCAAATGACAGCTCTGAACTCAAGGATCACTAAGAAATGGCACTTTGGAGTAAGAACTATCACAAAGGCATTTGAGGGCATCCAGGAAGCCCTCTGCTGTGTGTGTCAATAGACACAATGATAGAACTTCAAGTTTTAAAAAAGGGAGAGAAAACAGCGGACCTAGATGTCTATGAGGGACCAGATAATAAGGGGCAGGAAATAAGTGCCCTGTGTTCGATTATACCACACAGCAGGGACAGAAGCCCTTTTCAAGATGATAAGCGACTTTTTATTTCCCTGAAGCCTTGAGCTTAACAAGGTGGTGTGAGCTATGGGAGTGAGGGAAGGAATCAACACAGAGTTCTTGGTAAAGGCAACTCGGGCTGAAGGTTGGGGTGGTAACAGGGAAGACGGCATGCTGAGAATGAAGTCTTCGGGCAAGTGGATGTGAGTTGGGGTGCGGATTTCATAGCTGTTCTTTTTTCTCTCTTTCTCCATTTCTTCATTGAGATTACTCCCTCAGTATCAGAAATAAAGTCATCACTCCATAAATGTTATCTTGTGTTATTGTTACTAAAGCTACTGTAATTAAGAAAATGGGCGCAAGTAAAGCAAGTAATAAAATTTAGAGTGTAAAAAATGCTAGAAAATTTGAAGACAGAAGACCACCTTTTTAATGGGTTACATGCGTAAAAGAGAAATAAGAAAGGTACAGAGAGGGTCACAAAGAGAGTTGGAAAAAATGGGAAAGACCCAGCAATGCCAAAGACCAAGGGCTGATCCACCAGGGAAGATTTTTAAATGGAAGGGGAGTTGTTCCACGTGGCCAAAACACTGGGAGTAACATTCATCTTTCAATATCATCGCAGCAGTTGGGAAAAATGAGCACTGACAATGAACTGTCATAAAAATTACATACAAAATCTTTTCTATGGGAAATTATAGTTATCAAGGACTCGTGGGATTCACAAAGAAGGTAGCCAGAGAAACTTCAATAAGAGGAAAAATTATGCTTGCTTATATCACTCCTGTAAGATGTCATTTGAACATTTTTAATTGAATGTGAGATTTCAAAAGAATGGTTCTGTTGGTGAACAGGAATGGAGGGCATGCAAAATACTGAGATTTGTCCTAGCCCGGAACATTTTCCTAAGCAAAAATCCCGAGGAACTACAAACCCCGTATGAAAAGCTTCACAGAGAAAGTTGTATGGAAGCAACAGTGCATGGGCACATGGGTGCTAGCATCTGTTCTTTCATTAAACAATTTTTAGGGCCCAACTCTCTTTCAGACCATATAACTGGGCTGAATAGAGAGTGTTGAATCACATATTGTCTCTGCTGGTCTGCAAACTCTGAAAGGAAATTTGTTAATTCCTAGATAAGAGCTCTGATTGTTGGAGAATGATCGCCATTTGTTAGAACTGTTTGCTTGGGTTTCTACAACAACCCATGAAAGGTCAGCTAAGCTAACCTGTCCTTCATGGCCCCTCTCATGGAGGCAGGGTCCAGACCCTGCCACATACTATCTCCTGGTTTCCAGGAAGAAAGCCTAGTATTAATGCTGTAAGCTAGTTTCTCTTTGTTTCCATATGTTTTCCTAGGGGCTCTCTCATCACAACATGTTATACAACCCGTATCAACATCATGTCCCATTTGGTCAAAAGGCATTTCCAATCCAGTGCTTCCTAACCTCTTTTAGGGTAAGTATTACATGCAAGTTAACATTACCATGCCCTGACAGATCAAATGAAGAGAGACAGCCAGAAAGCTTTGAAAGTTCATGACAAACCAGGTCACTTTCTATTATATTTACATTTCCGTAATAGGGTCCTTTAAGGACTCCTCTTAAAGAGGGTTTACATATCCCAAGTCAGCCTTTCTCTTGAATTCCACTCTAATCCTATCACGATTATTGTGGGCATGATTCAGTGAACTGTGCTCAGTTACTTATAGCAGGGTGGCAGGTAGTATGGGGGGTTGGGGCAGGGGTAGGGAACGCCAAAGCTAAAAACTAGACCTACCAGGAGGACAGGACGGGAGCTGAGAGGTGCAGAATATAATGTCCCAACATAATAAAGGCTCATAGATCCCTAGCGGGGGAATCCAAAGTGAAAATTGGGCAGGTAGGCAATTGACCCTAGGCAGGTCTATCAAAGGACAGAAAGCCCTGAGCCTGTCAGTGTGGATTCCAGAGACAGACTATGGAATTTGAGAGAAATACTAGAAAAGCCAAAGAGAGGGACAAAAGTATTGAAATAATTCAACCAGTTTAAATAGCCAGTTTAAAAATGGATATTAGGAAGTAGATACGTCAGTGGATTCAGCCTTATAAATGAACTTCTTCTATCACAGGAAGCAGAACTCGTAACAGGGAAGGAGTGAGGCAGGACCAGTGTGCCCAGGAATCAATAAGAAACGTTATTGTCCCAAGTAGACCATCAACCTCTGGGAGAGGGCCAGGCATAATGGCTCATGTCTGTAATCCCAGCACTTTGGGAGCCGGAGGCGGGCTGAAAACCTAAGGCAGGAGTTCAAGACCAGCCTGGCCAACATGGCAAAACCTTGTCTCTACTAAAAATACAAAAATTAGCCAGTCATGGTGGTGGGTGCCTGTAGTCTCAGCTGCTTGGGGCTGAGGCAGGAGAATCGCTTGAACCAGGGAGGTGGAGGTTGCAGTGAGCCGAGATTGCTGCACTGCACTCCAGCCTGGGCGACAGAGGGAGACTCTGTCTCAAGGAAAAAAAAAAAAAAAAAAAAAAAAGGTTGGGTGCGGTGGCTCACGCCTGTAATCCCAGCACTTTTGGAGGCCAAGGCAGGCGGATCACAAGGTCAGGAGATTGGGACCGTCCTGGCTAACACGGTGAAAGCCCGTCTCTTCTAAAAATACAAAACAATTAGCCGGGTGTGGTGGCGGGCGCCTGTAGTCCCAGCTACTCAGGAGGCTGAGGCAGGAGAATGGCATGAACCGGGAGGGAGAGCTTGCAGTGAGCCGAGATCGCGCCACCACTCTCCAGCCTGGGCGACTGAGCGAGACTCCGTCTCAAAAAAAAAAAAAAAAAAGTTCTGGGAGAGGAGGGCTGAGAGCCTGGGATGACAGAGGGAGCCACTGGTCAGGTAAGGGCACTGTCAGGACAGAATTATGTGACAGACAGCTCAGGACGTGAGGTCCAGCCATGGAGAAGCGCATGGACGCATCATGTTGTGTATCACTGCTACAGGTAAGGAATCACCGCTACAGGTGAGGAATCATCTGAGAGCTAGGTACAAGTGACAATTGTACTTCCATGGAGAGCTATGGGCAGAGTTGGAGAAATTCTGCAGAATCAACTCTCCTTGGATTTACCCCATGCTCTGCCCAAGTTATCCCTAACCCTTCTGCCAGCTACCAAGTGCACTCTCTTCTTAAAGAATCAAAATTCATCCGAGTGTGATGGCTCACGCCTGTAATCCCAGCACTTTGGGAGGCCAAGGAGGGCAGATCACAAGGTCGGGAGTTCGAGACCAGCCTGGCCAATATGGTGAAACCCCATCTTTACTAAAAATACAAAAAAATTAGCCAGGCGTGGTGGCAGGCACCTGTAGTCTCAGCTACTCAGGAGGCTAAGGCAGGAGAATTTCTTGAACCGGGGAGGCAGAGGTTGAGGTGAGCCGAGATCTTGCTGTTGCAATCCAGGCTGACGACAGAGTGAGACCCCGTCTCAAGAAGAAAAAAAAAAAAGTCACAATTCTTCCTAGCCCCTGGCTCCCTATTGAGTCAACATTGGGTGCAAACATCTTTCACCATGAAAGCCTTAAAAAATATCTAATACAGTCAGTGTATCATTTTTCTTTGAATTTTGGTTAAGTACAGATGCTTCATGCGGGAAACATTTATTGTGTTCCATTGTATACTGTCCTAAATGCCAGGGAATCCTGGTGAACAAGGCATGCTCCCTGCCTTCATGGAGCTTCTAGTTTAGAGCAACAGGCAAAAAGAAATTAACAGGTAGTTTCAGTTCAGTGTGACAGTATGTAAGAGAAACCCCCATCAAGAGACTTGCTCAGGGATAGCTTTCCAGAAGGATCGGGTACAAACTGAGAGCTTTGCACAAGCTGAAGCCTTTAATGTGGGAGGGCCAGGTGCTCCGTGGGACAGAGAACCACTTGAAAAATGGATTTTCGATTCTTTCGATACCATAATATTTAATAGGAAATGACCACAGGAATAATGTGATGTACAAGGCTCATGTTACCTGATCTATATAAAATGAAAATATGATTAATGTTCTGATATTTGTCACTGCTATGAACAATGCTCTTGGAAGAAGATATATAAGAGCCTGCGATTACTTAGGCTGTCTAAGAAGGTGATCCCAAGGAGCCCCAGCTAGACATAAAATTTTACTGTACTCATAAAATCTATGTCAAACTTAATGCAGTTGAGTGGTGAGAGGACTGGATCCAAAGTTAAGATGCTCCGTTTCCCTGTCCTTATTTTGCCACTGCCCATCTCTGTACCACTGGCAAATCCTTCTTGTGCCTTTCATTTCCTTATTTCTAAAATAAAAAGATCAAACTAGGCTTCCTTCTAGTTGTAAGGGGCTGTGAATCCTACCCAAAATTGTTTTAAGAATGGTGCCATAATCATTTACTATGATGCTATGAAAAAGATGACTTTGAACATAATGTTCTTTTTGAGACATCCACTTCAAGACAATAGATAGGCTGCAATAAAAAAAATAAACTCCAGTCAAATGTTTGTGCTTAGTACCTGGCTAAACTTGCTTAAAGCTATTTGTTTCTTTACACTAAAAAAAAAAAAAAAAAAAAAAGACCAAACTTATACAAGGCATGTTGGTATCATATGTTGTTTAGTTCACCTGTCACTTCATAGGTAAAACATACACATGTGTCAAGAAGGTAGCTCTCCAGACTGCCTTGAGAAACAGGAACGAAGGGTCCTTCTGGCCCAAAATAATCTCTCCCACTGCCTCACTGTAGGCCCTGAAATTCCCACCATATTTTCTCAAGGGCTAATATTAAATCCCAACTCCTTATCTTTCTTAATGCTATAGCCTCAAAGGATGGTGAGGATTGATTAAAATAATTTTTGGAAAAAATGTCACCAACACGCAAGTAGTCAATCAACACACATTAGTTCTGTCTTCCCTTTTGTTCCTGGCTGTTTAGCACTACCACGACCAGGCCTCTCCCTTGCTCTGTCTCCACTGAGACAGGTAGATGCTACGTTGTCTCTAAGCCCTTACTGGTGCTGTTTCCTCCACTTGGAATGTTCCCCTCTCTTCCCTGGGATCATCTAAATCTAGCTTGTGCCAGCCAAAGTTCTCAATTGCAACCAACGAAAGCCTGTTTGTGGTATTGAACTAAAAGAGAAAGGTTACCAGGAACTTTCAGAACAACGAGGGGCTTGAGAACTAGGCATGGAAAATGGCATGGAACCGAGGCACCTCCAGAGGTCCCAGTGACCAAGCCTCACACCCAGGGCCATGCTATAGGAACCATCTGGTTTGCATACCGCCACTGCAGATGCAGCCCATCTGACTGCTAGGTGGCCCCTGTATTTGAGCAGTAACTTCACAGTCAGAATCCACAGACCATGCATCTAATTGATACAATTTAAATCAAGGGTAGACCCCTGGCTGCACCCAGCCAAAGCGAGGTGAGAGAAGATCCTTGGCTCTAGCAGTGGGAAGTAGCAATGGGGAGGGGTGTCCAGAATTGGCTTTCCAACAAGAGTATGCTCAGTGAGGAAGGCTACTGAGGCAGTATCATGGAGCCCATGACAAGGGGCATTGGATGCTAAAAAGCCCCCAAGCTACCAGTGTCCCCAACAGAGTCCATTTGCCTGGACTGTGCTCAAGGCCTCTCTCCCATGCAAGGACCCCCCCAGCTGGCCTTCCTTGGCCTGAGTGTCCCTCCTTTGAGCTCCTTCTGCGTATCTCTACCACACAGTTCAGAAAAAGCATCACACTACCCTCAACACGTTGTTTGACTGTTTGATGACTTCTGGAATAGCTTCTAACTGGGCTGCTGACTCTGTCTCCACCCAGTATCGTCACACAGGGTCCACATGCCAGGTTTCTCAAGAGGCTCCTGTTAGATGAAGAAAAGAGTGAACTTAGGATTAAACCTGAAGTAATAAAGGAAATCAATGCTCAGCAGGCTGTGGTCGGGCATCACAGAGAGCCCTGGGGAGCCATGTGGTACCAAAAGTTGCAAACTCTTTGCAAAAAGGAATCATACCTTGAGTGTGTTTTTCTGTCAGTGAATCTTTACACTGCCTCTATGGAAAGGCCTGAGCCTTGCTGTCTGGGCCCTGTTAGAAATCTTGGAAATTATAACCAAGTGAATTCCATATCAGGCTAAGTACAAGCCATGCGATTGTGTTTGGAAGCACACATTTGATAAAGTACAAGTATGTACTTTTTTTGATTAATAAAAATTAATATAACCCAGAAAAGACAGCATTCTGTAACAAAATGAAGATTTATCTCAAGCCAAAGCCAGCATGTTTATAAAATTCTCAACCAAATCAAAGATGATTGTTTACTCTAGCATTACGTGGCATTAACTTCTTAGCACTAAACAATGCTATAAAAATATTTTAAGATTTTTTAAAATATTGTGATTGTACACTTACAAAGCTGAAATGACGGTACTTAATGTTGTTCAGATCAAAAGAATCATAAAGATCTACCTCCTACTGTCTTTTATAATTAGTTCCTAAAAATATATCTGTATCGTGCACATGTACCCTAAAACTTAAAGTATAATAATAATGAAATTTAAAAATATATATATATATCTGTATCAAATTTAAGAAACAGATTTACATGTCTAAAGGTTGTCCAATTCTAAGAGCTCTTACAATGTTTCAAAATTAATTTAAATTAGACTATTTTAAATCCAATAAAATATATAAATATATTTTTTGAGTATGCATCCATGATTGCTTTAAATTCTAAAATAGTTTGAAATTTATTTAGGTAGTAAAAATTCATTTTCAAAAGCAATTTTTACCACCAAATTGTAAGTTTTCAAAAAATTTAATTGAAACAGTATTTAGTGTTTTGTGGGACTGTTTTTATTTTTGAAAAAGAAGTCTGATTTTTAAAATCATTTTTCCCAATATTTATTCTAATTGGTTATTGCTGGCATGTAGGCATTATTCAAATTTTGTGCATGCATCTCTTTAAAAAAACAGGCATTTTCACACAAAAATCATTGACACCCTAAGCCACATTCACTATATTTATTTTGACTTTCAGACATAACCTCATTAACATACATTTCTACTTGCCAACTAACAGTTAACTAACAGTCTCAGCAACATTGTCATCAATAAGGATAAAACAATATTTATGCAATTAATTAAATATATTATTGCTCTTTTTTTGCAAACTGTGTTGTAAAAGTGAGTAGAATTCAAAAAAAGCACATGTTAACACTGGTAGTAATACAAATGAATTAAACATCAGAATTAAGAATAATGAAAAACAAATTATGGTTTATCCATACAATGGAATACTATTTGGGCATTAAAATCATATCTAAGAATGTCTACTCATTGAAAATATTCATGACACATTTTTAAGAAAAAAAAGAACAAAACCGCTTATATATATGACCTTGGTTTTGAACTCCAGCCATCTTTTTCTCTTCTTAATGGTGTCTTTCCTTTCACCCTCTCAGTAGCTATCCAGACATATGAACTGTCTATGTGTGAGTCCCTCATCTCAGCAGCAGGAGCAATGTTATAACTGAAAAGGAATAGAAAGGAACTTGAGCAAAGACATATTTTGGTTCAATTTTGCCTAGAAATGGCCTTTAAAGAAGAATACAATAATAATAATAGCAATAGTAGCAATAGTAATATTAATAATGACAATTAGCTATATTGCTAAAATAATGCGGATGCAAAGGTTTACTTTTCACTAAAGGCACCACAGAAAAAAAAGAAGCATACAAAACCATCTAGAAGAGGTAAGATTAATCAGCTATTAAGTACAAAGCTACAAAGGTTATTTGGAAACCAAGGGCCCACAAAATTGGAATCAGAGGCATTCTTTGACCTTGAAATCAGAACAAAAGAAGGATGGCTGGGGAGACTCACCAGAAAATATTGGGGTGGATCTCAAAGGTGGAAACTGTCAAAGGGCTGATCAAAGCAGGTGGAAGAAATGGAGCTGGAGGAGGGCTAAAAGTGAATTCCTGAAGATCTAAACTTTTTAATCTTAAATGTTATATCTTAAAGTTACATATAATCTCTATTGGCAAATTAGAAATTCATTTATCAGTATCTGTTCAATACAGGCAAATGTTTGACAGCTGCTGTGCTGACGACGGCACACTGTTTAGCAAACTTAGTGGAATCTTTACTTTTAGTTTTCTAGCAGTTCTTAACTTTGCTTACAGTCATGTGCCACTTGATGATGGGGGTACATTCTACAAAATGTGTTCTTAAGCAGTTGCATCCTTTTGGGAACATCATAGAGTGTGCTTACACAAGCCCAGATGATATAGCCAACTATACACCTAGGCTATAAGTTGTAGCCTGTTGCTCCTAAGCTGCAGATCTGTACAGCATGTTGTTGTCCTTAATACTGCAGGCAATTGTAACAAAATGGTAACTATTAGTATATACACACATATCTAAACATAGAAAAGGCATGGTGAAAATACAATTTAAAAGATAAACAATAGTCTGCCTGTCTAGAGCACTTACCAAGAATGGAGCTTTCGGGACTGGAAGCTGCTCTGCGTGAGCCAGTGAGTGGTGAGTGAATGTGAAGGCTGAGGACATTACTGTACAGACTTGATAAATACTGTACACTTACGCTGTGCTAAATTTGCAAAAATATTTTCTTCTTCAATAATAAATTAACCGTAGCTCACTGTAACTTTTTTCCTTTATAAACTTATTAATTTTTTAACTTTCTGACTCTTCTGAAATAACATTTAGCTTAATACATAGCTGTGCAAAAGTTTTTGTTAGATTTTTTAGCCTGTAAGCTTTTTTCTGTTAATTTTATTTTTACTGTTTTAAAACTTTTTTGTTAAAAACTAAGACAAAAATGTACAGATTTGCGGATAAGTCTAGGTCTATGCAGGGTCAGGATCATCAATATCACTGTTTTCCACCTTGACATTCTGTCGCACAGGAAGGTCTTTCAGGGCAATAACACACCTAGAACTATCTCTTGTAATAATGCCTTGTTCTGGAATATAGCCTGAAGCCCCTGCCTGAAGCTCTTGTACAGTTAATTTTTTTAATAAGTAGAAGGTATACACTCTAAAATAATGATAAAAAGTATAGTAAATACATAAACTAGTAATATAGTCTTTTATTATAATTATCAAGTACAGCAGTTTCTCAAATAACATTATTTAGTTCAATGTCATTTTGTTATAACATTGATGAGAAATTAAATCCATTCCTAGCCAGGGCCACTGTGTGTGTGGAGTTTGCAAGTTCTCCCCATGTCTGCCTGGCTGTTCTCTGGGTACTCGGGTTTCCTCCTACATCCCAAAGACATATACATTAGGTTAGTTGGAGTGTCTACATGGTCTCAGTGTGAGGGAGCATGGGTGTGAGTGTGCACTGCGACAGGATGGCCTCCTGTCAGAGCTGATCTGGCCTTGTGCCCTGAGTAGCCAGGACAGGCTCCAGCCACCTGAGCCCCTGAACTGAAAGAAGCGGGTTACTAGGTTCTTTGCATGCATTACTACATTTAATGCTATCTCTATCTCAATTTCAGTCCCTCTCCCAGGGTCTGGGAGTTCCCAGAGGGAAACCTCACAGGAGCTCACAAACATGCCTGCCAGCTACATTCACATGGTCTGTGCTGTTCATTTATTTTTTTTTGCGTGGGCATTCATGTGTCATCATTCATTACCCAAGCTGCTGCGTGAAAGAGCATCACCCTGCTTCTGCTAATGGTGACACCCGGAGAACCGAGCCCAATATTTGTGCTGAGAACTGGGCACTCCCAGTGCTGACAGTCCTGGAGGTGGCAGATTCAGGTCAGGTTTGAGGCAGGGGTGGTGTGTTTGACTCCCTTGCCAACCCTGCCCCACATTTGCTACCGGGCCTGAAGTAACTCCACTAGAACAGAGTCTTAAAGTATCACCCAGGAAAACAGCTGCCAGCTTCTCTCTCCACTTTTAAAACAAATGGCCCCAAACGCAGTGGAGGAGAGAAGGGAAGACCATGCCCCCGCCACCCCTTGCTGCCCTCCCCACTGGTTTCTCCAGAAGCAGCTGCCTGACTTCGGGATGATCCTGACTCTTCCATAGAAAATCCTCTGACATTTTTTTTTTTTAGACGGAGTCTCACTCTGTCACCAGGCTGGAATGCAGTGGCTCAATGTCAGCTCACTGCAACCTCCACCTCCTGGGTTCAAGCGATTCTCCTGCCTCAGCCTCCCAAGTAGCTGGGACTACAGGTGTGCACCACCATATCCAGCTAATTTTTGTATTTTTAGTAGAGACAGGGTTTCACCCTGTTGGCCAGGCTGGTCTCGATCTCTTGACCTTGTGATCCGCCCACCTTGGCCTCCCAAAGTGCTGGGATTACAGGCGTGAGCCACCACATCCAGCCTCTGACATTTTTTCTTAAAGCCCTTCATCTCAGGAAACGGGTTGGCTTTGTGTTTGCTTAACTCATCTCTCCTTCCCTCTGAGGGACCTCACCTGCTCCATCCTATTCTCCTGGCATCCCAGAGTTCCACATTCTCACCATAAACGGCTGTTTCCCTGTCTCTCATCGCTTCCAGGAACATCTTCAGTTTGGCCTCTGGAGCAGTTTGCTCATCCTTTTCTGGTCCTTGGGTGTAAACCTTCATGGTAAATGATTTGCTTGCTCTCTCCCTGGTCTGCTAGGACTTGCTGCTAGGAATCACCCTGGCTTCTTGATTTTATATTCACCAAGTTGGAGACTTTATCTTCCATTGATCTATGGCTGGTGGATACCCAGCTACACTCTCAACTGCAATCTCCCGACACATCCTATCTTCAAAGGGTCTCAATCCAAGTCAAATCTCTGAGGCTTCACTTTCCCGGGAGGGAGGTGGCAGCAACTGTATTCCCTCTAGGTGCAAGTCAGCTGATGTCTGTTTCCTGGTGACACATGAGCCAGAATCTTCACCAGCCAATGAAATGCTTTGGAGGGGTAGGAGGGCCACGTTCAAGTGAGCTTTCATTAAGGGAAAGTACATAACTTAAAAACAGTATATTAAGAATATTATTTTAGTTTATGGAAGAAAGCCTGCATCCATTCATCTAGCGCATAAGCGTCTCTGCTCTAACAAATATCAGGTATCATGCTAAGTGTCATGGCTATTAATATGCATTAGGTGTGGCTCCCGACCTCAAAATGCTGAGCATTTAGTTATGAGACAGCATCTCATAAGAGACCTTCAACACTGTGCCAAATAGCAACCATGTGGTCTGTATTAAAGCTTTCGATTGATACTTAAAATCTCCAAGTGTGTGACATGCAGCACAAACTGAATAAAAAAGGCAAAGTCCCTAAGATGAAGCTTATATATTAAAACCCAATTGGATGATGTAAAACATGTTTTGACCATTGATTTGTGGCCAAATGTTCAAAGAGAAAACATCATGAACTGGGAACTCAGAGGATACCCACCAGGAAGCGAGTTGAGTATTGCCTACTTTATCAAAGTTAAATGTGTTTTTATTGAGAATAATTCCCATTCAAATGGATGACCTAGACAAACTAGTTTAAACTGCTACAAATGAAAATGCAAATAAAACATCTGCTTGTAACTGATTTTTACTCATTATTTTAACTTCAGAAGAGAAAAGGTGAGGGAGTTTGGGGAATCATTTGAATGCCAATGGCTTTGATCATGCATGCTGTTAGGATTCCATGAGCCAATGGACTGAGCTTTGAAGAGGTAAAATCCCTCCAAGCCTTAAGGCAAGTAGAAAACAAACAAGATGATGAGCTCAAGAGACTGGACACCCCAGGTAGAAGTGTCTAGAAAACAAATGAGAAATTGGGGAGAAATAATATACTGCAGCAGAAGGAGCATGGGATGTGAGACATAATTCAGTGCAGGAGAGAGACTCAAGGAGGAAAAGCCTCATTCACGTCGAATATATCTTCTTTAGAGACTCAGAAGTCATGCTGAAATAAGTGAGTCAATGCAAGAAAGCCCCTTTGATTTGGAGATGCTTGACAGGTACAAGAAGCCAAGGAAATATGAGAGGATGCTGCAACCTCACCATAAGCACACAGAAAGAGCACGATGCAGCTCAGATAAGGTGGGTCATGGAACACGGCCACTCTTAATTCTTGGTCTTTGTGGCCGAGATTTCCAAATTTTATCAAGTAACATTTGACAGGCTGGGACAATGTATTGATGGCCGTTGTCTCTGGAACTGGCAGCTTAGTCCAGTGAAGTCATTTCACCAGAATAAGATGAGATGGAGCAGAGAATCAGACGTATGTGGGCTCCAAGTAGGTCTCCACTTGCTGATCCTATGACCTAGGGCAACTTACTGAATGTTTCTGAGCCGTATTTGTTCCATTTCTAAAGATGTGGCAGGTGTCTAAGGGATAGTTTTCTTATGTAAAGTGCATGGAATATACTAGTTGATTATTAAACATAGCTATTGGCATCATTACTATTAATCTTTCTACCAAGGGTTTGGAGATTTTTCAGGGAAAAAGTCAGGATAAGTCAGGAAAAAGTCAGCCTTGAAGAAAAATATTTAATTTTTGTTGGGACATTCGCATCCTGTGAGGTATGTTTCATTTGAAATTCCCCACGTGAAACTTGGCATCTTGTTCCTGCAGGAAAGGCTTTCAGATTTTGAATCTAACATGCAGCTTTACTCTCTTAAGATTTTGCTTCTACTCAGCACACATTTGCTTTTTAAAAAGCAGTACACTGATCCACTATTCGCTTTCATTTTACTCTTTATTTTTTATTTTTTGGTAAGTCTTTAGAGATTCTACAAAAATCAAGGAGGAAAGAAAATACAGTGACTCTTCTGGGGCCACAGATTCCTCTGGAATCTGATAAAAGCTCTAACTCCATATCCCACAAAAGCAGACATATGTACTTACATACAAAATTATAGGGGCTTCATAGATTTTCTTGAAGCTCCAGGAAAGTATGTCAGGTTAAGGACTATTATTCCAGTGCATAAATAGAAATGTTCATAATTGTCTCAACTCCTTAATATAATAAAAGAGAAATTACTCAGAACGAGCTATACATTTCCAAGAAAAATCATTTGAGATTTGAAGTCGGGTTTCTTGAATACTCTTGAGGGAACATAAAGGCTTTACAGCAGGTATATGCTCATGAGTAGATTTTAGAGAGTTCATCTCTACAGG
Source organism: Homo sapiens (assembly GCF_000001405.40). Taxonomy (NCBI): domain Eukaryota; kingdom Metazoa; phylum Chordata; class Mammalia; order Primates; family Hominidae; genus Homo; species Homo sapiens. Next base: position 94,652,134 of record NC_000015.10, on the reverse strand, counting down.
TTCATCTTCCATGTAGCCTCTTTTTGAAAAGCGATTAGCCTAAAAAATTCACTAGCATGTTTCTTAGCCCTTCTACTTTACATAAGAAAGACATTTACTGCAACTGTTCTCAAACTTAGTGTGATCCGTCATTCTAAGGAATAAAAATCTTGTCTTTTTTTTTTTTTCCTTTTTGTGGAGAACGGGATCTTGCTATATTGCCCAGGCAGGTCTCGAACTCCTGGGCTCAAGCTATCCTCCCGCCTCTTGCCTCCCTGAGAGCTGGGATTACAGGCGTGAGCCACTGCACCCGGCAGGAATAAAAATCTTTAAGTATCAAGGGAAACTTTTCTAATAATTGTAATCAAGCTACCATAAACCCATAACCACAGCAGGATTTCTGTCTTCCCTACCAGCTGAAGAAGCTGTCTTCTGCTCTCTCACTGAAGTCCAAGTAACAGAAACATTGGTGTAAGGGTTTGAATTCTTCTACTACTTGCCAATGGTCAAAGTAGCCCAAGGAGGGGGGAAAAGTAAAGACAGCATCAGCTGGAAAGAAGAAAGAAAAGGAAAATTAAAAAAAAGAAACCGGAATGCTAAAAATTGCTTCTTATTTTTCACATATTTAATGTCAGCAACAATTTTTAGCTCTATTTGTTACCGGGGGTCCTTGCTCACAGAGCTCCCAAGATGGTGGCAAGCCTCGTGTTCTCTGACCTGGGGTTCTTGGCCTCACGGATTCCAAGGAAGGGAACCTTGGGCCATGCGGTGAGCGTTACAGCTCTGTTAGAAGGTGTGGGTCACGGAAGAGAACTGTGGAACCCAGTGACTAGTGTTCAGCTGGATTAGGATGAACCCGGGCACTTAGCCGCGCAGGAACAATGGCAAGCCTTTAGCCCGATCGGGAGTGGCAATGGGCACCTCACTGGATCAGGAGCACAGAGGACACCCTGCTGGATCCAGAGGGATGGAAGTCAGTGGCGGGTCTGCGATGGCGGCAAACAGCAGTGGTGGACGGCGAGCAAAAGCTCAGCTCGAGCCGTAACAGACACGGACCAGAAGAGAGTGCAGTTGCAAGATTTCATAGAGTGAAATAGAGTGAAAACAGAGCTGCCATACAAAGGGAGGGGACCCAAAGGGGGTTGCCCTTGCTGGCGCCAATGCCTGGGTTTATATCCCGATCATTGTCCCTCCCGCTGTGCTCTCAGGCAACAGATGATTGGCTATTTCTTTACCTCCTGTTTTTGCCTAATTAGCATTTTAGTGAGCTCTCCTTACTATCTGATTAGTCGGGTGTGAGCTAAGTTGCAAGCCCCGTGTTTAAAGGTGGAAGCGGTCACCTTCCCAGCGAGGCTTAGGGATTCTTAGTCGGCCTAGGAAATCCAGCTAGTCCTGTCTCTCATATTCATTAGTCATCACTAGGACAAGTCAAGAGCTGGAAAGCACAGCTTCTTTAGAGCGGCATATGCAAAGTAGGTAGGGTGATTTTAAAGCATTTAATGTAATTAGAATATTTAATGGGACTACCAAAGTTTTCAAGAGACACTGGATAGAACTCCAGATAAAAATGTGATGTGACATATTTCATATTCTCTGTGTTATTCAAGGAGTTATTAACATGTAATTTTTAAAAATTATTACTAAATATTTATATGAATTACAGTCAATTATCATTTTATTTTATTCTAAAATTGTTAAAAGGTTTAACAATTTCTGCTTCCTATTTTTTAAAAATAATGTAACTGCTTCCAGACAAACTAGTTCTTACTAGCATATATCTTTCTTTTTAATTAAATGCATAAAAAATTTGAGGCATGATTTATCGTATCAAGGAATGCAATTCTGATTAAATTTTATTGATCTTTAATAACTATCAGAATTAGTAATCTATAATGTTTATAAATCGGCTTAGTGTTATTAATAATTGTAATGATACCGCAATCAGAAAAATGTTTTAATAGTTATGTTCACAGGAAAACATATTAAAATATTTCTATCTAAGTATACATATTATATATGCATATTTTGTCATAGATGTGTATAATAGAGTGATTAATAATTTCCGGCAAAAGTGTACATTAAGATAATCTATGGGAGAGAAAACAGTTCAAATTAGAATTCAGAAAAGGAAAAAGAAAGATGTAGGCCAGGTGCGGCGGCTCCCAGCACTTTGGGAGGCCAAGGCAGGCGGATCACGAGGTCAGGAGTTCAAAACCAGCCTGGACAACATGATGAAATCCCGTCTCTACTAAAAATACAAAAAGTAGCTGGACATGGTGGTGCACACCTGTAATCCCAGCTACTCCAGAGCCTAAGGCAGGAGAATCGCTCGAACCTGGGAGGCAGAGGTTGCAGTGAGCTGAGATAGTGCCACTGCACTCTGACCTGGCTGACTGTCTCAAAAAAAAAAAAAAATTGCGTTAGTAAATTTCAGATGATGATGGTATCTGGATTCTACTGATGTATTTAAATGTGTGACATAACCATTCTATCTAAAAATTTGCCAGAACTTTATCCTTTGAAACCATCTAAACTTTCAATGAAATTTCAGATACCAATATTTGTATTAGGTGAGACGGCACATTGGTTTGTTTTTGTTGTTTTTTTTTTCAGCTAATTTTAGGGGGTAAGCAAATAAAGAATTCTAAAGGCCAATCCTCTCAATTATGTATTTAATATGAGATAAGCCTAGTCTTCTAATAATAGTAAGAGGAGGATAAGAAATAAGTAAATGCTTACATGTATATTTATCTTAGCTATCTGATTTTGTCATGTCCTCTTTTCTAGTGTGTGAGTGTTTCCACTTTGAGCATAGTTTATTACATGAAGAATGAATTAATAGACAATGTTTTGATGAATATTTCTAATTTGTCTAGAGATCTTGCCAATAATAGCAATAGACTTACACCAGTCTTCTTATACTTAGTATCCTGTGTGACCCATGTTCAGAAAGTCTGGGCTCTTAGAGTTAAGAGCTTGTGATAAAACAAGTTCGAAGGCTTGCTTTGCTCCACTGGATCCAGAATATGAATAGTTTTATAATGCTACCAATACATTCTTTCAAGTACCTTTCTTTTTTTTTTTTTTTTTTTTTGAGATGGTGTCTTGCCGTGTCGCCAGGCTGGAGTGCAGTGGCGCGATCTCAGCTCACTGCAACCTCCGCCTCCCAGGTTCAAGCGATTCCCCTGCCTCAGCCTCCCAAGTAGCTGGGATTACAGGCACATGCCACCATGCCCAGCTAATTTTTTGTATTTTAGTAGAGACAGGGTTTCACCATGTTGGCCCAGATGGTCTTGATCTCCTGACCTCGTGATCCACCCACCTCGGCCTCCCAAAGTGCTAGGACTACAGGTGCGAGCCACCGCACCTGGCCAGCAATGACTCCTATAAAGGACCTGACTGGACATATAAATGAATGCTCTGCCCACGAGACTTTCAGACAGTGGAAAGTGCTGTGTTGATGGAGAGGTGAAGGGAGCATTCCAGGAATTTTACACAAGGAGGCCATCACTTCCCAATCACACCCAATTCAACAAACGAAGGAAGACTTGTGGAAAAGGCAGTATTTGAATCTGGAAAGATGTGTACAATATAGACATTTGGAAATGAGGGGAGGCCAGTCACAGAGGAGTAAGAAAAACTTAAATAAAATCAAGGGGTAGGAAATAGCATTAAAAGTCAAATGAACCGTAATCTAGGATCTACCATGTATGACACATTTTAGCAAAGGTTTTACCTGTGTTTCCTTATGTAGCTCATTTTCTGTGGTTCCATTTGGCTACGTTTTGCAAATGCAGGTTTTAACCCAATACTGGGTTGTGTGAAATCAATTTAGTGGAGTGCAAGAGGCATGTAAAAAAGAAGTGAAATGGATTACAATAGAATAGAATAGAATAGAATAGAATAGAATAGAATAGAATAGAATAGAATAGGTTATTAGTGTGTCCCACCCAAAGTAGTGTTATTATTGTCTTGGGATACTCTTATTTCAGATGTGTGTGTGTGTGATGTAAAATATAATTCTTATCATAAGTTGTTGAACAAAATGCTTTGAATAAAACTCTGGGATGAACACAAGCCTAACAAAGAGGAGTAGAGAAAAAAGCATGTTGGGCCAGGCGCGGTGGCTTACGCCTGTAATCCCAGCACTTTGGGAGGCCGAGGCGGGCGGATCACCTGAGGTCAGGAGTTCAAGACCAGCCTGGCCAACATGGTGAAACCCCGTCTCTACTAAAAATACAAAATTAGCCAGGCGTGGTGGTGCATGCCTGTAATTCCAGCTACTCGGGAGGCTGAGGTAGGAGAATCGCTTGAACCCAGGAGGCAGAGGTTGAGGTGAGCTGAGATCATGCCATTGCCCTCCAGCTTGGGCAACGAGAGCGAAACTCCGTCTCACACACACACACACACACACACACACACACACACAAAAAAAAGGCAGGTTGGAGCAGAAGTTTGCAGCCCATTTTCTACTTTGAGTGATTAGGTGAATGGTGCTGCATTAACCAAACTGAAGAAAACAAGAGGAGCAGGACATTTGGGGAGAAATTCCTATATGAGAGAGGAATTTCTCATACAGGAATTGTGACATGTTGCCCGGAGATGACAAATAACTCCAGGTGGAGATTTCAAGTAAACTGCTGACTTTCATGAGAGAGGTTTGATGTGGAGACATGAGTTTGGAAGAGATGAGCAAAAAAGTATGAGAGTTGAGGCTACATCTGTGATTGAGGCTACCCAGTATTTTACTGAATATTAAAGAAAGGTGAATAACATTGTGTGTGTGTGTTGTGGGCATGGGGGTTGCATGACAAGAGAGTAGCTAATCAAAAATGTCTCATTTGGTCAGATTCTTTGAGTGACTCTACCCCAAGACCCCTGAAGAAATGAAAATGTTTCTTTACAGATTTTTAAAGCATTATATCCAGGTAGACTTTCAAAGTAGGTATGCTACTTTTTTTAAAATGATAATTTCTTTGCATTTTTTCAGCATCTCAATGTCTCTGAGGTTTTTTTCAGTGAGTATACAATTGAATAGGTGAGGGTGGAGTGAAGTCGTCAAGTTCTGCTAAGCACGGAGATTTAAAAATGTCATTGTCACAGAGCATACTTTCCCCTTGGAAATTGAACTGACCTAGCAACCTTACCTGAGGTAAGCTCTCTCCAGATCAGTGGAAGACAAGCTACATTGAGATTCCCTGGCATTCACAAATGTCCTCTTAGAAGGGGACAAGCAGCATCAGACAAGCACCAGCATCATTTCTAGGTGACACAGAGACCCACCCTGAGCTGCTGGCCATAAACGGGTGCACTCATGAGCGTGTCCTAAGAAAGGAGACAGAGAAAGCTGGAATGTTGGGGATATTAACTTAGGTCTGGATTTCAAAGTGATGATTTTGATGGCAAATTCCTAAATTTTCTGAAGAACTTTTGTCTCTACTCCCTTTCTTCTCCCTGAGTTTGAATGACCACTGCAACATAACTGCAGAAAAGAAGTTTGAGGTTGAAGTGCAGAATGTTTAGCAAATGCTTGCTTTAAAGCAGCTGAGATGATGCTGGATGCTACATTTCTGAGACTGTTAGTTTATATTTTTTCTCTCTGCATTTTCTCTCTCATTTGGCTGATCTGGGCTCTGGATATCCATGTCTCAATTGAAATGTGTGATGAGGGCAGAAAGCACTACTGCATTTTCTTTCCGAAAGTCTAAAACCATAGATCACATTATATGAGGCAGCTAACAAAGGGAGGAATGGGAATATTGCTCTAGGAAAAGAGAAGGAAATATATGAACTACTGAAAAGGAGCTCCTGAAGAGAAACCAGAAGATGCCTATGGGTTCTGGAGAATATGAATCAGTGTCCTGCTGCTGGGCACACTTCAGATGGGAACAGCCATGCATGTTTGACCCTCATTAAGCAGCGTGGTGCCCTAAGCAGCACGTAAGGTGTCAGGGAGCCAGTGAACTTGAAGAGATCATACAGGTCTGTGCAGGGGTATTCTTAGTAGCAACAAAGAGGTCAAGACCAATAACTGATAAATGTATGTCCCCAACATGTGGCATAACAAAAGATTCTAGAATTTTGGCCCTATTCCAGTGTTATGGGAAGAAAGAGCGAGAGAAGAACCCCTAAGAATGATGGACGTTAAGCATTCCACAGTCCAGGGTGATGGGAGCTTATCACTGAAATGAAGTTGAGTTGTACAAAATAATGAGATATGCTATTTCTGGCACATTTTGGTTCGTTGACTGAGTCCGGTCCCCATTACCCTAATTTTTGGTGTGGGCTATTGAAATGTTCCTTGACTGTAATTATCACTCCCCTACACACACACAAACACACACACACACACACACACACACACACACACACCCTTCAGAATTAAGGGCAAAACGTTTCTCTAAATGGCCTAATGGCCACTCTGCCACTCTGCCCACAATGTAAATGTACAAAGATACAACAAAAGAAAGCAAAGTAAATAAATTTTTTATATCTTGCAAATCACAGGGATATAAGGACCACCGATCTTCCCAGTTCTTTACAGTTCATCAAACAACTATTTTCCCACGAGATGAATTTTTTAAGAGATTTCTGTGCACCTATGTAGGTCTTGCGAGGTTGGGAGGATGCTCAGCTTGGGAAGGGAGGTGAAGGGACTGCTCATTGCCCTCCTTGGTTCCGTGGAGCTGCCTGTCTCTTGGAAGACTGAACTCAGTCAGTTGTGCAGGGTGATCTCAAACTGGTTTATGTCTTTCAAAAGAGTCCATTTTAGTGTGGCAAATAAGACTGAAGTGATTTCCTCTTTGGCTTAATCGTCACCATGTATAGCTCAGATACCATTGGCCAATATATTTCTGTGGTTACTGTAACAAATGACCACAACCGGGTAGCTTACAATGACACAAATTTATTCTCTCACATGACTGGAGACCAGGAATCTGAAATCAAGGTTTCCATAGGGCCCTGTACACTCGAAACGACCTAGAGTAGATTCTGCTCCCAGTTTCTGGTGGCTGTTGCTTGGCTTGTGGTAACATGATTCCAGTCTCTTCCTTCTTCTTCATGTGACTTTCTCCTTGGTCTGTCTATTTTAACCTGTTTGTCTCTTATAAGGATATTTATCGTTAGATTTAGGGTGCAGTCAGATAATTCAGGATGATCTCATCTCAAGATCCTTAACTAAATCTTCAAAGATGCTTTATCCACATATGGTAACATTTACTGGTACTGAGTGTTTGACATGAGTATCCATTGGAGGGCCATTTTTCTGCTGGCATTGACTCCATTCTCCACAGGAGAGTATTCTTAATCACAGTGTCCTCCCTATGACCTGCCAATAGGACTGGATTGAGGGGTGCTATCTACAATTCCTACCCAAAGCAGACCTTATTTCAACAAGGCTCATCTCATCCCCAATTTCCTCTCACCAAGATAACATAATTCTCCTAGTAGTTAGTAACTGTGCCAGATATAAGGAAACCTATACTTGAAAATATGTTTTTGCTTTTGTTATGCAAATAACGATTGTGCAATCTATGAAATCAGAAAATATGCATGCACATACACAGAACAAAATTTAATAAACCATAATTATACTAATTGTCCATCATTACTGTTAAACTTAGAAATAGCCTCCCATATCTTATTCATCTGAGAGTGTCATAAAAACCAGATTCCAAAACAATAAATCATGAAATGCTTGAAATAGTCCATTATATTAATAAATCATAGTTCATAATTTATTTATTTTTCCTTATTTGTGGGTAGTTCAGTTGCTATTTGAATTCATGCTTTAAAAAAAGATCTCAGTGCACATGTTTCTGATCACATATATGAGAGTCTTGCTACCACAAATACCTAAATTCAGAAATGTGTGGTCATGCTCAGATTGTGCATGTCTTGAACTTCACTTGACTTTACCAATTTGCTCTCCACAGAGATTGTGAACATTTATATTTCCACATTTCATGATGAAAGAACCTAGTCTTTCTTCACCAATTTGTAATTCCATCTTCGCCATGTATCAAGTTCTGATATGTATCTGAGAAGCACTGTCAATATATAAAAGTACCATGGTCCCATGTTCTCTATTCTATTCCATTAATCTACTGGTCTGGTTTGTAACAGTATCTCAATAGCTTTACAAAAGGACTAAATATTTGATTGTGAAAGTTTCTTTATATTATTCAAAATCTTCAAAATGTTCCTGTTACTATTATTTTTTATTTTTCCATATATGTTGTAGAATAAGTTTGCCAAATTTTATAAAACCCTACTGATATATTGATTGGAATTACATTGTATTAATCTGTGGAGATTCACCACCATTACCATAATGAGCCTTCCTATCCATAAGCATGATATATATATTTATCTGTCAATCTATCTATCTATCTATCTATCTATCTATCTATCTATCTATCTATCTATCATCTATCTGCCTACCTATCTATGTGTTTTGTTTATTTTCAGTGAAATTACATAATTTTTAGAAAAATCTTAGGTATATATTTTGTTAGTTTTACATCTTGGTATTTATGGCTATTAATATTATCACAAATATTGTTTTTTAAGCAATTTTATTTTTTAATGATCGATCATGCAAAATTAACACTAATGACATAAGTATTGACAATGTGACCAGGAACCTTCATGAATTCTCTTTGGAATTCCAATATTTTACGTATACATTTTCTTGGATTTTTTAAGCTGACAGTTATTGTATGTGAATATCTTTCCTGCTAAGCCTTATAATTCTTACTTTCTTTTTAATTTTGTTAAAATGGCTGTAATGTCTAGTATAATAGGAAATAAAAGCAGTAAGAGCATATCACCTTGTCTTGTTCTTAACTTTAGAGTGAATGCTTCTGATGCATCATCAGTTGTGATGTTTCCTATAGCTTTTTGAAAGATACCCTTTATTGGGGAAAAGAAGACATATTCTGTTCCTACCTAACCGAAAGTGTTATTTCCAATAAATCATGAATAGGTATTGAATTTCACAAAACATTATTTATACATCTATTGAAATAATAATAAATAAACATTTTTCCTTTTGTATATTAACAAAGTAATAAATCGGTTACACCTCTGTTATTATTATATCTTTGCATTTCTGGATAATGCCCTACTTGATTACGATATATTTTTAAATGCAATGTTGCCAATGCGGTATAAATACTGATGTATTATTTAGAAGTTTTTTATTTGTGTTCACAAGTGAGATTAGTCTACTGATTTCTCCTCTCATACTTTCTTGAACCACTTTTGGTATCAAGGTTAGATCAGCTTTATAAAATGAGTTGGGGATCTTTCTCTTTTCTACTCTAAACAACTTCTGTAAGATATGGATTGGTTAAGTAGAACTTACCGTGAAATACTTCGCTCTTAGTGTTTTATAAGGGCAGCATTTACAATTGGTTTAAGTTTTTAATGTGTTGAGGTCTATGTAGGTCTTCTTTTCTTAAGTTCATTTTGGTAATTCAAGTGTGCCATGTTCTGCCTTTCCTCCCATCTTGAGGATTGTGGTTTTGTTGGTACTGTTGTTTGTTTTTCATGTCATTAATTTCTGCCACTATCTTCATTTTTCCCTTCTTTTTGTACTTCATATGTGTTTATTCTCATTTTTAAACTAAATATTCTGTTTTTCTTAATTTTGATTAAGTTAAAGAGATATATTTTCCTTTTGCTGGTTTAGCTGCATCCTACAAGTTTTGATATTTTGGGTTTTATTAATTGACATTTAGTTACAAATACTTTGTTATTCCGTTATATTATTCTAAAAGGCTGTTGTTTTGCCAGAATGTGGACTTTGAACCAAGATTGTTGGGATATATGTTCTTTTGTTTGTTTGTTTGTTTGTTTATTTCTTAAGACAGTCTCACTCCGTTGCCCAGGCTGGAGTGGAGTGGCGTGATCTTGGCTCACTGCAGCTTCTGCCTCCCGGGTTCAAGCAATTCTCCTGCCTCAGCCTCAGGAATAGCTGGGATTATAGGCACATGCCACCATGCCCAGCTAATTTTTTGTATTTTTAGTAGAGATGAGGTTTTGCCATGTTGGCCAGGCTGGCAGGCTCGTCTCCAACTCCTGGCCTCAAGTGATCCTCTGCCTGCCTTGGTTTCCCAAAGTTCTGAGATTATAGGTGTGAGCCACCACACCTTGTTTTTTTTTGTTTTGTTTTGTTTTGTTTTAGATGAGGTCTTGCTCTATCGCCCGGGCTGGAGTGCAGTGGTACCGTTTTAGCTCACTGCAGCCTTAACCTCCCGGGCTCAAAGTATCCTCCCACTTCAGCCTACTGAGTAGCTAGAACTACAGCTGTGTGCCACCAAGCCCGACGAATTAAAAAAAAAATTTTTTTTTCAAGCAATTCTCCTACCTTACCTTCCCAAACTACCAGGATTATGGGCATGGAGCACCACGCCCAGCCTTCTGGTGATCTTTTATGTTGCTATTGAGAAGTCTCAAATTATGTATGTTTATGATTGTTTTTGGCTATTCCTTTTGTCTTTGTTGTTCTGCACTTTCACTATTGAGTGCCAAGATATAGATGTCATTTATTTCTCTTTAGAACTGGTATGCTTCTCCAATCACAGAATTCATGTAATTTATAATTTTTAGTTCATCAGGTGTCATCTTTGTTCTCTCCTTCTGGAGATCCCTTTCAAATGCCCTTTTCTCTCCCATTAGCATGCCTTTATTTCCACGTTTCTTAGCTTCTTTTTGTATTCCCTCATATTGTTTCTCTGTACTGCATTCTGTGCAGATCTCTCAGATTTATCCTCCTATTCGCTAATTCTTTATCTAGCTGATATTTACTGTCTAGTAAATATCTAGCTGATGTTTGTCTAGTAGCAAACATGTTGTTATTGACCAATAGTAGTTTGATATTTACTCTCTAGTAAATATCTAGCTGATGTTTGTCCACTGAGCTTTATGCTGTTAATTTGTAAATGTTTTATTTTGTTCTTTTTCTAACTTGCCCATTTTTTTGTAGCATCTTTTTAACTTCCTCATCAAATCTCTACTAACTTTAATCTTTGCACTTGAAGAGTTTCAGTGCTGGCATGCCCACCATTCAGCCAGAACTTTCTAAGAACTATTGAACTGTTTAAAATAGAGAAATGACTGATATGACTTAATGTATGTTTTTAAAAGATAACTATGGTTTAAGTATAAATATTTGAGTCAGAAAAAGAGTGAGCAGCAAGTGTGAAGGAGTTGACACAATGACCAGCGAGAAGGTCATGGTAGTAGTTCAGGCAAGAGATGACCAAGACCTGGACTGGGATGGTGGGACCAAAAAGAAAAGCTTGCATTTGTGAGAGATTTGGGGAGAATCATAAATAGGCCTTCTGCTTATTGTGGAGGGGAGAGAACAGAGAGGTTAAGGATGACTTCCAGGCTTCTAGCTTGAACAAACATTGGTGGGTGATAAAATCATATCCCAAGATTGGGAACACTGGAGCAAGTCGGGTGGATAAAGATGATAAACTCAGTTTCTGGCCACATAAGGAATTCCTGGTATAAGTAAAATGATCAAGTAGTTAACTCTGGTAGGAGTTTAACAATCTCTTATTATTTAGCATTTAGGTTGATTTTAGTTTTTCACTACTGCTATTATTGTCATATTTGCAGATTATGAACATAGTATGATTACCTTCTTGGGATAAGTTCCATGTAAAATTGCTTGATCCACGACTATAAACATTTTAAGGTTTTGGTTACATATTGCTGAAGTAATTTTTGAAATGTTTAAAACCATTTTTATGGCTACGTAATAGTCCATTCTATGGATACACTAAAATTCTTGCAAATAGTAATTCAGTAATTTACCAATCTGAGCATTGCCTTCTTTTTGCATAGGTTCTTAATTATGTTACTCAAAAATATTCCAGGGAGTGAAATTCTGAAGTTAAAAGACGTGGATTTTTTTAAACTAGTAATTATTGTTTTTAAGCAACAGCCAGTTTGTTTACTATGCATTAAACAACGTGTTGGATTTTGTTTTTACTTGCGTTTTATTTCCAGCCCCTGAACAATCCCGTGCAAAGAGTATTACAATTTTGCAATAAGGAAAAGTGAAGGCTAGATTGGTTGGGTCAATTACCAAAGTAACCCAGCTACTATATTGCAGAATTAGGATTCGAAGCCATGTCTATGTGATGTCACAGCCTTTACTATTAGACTTAGACTACTCCTCAGGACTAAATGACCCCACAGAAAGAGTATAATGAAGCGTATGTGGAATTGTATACACTAATATTAAATGAAACTTTGGTTTATCACAGTGTTGCAAACATAGTACATATTTCGTTATTTATCTTTCCCATTCTGTAGCCAAAATACATCATCATTGTTTTAATGTGTTTATTTCTGTTACCCGTGCTCTTGACCATTCTGTCACATTGTTATTGACCAATAGAATTTTTTCCTTTGTGAATAACTTAAGTATGTCCTTTTCTCACTTTTAATATTTAACTATTTCCACTTAGTTTTTAATGATATTAACGTTATGTTGTTCTTATATATTGCAAATATTTTTGTATATTATCACTTGTTATGTAACTTTGTCCATTGAGGATAAGTTCTTATTCATTTCTGCATATCTAAATCTATGAGTGTATTTTTCTTTGTTACTTTTGGCTTTGTTATTATAAGCAAAATGTTGAGCACAAGAATGTTATTTTATTTTAAAAACAATTTTTTATTTTTTAATAGATTTATCAAGATATTCACATACCATATAATTCATGAATTTAAACTATACAGTTCAATGGTTTTTAGTATATTTGCAGAATATTAGAATATTTTCATTGGCCCTAAAAGAAACCTCACATCCTTCAGCTTTCACCTCCTTACCCCCATCCCACCACATTCTTCCAGTATGTCTCAACCATTAATCTACTCTATCTTTCTGTAAATTTGTCTATTCCGGACATCTCACATAAATGGAATCATACAACACATGGTCTTTTGTGACTGGCTTCTTTCACTTAGCATAATGTTTTTAAGATTCCTCCATTTTGTAGTATTTATCAGTATCACATTTTGCATAGACATTCATCAATTGTTAGGCATTGATATTTGGATTATTGCCACCTTTTGCTAATTCTGAAAATGCTGCTATAAGCATTTGGTGGTATACATGTATTGTGTGAGCATATGCTTTTATTTCCTCTAGGTATACACCTAGGAGCAGAAGTCCTAATTCAAATGGTAACTCTATGTTTAACTTTTTGAAGACCTACCAGCTTGTTTCCTAATAAACTTAAATTTTAGTCCGTATGCAATTTATTTTGCAGACATAGGATACAGTAAGGGCCTTCATTTCTTAAACCAAATTATTTGGGAATAAACACAATAACATTTTCTATTGATGCTTAATTTTATTGCTTGCTTGAGATGTCACATTATACATTTTAAATAAAAATATTTTAGATGCTTGCATAGATATACAAAGTTCTGATCTGGATGTAGCCTCTGCCTGTTTATTCCTGTGATAATGCTTTCCTGTTTTAATTACTGTGGTTTTTAGAACATTATTTTATCAGTTGGAATAAGCTTTCCTTTATGACTTCTTTTTTTAAAAAAATTTCAGTATTCTTCTTATTTTTCTCTTTAAATAAATTTAGAATTATTTTTCGTGTTTCCTCCAAAAAAGGGTTCCCCAATCCCAGGCCTGCAGACTTGTACCTGTGACCTGTTAGGACCTGGGCTGCAGGTGAACAGCAGGTAAGTGACCTGGGTAGGAGGTGAGCAGCAGGTGAGCCAGCATTACTGCCCGAGCTCCGCCTCCTCTCAGATCAGCTGAAGCATTAGATTCTCTTAGAAGCAGGAACCCTACTGTGAACTGCACCTGTGAGGGATCTAGATTCCTCTCCTTATGAGAATCTAACTTAATTCCTGCAGATCTTAGGTGAAATAGTTTCATCCTGAAACGATCCTCGCCACCCCCTGTCTGCGGAAAAATTGTCTTTCAGGAAAACTGGTCCCTGGTGCCAAAAAGGTTGAGGACCACTGCTTTAAAATATAATGATGCCTTTACTGAGATCACAGTAAAATTATAAATTTAGACAAATTTAATGGTATTAAATATGTGAAACAGGGAAATCGTTCTGCATGTATTAGTCTTATTTCACCAATAGGTAAATAAACAGTGAAGTTCTCTTTTCAAACTAAGTTGTACACAAGAGTTAAGTTTATTCCTTGGTGTGTGAAATATTTATATTTATTTATTTTTTACATTTTATAATTTTTCTAGAAGTTATCAAATCATGACAAAATACCTTCCCCTAATGTTAATAAGAATGCTTTTAAGGCTTCATCATCATTTGTAATTTTCATGGTAGATTTCAGATATTTTTAGTATATCAAAAAAGGATTTTTCTAGAATCAGTTTGAGATTTTTTTTTTTTTTAATGAGGGATGGATGTTGGGTTTTATTTAATGGATTCAGAATACATTGTGAGAATTGTATTTTTCTCCTTTGACCTATTCATGTAATAAATTATTTTAATAGCTTTCTTGATGTTGAAACGTCTTTCAATTCAACTGAATCTTATTAATATTTAATTTAGAACATTTGCAACTATACTGATGCTGAACCAGAAAAGTATGCAATGTTAATTTATAGCTCCAAAATTATGCTAATATAACAAAATGATTTGAGGACATTTTCTCCATTTTTAAAAATCTGGATATTTAAAATAGAACTGGAATTATTTTCTTCTTGAATGTTTGCTGGAATTCACCTAGTAATCTATCTGGGCTCAGTGCCTTATTCTTTGCTGGTAATTAAATATTGCCTGGAGAGGTTTATTGCATGTAAATTAATGCTTTTCATTGCAAGGGGACATATATTATAGCTGTAATTCATTAAACAACTTTTTCTATAATCTAATGACATGAACCTGACTCTATCATATTCTATCCCAACAATCAAAGAGCACTTGGTATTTTGTTGACATGATGTTTATCATTTTTGTTTTCCCTAATAATCATCCATTTGCTGGGACTGTAAATGGGATTTTTTTTTCATTTTCCTAATCTCCTCCACAGCTGTATTTGCAGTCCCATTCTCATTCCTAATATTGTACATTATGGCTTTTATTATAGATTAAATGTGGCAGAAATGTGGTTTTAGTGTGTTTTTAAAATGAGCTCTGGAATTAATTATACTATTTAATTTTTTTCTTTTTTCTTTTCTAATTACCATTGCTTTTAAGCTTAGTCTTCAGTTTTCTTTGATGACCTTTTTACTTTCAAAAATTCACTATATTATATATATATATTTGTTTGTTTGTTTGTTTGTTTTTAGACAGGGTCTCACTCTGTCACCCAGGCTGGAGTGCAATGGCATGATCTCAGCTCACAGCAACCTCCGCCTCCTGGGTTCAAGCAGTTCTCATGCCTCAGCCTCCCGGGTAGCTGGGATTACAGGCATCCGCCATCACGCCCAGCTCATTTTTTTTATTTTTTGGTAGAAATGGAGTTTCGCTATTTTGGCCAGGCTGGTCTCAAACTCCTGACCTCAAGTAATCTGCCTGCCTTGGCCTCCCACAGTGCTAGGATTACAGGCATGAGCCACTGTGCCCAGTACAGAAAATCTATTTAATTACAGTAGTGTTTTTAGTGTTTGTTGAAACAAAAAATAATAATGAGTAATATTCACTGCTCACTTATTATACACCAAGAACTCTTCTACACACATTACATATGTTATCTGTTTTAATCTTCATAGCTATCATTAGGTAAAAACTGTTACATTTTCCATTTTATACATGAGAAAACTGAGGATCAGAAAAGTCAATCTGCCAAAAGTGACTTAGGTAGCAAGTGGTGTAACCAGATTTCAAATCATCTCATTCCAGAGCCCACAGATTTTACCAGCCAGTTATGAATTCAATCATATCTCTGTGTGTCTTCCACTGCTTTTCTGTCATTCTTGCTTAGTTTAGAATTTTTCCTCTGTGAAAATACATTAATATCCCATGGAATCTTAAAGAATTCCTATACTTTTATTTGACTTCAAGACTCATGAATGGGACAAGTGCAATGTAGATTTTTTCTTTTCTTTTTTTTTTTGAGATGGAGTTTTGCTCTTATTGCCCAGGCTGGAGTGCAATGACGCCATCTTGCCTCACCGCAGCCTCTGCCTCCCGGGTAGCTGGAATTACAGGCATGCACCACCACACCCGGCTAATTTTGTATTTTTAGTAGAGACGGGGGTTTCTCCATGTTGGTCAGGCTGGTCTCGAACTCCCGACCTCAGGTGATCTGCCTGCCTCGGCCTCCCAAAGTGCTGAGACTACAGGCGTGAGCACCGTGCCTGGCCAGATAATTCATCTTACAGTGAAGGATGCCCCAAAAGGAGACGTGTACTCCACACGTGGTATTGCAAGAGACGGAGTGGGCACTAAAAAGGCTCTCAGATCTTGTTAGAGTTTGCATCTTGTGGTTAACCTCAAAGATAAACATCATGTCCACAAAATGTCAAGTGCTCTTGGATTGTAGGGATAGATATGATAAAGAGTTGGGTCCATGCTATTAGATTATATGGAAGTTGTTTAATGAATTACACCTATAATATATGTTCCCTTGCTATGGAAAGTGTTCATTGATATGCAATAATATTTCTCCACTACTGTAAGTAGAAATCTAATACAGCTAATGGTTTGGATTTAAATTAATGAGGCATATATGATGTGACTAGGATTTTATATACTCAGTTCTTGAAATATTTGTCAATATTTGCTTGAGATTTTTGCACGCACTACATCAGAGTTTGTACCAGTGGTGGGTGCCTAGACACGTTTAGCAGATAGATAATGAGTAAAGAGGGGTGTAATTTATCTGGGTTTAAAAAAAAAAAAACAAATAGTATTGCAGTTTTTGGTTGCTGGCTTTTAAATAGCAGCAGTTTTAGAGATTACTTAAATTTCTCTATTCACCCAGCACATACTGAATAGAGGCAACAGAACATTCAATATTCATGAAATGCTGTTTTTCAATACATATTAAGACTTGTTGATTAACAGTAGGAATAATTATGAATGTTAACTAATGAGATGCCTTTTGCTGTTAGCATCTTTTTCAGTTGTGAAATGAGATCTTGAAGAAATCTTTGTGGATAGGCAGTGGCCATAGACAAAACCACTGTGGTACAAATAGAAATATATAATTAGGGTATTTAGGAATTCTCAGAAGTCTACAACCATTATTCCAAGTCCCAGGAAAGTGTGCATTTCTTTTTTTCTTTCTTTTTTAAATGTCAGTCCTATCCCATAACTCAGTCCTATTTTCCATGATTTATAGAGAACCTTAGATTTACAGACTGGAGAGATGAGAAAGTTTAGATTGCCTAGATTCTTTCAAATGAAGAAACTGAAACCCAGAGAGGAAAAGTGGTTTGTCCAAAGTCACACAGCAAATCTGTGACTGTTCTAGAACTGGAATCTATGTTTTCTTGCCCATCACACTACCGTCTGGCATAACCAAGGCTAACACTCAGCTCATACAAACAGTATAGTTGTGACAATCTGTATCTATACTGACTGGTGTTTTCATGTCAATTCTTCTTTTAAATATTTTGAATATCTCAGTGACAACACTATATTTCAAAGAAAACTCTTCAGTATGAATTTGGAGTTAAAATAAATCAATCCAGCCTGTACTCTCAGGTTCACAGAACATTGCACTTGAGGATTTTAGGAAACTATATAATATTATTTAAACTGCCACACGTGCACCCCCAAAATCAAAGTGACTAGTCAAGTTCTCCAGCAGTTTCAGAGCAACCCCAGATCTTTTTGTTGTGGGGCTATGAGTCTCAGTATTAACGAACATACCTCGGTCCAAACACCCAGCTGCCTAACAAATGAAAGGTAGAGTTTGGGAATGTATGACATTTAGGTATTCCACATCTGCCCTTCTGTGTAATCCATATATACCTGTAATTGTTGCCAAGTCTCTATAACAAATATGGCCAACAACACTGATGATCTGTGGGTGGCAGGTAATCCTACCAACATAAGCCATCACTATGGAGCACCAGAAAGAAACTGAGTTGAGTATCAGGGGACAGCAGTCAGGGCAAGAGGGCACAGTTGCAGCTCTTGCTTCCCTGTAAACTGAGCAGGGTGGATTCAACCAGCCACTTTCACAAATTTAAGTGAAATTTATAAAACAAATAAAAATGATGCTTAATTGGTTGAAATGGGAACGGATATGCCAAGCCCTGCCAACCTAGTCTCCCGTCCACCCTCAACTTGGGGGTACCCCTCAGGATTCCACAGGTTAGAATTCCCTGAACTGGATGCTTTCAAGATCCCTTCTGTTGCTAACAATCTCTGCTTTTGACACAGGCCATTACCATGCACAGTGGCTCAGAAAAGGCATAGAATAATTAGTTTAAGCCAATAGTTCTTAAAGTTTGGTCCACTCTGTTGCATATAGCTGTGAGCTGGGACATTGATCTGTAGAAATCTGAACTATCAGATCTATCTTTGAGTCCTTCCACTCAGAATGTGTCCCCTCTCTGCTTTTTGCCATGTTAGTTTACCTCTTCCACATTCTCTACAGGCTGAAAAATGTGTTCTACTTATCACCACAAATAAATTTCCTCCAAGCTTTATCTTAGCTCTTCCCTCAATTTATGCTTCAGCTACAATAGATTTGCTAATAATCTCTGCCCTCCTTAAGGGGTTTAAAGAGGTGAATTTACATACCTGTTAGCTGAACAAAAAATAATGTCCAGCTTTGATATCTTCCCGTGGAATAATTCCTCCTCCCAAATGATATTTACACAGGGCTTCTGAACCAGGTGAAAGGGAGGGAGGCCTCCAGCAACACCTCACAGGGGTCTGTTGTTTACTGTGGAAAACAAGTCACTGCCAATAATTCTTGTGACTCTGTGTGTGCAATTAACAGTCATTTCACTATTCAGATCTTGGGAGTCAGAGTAATTTCAGTTAATCTCAAAAACCTTACCCACTCCTGCCAAATGAGATTAATGACCAAGACTTTTTTTTTAATCATATGAGTTTATTTTGTTTTCATTTTATCTCATATAGCGTGATCACCAAGCAATCACAAATGCTTAGACTAAATAGAAGATGGGAAATAACATCATATTAATCATGCTGATACTCAGTACCACTTATGCACCAAATTATCCAGTTTGGGGTCAGAAAATTAACTCTAGTGAGAACTCACCAGAATAAACCTCTCAAGAGTTATGGAGGGGTAAAAATTAAGAGAAAAGCCCCTTTCTCCCCCTAACTCACTCAGCCCAACTCTCTAAAATCAAAGGGTAGTGGGTGCCACTGTTCCACTGGGCTTCTCCCTTACACACCTTGGTCCACCCCTAAAGCCCTCTGGCAGTCCCAGGTCATGGGAGGTCTGCAGCATGAGAGTCATCAAGGACTTTGCTGCAGGCCTCCAGAGACACATCCTGTTTCAGGGAGGCTGAGGGCTGCACCACCATATCAAAAATTTCATCACAGAAATTAGACTGCATGGGAGATTCTAGTGCACTGTCTTCCTTTCCTTGGACGATATTAACACCGCTGGGGAAGGTGCTCATGAAGCCTCCGACTCCCTGATGATGGACCTAAACTTCATGGTCAGCTCAGGAAGTGTGAGAGCTAGGATTGAAGAAACCTGGGGCATACGGTCTCCTTACACCAAAGAAAATGCCACAGCATCCAGGGTGTGAAGAGAAACAAGCTTCAGAAGGTGAATCTTGTACAAGGAGTGATAGAACTTGCGGTTACTGCATTAACTCACCGTGCACACGACAGACACTGAGAGCTAGGAACAGACCAGGGAGACGGGAAGAGAACTCACAGGATGATCAGGAGCGTGACATTGGGGGAGCTTAGAGTACATGGATGGAATGCAGAGAGAGATGAAGAGGCCGGCAGGGAGAGGGCTTTGTGGGTACATGGGGAGACTGAGTGTGTGTGTGTGTGTGTGTGTGTGTGTGTGTGTGTGTCAGTCAGAAATGACAATCAAATGGCTACATCCGTGAGTGCAGAAGATGCAAGGACCAGAGAGAAACTAGTGGCAAGAGACTAGAAGGAAGGCCACTCCAACAGTCCCACAAAGACATGAGGATCTGAACAGAAGCAGGCACAGTAGAGATCAGGAGGGGCTGCTAGATTCTGCAGAAAAATCTGACAGGGTCCTCTGGCTCACATTGCTCTTGGCCAGTCCGGGGATGGGAACAGACTAAACCATACCCATAGTGTGACCCAGTGCTGGGAACACTGAAGTCCAAAGAGAGGCATTTCACCCTCCCTGACTGCGGTGAAGGAAGCTGAGAAAGGGGAAGTAGCAGCTGAGCAGAGACCAGGAAATCGTGCAGGTGTTAGCTAGGTGGAAGGAGTGGGGTGCAGTTACTGGAAGGGGGTGAGGGAGGCCGTGATGCGGCTATTCCAGCGAGAGCAACAGCTTGGCCCAAGGCCTCCAGAAAAGGGGTGGGGGAGCCCCTGTCTGCTGGTGTGCTCCATCCTGACCCCAAAATGGACAGGGCCACAGTAGGGACAGATTCTAGAAGTTTCTTATGTTGAGTACAGTCATTAGTAAACAGATTTTAGGCTCTGTGATGAAGGAGACCTGGGAATTTCTCTTTGGATATTTTTAAGGTATCTGGGAAGGGAAGGATTTTCAGTCAGTTAGGATTAGAGCTCCAACTGTAGGGAAAGAATAAAATAGCATACAAAAAGCAATTAGAAAGAAGAATAACACAATTTTCTCAGTGGAAAACTGCTTTAAATCACAGTTAATTTTTCTTTGGAGTTGAGTGTTCCCTATTCCTGACAATGTTCCTGTTAACTTTGGAATTATTCAAAATGATACATTCCATCAGGTCTTAGGAAGAGTTTACCTCAGGACAATTTTCGAATTGGGTTTAGAATTGCTTAATATTTTCCACTTAATTTGGCCCTGGGAGGAGAGAAATTAAAAATTTCCAGTTTACAAAAAGGTTTTTTTTTCCTCCCTCAACACATGACTTGAAAGGAAAAAATTAATTTCACCTTCCAAATATATAATCAGAAATTGCTTGCATAAGGGTATCCCTGAGGAAGAATGAGATCATCTGCAGTGGTAGCTTCAAGATGACTAGGGTCTGCCTCCTGGGCAGAGAGTGGCCTCTCCCCACTCCCCAACCTTGCCTGCTGTATTGTCCCTGCTGCCTTCTTCATTTGTGACCCCTCTGTGGACACCCACTCTTCCTCCTTTGAGTGGCCTTCTGTTTACCCTCTCCTCTCCCTTTACCCAGTCGCAGAGGTCAATGACAAATGAGGGTAGGAGCTTTGAAGGTGAGAGCAATGTTTTGAGAGTCCTTTTTGTCTCCTCCATCTCCTCCTACCAAAAACCACCTGCTACACCTTCACCCAGGATCTCAGTCCTCAATATCGCACACTTTGTGTGGCATGGAAGATGAGGATTAGAGAAAGGCAGGGATGGGCCTCAAGAATCCCAGTCATCTTGGGTTCGTCTTTCTGCAGTGCACACCTGTTTCAACATATCAGGCTGTGCACTATATACAATGTTTATTTGCCAACAATGTTTTAATATCTGTAAATAAAGTAATCTCAATTATATTATCACTTTTAAGAGGAAAGAGTTGTTTTTTTTTTTTTAACATGCAACACAGGTAACACAACTGAAAGAAAAATGAGGCTGCATCACAAGACTTCCCTACAAAGCGGAAGCTGTAGAGAGACTAAGTCCTCTGCACTACATGCCAGAGGCTTGGAGGGCTTTGTGCAGAAACTGAGTTGGCTAGGCCTACAGCTCCCAGGCCTGATCCTACACCACAGAGCTTTCTATCTACTTAGAAGGCCAAAAGAAGGTTATTTCTCATGTTTTGCCTTCCTTGTATCCTGGATATTTTATAATTTTGCTCTATCCATCTTTCTTTTCCTTTTACCATATTTTTGTTTCTGCACGTGTGTGTGCTTGTGTGCATTGAGTTTATGCATGCTCTGTTTGTTTATCTTTCATGAAATCACCACTTTCCAAAGTGTACTTATTTGTTGAATGACAGTGTCATGAAGTTTTGCTATTTTTAAGGGTGTTTCTGACACATCCCTATCCTATTTCGACTGTAAATCCTCAAGAAAATGAAGCAAGGTGTTATTAGTGGTGACATACCAGAAACTGAGTTATTAGGAATAGGCTACTTTTAAATGGTCTACTATCACTGTAGGCTCTGACCATAACTATTCATAGCGATTGGCCTGGAACATATTTTTTCTCATCTGAACACAGCTATGTGAGATTCTGGAACTTGGTAGTCAGCACATCAGGGGCTAATTGTATAATGAAACCTACTCTCTAGGTCCTCTCGTTAGATACCTAATGCTTGGTAGAGAAGGCATTACCTAGCAACAGTCACTAACAAACTGCAGAAAAAAATAGAGAATGTGTGCTGTATCTTTCCGCTAAGTCAAAATTGACAGCAAATTGTATTTGCCCTTGCTTTTCATGTGGAAAATCTATTGTTTACAGGCAAATGGTATAGGAGCTGCACAGCTCAGTGAATGGACACCTTGACCACTAGTTAAAAATAACCTTTAAGAAAAAGAGCTAAAAGTTAGGGACAGTAATACCTGCTCTACCCAAATTCTACAAACTAAAAGTTCCAGTGCATTCATGTGGCATGATGGTCAGTAACTTGGCTGTTGAGAAACATACCTTCTAAAGGCATGCATCTACCCTATGAGTGTTTGACATCCAGTTGCTGAGTTTCCACCTAAGATCAATCTTACAGATATACCATCATCACAAACTGGAAGCAACAGAAACCTATGTACGTGTATACACAGTAGCGAAGTTGTCAGCCCCCTGCTGATTATACAACCACTGATACTGACAACCAACAGGGAAGAACTCAGCTCAGTCAAAGCTGGAGTTTTCCAGCTCTGGGCTCAGGGGTGGGAGTCACTTGTATAATAGCAAGCACAGTGGAGTAAAATTAATTTACCATGTGCCCACTAAATAATGGCTTTATGGAAAACTTGATGTGGGATATGAACGTGTTCCTTTTGATGATAAACATACCAAGATGGCTCTCTTCCACTTTGGAAGAAAACCATTCAATATGAGTATTATAATATATATAATTTTTCTAACGGGGGTAGTGTGTTTATTGAGAAAAAATGTGGCCACGATTATGAATAAAATAATGGAATAAATGAATGTTACACATTCAGTAGACCTTGTTAGCCAAAAAGGGGAAATAATAAATATATGTTTTTCAAAGACATGTATTTGTTGTGTTGTTAAAAGATAAAGTAATCACACCTATAATGATGATCTTATATTTTTAAGATATTCAATAATTTTGCATAGTGACAGCTAGTTAGGAGCCTTGCTCCATGGAAATGGTACTCTTCACAGACTTTACTTTTAAGCAAAAGTATTTGTTCCCTTTCTGGCTAGAGGTAAAACAGATTTTCAAAGAAGATGGAATATTTCTTTCTTTCCACAATAAATTATAAACACAATTATTTTTGAAGTTCTGCTAATTTTTCAAAGTATCATTAATTTCTTAAAACATATTTTAATAGATGTCTATCATATATATGTGATGTACAAACATTTCTATGTGTTTGAGTGTACCTACATGATTAATTCATATAGGCAGGCATATACACATATAGACACAAGTACACATATAGTTGGTCTTCCTCACACTTTGAAGGTTTTTTAAAATTTTTAAATAAAAAAGTTAATCTGATGGTCTTAAACGAATGGCATTTTAACCTTCGAAAGCATGTGCTTATCATGAGTTGCCACCAACCCAAATAGTTTTGACCTAAGGTGACAATGAAGGCTCAGACTATTGCAAAGGGGGTAAAATGAATGATAAGCAAACACTTCATTATGGAGTCTCAGAATATGTAATTCTTCAAATCCCCAGGAAGGTTTTTCAGCGTATCCAGAGGATGGTGGAGGATTTCAACCCCAGAGAGGACAGTCAATCAGAGTCCTGCTGTCTCATCACATAGCGCTGAGCCTGGGCCTCCTTGCATCATCGTTTTGCTGCCACATGGCTTGGCTGGGGTCATTAGTACACTCAGAATTTCACCCAAGGTGATGCATCATCAAAGGTAAGATTTTAAGCCTTAATTTAAAATCCTCACTTCTTGCAAAACTCTATGCCCTTTCCGTCCTGGGCATGCACAGAAGAAAGAGGGAGAAAACGGTGAAGGGAAATATAGTTCTTAAAACCACATTTCTAGAGCCCCGAAGAAACCAGTGTATCTACAGCTCTGAGTAACATTTGATTTGGTTGTAGTCACGGAAATTGTAGTTCTAGAGAGAAAAGAAAAGATAGTCAAGGATTGTAAGGATTTCGCATAATCACTGCAGTCTACATACAAGTAAACTGAGGACAGTGGTAAGTAAAGAAGAGGTTCCCAATCTGAGAGTGGTTCACCATTTCACTTGCACAAACTACTCAACGCCGCAGCTCTTAGACCACACCACTGCAGCCAGTCTTCATTGGGGCAGGCCAGTTTTACATAAGGATTCAATTGAAAAGAGGACTCAGCCGTGGTCAGTATTGACTAAATGAAGGTCATTTATCATACACACGAATTTGCACAGTGCACTCAAACTATTTTCCATGCCCTTCAACTTTTTCTTCTCCTGAAGGCCTGCCCCATTAAATTTTTAACTCTTGGATCCCTGGCCTGTTCTGGATTGACAACCCAATATACTCACGCAGTGGTTCCCATCTGGCTCCCCTACCCCCACTCTTCCAGCCCACCCCACCCTTGAAGAGATCCACGGAGAAAACTAATTATGTTTTTCTAAGTAGGCAGAGTACTTCTATTTAGCAGAAGCTGGGACCCTATGTTGACCTAACACTGAGCATTTCAAGTAAACTGCCAGAAGCCCCATCAAATTGCTGAGAGTAATTTAGAGTATGAAATGTGTTAAATTATTCAAAGGGCTGAATAAGCATAAACAGGCAGTACAACAGAAGAGATATGCACACCCAGCAATGCCAGTCTGACATTTAATACATCATATTAGCACTCCTGTTAGTGCAAATCAGCCACCTTACGGCACATTGCCCTGCACGTGCACTAACAGACGCATCAAGATCTGTGCTATTTCCATTTTCAATAATTTGCCCCAACCTCCACAGCTGCCTTCTATTCTGTAGCATGCTATGTTTATAACTCTACCAAGTAAGTCAAGAAATGTTCATCTTTGAATAATAAAAGACCTAGTTGTATCTCTCAGAGCCAATACATAGTCTAGCACTGTCTCTAATATCCCAAAGGAATTGATCAAAGAAAAAAAAAAAAAGAGGATAAAACTTTTGTGCTTGAGATCTTAAAAAAAAGTAAAAACTTTGGGGTTCCAAATTTTGCATTTCCCAAAGTGGAGGAAATTTTTGAACAAAATAAATAAATTCCGAAAGGGATTCATTTATTTATTCATTCATGTATTCATTCGCTCAACAAATTTTTATTTAAGATCCACTGCGTGCCAAGCTCTAGGTTTGGGGTAGGCAGTGAAGTAAAGGATGGGACAGACAAAGGTGAGTCTCAGAAATGAAATAACAAAGTCCTGGTTACTAAAAAATGGGATGTATAAAAGTGCAGGAGCCCAGAGTAATCCCAAGGCAATGTTGTAATCCCATGATAGAGGTGTGTGGAGAGCCAACTCCCTGGAGGATATGAAACAAGCCTCACTAAAGCCTGTAGACTGAAGCTCTGGGCCTCTCTCCAGGTCCTTACCTTCATACCTCTCAGGGCTGATCTCCATCCTACAATTGTGCAGCAGGCTCCACTACTCAAGGCCACTCAGAGCATGAGCAAGCTTTCAGCCTCTTACTCCAGATGGCATGTTCCTTGCCCAGCCAGTGGCGCCATTTTTCTTCTCATCACCTTCTACTTGTTTTCCAGTTTTGCCTTTCCTTTGCTATAGGCCTGCTGGAGTAGCCGTCCATACATCGCAGACCTCAGGGCCACCCAGAGGCTTCTTAAGAGGCTCTCACACCAAGTAGGCAGCAGGGCATAACTTGCACGATTCCCTCCTCTGCTAGACCACTTCAACACCATACCTTAAGCCTGAAGTTTCTGAACTACCATCAAAGAATATAGAAATCAATAATATCATGCCTTACATCTCTAGTTAGGCCAGTATTTGCTAGAACACTAACACTCTATCAGCAATCAGTCTTAGCCAGCTCTTTGCCAGATACCCCCTCCTTCAGACCTTCTTCAACGCCTCTTGCTGGGAGCAGCAAACTCTATTATATTTTTGAACTGTTTCTTCAAATGCTGGACCTCCGATCTCTGATTTTGAGTACCACTGCCATTTTCACACCATGATGACTTCAAGCTGCAGCTTGCAATACCCTGCCTTAAAGTCTGCACTATCTGGCTTCACCATCCCCTAGTCCACTTTGCTATTACTGTCTACCAACCTCCTCCTGACTCCTCAATTCCCCAAAGTTCTGAGCTCCTAGCTCATACTTCTACTTCAATTCTGCCATCATTTCTGACATCTTTAATGTGCACATGGATAAGTCATACAACATGGAGGCCTTCCAGTTCTTAGATATCCTCATTTCTAAGGACCTTCTCCTCTTACTCCAATTTAATCTTCCACTGTCCTTCCAAACCTTGTCATCACCAGAAATGGCTCCATCTCAGAAACAATTTATGCACATCATTTTCCAAACATCACTTTTAACCACTGACTTCATTTGTTCAAATACTCCTATGAAATCAATTCTTAAACTACATTGAAACATCTAAATTATTGATCCCATCACTTTCCCACTATCCATCAGTAACTTCCTTTTTTCTACCATAGGGATTTCTTTTTATTGAGGCATAAGTGACATACAATAAACTGCACATATTTAAACTGTGTAACTTGATCAATTACAAATAAAGCTGCTATAAACATTCATGCACAAGCCCTAGATGTGGAATGGCTGGGTCATACAGTAGGTAGAGGTTTAAATTTTGACGAAACTGGCACACGTTTCCCAAAGTGGTTGTACCCTTTCACAATTCCACCAGCAATGCACAGATGTTCTAATTTCTCTATCTCCTCCTCAACACTTGGAATGGTCACATTCTTTTTTCTCTTTTTTAGCTATTCTGTTATGTGTGTAGAGTACCGTCCTTTTTCCACTTGTCTTCTTCATATCCGGCTTAGATCCCATGACTCATTATGACAAACGCTGCTTTTCAATGCCCCTCAATTCCCTTGTCCCTCTCTCCCTCCACTGCACTCACCTAGAAAGATCTACAATATTTGTGGTACACAGGCACTCACTTTTTTTATGTCTGTACCATTGGAGCCAACGCGTTTTGCGAAAAATCACTTTATAAGGCAGATGACTGTCATTACAAATTAACGAACCTTAAAAAGTAGTGAT
The DNA here is from genome assembly GCF_000001405.40 of Homo sapiens. Classification (NCBI taxonomy): domain Eukaryota; kingdom Metazoa; phylum Chordata; class Mammalia; order Primates; family Hominidae; genus Homo; species Homo sapiens. The sequence continues at coordinate 94,624,731 of NC_000015.10, read as the reverse complement.
TCTTGGCAACCAGAACTTCTTTCATGTTCCATGTTTAATCCTGTGAACTTTTCTACTTGTCATTTTCATATCATCTCTACCTCTCTAGTAGGCCCCTGCTCCTCCAACCCATGCCACCTGATTTTCAACTAATGATCTTGCATTGTACGTCATTGTGTAGAGGGAGGCCATTACTGAGCATTCTCTAATCTGCCCACCACAGACTCACCTGGGTCTACATCCACCTTTCCTTTCTCTCTCCTGAACTCTGGACTTGCCCTCCTCATGGACTCTCATCAAGAACATGATGTTCTTCCTGTCTCCCACATCCCAACCTGAGACATTTCCATCACACATCAAACATATTTTAGCATCACCCATTCTTTAAAAAAAAAAATACCCCAGAGACTCTTCCAGTCACTATCTGATTTCTCTTCTCTCTGCCATAAGAAACTTCTTGCATTTGTCTCCTGTAGCTATTTCCTCTTTCTCTCATTCAATTCATGCTTTAATCCACCGATGTCTGTCTTCTACTTATTGGTACACTGAATTTTTCCCTTATTATCATCACTAGTAATCCCCACGTTACCAAACCCAGTAGGTGCTTTTCTGTTCTCAGTGAAATTCCATGATATTTAAAATGAGGACTGCTCCATCTTTCTCGAAACACTCTCCTTTGGCTTCTGCTTTAACACAATCCTGATTTTCCTCCCACGTCTCTGATGGATCTTTCTTTGTTTCCTTCATGAGCTTCTCTGTAAAACCTCTAACCTAGCTTCTTCAGGACTTCAGAGTAGAATCCCTTCATTTTCTTCCCTATACTCTGCTTTTGGAAGCTCTCATCCATTTCCAAGGATTTAAGTATCATATGCATTTGGCAAGTCCAAGAGTCAGTCACATATGCAGTTCACCTGTCTTTGCCTTTGACAGTCAGTTGCCTACTTAGATCTTCAATTCAGTGCCTTATAGCAACTATAATACAACATGGCCAAAAATGAACTCATTTCTCCCTGAAACCTGTTCTCTATCTTTCTATCCCAGACATCCTCATTTCAGTTGCTTCTACCAACTATTCAGATGAGCAAGGCAAACTCTTGGGAGTCATAAGAGTCATTCTAGATGATTCCTTCTTCCTTATTAGCATACCCCCACCACACAAAGCTGTGCTGCCTAGTGTATTCAAGAAGCATTTCAGTTCTATTCCAAACTGTATCTTCAATCCATCCATTTTTATGTCTCCTTCCACTCGTCATAGCACGGGCTCCCATCATTCCTTGTCTGGACTTTAGCAATAGACTCCTACTAAATTACTCATGCTTCCTTATTGCATTCTTCCATAGTGTGCAGATGGTCTTTTACAAACATAAATCAGATTATGTCCCTAGAATGAATAAGTCCATGCTTCCCAATGAACTTGGAATAAAAGTCAAACAACTAACATTGGTGTACGTACCAACATCTGGCTCCAACAGCTATGTACCAACAACTTCTCTGACCACATATTTCATGTTGTTCCTCTGCTACAGGCACAAGGGCCTGCTAGTCCCTCATGCAGGGCAAGTTCTTTACAATTTAGTAAAACAGCATCTTGTTTATTCTTCAGAAGACCTTCCTCCCCTGGGTGTTTGCATGCCTGGCTCCCTACCATTCTTCAGTCTTTTTGAGACTACCTCCTCCATTCTACACAAACAGGCCCCCTCATTAAACTCTCTCTCAGCAATCTATTTCTTGCTTAGCACTTCTTAATTTGCAAGTCCTTGTTGATTGATTTATTTAATAGATATTTATTTTTCCCCTTCACTGCTCTATAAACTCCCCGAGGAAAGGAACTTTGGTGGTTTTTCTCAAAATTGTATGTTTACTGAACTGCTTCTCCCTTGGATACCACATGCAATTGAAAGAGCCCTGTATCTTTGTCTTGTGGCATTAACCTTAGCAGCACCATTTTCACCATGCTTAGCCATGCAACCCCCCCTTTTACTTGAGCAAATATTAAGCTAACAGATGTTAATATGAGGCAGAGCTCCTAGTCACACACTCTAGAGTTGTGGGTATTTTCATTGTTGTTTGTAATCTATTACATCAATTATTTCTGCACTTGCTTTGTTGATTGCTAAATCTCACGTGTTGTAGTATGGGTTTTTTGTCCTCAAAAATAATTATTACTTTGGAATAATTCATTCCAAGTGCACATGCATTTGTTATGTTTTTTCATCATTTTCAATTTTTAAAATAATCTCTACTAATTATCATTATAATTGTGCCTTTCCTCAAATTGGTTCTGATCAGACTTGATGGAGTTAATGTATTTGGTTTTTAAAACATCTCAAGCCTGTGCCAAGCATAACAAATATTCCATTCATGGCCTAGACATACATGACCTTCTATTATTTCTAGAATCATCTCCAGTTGCTGGCAACTTTATTGTGTTTTCACTCCAAAATATAGCTTTGTTTGTTTCTACAAAAATATGTAAGGTGAAAGCTAGTAAATAGACTCTGAATTCAGGTTTATCCAATTAACTAGAAAGGAATCTTTTTCCTAGTTAATTACATATTATTGGAAATGTCAGAGAGATTTAATGAACCTTCACAGAGGTCTGACTTTGACTCAATGAGGAGCTGATCTTTATGCAAGTTGAAGTCAGCAATTGTCTTTTTCTATTTCCCCTCTTTTGGTCTTCTATTTTGAGTCTTCTTTCCTCCTTCCCAACCTCTTTTCTTTCCCACTCTGTAACTGCACCAGAGACATGCTCATCTCCATTCCTTCCTTTGCCCCTCCTCTCTCTGCCTTGCCTCTCATATTCTCCCTGCCTTGCCCCCTGCATTCCAACATTGTTTCTGGCTTACTTGTTCTACATGGTTAACCTGCCTATCCTTGATATTAGCTCATCATTATAATGCTTGGTTGCTCAAATATGTCATTAAAAAACATCTTTCTTGAAATAACATCTCATGATGTTATTTTATATTTTTCTATAAAATTCAATGTTTTAGTAGTTTACCAAATATGTTTTAGTATATTTCCGTGTTAGTTAGCTGTTTGGCATAAAAAAGACATAGAATTTTAATGCATTCAGCCAATCCACTATAGTTTTTTGTATTAAAATTAATTTTAAACAATTATAATATATTATAGTATATATACATCCAGTGATAATATAATAAAATTAAAATTTATTATATTATAATAATGTAATTTATTGAAATCATGTGAAATTATAACCTCATAAGTATTTTTGTTTTGTTTATTCCTTTGGGTTTACCCTTTCGTTTCTTGTGTGCTGGAGGCTGGGTTCTGTGTCCTTGCTTGTTTTCCTGAAATCAACATCATAAGAATGATACAGTATTTCTGAAAATACTTGTTTATTACTTTTTGCCTTTTACAATGCAAGTCTTTGAAGGTGGAAAATCTTTACGTTCTTTAGTAACCATAAAATATGATGGCGTTATTTTCAAAATAATATATACTAGTGCATAGCTTACAGGAAATATTCATTAATATTTGTTAACCAAATGTTTGATAAAAGAATAGAAGTGAAGGCCAGGCATGGTGGCTTACACCTGTAATCCCAGCCCTTTGGGAGGCCAAGGCAGGCAGATCACTTGAGGCCAGGAGTTCAAGACCAGCCTGGCCAAAATGGTGAAAGTCCCATCTCTACTAAAAATATAAAAATTAGTCAGGCATGGTGGCGGGTGCCTGTAATCGCAGCTACTTGGGAGTCTGAGGCACAAGAAGTGCTTGAATCCTGGAGGTGGAGGTTGCAGTGAGCTAAGATTGTGCCACTGCACTCCGGCCTGGGCAACAGAGAAGTGAGATTCTGTTCAGGAATTAAAGGTCAAATAGCAATGGCAGATGGGATGGGATGTGTGAGCAAGCAATTTAGGTAGAACCTGTACAAAAGGCGTGGAAGAATGCATGAGCAAGTCATCCTTGAAGAATGCCAATGGGTTTACTTTTGAGGGTTGCTACATGGTTATCCTGCCTAATGGGGGGCGGGGGCGGGCGTGAGTGAAGGTTAGCATGACAAGTGGGAGAAGCCAGATTTGAAAGAGTAATGGACAACCATTGTGACATTTTGAGTAGGAAAATGGCATGATATGATCTGTGTTTTAGAAAAATAGCTTTGGCAGCAATGTCTCCATTGCTTTGGATTGGAAACCAGAGGAGCTGGGTGATGAGGGTTTTATCTGACACAGAGGCCAAACAGATGGAGGCAGGGGCTGAAGTTGAAAGCCATGTTGACTGAACATAACAAAATCAACAGCTTTTGATAAACTGCAACTTCTGCCTTTCAGTTAGACATATTCCATTATTCCTGGTTTTCAGAAAGAGATGATACTCCAGTTTCACAGTATTTTAAAAATCTAGTGAGAGTTAGGGTCAAAGATGAAGAAGGCTGTGGAGGGGCAGGGATCTGTGAGCCCCCCACCTCCACCCCACTTCCTTCGTCACCTCTTTCAGTTGGTAAGTTTTTTAATTTTGGAACAATCTCAGATTCTACTGAGTCAGGTCTGGCAGACAAGTCTTTGTTACTCAGGTGCTCAATGAAAACAACACTTTCCAAAATCCATACAGTGAGTTTATAATACATAAATAGAAAAAAAAATACCCCAAGAGAAATGGTGGAAACTCCTATTACCAGATTTATTAAAAAGAGGACCAGAAGAATCCTTTGCATTATCCTTTGCAGGGATCTGAAGGAAGCATGCATGAGGGACTTTTTGATGCAGAGTGATAGCTGCTAGAGAGAGAGGGAGTTTTCCTTTCTGAGGGAAGCTGACTATCCACCACTCTGGCACCCACTGGGACACTGGCACCTTCTTTAAAATGTATAAACACGTAGTCTGAGGACTGGAATCCCAACCAGCTTGTAGTCTTGCAAATACCGGGTGTGTCCACCATCCTCAATTCTCTTTCAGATACACACCAAAATACGGGCACTTTGGGCTGGGCATAGTGGCTTATGCCAGTAATCCCAGCACTTTGGGAGGCCAAGGTGGGTGGATCACGAGGTCAGGAGTTTGTGACCAGCCTGGCCAAGATGGTGAAACCCCGTCTCTATTAAAAATACAAAAAATTAGCTGGGTGTGGTGGTGGGCACCTGCAATCCCAGCTACTCAGGAGGCTGAGGCAGGAGAATTGCTTGAATCTGGGAGGTGGAGGTTTCAGTGAGCCGAGATTGCACCACTGCACTCCAGCGAGGGTGACAGAGAGAGACTTTGTCTCAAAATAATAATAATAATATAATAAAAATAATTTTAAAAATACAAAATATAGTCACTTTGCGGGGTCCAGCCCTGCTGGTATTTGAAGTGAGCAGGATGGATGTTTTGCTCCAATCTTTGAGTTGGGCGCCCTGCAATGTGCTTAGCCACTGTAGCCTAGCTCATAGACAGCATCTCATCTCTTCTGCTTGCTGTTCTCAGAGACCCCTCTTCACTGCCCCAACCATAGTTGAGCCCCTTCTCCCCATTCTCCCAAAGCACTGCCATTCCTACTTTATCTGTAGACCCTAGTGATGCTGGGGACATAAGGAAGACTGGCAGCAGCCCAGATCATAATGAGAACCAATATAAATGTGAATACTCGCTTTCTCAGAGCTTCCAGGTGCAGAGAGCTTCTCTCCAGCCACATTTTCTTGGATCTTACTTGCTGTTTTTCTGGAGGAGTGTGCTCTCCCTACCATAGACTTTACCTTTGTCAGTCCTCTTATCTCTCTCCTGTTCTTCTGAAATCCAAATGGTATTGCCAGGGGACAGACTTCACATTACTATAATTTTACTAGACAAACAAATTCAGTTCTCTTTGTTAGAACCCTCTCCTTCACCCCCAGAGCAGGAAGGAGAGTGGTGTCTCTAGCAAAGATTCAGTAACAGGCTTTCTGAAACATAAAAGAGCCAGCTTCGGCCCAGCATGGTGGCTCATGCCTGTAATCCCAGTACTCTGGGAGGCTGAGTTGGGTGGATCACCTGAGGTCAGGAGTTCGAGACAAGCCTGGCCAATATGCTGAAACCCTGTCTCTCCTAAAAAAACGAAAATTAGCCAGGTCTGGTGGTGGGGGCCTGTAATCCCAGCTACTCAGGAAGCTGAGGCAGGAGAATCACTTGAACCCGGGAGGCAGAGGTTGCAGTGAGCCGAGATCGTGCCACTGTACTCCAGCCTGGGTGACGGAGTGAGACTCCGTCTCAAAAAAAAAAAAAAAAAAGAAAAAAAGCCAGCTTCCTGGGAGGAATGCTGTTCTTCCCCCTAGAATACCATGGTCATTTCCTCCTTCTTAAAAAAAAATTTTTTTAGATATTTTTAAATATTTAATTTAAAGAAATATTATTCTCGTTTGATTTAATTATTTATTATTGATCCTTCTAATCTAGTCTTATGTGACCAACAGATAAGAAACACATCATCTTTTGCTCATCCACTGGAAAGGGTGGTTTTCCTCTGGCTGATGACCCTCAGCTAAAACTTCTTGCCCCAAACTCTCCTGACATCTCTACCAATGACTGTGCTTTTCCTGCTTGGTAAGTTAAGAATCACCCATTCAAGTTTTTGATCACCCATCTAATTCTTGATGGGTGAAGATATGCTCACTCATTCATTTAGCAGGTGTTCTTCTCACTCTTTCATGGTGAAAAGAGGGTGTGCCTTTGCACCTGTTTTCCTTTGCACCTGTTAAGGCCAGCTGCATGCCTTTCCCGCTTGTGCACTTTCCCAAGTACCTGCCTGCCAGGACCCACAGCAAATGTCAATTCACTATAGCCTTGAAACTTTTGGGCTATTTCTAACTATGTTAACATAGGGAATAGGACTTCAGATCTTCAAAAATTAAATGCACAAATAATTAAGATGGAATTTTTTCTGAGAAGTTGGTTTCTCAAAGGCCATATTTCAACACCAAACTCAGTCTGTTTTGAACAGATAAACTGGTAATTTAATTATACCCAGATTGTAAATTAGGCATCTGTGACCTGTACTCTGAATAATATTTTTATGACTTGAAGAAAATTAACTTGAAACCAAGTTGACGTTTAGTGACTGGAAGACTGTGACTCATTATGAATTAGGGAAAGAATGCATGTATTGATGGTTATAACCTTACCAGGCTATGCCAATTTGTCTGTTGGTTAAACACAGTGTCAAACTTACATGGCAGTTTCTTTTAAGTCTCTCTTTAATTTTAACAATAAAAGAAATTGGAGTTTTGATCTAATATTTCTAGATATAAAAGTGCAATATCTTTAGAAGTCATTTGATCATTTATTGTGTAGTGCATTTTTTGGATTCCCTTTGATGTCTCAGGTTGATTCTTCAAACAGAAATTTAAATTAAATTTAAATGAGACAATCTGATTTCCCAGACCTGAGAGAGTATTCACAAATATGAAAGAGACAGCAGAGCAGTAGCCCAGTTGTTCAGCTGGAGGGGGCTTGGAGAGAGGAAGGAGGGGGGCAGCTACATTTAGTAAGAGAGCTGAGTGCAAAGCCCCAGGGCATACTCCATTGAGAGCCAGAATCTGTGCACCCAACAAAAATACCATTGTCACAAATCTTACTACATCCCGCTGCTCTATAGCCAGCTACTATCTTTGATGCCTACGAAAAAGTCAACTTGTTTAATTTACTCTTTTAAAGCACCAAGACCTGCTGCTTAAAGGCATGTAGTGTAAAGTCAACTCTATGCTCCAAGCTGAGCCCCTTAACTTCCTAGCTGTGTTTTCTTAAGCAATCACTTCGTGAAAAAGATGGCTGCAAAGTTTCTATGACTCTCTTCAATGAGATGCATTGTTTAAATCCTGATCCTTTGAATCTGGATGAGCTTAGTGAATTGTGACAGAAGTATGTCTTCCAAAGCTAACTTAAGGAGTGTGTAACTTCTACCTTGGTCTCTTGGAACACTCTTTCTGGAGAAAGCCAGCCACTAGTAGAAGAAATTTCACTTTCAAAGACAGCCATGCTGTGAGAAAGCCCAAGCTAGCCATGTGGAATAGCCCCATGCAGAGAGAGACAGATGCCTGGCCAACCTCAGCTGCTCCAGCCGTCCCAACCAAGATGCCAGGCCTGGGAGTGAATAAGCAATCCTGGACACAATGCAGAAAAGAATTGAGGAACCCAGATGATGCCAGAAATGAGGTGCCAGACACTGGGTATGTTGCCCCAGGCATCCCTTCCTCTTCAGGTCACTTCAGGTTAGGCCATAGTCATTGTAGTACAGAGTGGGGCCATACCTGTTGGATCCCATCCAAATTTCTGACCCACAAAATCATGAACATAATAAAATGTTTATTGTTTGGAGTCACTAAGTTTGTGTTGGTTTCTTATGAAGCAGTAGACAACCAGAACACTGTTAAACTCAGGAGGCCTCAGTTTCCTCTCATTAAAATGTGGGGACAATGACACTTACTACAGGAGACACTCGTAGCTGCCCACATCCTTTCTCCTCGTTTGCCTAAGTGCTTAGATAACAGACTCATTTTCCAGACTCTCTTCTAGCTAAAAGAGACTGAGAGTACATTCTGGTGAAAGACAAGTAAGAGGAAACCAAAGGTCCACAACTGAGAAATATTCTTAGAGGGTGTGGACATACCTTCTATGTTTTCCTTCATTCCTCTGCTTAGAATATGGATGTGAGGGTTGGAGCATAAGCAACCATCCTGAGCCTGGAGGAAATAAGCTGAGGATTACAGAACATTAGCACAGAAGGATGCCTGTGGAGCCATCATATTTACTGCTCGTCTTAACTGTCTTACATAAGTAATAAATTTTACCTTGTTCCACACACTAATTTTTTGGGAGGGGGTTCCAATGTTCATGGCTACACTGATCTCACAGGGTTGATGAGTCAAATGTAAAATGTACAACACTGACTCATTGTGTAAAACATTGTCTCATATTCAACAACTGATAGTAGCCTCCTTCTCTCCCTCTCATATCATTAACTTCGCCACCACCTATGACAGTGAATTTCCAATCTTTCTCAAACTATTTAATCTTTTGCAATGTTTTAGGTAATAAATAAGATGCAGGGTCCGACCCCAAGGGATGGAATGGATTAGGATTATTTCAAGTACAGGAAAAAGGAATACATCTTTGCATTGCCTGTCTTCAAAATGCTTGCGATCAGAGAGAAGAATATTAATAGAAAAGTTAAGCAACTATGCAAATAAAAGAAAGTTGGGTTGTGCTGGGGTCCTGAGAAAACCCATTGGTGCCTCTGCTAGAGGCTCAAGTCAGGAAGTTTCCTTTCCCTGTGGGAGGTGAGGCAAGATCAAGGACATTACACTCTGTTGAGAATTTTGTATTTTTCATGACCTTCAGTCCCTACAGAAAGAAAGAAAATTAGGTGTGACCCCCGCTTGATGACAAGGAGATGAGGCTCAGACGAGTTGAGTAAGTTGGCTGAGATAAGAAAGATGACATAGGTCAGGATGCAAAACAGGTCTGTAGGATTCTTACACCCAGGTGCTTTCTTGGCATGCCCTATTCTTGACAATGCCTTCTGCAAGAGCAGGTCAGAGCTGCCGAAGAAGCATCATCATTGCAAACCTACCTGATAGGCTCTAATAGAATTTCCAGGTGCTCGAAAGGCACTTGCAACCCAGGAACTTCTGTGCCTCCTTGTTGTCATCCTTTCCTGTTACAGAGTTATAGTTGACTGTGTGATTTTTCCAAGTAGGACTCGGACTCTGCACTATTGGCACTTTGACCCTGCCCAACTGAGACAAGAGGATGACTGAACACTCCACCATTGGAGCTGCTCCTGGACAAGAAGAAAGGGGAGGGACACTTTATGCTTTCAGAGGGATAATTAGGCAGGAGGTGGTTTATCTGCAGCTACTATCAGTCCAGTGTTACGGTCCTTCCTAAAAAGATGAGGGCAGCATCCCGTCTTCTTCACTTATTGATCTGCGGTGGGAAGACAGCCTATGGCACGTGCCAATCAGCCCAAAAAGACAAAAGCTCCCCTATCTCTGCTTCAGGTCAGACTGCTCTCAGACCCATGATGTGGACACACAGGGAAGCAAAAACCTCTGCCGTTAAATGAACCTTGAAACATTTCTCAGATCCTTCATTCCTCTCTTCTCTAGACTCAGTGTCATTTCCTTAGAGCAGATTTAGCCTCTCTTACCTGGACTCTGCACACCCCTGGAGGCTGTTTTTTATCCCATCTTCTGCTTCAGTCTCCACTCTCCAGTCCTTCTCTCATGTAGCTTTCGTGGTGAGCTTCCAAAAACACCAAACCAACCAGGTCTCTCTTCTGCTTAAAAATCTCCCCAGCCCTCAGGCCCAGTCGAATGCTAGCATAACACTTATGAATTGTGTCTGCTTCTCACTCCACCCGCTTCTCTCTGAACCCCATTCTGTCCCCATCGCTTGAATGGTCCCTATTCCCTGAGAACCAGCAGGCTTTGTCATAGCCCATCTCTTTGCAAGATACCTCCCCAGGCTTCCAGCACATTCCTATTCATCTCTCAAGTCTTTTCTGTAGTCTTCATCACTTCCTGCAGAGTTTCTGCTCTCTCCTCTCATCCGACCTCCATGGGTCCTTCCTCACAGCCCATGCTCCTTTGCGTTGGTTGTGTGGATTTGTTTGGGCTCTTTGCTTTCCCTTCAGGCTTATTGGCCTTTAAGGTTTCCATGCCAAACACAATGTTGAGATATCATAGGTGCAGGGTAAATTTTTGTTAAATAAGTAAGTGAATTTGAAATCATCTGTGTGCCAGATAAAATGAATACGGCATTTAGAGGATCTGTTGCTAGTCTGCACACTTCTAGTAATTACTATATATTTGCTATCTAATAATTGGGGATAAATTCACATTATGTCATTTTTCTAAACAACTTAGCTAAATTAGGTCAGCTTAATGCAATCAATAAATGACAAATTTGCAAAATGCCTATCTCTATAAAACTAATTTGAGACAACCACTGGCATAAACTTAATGAACTTTGAGAATAAAAGGAACTTCAAAGTGGCCTTGTTTCCCCAGAGGGGAAGTTACTGAATTGCACGCAATGATCTCTATTTTAAGTAATAAATTTGAGCATCTTGACAGTTCTAGGGGAAAAAAAATCAAGAAAGGCAGAACCAGAGTGAGAAAGGATGGGCAATATTGTGTTGCCATATTGATGCCAGCCATGATGAGACTAGCCTAACTGTTGCCTCCAGAAGAAATATTACCTCAGTGAGACCTTGAATAAGATCCTTAGCAAAGTCTAAATTATGAAGTTTCATCCATAAGAAAAGAAAAGAAGAAATATATGTATTTTCATTCATTTATGCTTGCACAAATGTTAAAATGTATGTTCCCTGTTTATTATAGCCAGTATGACAAAAGCAAACACAGTCATGCATCACTTAACAACAGTGATACGCACTGAGGATTGTCTCTGGCATTTTTGTCCTTGTGCGAACATCAGAGCGTGTACTGACACAAACCTAGATGGTGGTCTATTGCACACTTAGGCTATATGTATGGCCTATTGCTCCTAGGCTGCCAACCTGCACAGCATGTTACTGTACTGAATACTATAGGCAAATGTAACACAATAGTATTTGTGTATCTAAACATAGAAAATGTAGGCAAAAATACAGTATTATGATCTTATGGTACCACCATTGTATACATGGTCCGTCATTGCCCAAAATATCATTATGTAGCACATGACTGCACTACACACTATTTTATAAAAAATATGTTATACTATACAAAAATACGATATTGGCCACGTGCGGTGGCTCATGCCTGTAATCCCAGCACTTTGGGAGACCTAGGTGGGCAGATCACCTGATGTCAGGAGTTCAAGACCAGCCTGTGCAACATGGTGAAACCCCATCTCTACTAAAAATACAAAAATTAGCTGGGCATGGTGGCGGGGGCCTGTAATCCCAGCTACTTGGGAGGCTGAGGCAGGAGAATCGCTTGAATCTAGGAGAGAGAGGTTGCAGTGAGCCAAGATTGTGCCACTGCACTCCAGCCTGGGTGACAGAGCGAGACTGTCTAAAAAATATATATATGTATATATAACAGGCATGTCAACATTTTTCTCCTTTATTATATAGACTATTAAACATTTCAGAGGGAAACTTCTGGAAAGATCATGAGAGTTTCTACTAACTTAACTCTCTAGGCAATGTATACATTGTTCTATCTCTATATATCTTCTAGGAAAAATTAAAAAAAAACAAGCAAACTCATTTTGAAAACATTACATGATTAATGGCAGGAACTTTATTGAATGATTCTGACTGTAGGTGTCTAGATTAATACCATCAGCCTCTTCAAAACTGAATGAAAACTGTTGATGTATTGTCAGGAACTGTCCTTTTGTTGTTTGTATTGAAATCTACCTCTTCTAGCACACATCTCTTTTCCAGTAATATATGTAGGATGCATGTATCATTTCCCAGATAAAGAAATGTCAGTAGGAAAAGAGCAAGTAGTGTTTGCAAGTTCCACACCCACTAAACAGAGGAGGGTGTTGTGCTAGTGAGGGCAATGCCCAGGGTCCTCACCCTCATAAAGATTTTCCCTTGGTCCATGGCAGATGTCATTCATTAATAGTGACTGCCCCTCTTCTCCACCTAGTCAGGACACAGCTTCACCATCCTCAGCACAGCATCACTACCAACTGATCACAGAGGGCTCTGTGTGCCATTGCCAGAGCGCACCATGAGATGGAATGCTTAGAAAGACTGGCGACCAGGGTAACAAACGGCAAATGGAAATGGGATGTGCTAAGGTGCCTGATCTACCTGAGAATGCCATTCTCAGTATTGGTGTGTTCACATAAAACACACACACACACAATTAAAAAGAAGGATCTTTAGCCTGGAATTATACTAGAATGTAGCAAACCAGTTCCACCTGCTCTGCCTGCTAAAATTCTAGACTTCCTTCAAGCTCCTCCCCTACAGCCCAATGTCACCTCCTCTAGGAAGCCTTCCTGGATTCCCCAGCCAGTTGATCATTTATCTTCTGTGATCCTGAAACACTCTGCTTACAAGTGTTTTTGATAGATAGCAAATAGTCAAGTCATTTGGATGCAAGTTACCCCTATGAGTACAGCCATATCTAAGCCTGTCCTACAACATGACTAGTGCCACCACTGCTATAATTATTGCCACGTAATGCATCCCTGCCAATGCTTTAGGAGTGTCTAGAATATGGACAGGAATGCACTGTTCAATATACTGTTAGCAGAATTGTGGTTGGTCAAGTTCTTCTCAGTTCAGGCACTGGTGTGAGGCTGAGAAGGCTTGCTTCTCTCTCCACTGTTGCAGTATTTTCTGTCTTAGGTCTGCCTGTCATCCTGCCTTCCAGGGTTGAGCCACCACCCTCCACTGTGTATTGCTGTAGTCACTGCGTGCTGCTGGCCTGGCGGGGACTCTGTAACTCTCATACTCCATGTTTCACACTCAGAGCCTTCATGAAGAAAAATAGAACTAATTCCCTTGCTCTTTGAGTCACCATTTTCTTCCTTATTTCCACTGACCGTTTTCTCTTCCTACTCTTTGTAAGTTTTTCAGCAGTCAGCAGAGACTCGTGCCCAGTTAGTCTACTCTCAGAATACATGGACCAAAGTCCAAAACATCTGAGATCTGTTCAGAATTTATGGCCACTGCCATACCTACAGATATGCATTGGTCCTTAAATTACATTCCTGCTCCAGAATTCCATCCCACTTGGATATTTTCTAGGTTTTCTTCTGTGTCGATTCTTCTAGGTCCATTTTTCACCCCCTTTCCCAGAATGCTCAGAGGTTCTCTAGCAGCGAACACTCTTTTAAACAGCAGGATGGTAGCATCTGCATTTTGATTACACCATTCCCCCTATTAAACCACTCCAGGGATTAAACCTATCATTGCCAAACACCCGTAAGAACATGGTCCTCTTAAAATTAGTATTCTCATTGCTGGCAGTAGTCTAGGGGGTAGAGACAGGGAGGTTCAATTTAAGAAGTTGAAAATAAAGCCGCTTTTCAAGAGTGAAATTAATTAAATCAACATATAATAGGAAGTGACAGAAAGGACTCTGAGGCTCAGGGGAAAGTCACTTCAGCACAGCCTGGTTAGTAACATTAACACATCCAAAAGGAAGAATGTGTCAGCAGAGGGAGGTACCAAATAGGAAACAGAGTGGAGGGGGAGAAGTGCATGCATGGTCCTCTAATAGTGTCCAGTAGCAATTCTAATAACTATGCTTGATGCTTGATAGGTGTCAGCGTTGATATTTATATTGGTTTATTGCAGCAGTTCCCAGACTGAGCAGGCATCAGAACTCCTGGGAGTGCTTGTTGAAAGCACAGACTGCTGGGCCTCAGCCCAGAGTTTCTGATGCAGCAGGTCTGGGATGGGCCTGAAAAGTTGCATTTCTAAAAAGCCCCTGGGTGATGCTGATGCTGCTGGTCCAGGGATAACACTTTGAAAATCCCTGGTTTAGGTGAGTGTTTCATCAACATTTGGGGAAGTCCAAAGAAGCAGCCACATTGCATTTGGCTTTGAGAGCATTTAAGTGAAATCCCCTTTCCAACCACAACGGATACTGTAAGTATGAAAACTGACATAAATCAGACACAAATGTAGTTATGGGCTCTAGCAAATGTAAAGTACTTACAGGCTTGGAATTTCTATTTCAACCTCTATAAGGCTAATTATTTCACCGCAAGCACTGAGCCCATCACTGTGATTGCTGCCAGCTGGTACGTAGTAACATCTAGATATTGGCTGACAAATTATTTAGAGTTTTTACCAGTACAAATAGTAGAGAGAGTAGTCCAAAACTTTGTAAATTAATCAGTTATGCTTTTATCATAAAAACTCTACTTAATATATTAATAGTATTTATTATTCATTTAGTAATTATTGTTTTTATTATTTACTATCAATTAAAAATCATTCTTCCTACTATGGGGCACCCATGTTTCAGGTACTGTTCAAAGATGTTCATGTATATTAACTGATGCAACCCTTCCCATAACTTCATCTCCATTTACAGTAAGGAAACTGAGGCTCAGAGAGGTTAAATGACTTGCCCATAGTCTCACAGCTCCTAAGTCGCAGAACTACTACCCAATGTTAGGCAGCCCAACTCAACCATCCATATCCTTAAGAGCCACCTTCTATGGTTTTGTGATTATTTAGCAAATTATAGCAAATGCAAATAAATGTCAATCATTAATTAGGTATTAAATTTTGATTTGAAAATGTTAAATCAGCTTGCAATTGGAGAGTCCATTTACCAAACAAAACAAGGCACAAAATGTTCTCTTTTTCACGTTAAGCCTTATCTGTTCTCAATTGCTCTTTAATATCACTTTGATATCTTTATTTGCTTAATTTCATGTCTTTGCATTTTTTTCAGGGAATATATTAACTGTAGCTAAGTCAGTCTTCTACCAACCTAAATATATCCTTTTTAATAATAATAATAGTTTGTAGTATTATTATAATAAAGCAAACATTTTTTGAGTTGTCTTTGTGCAGCTATTAGGTTAAGTACTTGATTATCATCACCATAGCCGAAGGAGTCAGATGCAATTTATTTCTTGTTTATTGTTAGAAAATCTGAGGCACGTAGAGTTTAGAATAGCTTGCCTTAGATCATATGGATAATAAGTATAAGAGCTAAGATCTTTTGCCTCTCAAGTGCGGGCCTCTAACCATTACACCACATAAGAATCACCCACATAAACTTCAGAGAGGAAAACGCCAGAGGCAGAAGGGCATGCTGGAGGAGAGACAGGGCACTAGCCCTGCCTCTATTCCTGCCTGCTCCTGGGCCCTCAGTGACCTGGAGCATGTCCTTCTCTGGAATTCGCTGTGCGCTCTGGTTAATAGGGCAGCACTCATGAATTCTAAGGTTTGTCCCAAATCCAAAGCTTGTGCTTTCCCTTCCAGGTTTTTAGTCAAGTCATTTCCCATCGTCTTGACTTCCTTTCCCAGCTCACCCACACGGCATCCCTCCCGTGATGGTTTATTTTATGTGTCGACCTGGTGAAGGAATGCCCAGACAGCTGGTAAAACATTTTTTCTGGGTGTGTCTGTAAGAGTGTTTTTGAGAGAAATCAGGATTCGAATTGGCAAACTGAGTAAGGAGATGACCCTCCCCCACATGGATGAGACTTCTCCAAACCTTTGAGGGACTGAATAGAACAAAAAGGCAGAAGACAGACAAATTTGAGCCTTTTGCTTGAGCTGGAACATCCATCTTTTTATACCCTCAGATATCAGCATTTACAGTTTGCCAGCTTTCAGATTCAGACCACAAATTACACTATCTGCCCCCTGATTCTCACGGGGGACTTTGAATTATACCACCAACTTTCCTTTGGAATTGGACTGAATTTTACCACCAACTTTCCTGGTTCTCCATCTTACAAATGGCAGATCATGGGACTTCTCGACCCCCATAACCATGCGAACCAATTCCTGTAGTAAATCTCTTCCTATCTGTCTTTCTATTTACTTATCTATCTCGTATTCGTTCTGTTCCTCTGAAGAACCCTAGTATACCTCCACCCATGGGCCTTCATTGCCTCATTCCCCCACCTTCTATTCCCTAATACACAGGCCCTTTGACTTTTTCTTACCCCTCATTCCATCAACACATTAAGGACTATGATAAACAAGCCATCGTTTTGCAGTGATTCAAATACAGCCTTGCATTTTCTCCAATTATTTTCTTCTCTGTATCGTTTCTTCCAAACTTGTTAGTACCTTTTCCTGAGTGGAACCTAGCCTTTTCCTTATTTTTTTACCCAAAAGTTTCAATGAAGACATCGATTAGTAAAATCGTATGGTTTTCAAGGGAAAACTACCATGCACAGCTCATTGCATCTCCTATGTGAAATTAGAGCCCAGTTTCTGCTACAGATAACTAATATATTGTTTATTAAAAGGTACTGATTTTTACAAGCAAACAAAAAGTAAGGCTGACTGTCAATTTCTGTCTCACAAAGGAGGTTTCTGGAAACATGTTTCCCAACCTGAGATACCTGAGATTCTAAATATTTTCGATAATTCGCTTTGCCATTTGGAAGATCTGAAATGCTTGTATCACTTTTTTTCTAACTGTTCCTCCCCTCCCCTTCCCAGTGAAGGCCAACATAAATACAGGATGAGAGGAGGGCGGCGGGGAGCTTGGGAGGGAGGAGGATGGGAAAAAGAAGAAGATTTCATATCAACATTCAGATTTGATGTACATTATGTGCAGCAGGATCCAGGAGGTAGAGAGGCCGCCAGCTGGGGTTTGTGGTTCCAGAGGAAACAGCTGTTTTGAGATTATAGGAACAAAGGAAGTGTCAGGCCGGAAGGAGAGCAGGAAGCCACTTCAGCCCCTCTGAGTTTTTGTGGTAGCTCCTCCTTGTACCAGGGCTGTGAGACCTTCGCACGGTGTTCTCTAGGACAAATTAATGTGAGAAAATAATAATAAAACCACGAAAACAGAATTTGATGGGGTTTGTCATTTGGCTTGGTTTAAACAAGTGGTTACTGGTTGTGTAAGCTTGACTCACAACCCTGCTTTCTCATGGAGCTATTCCCCCTGCCCTGGTAGCAGGCCATGGAAGATTTCAAAAACAGCTTCTTACTGTGGGAATGAAAATTTGTTCATTAAAGATGTTACCTTTTAAACTCTCTGCCTCCTACAAACAGCTTTAGGCTTCTCCCACACAAATGTCTCTCCTCTCTCTCTTGTATAATAGGGAACTCTTTTAAAATATCAAGTAATTAAAGCTCTTCATGGGTGAACTCACCCATTGAGAGGAATCCTCCAGCACACGAAATGGTGTCTGTATCAAATTCTAAATCTGTCTTTTAAAAAACCCAACATATTTTTCTGATTTTTGGCAGTAAGAGACCTAATTTTGTTCCAAACGCGATACACTTGCCTTTTTTTTTTTTCCTCAGTGGGTTTATATTCTCCAGCTCCATTTGGGTGAAAATTTCTGTTATCCAGAATGAGTCAAAGACAGATTAAATAGCTACCTATATTTAAATTTTCTCCCATATTCAATTGTAATTTGTGTTCCCAGATAAATAGAGTGAGGAACCAAGATGAGGGAAGGTGAGAAGAAATGATGATAGGAGACAAATGGAGTTGTCTTTTTTTTTTTTTTTAATTGCCTCACTGTTACTGGGAGGTAGTAAAAAAGAAAAGGAAAGAAAAGAAAAAACCTAGACAACACACTCAAGCCCATGTCTGCTGATCAGACTGTGATGTGTTTGACTTTAATTTGTGCAACCAGCCCCCTCTCCAACCTAGTGCAGATGCCATGTCCTTTTAACATCAGCAGCCACTGGCCTCATTCTCATACCCTGAAACATGTTCCCTGGAAGTATCTCACAACCAGCCAGGGCAGAGAAGCAACCCTGCATGCAGTGAAAAGCAAATTGTTCTTGTGTTATACTTAGGCAATTTTGTTTTCCATGAGGTGTTTTAGTTTTCTTTGATTTGGGGTTACATATAAACAAAGTTATGTTTAAGAAATAACCATGGAGAAAAGCAATGATCAGAGAGGAATGGTTCCATTTCAGGAGCAATGTAATACTTGTCTCCTGGATGTGAGCATGGACCATGTGCAATTTCCTTTCTCTTTCAAAGAAAATGGTGAGAAGACCAGTTCCATCAGCACCTTTGCTGCCCGGGAACCCAGGTATACATTCAATTCAATTCATCAATTTCTCAGTTAAAGTCATGAGGTGATTAATGTAAGAGGCTTGTCCTGAAGCTGTTCACTCATATTGGCTTCCAGTCAAAGATCGAAATTCATGAGCACACCATTCAGAACATTTTCCACAGGAGTTGACTCTATTCCCCTCTTTGATGAAGTGCCATTTCTTCTAAGGGTAGGGCAGTCACAGTTAACTAATAAGTTACCTCAAGGTTGTCGACTTCGCTGTGTTGTTTCCTGTGGGAGACTGGGAATGAAAACTCAAAAAGACATAGGACCATGTGCCCTTAGGGCTCAGAGGGACTGGAGATGTCATCTGGCTCAACAGAAGCATGTTATGGAGGAAGAAATGGAGCCAAGGGAGACTGAGTGCCTGTTCAAGGTCCCAGGCCTGAATGGCAGAGCTGGGCAAGACCCGTATCCCCTTACCACTCGCGAGCCTTTGCCACAGCTCAAGGCACATTTCTCAACGCATTTTACCTACGTGGGCAAAACAGATCGCGGGTTCTCCTTGATGAGGCAAAAGACTAAAACGATGGGCCAGTGACCGATGAAGGGTGGCAGGAGAGCTCACAGATGAGAGGGTGGAGAGACAAGAGAGGTCCTGGGAAACGCATGTAGAAGAGACAGAGAGGGAGGGGTAGAGAAGGGAATATTCAAATTTTCATTCTCCACAATCTCCCTTTTTCCCATGATTGCTTACGATGGCAAGAATTGGTGAAACTACATTTTGAGACTCTTTTTTCCTTTTTCTTGAATAGCAATAATTAGTCGTGTCAAGATGACCACTCAAACGACAATGTGATTTCAATGAGAAAAAGTGGAGGAATAAACTATAATTATTTGGACAGTCATTCAATCAGATTTTCTTTGCCTTGTCACATTTTAAATGATTAATGAAGTTTCATGCGGGTGTCTGCTGAAGAGGTTACTGAACATGTTTTAAAGCCTTCTCTTTTTTTGCTTATTCTTTTCCATTTCAAGTACATAACAGTTTGTGAGATTTTTTTAAACTCTCAGTTTGAATTAAGTAGCATCATAGGCCACTTAATCTAATTTAAACTCCAATGTCACTTGCTCTTGACATTAGCTATGTAAAAAATAAACATTTTTCTTCTCCAAGTAGCCTAAGATGTGAGCCATCGCTCCTAGCGCAGTATTTCCTAAAGATTTTGGAGCTTTAGATAAGTAGAGATGATCTCAGAAAAATAGGGCTATGACTTGGGAAAAAAAAAAAAAAAGGAAAGGAAAGACAGCATAAAGTTCATCCTCCAGTGAAAAATCACATGCTACTTTGCATATTAAATGTTTTGGGAAGCTCTACCATTAATACGACTCTTTGATTATGTTTAATTCAGCATTTCTTTAACTTATTTGACACAGGGTGTCTTTATTTTCCTAAAATTTACTAACATTCTTTCAGCTCTGTGTTCCACAGAAAACAGTTTGGAAAATATTCATTTAGCTGCTAAGTGCACAAACTCAATTGCATAATTATGATTCATCGTCTTCTTCTAAACAAGGAAAAATAACCTGAAAATGAAACATATTAAGGGTGATTGTTTTGAAAATCAAATAATCTTTTTTGACAATGGTGGAAAATCATAGTTTTAAATAATTATTAGAAAATTTTGCCTTGAAAATATTTTAGAAATATAAAAAACTAAAAATATTCTAGTATTTAGAGAATAAGCTGTGACATAATTTAACAGCAATTCTAATCACCCACCACATATAACTCTGCAACACCTAAGACTTGCTTTATAATCATAATCCTAGAACAGTCCTGGATTCAAACAAGTTCTGCTACAGTAGATTCTCAGTGGCATCTAGAAGAGTCATTTTTAATCACTGTACCTGGAGTTCAGTACATGGGATGCTTGTACTGGTTAAGAAAGGTCAAGCAATAAGGTTGTGTCTACGAGCACAGCACAGTAAGGTCTTTGAATGGCAAGGGAACGATTTCCCTTTTATCTTTTATTAAAGGGGATCAGGTGTTTGCCCATAAGAACTGCACTCCAAGCAACACGCAGTTCTATTCTGGAATGTGCCCATAAACTAGAGATATGTCTGTTTAAATAAACATAACATCATGAATATCCTACAGCCAAATGAGACACTGGCATTTAGGAGTAAAGGCGGACAAAATCTGGTTCTCCCCATCTTTTTTTTGAATGAATGACGCAACTTTGAGATTATCCAGATTTTTCTAAAACAAAGAACAAATAATCCTATAAATTCTAAGGTTAACTTTGGTCACTGGATACAATTTCTAATTTACATTCTGCAGAAAAGCAGGTAAAGGATTTTTTTTTAATACTCTATTTCCCCTGAAATAACACAACATTTATTAAAGGATTCAGGCTTGCATCCTTGCTTGGAATAATGTATATTCTTTATTTTTCAATGTTCAGTTGTACTCGTATATTCTTCAAGTAGGACTAGAGGGGAATTATTAGTTGCACTGGTCTGGGCATTCTTGTATCTACTTATTTTGAAACCTTTCATTTGTAGCAACAGCTGCAAGGTGTCCCTTCAAGGATTTTGCTTTTTTGATTTATACTTTTATACACTCAAATCTCAATTGAGATATCCAAGCTTCATTCCATTTTCTGACCTTACACTATCAAGCCAGAGTGACCCCCAATCTCTTAGGACTGGGCTACATTCCAAACCAGGTTATGGAAGAACAAGGGCAGAGAATCAAAGCCACACATCACCCCGGTCCCAAGGAGACACTTCATGTAAAGCTGAGTGAAGGCCAGCCAATCCGCAGACCTCATTTATTTGCCCATGTGAGAATTCTCAACTCTCCACCCTTTGAACTTTTGACATTATTTTTGAGTGTGTGTGAGTCCTGTTTATACCAAACACAAAAGCCAGACAGATGCTCAGTTTGGCATGGAAATTGGCCTCATGAAAATAAATGTTCTCTTTTCCTTTTTTTTTTTTTTTTTCATTGTGTGTGTGTGTGTGTGAGGATGGACGCTGCCGAAATGCATCATAGTTGCTGACATATTAGTGAATATTCCATGCATCTGTTTCTGGTTATTGTTCTCCTCTTGACATACCTGTCATCATGCCCATGCAGTGAGGCGTTTCAGATAATAAAAAAACCCTCAGAGTCTGGTCAAATGGATGTGATGGTCAATAAGGCTGTGGGCTAATGTATCTGGAAATCAACTGAGCATGAGTGCTTGAGCACTCTCGTGCACTCTCCAATCCCCGCTTTGGGAGGATTGCTTCCACTCAGAAAGATGCGCTGTTGGACTGAGAGGGAAATAGCCTGAGTCCACCTTCCAATAGAAATCTTTTCAAAGTCCTCATTCCCACAAAACACCCAGTCTGACTTTCAGGAGAAATAAAATGAACCTGGATAAATACAGATTTTTTAAATTGTTATTCAACACCAATTTATAATGTATCTTTGTTACTGAATGTGAAATTGGATGTTTAGCACTGAGCACAGTGCCTAGGCATGGTCAGCACTTAAAACACTAAACTGGTCTTTTTGTCATTATAATATTGAGTCTAATACACTCCGATGAAATAAACATATTTCTTTTTTGCACATAAGGTAGCTTGCGCATGGAGACCAGGTTGCTGACTTCATCCACGTTACACATCCAGCAAATGGAAGGGCCACCCACCTCTCTCATACCAATGAGAAGAAGTAGCAATGACTTTGTCATGATGGAGGTTCAGTGAGGAGCACAAATCTTTGTAGTGTGAACCTGATTCATGGTATGTTAATGACAGGCTAGTAAACCACTAAATGACCTCTAACAGTTGTTTAAATAACAATTCAATTTGAGTATAGGCTATTTCTAAACCCCAATTTATGTCGTATTGAAAAACTAACCTCAACAGTCAATGAATGAGACCAACATTTGGAACAAAAGAAAATAGCATCTTTGCTTTTCTCAGTAGTGCCTTGTAAATGCAGTAAATGTCTGTTGGATTGTCCTATTTATAAGGCCTTTGTTTTTTCTTACTGTAAACTCTTAAGGACGCTCCGTTGCCTGGTACAATTCAATATGACTGGAGCTTACAGGGGTCTTGATCTCTACATACAGTGCACCACAGGAGTGATTTATAAACCACAATCCCACAGCATCCCAGGAACGGGAGTGAATTGAAGCTTCTAAGTGAACACAAGTGCTATGAATTGCAATGTTAGACCAGCACAAGAAATGTCCCCAAACTCATTTCCTGCAAGTGAGAATGGGGATGTGGTTGGAGGGAATTGGGGGAATGGCAAACCCCATAAGGAATGAGGTTGGTACCCAATTAGCTTCTTTTCATATTATGGGTTTAGGGAGGCCAAGTAATCCCAAGATGGCTCCAGTCATTTTCACATTGGCAAAGAGGAACAATATCGCTTTTTAATAGTGTGAGGTCGGAGAGAAAAAGGGCAGAGGGAGGAGAGGGGAGAACAAACCAGAGGAGGATTGTGAATGCACATAATTCCCTGGGCATGAACATTTTTGTGAAAAATAAAAGAAAGAAAGTAGACTAAAAAATTAATAACTTGAATGTGTGATCAATAAAAATAATTATCATCTTCCACTCCATTTTTCATAAGGCACTCAGTGGCCTGAAAGTAATTTCTGACATAGACATAGGAGCAGAGCATTGCACAAAAATTTCCTCTTTTAAGAAAGACTTTCCTTTTCCAATCTCAATGTATTTTTTTCCTCCTGTCTTCTACGCTCAACTGTTTGGTCTAAAGACAGTCAGGGAGCTAAATATATATTAATTAGAACTCTTGGGGCTGGCATCAGTGAGATACAATTATACCAAACGGATGCCATTCCAGGCTCTGATAGCTTCTTTTAAATTCCTGAATAAAACATGAAATATCTTTAATGAGAAATGAATATAGTTCTCAGGAGGGAGTAGTCCTGATATTGTTACTAGTCGAGATATAGAAGATGAAGACATAATGTGAATACCTTCCATTTTGTATAAAAATGATGGTTGTTAGAAAAGACATATCCCTCTTCTGAGACATCATGTGAACTGCAAAATCAAAAAATTATAGTGCCTAACAGCAGAGTTTGCTCCCAAGGAACTGCAGCGTTGGAGCCTCTGTGAATTCACAGAAAGGAACACATTCTGTCTGTTACCAGGAAAACGGATCACCTCAAACAGCATCAGTGAGAGTAAACACGTGCCACTCCGTCGAGCAAATCGCTGCTGCTTTCTAAGCAAGAGTCGGGTGTGATTTCATATCCATAAGCATATTGTCCACAAGAAAGAAATAGATGTGCCTCTTTATCTCAAATCTCTGTCCTCTTCAGACAGCCGCTTCTCTATTCTGGAGGAGGGGGAAGGAGAAGGGGGAAATGGGTTAGTAAAATCCCACTGTCAAGGAGATGGGAACCACATGGCTTCTCACACTGCCCAGGCCTCCTCTTTGATCACAGGCCCTGGGAAGCCCGAGCCCAAGCCCCAGGCTCCAGCAAAAGCCTATTCACCTGTTGGGCTGTGGCAGGGATTTTCTTCTTTTCTTTCCAAGGGCTTCCTTTATTTCTCGTGTCTTTCATAATTAAAGTAGCAGCATGCGGCACCTATCTTAATCCTAGGTGACCTTCAGAAGCTTTAGAAATATTACCAACAATGACTGGGGCTTGCTATGACTGCCATCGAATTCAAAAGGTCAGTTCCCCAATCTGGGTGACTGGGAGTGGGGAGAGGGAAGAAGTTTATGGAGAACAGGCAGACAATCAGTCTGGAACAAAATAGGAAGATGAAGGTATATTTTCCCCCATATCTCCTGTCACAGTCCTGAACTATTGTAAAAGGTAAATAATTCAAGACCAGTCTGGCCAACGTGGTGAAACCCTGTCTCTACTAAAAATACAAAAGTTAGCTGGGCATAGTGGTGCGTTCCTGTAATCCCAGCTACTCAAGAGGCTGAGGCAAGAGAATTGCTTGAACCGGGACCCGGGAGGCAGAGGCTGCAGTGAGCCAAGATTGCACCAGTGCACTCCAGCCTGAGCTACAGAGCAAGACCCTGCCTAAAAAAAAAAAAGATAAACAAAAACCACTCAGGTCTCTTTTTTTCTGACTCAGAGACAAACTACTACCCTGCCTTTATAAAGGAGATTGAGAGGTCAGGTGAAGCAACCAGGGCTGGTCAACTGATAAAGCTCTTGTCATCCTGTTATGTAGCATTGCATTCATTGGACAAATAAATGGGTGCCCATGTGCAACACACTGTGAGGAGATACTGAGAAACCGTCAGCTGGGTTACTGCCCTCCTGAAGCTCATGGGCAGCAATTTCCAAATAGCATCATTGCACGTGAAGGTTCTTGGAGCCTGCCCCTCCCTCCTAGCTCTGCCCCCATTCCACTCTTGAGGGTGGAGATGATGATGCTGAGTTTCTAATTGGCATTGCTGGTCCCGAATCACACTTCAAGAAGCAAGGGTCTAGAAGGCTGAGCTCATCGGATTCTTCCCAGCCTCTCCATCTTCATTTGTGTGCTTTCTCTACAGGACTAATCTCCTTTCCTGTTGGGACACTGCTATTTTTTGTGCAGTCCTTTCTGAACACTTATCCTTCCTTTCTAGGGTCCCCAGAGTCTTAAGTGCATCTTACTCACTAAAGTACATACAGTGGTCCCCTCTTATCCTCGGGCAATACGGTCCAAGACCCCCAGTGGATGCCTGACACCAGGAATAGTACTATGCTCCACAGAAACTACGTTTTTCCCTATACGTACCTGTGATAAAGTGTAATGTACAAATTAGGCACACTAAGACATCATAACTAATCATAAAATAGAACAATTAGAACAATATACACACTGTAATAAAAGGTATGTGAATGTGGTCTTTCTCTCTCACCAAATACCTGGTAACTGAGGGGTCTACTAAGTGACTTGTGGGTGGAGAGTGCAGACAGCGTTGCTATGCTGGACAATGGGATGATTCATGTCCCAGGAGGGATGGCAAAAGATCTCATCATGCTACTCAGAAGGTGCAAATTTAACACCAATGAAATGTTTATTTTTGGAATTTTCCATTTAATATTTTTGGATTATGGTTGATCACAGGTGACTGAAGCCTCAGAAAGCAAAACTTCAGATAAGGGGGTAACTACTACGTAACCTTGTTTCATAACTATTGGTTTGTCTGGTGTTACCACACTGGCTACCTTGGAAGTTATTTGATGAAAGAAACCATCCATCTTATGTATCCAGTCGAGTTCCTGCCCTACAGCAAGAGTTCAAATAAATATTTGTTGAATTAATGGATGAAGAGATAAATGATGGAAATGAATATACAATGTGTATAAATAATATACAAAGTCCACCAATTTTTGTATATAAATAATAGCCCATTCTTTATCTCTGCAAAGATCACAGCAAGAATATACACGAGAAAATTGCAGGAAAAAAGAGTAAGTCAGAGTACAGAAGAGTTTTCTTGTCCTGACACATTGGAGTACGTTGCCCAAATAGAAGAGCCTTTGCTTAAAATAATTTAACAAAATAACAAAGAACATGTCTTCACCAGTGATTTATGCCTAAATTTTAAGCATTTTCCAGCCTGATCGAGAGTTTTGCAAAGTTGACAGCCCATTTCCATTTGTGACTCCCTGTTCTCATCTCTCTCATGTCCACAGGATAAACATTTAGTTTAAATGTGTCATTCTGGTCAAAAACATTCTTGCTTCACTGCTCATTGGTCTGGACCTTGATTTCCTAGACTCATCCTGCTCCTGCCACCCAGGCCTTCCTCCCTGAAGACTCTACCATGCAGCCTCTGATCCTCTGGAAGATGCAGTTGAGGACTGGTCCTTTGAATGCAGATCAAGGGGTCTCTGTGCACCCAGAGGGCCCCATGAGTTAGAGCCTACACCACTGGAGTCAGGCTCAAGCCAACATGGTTTCAAGATTCCTGCTCATTTCCTTCTTACTCATGTACCCACCGGGGCAGAAGCCCAGTCAGCTTGGCTCAATAGATTTAGGTCTTGCAAACTCCTTTCCCTAAGTGTGTGTGTGTGGGAGGTACACAGTGAAGAGAGACTTCTTTCTGTGTCTCTAATTCTGCTGCAACCCTGCATGGCCTCATGTTCCGGGGAGGTGGGATACTTCTTGTTCATTCCTGGGACTTGCTAAAAATAGTCTGGATTATCACGTTAGAAAATCTCAAATTTGTGGAAGTGGTGGGTGGATGGGGATGGCATCACACCGCAATCAGGTCCTTTTCCCCATTGGGCTGGACATGGCCTCAGGAGCCTTATTAAAACACTGCCTGATGGCTGCCCCAGTTCAGTTGGTGTTGGCACGCATCATCAAAGCCTATCTTTCACCCCTGCCCCCAGCCTTACTCTCATGCCCTATCTGCCTGATGCTAAGGATTCTTTGCTGCTTGGACATCTATGGTGGTGTCTGATTTTAACCCTGGTGCCTACTTGAACCACAGCTGCTTTTGCTAGACCTGGAGGCATACATTGGTATTTTCAGGACAGGTGGGTATCCCCTTACCCCACCAATCCTGAAGTCCTCCTATTTACTCTGACTGCGTTGCTGAGGACCCAACATGATATTCAGGCCAAACCTCACAATTTAGGCCAAATAGCTAAAATGACTAAATAAAGGTTTCCACACACAAGGAGGAACAGCCTTTGCCATGCTGAGACCCTCACCCATATTCAGTGTTAGCAAGATTGTTGATCATGTAAAAGTCTAATGATGAAAACAGCAGGAACCCTCTGGGTACATCTGAGTGCTGTGGGTGGATTTTCTCACTGGAACCTCAACGAAACTAAGGGTACTTTACAATCTGGCCTCATCTACATTTATGAATTCATCCTTCACCTTGTTTCCCTTGAACCGTATTTTCCATCCCTGCTAAGCTAAACAGACTCTTGCATCTTTTATATGTATCCTCTAACGTGTCATTTTGCCATTGGTAAACTGAGGTTTGGACTGAGAAGTAAATTTACACAATGAGGAGGTAGCAGAACTAGAGATCAAAGCGTCTCTGCTAACTGAGCCACTGTCTTAACCACTGATTTATACCAGTAGATGACCAAAAAAAAAAATCTTTCCAAGTTTCTGAGAGAGAACATCTTCATGACACATTGGCTTTCAATGACTGAATGTGTGCATAATAGTCATCTATGAAAACTTCCATTAAATAAGCTTGCCTAAAGTCCTTAAGGGCAGTTTCAGTTCTCTATAGACAGTGGTCTAGATGGGAAAGGTGAAGAATATATGCTTCCCTTTAGCAAATACATAACCTTAAGATTTCAGTAGTTTGGTCTGGGATCCCAAGGAGTCTCACAATTGCCCTTTTTGGGTATGAGACTTCTGGCTACAGAGCAGAAGGTTGTGTAGAAACCTGTCCCTCATTCTAAGGGTTTTCCATATTCCCCTTTCCCTAGAGACTGGATGTATGTTAATTGTGTTGAACTGGAGGAGGTGGAGGGGAGACAGTGCTGGGACTATCTTGGGCACAACATTTAAGACACCAAAGAAGGTCAACAATCAAAATCATTAATATTTTAAAACTATTTTTAAAAAATCAAAATAATAACAATTATTATTATTATTTGAGACAGAGTCTCACTCTGTCACCAGGCTGGAGTGCAGTGGTGCAATCTCAGCTCACTGCAACCTCCACCTCCCGGGTTCGAGCAATTCTCCTGCCTCAGCCTCCTGAGTAGCTGGGACAACAGGCACGTGCCACCATGCCCAGCTACTTTTTGTATTTTTAGTAGAGACAGGGTTTCACCATGTTGGCCAGAATGGTTTCGATCTCTTGACCTCATGATCCACCCGCCTTGTCCTTCCAAAGTGCTGGGATTACAATTAATACAAAAATCCTTGGTGAACAAAATATCAAAATTGTACATAAACATGGGATCAGTATTACTGATTTTCTTAGCCCATTTGGGCTTCTATAACAGAATACCACAGAATGGGTATCTTATAAACGGCAGAAATTTATTTCTCACAGTTTTGGAGGTGGGGAAGTCCAAATCAAAGTTACTGGCAGATTCAGCACCTGGTGAGGGACTGTTGCCCGTTTCAGAGATGGCTGCTTTTTCCTCATATTCATACATGGAAGAAGGAGGGGGGATCGCTCTGGGGTCCCTTTTATAAGGGCATAAATGGCACTTACGGGAGTTCCAACTGCATGACCTAATCATCACTGAAAGCCTCTATCTCCTGCTAACATCGCCTTGTGGGTGAGGATTTCATCATATGAATTTTGAGGGGAAACAAACGTTCACTCCATAGCACTGATAGTTCCTTGGCTTCAGACTCCAGTATGAATTCAGCATGGCACTGGGTGGAGATGACATGGGGTGAGGAATTTAAAATTGGAGACCTTATAAAATCCTTACTACCTGGTCTCTTTTCGAGTTAGACCATGCCAGGAACATTGTTGAAGTTATTCTAATAGAAGGCAGGAAATGCACTTTTCCAGTGTCTAGAGGGCTGGACTTAGTGGTTATAAGCAAGAAGCAACTGATCCTTTCTCTCACTTGCCCTAGCACAGCCACCCTGAGATCCCAAACCTCCCCATCCTGCTTGAAATCCTGAGCTGAACCCAAAGCTTTTCTAGTTGTCCCTTCTCAGTGAATAAAATTGCCTGATCACTTTTGAGTAAGAAAATACCTAGCTTAGGGCCATATCAAAGCTAAGTTCTCAGCCCATTTTTAACCTATTCTAACTTCTGGCTCAGAACTAAATTCATGGGCAGGGGACCTTATGTAGGAAAGGGAGGCAGGGTCAGATTCCTCTCTTCCTTGAGCCACCTTTTCAACCACATGTTCCTTGCTGTTCAGGTCCCCTCCAGGGGTATGAGGGAGAAGAGGTGAAGTCCAGGAAAGGCTTCTATGACAAGAATTGTTGAATTCTGATACCAAAGGCTTCTGGCTGTTGTGGGACCCAGATGCTGCATCTTTTTCACATGGGACCACTTGGGATAGGAGTGGAGGGATCTCTAGACAACTACTATTTTCAGGGCCTCTATTCTGTGGTTCCCCTGACATGAACAGAGTCTCTCCTGATGGCCACTTAAGACACCCTCAGTCTTGTTTGCATATCTAAGGCCCTTGGGGTTGCCCTCTTAGATGGATCTCTCTCCACAGGATGCAGTCTTGCTTCTTATTAGGACACAGCAAGTCCCTGAGAAACAGGTTCATTGGCCCAGCCAACTCTGGAGTACAGATTGCTCCCCATGCAGCACTGCCTCTTACCTCCAAAGCTACCCAAAGACACCTCTACCCACTACAATTTCCAGCTGAGAGTCAAACATCTGTCTCCACCTCCACGGCCACACACATCCAGCAAGGAACACACGTCAAATTTTCCACATGGCTCTCCTAGCACTTACCAATTAGCCAAAGAAAAGTAGAAGCATGACCTCTCCCCCATAAGAAAGAGGGGCAGGAATCACCCGGAGCAGAGACCACTCACACTCTGAAGACATTCTTCAACTTTCAGCAAACTCAGTCTTTTCCACATAGTCTAGAGCTGTCTCCAAAATTTCACACCAAAAAAGGTGTGTTTTTAATTCTCTCCAAAAAATACATTAGAATTCATATATGGTTGGATTGTTTTAAACATGTGTGTAAAATACAAACAATTTAACATAACGTTATTAGAATTAGTACTTTTCCTAGATATAGCGTGATATATGCAGAAAATGATACAACACACACATACATATATACACAGTCACCCACACATGTGCATGTGTATGAACCTAAACACAAATGGAGGAAATAAAAAGTTAAACACCAAGCAATTTTCTCATCTCATGTGGGCTAATTTCTCAGCCAGATTTATAGATTTTTCTTTCAAAGCTAACTTCCATCCATTAAATTCTTCTCCTATTGCCCTCAGGCAGGGCTCTGTTGACACGTCTGATCTACCATGCAGTGAGGCTCCCACTTAGTCTTCCTATATGCATGTTGCTTTCCGTCTTCTAGGCCACCCTACATAGCTCTGTCCAATAAATCTTTCTAAAAGACAGTGTTATCCTGTATCTTTCCTCTACAACCATCAATGGTTCCCTAGTGGCTACTGAATAATTTCAAATGCCTAGATGTTTTTCTTCCATGACTTAATGTCTTATTATATAGAATATCTCTATTTGAGCTAAATGTATTATGTTCCAATTCAGATACACTTTCGTATCTTTGCACACAGTAGACACATGATCAATGTGATGAAGAGAGTTCTAAGTGTTCATGGTGTTAAAATATTTGTGAGTAGGGTAGTGCTTGACGTTTAAAGGGTATTCTAACAGGGTTCATGTGTATATCTCTATTAAATTACAATTTAATTTCCTCTTGTGCATCTATTGACCTGATTCATTACACATTTTTTAAGGAGAAAAACTATGCTCTTTTATGAATGAAAACCCAGTGCCTGGAAATCATTAAATGTTCAGGAAGTGAATAAGTGAATGTTACTCAAAAGATAACAGATCAACGAATGTGTTTAAGGGACTGAAAAATAATAAACTTATATTAACATGTTAAAAATATAAAAAAAGAAAACAGACAAAAATATAAGATATGTGTTTTGGTCAGGATAGGCTAGGTTGGCTGCATAACAAACATCACCAGTAAGTCAAGGGTTCAATGCAACAAAAGTTCCTTTCTTTGCTTACACAGAATCTAGTGTGAATGCTTCTGGTTGGCAGTGTCCTAGATTTTCCTCAATGTGGTCACACAGGACTGAGGTCCTTCCATCAGCTCACTCCCCACTAACTCCTCCTTAAAGCTCTCTTCTTGGTCCAACCAGCTGACAAGCAAAGACTAAGAGCATGAAGGATCTGCTAAAATGAGGTATTTTAGGAACCAGGCTGAGTATACGTGCCAAGTGCTCATTACTTCCAGGCACATTTTATTGACCTTAAATTCAAGTCCATCATCCATCTGGATTCAAGGTAGTTAGAGACACATGGTTTACATTGTACATAGGGATGGGGGGAAACCAAATTTGACAAATACTTGCAGCCTCTCATGCACTTGATTTTTCTGTATAGATTTAGATCAAGCACAGAACCCCTTTCTCTGTCAATCCCATGAGCTAGATCTTGACAACCTCAATTGCAGGGAGATTATAATAGTTATCAATTACTGCATGTCAAGTTACCCCAAAACTTAGCAGGTTTATACAACATTTATTATTCCAGAGTTTCTGTGGGTCAGAAATTCCAAGTATCCCTTAGAAGTTGGGTCCTCTGGCTCAGGATTTCTCAGGGCTACAGTGTAGTCTTTGGTCAAGGCTGAAGTCATCTCTGGGCTATACTGAGGGGATTGATGTGCTTAGAGGCTCATGCAGTGGCTGCTGGCAAGATTCAGTTTCTTGTGGGTTCTTATACTGAGGGTGTCAGGTCCTCACTGGCTGTTAGCTGGAGGCTGCCCTCAGTCTTGTGCCTGTGTGTGGGTCCCTTGAGAGGGCAGCTTGCAACATAGCAGCTTGACTCAACAGAACAAGCCACCCAAAAAAAACAAAGGAGAGAGGTGATCAAGACAGAAGCCACAGTCCTTTCTAAGTTAATCTCATAAGGACATTCTATTATTTTTGCCATAGTCTATTCATGAGAAGCAGATCCACACTTAGGGGGAGGTCTATGCAAGTGCATGTGCACCAGGAGGCAGGGGTTACTGCCAGTCATTTCAGAAGCCAGCTGCCACAGAGATCATAGAACAGGACAACTCTAAATGCCTCAACTATGGTGACTGAGTGGTTGGCTAGCACATTTAATTAATGGGGTAGCCAAGGAAATTTGGTTCACGACATTTTGGTGGTGGAAGAGAGAATTGCAGAGAAGACTTGGGGGAAAGAGAGATATCCAGTCAATAGAAGCGTTTCCTCAGCAAGTGGTGTACGCAGTGTTAAATTGAAACTTTACCATGAACAGGGAAATTGCTTTCAAAACACTGTAATTGAAATAGCTGAACTGAATAAGACAATAAATTAAAGGGAAAAGAGTGAATTATATAAAAAATATATATTACAAAGATTTCTGTGACGATATTCAGATCTATATCAGAGATTTGCTCTGAGAATTAAATGAGATGATGCATCTGAAACCAGCTGATGCAACAAGTCTCTCTCAGGCGAGTCCTGAGAGTCTTTCAACAAGCTCCCAGGTAACCCTGATGCTTCTGGCCTGAGGACCACCCTTTGAGTAGCAGGGACCCAGCACCGTGCCTGGCTTATGTATACTCAATGAAAATGGTTCCCCTATCTCAGTGGTCCTCAAAGCTGAGCGGACATCAGAATGAACAGAGGGCTGTGTTGTAAGACAATTTTCTGGATTCCATTCCCAGAGTTTAGGAGTCAGCATCTCTGGGACAGGGACTGAGCACAGTAAATTCCTAATACAAGCCATCATCCCTGCCCTCAAGGAGTCACAGTATATAACTCGTAAAAGGAAGTATCTCCTCTCCTCTGGAAAAAAAAAAAAAAGCTGTTTATAAACCCAGCTACAGTGAGTACCTTGGAGCTATTAAAACAGTAACAAATGCCTTAATTAGGGCAAGAACAGGGAGTTCTGTAAATCTCCTCCCAGGTCCCTCTGAAGCAAGCAGCTTCCCCCACTGATGCAACCAGGAGTTCCTTTTTACTTTATAAACGTTCCTGAAACAACAAAATTAAAGTCCTCCAAAAATGAGATTATAAACGTTAAATGCTATTTACAAATCTCATGATAGAAACTGCAGCAGAATTCATTTTAATATTGTCACTTAATAAATATGCCACAAGTTTTTTGTTCCCCTCTAAATTATCTTAAATTTCTTCAAAATATGAGCTCAGAAAGAGGGTGAGTTCTTATTGTGTGTGGCAGGGACTGGGGAAAGCACAAAATTAAGTAAACTATGGGCACTCCCCAGCCCCCTCCACCCATAACACCCTCAGTCGCCCAGAGCTCAGAGGGTACAAACTAGAAATCAACCCACCAAGTTCATTTCTAACTCAAGCCTTGGTGTTGCGATTTTACCTACTGAAATGCTCTTCCCTGCAAACTTTGCCTGGCCTCCTCTTCCTCTCCAATCTAACACTTTACCTGGCCTGGCTTTCTTCTCTTGGGAAAGGTTGCAGTGAGCCGAGATTGCACCATTGCACTCCAGCCTGGGTGACAGAGTGAGACTCTGACTCAAAAAAAAAACAAAAACAAAAACAAAAAAACATAGCGTCTCCTCCTGTTGAGGGAAAGGATGAGCCGTCTAGCCCAGGGAAGAGCCGAAGTCAAGGTGCTGGGGGCTGCCAGGATGCAGGTGGCTCTTCGTAAGCATGGGTGCTTGTGGAGAAGTGGTGGGCAGCCACGTGGAATCCAGGTGTGCAGAGGGCAGACTGTGAGTGTCTTGTGTGGGGTGCTAAGGAGCTAGTTCTTCCTGTTGAAATTCAAAGGCCACTATTGAACGGGAGGGAGGCTTTATGGGGTGTGTTTTAGGAAGGTGATAGGGAAGCAGAAGGAAGATAGAATATTGGGGCCTGGAGTGACGGAAGGAGAAAGGGCTCCCAGTATAAAGACCACTGCATTCATATAGTCAGGAGGGAACGGGTCCCTGGAGACCAAGGCAACAGGTCCATGAAGGTCATGTCTAGGGAGCACGACTGAGTGAATCCACTCAAGAAAGATGATCTCCTACACTTTTCTTTCACATTCGCCAAAATGAGGCTGTAATTGAATGTTTGCATCCCAGGTTTGAAACCTAATCTCAGAACCAAATCTTCCCCCTTTTTACAGGTTCCTGAAAGTCCTCTGGCACCTTCAATTGCCTGTATTCATCATAAGTCTGAAGTCCCTTCTCTTAACGCAGCGAATGCCTCTGCTTCTTAAAGAAGCTAAGCTCATCTCCAACTCAGGGCCTTTGTGTTTGCCATTCCCTCTTCTTGGAATGCCATTCCATGTGATTTTGCCTTCTTGGCTGCTCCTCATCACTCACCTTATTACTTAACCATTACCTCCTTAGGGGGCCTTTCCTACCCACTTCCCAGGGTGCCATATTTCCAGCTTTTACTTTCTTTGCCCTTTCATCATTTAAAATGGCCCAGCACTCTTATTTGTTAAAGTATTTATTCTCTCCCTTTCCTCAATAGAATGTCTTGTGGGGTAAAAGAATAAAGATTTTTCTCTGGCTTTGTTGCTTTGACCTCAGTACATACAACAATGCATGGCACATAGTAGATGCTCAATAAATTTGTATTGAATGAGTGACCCAAGGAACCAGAAAGGTGAAAATTAGGATCTGAAGATACCCTGTTGCTCAGGAGCCACCATTTATTCTCTTTTCTCAACGACATTCTCTTCCTCTATTATTATATTAATCCACCCACAAGGAGAGGAGAGACTTGCATCAATGCAAGAGCAAATTCTCCAAGGCAAGTAATAAATCCCACTGCAGGTTTTGCCCAGTGGATATCAGTTCTGGTAGTGGGAAGCATCACTTTTTCTCTGGGCAAGGTACATATCTATGTGACAGCCTCTGTTTATAATAGCTACCACAGAGACCAGACAGGAGGCATTAAAAATTAAACAAGAGAAGAGTCGATCAGCTTCCAATCTTGGGTTTATAGACAGGAAAATGCTTAATGACAGGTGGTCTCTGTACCAGAGGTGGCCTCTGAGAGACATTTCTCTTGATTTTATTTTTTAATTAACTTTTATTTTCAGTATTTTGTCCCCCTTTTCTGCCCCCGATGGAATAATATTTAAATGATAAAAGGCTCACCGCTGTTTCCAGAGCAGCCCAGATCACCTCTCCACCCAGCTGCAAGGGGAGGGAATCTTTAAAGATCACTCTGTTTTGGAATTCTAATGTTGCCAAGTGGCACACATGGATTCTCATCATATGGCTCCCAACTGCAGTTCTTTAAGCTAAAGAGTGCAGTTCTTCACGCTTCCTTGTGACAGTCTCCTAATTACCCATTCTGAGCCCTCTGAAACAGCATTCCTCCTAGTTAAGGATCTCTGCCATCACCGCAAGACACCAGTGAGTTGACTATATTTTATTCAGCATCTATCCACTGTGCATGAATAGTAAAATAGGCACAGTCTAAGGCTTACTATGTGGCATTAAGATATATTCTGACTCAGAACAGAGTCACTGTTAGATTAAATATAGAATATATATATATGAATACACACATAAACTTTTATTATAATGTAGTCATTAATACTTCCAAGTAAGTCATATCTTACTTTAGTATGAATGCTGCCCTCTCATATCCATGATCTCGTCTGATTTTCACAGTCACCCAGGGAGATAGCAATCGTATTCTACTCATCTTACAGAAGTCAAAGCTAAGGCTCACAGAGGCTGAGTAACTTACCTAAGGTCATATAGCTAATGAGTGCCATAGCTGAGATTTGAACCTAGGCAGTCTGATACCAGAGCTATGCTTCACAACACTGAAATGTACAGGTGTGTCCTGAGGAATGATGAAAGGAGAAAAAAAATAATTTTGGAAGTATAGTAGGAATTAGATTGTGCAGGATCTTAAATGCCATGAGAAGTCATTTGGAGTTTATTTAAGTCACTTAAGGAAATATCAGGGTTTGAATGAAAGGTCTTTGAATAAAAAGACTGACAGTTTTACCCTCCACTTTGTCACTTTATTATAATTAAAATTATATATATATACATATATGTCTGTTATATTTGTGCCACTCTCTTTGCTAGAATGAATCTGTGACATGAACAGAGTCCTTGTGTGACTTATTCATTGCCTACCTACGTCAATGTCTGGCATATATAAGGCACTCAGTATTCATTGAGTGAATGAACCAAGGAAACCATGTCTAAAGCTCCAATGCCATCCCAAGCCTGGACCCCGGGTTCCTTAAACTAAAAGCACACCATTGTCCAACACAGCTGTCCTAGATGTTGAACAGAATGACCCCTTGGACCCAGCCCCATCCGGTTCTGCCCATCCCTCACAACAGACTTGGAATATAAACCTGGCCTCAGGTTTTCTTAGAAGACAAGATGGCCTTGTTCTGGTTTGCTGAATGTAGCATACCACTCTGGATTACCTGATTTGATAGGGACTCTTGTCAAAAGTGGTCACCTTGCCTATCTGCTGTGCAATTTCCCTTTATTATTAAGTGTTGTATCACATAGCTTCATTTGAACAGTAGTAAAAGAGGAGGCAAAAAAAGAAAAGAAAAGAAAAGAAAGAAACCACCCACATGTGAACTCACCCCTCCCTGTTCATTCCGACCTTCGCTTCATTGCCTCCTCCATATCCTCCACTGTTAGTACAGAGCACTTAACCTTCCACGGGGTATTTTTATGCTCCATTTTCTGTGCCATTATGAAGGAGATGAAAGTAAATGGAGTTCTCTTTGGATGGGAGCTGTTATCACCCACTTACGGGCTTTCCCACCCTTCCCACTTCCCAAAGGGGAAACACAGATGCAAAGAGAGTGAAGGTGTTTTCGAATTAAATGCATCTCAGAAAGCCAGGTAGGCAAGAACAAATATGCCTTTTGCTAGGAATGCCAAACTAGTAAAGCACCTCCAATTGATCTGCACGGAAGAGCATTTACTTAGTAACAAAGCAGACCAGTGCAAGACCGGCTAAGCTGTCTTGTTTACTCCCTGCCGGGGTCTTGTGCTTCTCATTTCCAACACTTGTCACACACAACTACTTGTGTAATGTCTGCTTTCAAGGATATTGTTATGATGATCTATTCTCATGTAACTTAGTGGCTGAAAACAATAACAGACATTTGCTTTGCTCACAAATATGCAATTTGGGTCAGGCTCATTAGCAGTAGCACATGACTGTTATACACAGGGCAGCTGTGTTAGCTCCACTGAGGTCTGGAAGTGAGTTATCTATTCCAAGATAACTCACTCACACAGCTGGCAGTCCTTGCTGGGAACTGAGGTGGGGCTGTTGGCCAGAGGGCCTCAGGTCCTCTCCAAATGGGCCTCCCCATGAAGCCCTTTGGCTTCCTCAAAACAGGGTGGCTAATTTGCAAATGCGAGTGTTCAAGACAAGAAGAAGAAGTCATCAATCTCTTAAGGGCTGGTCTGACTGTTAGGAGTGAATTGTGTCCCCTTGAAAAGACATATTGGAATCCTAACTACCAGTACCTCAAAGCATGACCTTATTTGGAAATAGTATCTTTGTAAATATAGTCAAGTTAAGAGGTAGTCATTAGGGTGAGGCCTCATCCGACGTAACTAGTGTCCTTAATACAAAGGGTACATTGTGACAGAGACACAAATGTGCACAAAGAGAAGACAATACAAAGACTCACAAGGAGAATGCCATGCAGAGATCAAGGCCGAGATGGAATGATGCATCTACAAGCCAAAGATGGCCAGCAAACCATCAGGATGTGCGGAGAGGCATTGGACAGAGTCTCTTTCAGAGCCTCAGAAGGGACCAACTCAGCCAACACCTTATCTTGGACTTGCCACCTCCAGAACTGTGAGACAATTAATATTGTTTTTAAGGCCCCCATGTCTATGGTATTTTGCTATGGTAGCTCCAGGAGACTAATATACTGATACCACATCGCTGTTGACCAAAGCAGTCACAGAGCCAGCCCAGAGCATCAAGAAAATTCTTGGCCATCTTTAAGGACCACAGATATGGAAGCAGAGGCCATGGCTATCTTGTTTTTCACTACTTCACCACTGCCTGGTACATGAGTGGTGTACAGTGGATCTTTGTTGAAAGAAAGAAGAGGTTCCTCATTTTTTTTCTGCCTCAAATTGATTTAAACCTAACCTTCCTACTGTAATATTTCTTTCTAAAACATTCTAGTTTTTAGTACACAGACAAAAAAGGTATCATGATGGTTAGTGGCGTATGTTTCACTTCTACATTCTAAATTACAGTATTTCAAAGAAGTGTGTAGCCTACTATCCTCTGAGCCTCCACCTGCTGCCCGTGTACAGGCAAGGAGACTCGGTATGGCTGGAGCCCTAGGAATTGGGAAACTGTCAAAGAATCAGACCAGCACTGTATTTCCAGCCTCTTTTCCCATTAGGGATATACACGGACCTCTGAGTTCATCTGAGAAGCTCTTACTGGAAAGCTGATGCTATGTGCATATGGCTATGCCCAGGAAGATTACATTTGGCCAAGACCTCCTCATGGCAGGACGCAGAAACAGTGTTATGCTCCACAGCTCCCAGAATTACCAAAACAGGAGGAGGAGAAGGAGAAAGAGAACAGAGAAAGAAGGGGAAGAAAAGGAGGAAGAAATGGGAGGACGAGAACAGTTATTATTGATTAAGCCCCTACTATGTACCTGGTACTTTACACATGTTGTTTTATTTAATCGCCACAAAATTTTAATGCCGCAGGTATGAAGCTCCCTGTTGTACACCTGAGAAAACTGAGGCTCATAAATTACTGACTTTGTACCCATATCACACCATTAGAGAATGGTGAGACTGGGATTTAAATTCAGGTTCATAGAACTCTGAAAGCCACGTTTTTCACCATGACGCAGAACCAAGCAGAGTGGAGGGGTCAAGTTTATACCACACAGCCGTGTGCTCACATGGGAAGACCAGAGTCAGGTACCACGGAACGAGTCATTAAAAGTCACCTGCTGGTGTATCAAAAGTGACAGAAAACCTGGGGCTCTGGAATCCCTGTTTTCTATTTTGGAATATCCAGCTCATTCTCCTAATTCAAAGAACAAATTTTCCCAAAAGTGCATGAAATCCCACTGTACAGTTTCATACCAATTCACACACACACTTCCTCACTGAGTGCGATTTTTCTTAAATATACTATTGGCACTTTCTTAATAACTGTGGTCTCTTGGGAAAGTCATGTGAAAAATATCTGTTTCTATTTAAGACAGACAAAGGCAGGAGGAGAAAGGGGGCCCTCTCATCCCAGTGGCGTGCTGCCTTTTCCTGCCCAGCATTTCTTTCCACAACCGTTCGGGCCCGAGACATGTGATTCATTACACTCCCTTTCGCCTTCTCTCCTTGATACTTCAGGCCTGGCAGTTTGGAGGAAGAAGGAAGAGGGAGAGGGAGGGATGGGAGACAGGAGGGTATCGCTGATAAGCACAAAGACCCAGCCAACTCCGGAAGCCCAAGCTGCACACCGCTAAGAGGAGCTGACTTCCAGCAACATGAAAAGATGAGTGAGGAGGCGGCTTACGGGAACTTCCTTTTC
This sequence comes from Homo sapiens, assembly GCF_000001405.40. NCBI lineage: Eukaryota > Metazoa > Chordata > Mammalia > Primates > Hominidae > Homo > Homo sapiens. The sequence goes on along the minus strand of NC_000015.10, from coordinate 94,584,928 downwards.
TTGTGGTGTGGCCGGGTCATAATGGTGCTGTGGTTACACAGCAAAGGCTCATTAAAACAATAACTAAACCACAAGTGCTATAACTAAGAATTCTCTTTTGCAGCACGCTTTGCTGAAATAGCTGGAGAATGGGTCCCTGTCTCCTGCCACTTACTCGCCCTGCTCCTGGTGTACGGTAAGATTAATTTAGAACAGAAAAGAGGAGCAGAAATCCCTTACATCCTAATATAACTTTCCGGATGACAGTGAAGAGAGGTTCAGGCGCTTACATATTCAAGAAAAAGCATTGTAGATAGATCTTTCTGGATCATAAGGAGGTCTCCATTTAGAGTTAAATTCCACGTTCAGAGTATAATTTTCTTTGGGCACTATAGAAGTGCCGTAGCTCATGCTATCATGAAAGAATGGCTGGCTGCATTTTCAAAATGCTTCCCTAGGTGGTACATGCATTTGAATTAGTGAAAAAGGTAGAAATGAAGAGCCAAAGGCAAGTAATTCAATATAACCAATTGGCATTTTAAAATTTCACATTTCCCTAGCACCTTTTTGCTTAACTCATCTAAAATTCCAAACAGCCTCTCCCAGGACAGATAAAAATAACCCTATAGTTCCAACAATATAAGATTATAGGGGGATTTAATCCTAAATTGTCCATTTCTAAAATGTAAGTATGACCGAACTATAGGTCATTCAAGCTCTTTTTCAATTATCATATAACTGTGTCTGGCAAACATACTTGCTTATTCCCAATCCCCGAATTGCAATGGTTTTCTATTCAGTACCAACTAACATGCAAACTTTCTAGCCTGGCCTTGAAGATTCTTTAAGTTCAGGTTCTGGCCCACCCCAGCTCTCAGCTCTTTTCTCTTACACTTCCCAACAGGCACACCGCATGTGCTAAAGTGGATTTCTCATCCTGCTCCAAGTTAGCCAAGAGCATCTGTACAACCACTGGGAAGTCAACTTCACTTCAGATCTCGCCTGCACCTCTCCACCTTATGGTCTGCCCAGGAGCTAATGGATTTGGAGATGTAGCAGACCTGGAGCTAACTCTATCCTGCCGCTTATTAGTGAGGCAGTCTTGGGCAGAGAGAACACTGACTCAGTTGAAAGTGCTCAGAAAGTCTTGACCTCATAGAATTCTTGCAAGTATTAAATGAGAAAATGAATATAAAAGACTCAGCAGAGCACGTGACATAAAATAAGGACTAAAGAAAGAGAGGATGTTGTTGCTACAAATATTACTACCTCCAGTTGTCAAAATCCTTTCATCATGCCAAAAGTTAATCCAAATGCAACCTCCAAGGTTATTGTATTTGGAAGCGCTCTTTCCCCTCTGAACTGTAGAGCTAAATTGCATAGAGGGGATTTCTCACATGTAGCTATTCCATGTAATTATTTTAATATAATATAAAAATAAGAATGTCTAATACTTATATATGTGTTCATTAGTACTCTAAGCACTTTACATACATTATTTCATTTACTCCCCACAGTACCTCTGTGTGCCTTGTACTGTTATTATCCCCATCTTACAGATGAAGAAACTGATACTGTGAAATCAAGAAATTTGTGCAACATTGCATAGCTAATGAAAGGAGACTCTGGGAGTCAAAGACAAAAAGGCAGGCTCCAAGATCTCTGTTCTTGCTGCTACTTCATCTCTGCTTATATCTTATCAGGGTAAGAGAGGGTGAGTCCTTAAATTTTGTGCACCAGAGCCTCTCCTGTTTTACAGTATTCCTGGTGCTATAATCTTATTGCAATGGAAAGGAAATTGAGTTTAAGGTCATAGACTTGGCCTCAAAGTCCCCTTAGCCTCTTAAATAGCTGTGCAATCTGGGGCAAGTCATTTAATATTTCAAAATCTCCATTTGCACAGCTGGAAAGTGGAAATTCTTAGAAGATTATACGAATAATATATGCATATCAAATGCCTATTAGCCAACGTATGATAGGTACTCTATTAATCCATTTTATTAATACTAGTTTGAAGGTTTTAGGTACCAGGGATCAGATTTTATATATTTTCTTTGTTCCTCTTAACTGAATCTCAGAAAAAAAATTTCACATTTCCTGACACAGAGGAACAGCTCAACATACACATCTGTGGCCTGATTAAGTGAATGTATAAACAAATGCCTGTGTGATATAAGAAAACAATTCTAGAAGAATATAGAAAAAATGTCATATTTGGCTGAGTTTGTACCTGAAAACCTTATTAATGAAACAGCACATTCCTTTATGTTGCAATGACATTTGGAGTCTTCTTTAATACAGCAAGTGCTCTCTTCCACCCTGAGACTGCCCTAGTTTAAGGCCAGGGGACAGTCTGAGGTTGACTCAAAGGCCGACAGCACCACCTACTGAACTGTGACTTCCCACATCCCAGAAAGAGGCCAAAGTGTGAATTGTGTCAAGACCATGCCACAGCCCTTAACTCCAAGCTTAAACAGAGCTTAAGTGAACACGACAGGATTGTGAAAAAGATAATGTCTCTAGGAAAAGGAGGGCTCATTTAATTTGCATGCCTCGCTGTCCTCTGAGGAGCCATCATTTGTGTGTTTTGGTGGCTTTGGGAAGCAGGCAGCCCAGTGGCTCTAATCTCAGCCTCAGCTGGGGACCAAACTAGAGTTCCTGGGAACTCATTTTTCTCATAATTCAGCTGCATTTTACTAAGAATCGTATAATTCTTGTACAAAAGCTGCGGAAGGCTACAGAGCTGTTCTTGCTGGATTTTCCCGTGAAGTATGGCGACATTTAGTTAAAACGTTCAACAGCAGGATAGCCTTGGATGAGGTGATAAAGGTCATCAGCGCCTGGCCTTCTCTCCTTCATGAGTCACTGGCAAACAGCACTGAGTTTTGACTCAGTTTACCTGCTTCCTGCTTTAGCATCTGCTCATTAGTTGAGGGGAATAGTGAAAGAACCCAATGTCTAAATTCCAATCATGTTGGACTTGTTGACACTGAATTGCCTGAGCATCTGACACAGTTCCTGGTGTGTAGTAGATGATGCATAAGTGCTTGGTACATGAATGAATGAAACACACTGGCCCTCTGGCCTGGGAATGGGAACTTCTTCTCTCCCATGCCTGATGTTCAGCTCTGCAACCACAATGCAAGTTCCCTTCCAGAGCCCTCTGGCCTCCTTCATTCAATGCGAACTGTGACTCTGGTGCCCGTCATGTACAATGCATGGGGCACCCAGACAGCAAAACTCTTAATTAAGGAGAGTCCCAACTTGGTTCATCTCACTGATTTGTTTCCAGTGTCCAGAAGGCTGAGAACCACATAGTCAGGTTGTTGGAAAATATTTGTAGAGTGAGTGAATCAAAATACTAGCAAAGGGAGCTCCACAGAAGGAGGAACAAGGGAAAGAAGGGAACAGAAAGACGGGCGGGGGGAGGAGAAAAGGAGAGGAAAGAAGACAGCCCTCCAAGGAGGATGGTGGAAGCACTTATGTTAGAGAAGCAGCTCATACATGTGTCTGCCTCCTCAGCTCAACCAAACAGCAATTCTCATCTCTACCACCGCTGTTACTCCTGCATGCCCAGCCAGCCCTTGCTCCTTCTCCAAAGCTCAGCCAAATATCCATCCTCAGTGGAGAGCCTTGTAGTGTGGGTCGGGGGTCGGGGTACATTCCTTTCCACAGCCCACCCAATGGCTGAGTCCTGCTTTCTAGGGACACACGAGTGTCCATCTTGGAACCCCAAATAAGCTCTGCAGCCGGACTGCATCTTTCTGTCTCTCTTGGTCTGTCTGGCAGCCGGTCTCTTCCTCTTTCTCTGCTTCCCTTTCTGTGGGCCTCTCTGTTTCTTTGCCTGTCTCCATCTCTTTTTCCCTTTGTGCGTTTGTGTCTCTACCTCTCTCTGCATCTATCTGTGTCTCTGTGTCTACTGTTGCTATGTCTGTCAGCTCTGTGTGCCTTTCTCTGCATGTCTCTCTGTCCTCGTGTCTCTTTCTGCCTGTCTCTCTCACTTCTCCCTTGCTCTCTTTGTGCGTACTCACAGTCTCTGTGTGTGTCCTCTTCACTCTCAACAGATTGCTTTGTCTTTGTGTATATTCTAGTGGCATCTGACATAAAAGTGTCCTGTCTTTCCTTCCCATCCCTCTACTCCTGACTGAAATCCTTGGTGGAGGCGCTGTACACCGCTTATTTAAACCACAGAATTGCAGAGTCCTTCGTGCTGACAGCAGCACTTTGGGGGAATATGCCTCACCATCCTCTCAGCTTACATAACCACATGAAGGCCTGAAATAGAATGTTCCAGAAACAGGTTACCTCCTTCCTTTACTTTCCCTGGAAGGTCCAGAGAAGCCATCAGCTCCTCGATGATTTGGAAACTCCCTAAATTGTATATACTAGAATGGCCTCAGTGCTGCAGAGAGAGGGGGGGCCTGAAAGAGGTCATTAGGAAGATTTGGTCCGTGTGCCTCTCTGTGATGAAGTCCATGTCTTGGCGCATTGACAGATAACTGGCAGCTCTCCCTCCCTGGAACTCGGCTTACCAGATTGAGCAGCCCAGACAGCAGTTTAACCCGAGGGTCAGAGGGCAGCCAGGCGTTATCTACCAACTGGCTGTGTTCCCTCCGCCTCGCTGAGTTCTGCCTTCCCTTATAGACTCTGACAGGAGGGGCCAAGCCACGGGGCTCCCCCTAGGATTTAGGGATGTAAAGAGCCTTCCAACACCCCCCCTCCCATTTTTAAGTGCATGAAACTGAACACAGATTCCTTATTAATAACATATACCGGAGGGAACATCCTGAGATGCAGGAAATGAGAGAGACAGCACATCAATTTGAGGTGTGCACAACACACACACACACACACACACACACACACCCCAGTGTGCGAATCAAAGCCATCTTGCGAATCTTCAGTTGATTAAAGATGAGGATTGAAATGCATCTTAATAACCAGAAAATAACTTACAATCTAACATCTTGATTGTACTAGATTTCAAAGGGCAGCAAGATGTGTTGAAATGCACATATCTAATCACCAGTGGAATTAACAGATTTGCAAAAGTTGTGCTTGAGAACATTATGTGTAGCTGTAACACAGCATAATCAAATTCCCATTTAATTTTATTAATGTTAAAATTCAGACTCTTTGCACATTACCATTCTTTCTAATATTAAATTGGGGGTTATGGAGAAAGCGCATTTTAAAATGTTTTCTTTCTTGTAGGTATTTTAAAGCAAAATCGTGTATTTTCATATCTTATTATTCATTTGAGTAAGAGCGTTCCCCCCCCCCCCCCATCAACCTTGATCCCACAAACCAAGTTGGGTATAATGGAGACCAAGATTGGCTGCTCCTGGCGCTGCAGGCGTCTTGTCTAGGCACTTGTGGCATTTTTCCATGCACTCTCTTGGCTGTGTTCCTTTCCCCTTCCTCCATCTGCCTGCCACTCCAGTCCACTGTCAACGATGTTTACACATAAGCCCATTGTCCTTCACTGGCTGCCAAGGGCCTGCATGATCTTCTCCTCCTCCCTCTGCAGCTGTGCTGACCATGCATCTCAGAAAACCCAGATCCCAAGATATTTCTGTCACTCACCTGAGACCTCCATGGACCAGGATCCCATCCTGGCTGAGCTTCAGAATCGCATTGGGTGAGGGGTGAGATGCCATGCAAAGAAGACTTTGAATTTTATAAGCAAGAGACCCACATGATCAGAATTGCATCAGGACTTTTAAAAAAGAATAGAAAGAAGGGGTATGAATTTGAGCAACAAGAATTTGGGAGTGTGATAATGGTTTTATTTGGCGTTTAACAGTCAGGCACATAGAAATCAACATATATATCCAATCATTGTGACTGGGATTAACATTCGGGTCCATGGTTATGTGGGATAAATAAGGGATTCAGAGAGGAAGAGAGAGAAGACAGAAACAACGTCTTTCCATGAAACAAGAAAAGAACCATTTTTTAACTTAAATTACCTAGCAGGGTTTAAAATACCACACATAGAATAATCTCACAACGGTCACTGGGTTAGAAATGCCATTTTTCCCATTAATTGGAGAACTGTAGCTTGGAGTCAGAAGATTTGGGCCCAAGTCTTGCTTTTATCTCTTCCTAGCTGTGAAACATTAGGCAAAGTACCTTGCCTCTCTGAGCCCAGAACACATGGCCTCTCTGCAATCATAACGAGTACTCTGCCAGCTTACCAGAGTAATTTAAATAATTTACTGAGAAAGGAAGGATATATCACGGTGCTCTGTAAAATAGAGACGCACAGATGTAAGGTGCTATTAATATAAAACTATATTTATTAACATGATTCTGGCTAAATTCACTTTTTCTCTTTTAAAAAATAGTTGAATGTCCAAACACTCTGCTTTTTCTGCACAGTGCCTCCACAGGCTTCATTTTTATTTGTGAAACCAGGTGGTTTTTGCCAATGAGTCCATGAAATGTCGTATTTATCATGATACCAAGAAAGGAAAAAAAGATTGGCACACAAGAAATGTGCTAAGGCTTGAGTCACACAGGCTTGAGCTCACATCCCAGGTCAGCAACTTAAAAGCTGCATGGCCTTGAGTATTTTACTTAAACTCTCCGTGTGCCTGTTATCTTAAAAGGAAAGGAAGAGAATGATACTCTTTGCTTTATTTTTGAGATTGTATACTATGTAAGCAAAACTGGGACAAAGAGTGTGGAATTGACCAAACTCCATTTAGATACAAATATCAGAAACCAAATTCAAGCTGGTTGAAGGGAATTTGTTGCCTCTGGTAACATTATTTTTCATATATAAACACATTTTCGTCTACATCTATTTTTATCTGTAGGTAGATAGGTGAAAGAGAAGTAAATACAAAGATGGAAAGAGAGGTAAATATATAGATAGTTAATAAATAAGTAAGTAGTTAGAAAGAAAGGTAGATGTAAAGATAGATCAATTGATCAATGGAACATATCTTGGATCCTATGCCCATTGCTGTGACCAAGAAGAGGTCTGTGCTGTGAGGGTCCCACTCAGTCATAAAGATTATGGGAAGAGCCAATTCTCCCAAAGAGGAAAAAGTATTGGACAGACAAAAACAATCCAAATCCACTACATTTCATCACAAGGCAACCTAGCACCCAGGTATTGCCATTTTGCTTTATACTCTTTTAAAGTTATTATCTTGCCTGATACAGACAACTACAACACGCTCCCCTCCTTTCCAAAGGGAGACCACGCAAAGGTATGTCTGCATACTTCATCTTGCTCAGAGTCCAAGCTCTCTGGGTGGTATGCATTCTTCTTTGTTAGGGCCAAATACAGAAGCCTCTACTCTGGTGATCTGGGATAACTACAAATAAAATCTCTCCTTGGAAAAGTTCCCCTTTTCCCAAGATCATCAGAGCACAGGGCAGCACTGTATGAGAGAGCTTTCAAAGGCTTACTTCTGGGGCCTGAAGAGGCGGTTCTTCATCAGCCAATTGCTTGCACCTGGATCACAGGGACGCCCACACTTAACCACCTTGTTCGGTGAACACACCTGATTCTGAGAAGGGTGACCAGAATCATTCCCCTTTGTGGGGGCTGAATCTATTAGCACTCACCTTCATTTAGTTAAGTCACCAGGACTGGATGATGGCTTTAGAAATGGAGGAGTCACAAGTCCTGGTCTGCCAGGCTAGGACTTTCTCTCGAAACACACTGCCTTCATAGACAGTCGCTCTGCTGGAATTCTGAAATCTTGTCATAAATTAGTTAATAAAGTCATTGCTTTAAGCCTCACGTAAGTTATTTGAAACCTAGTCGTGCCCCATCACCTTTGGCCTAGTTCAACGTTGCCCTCTAGTGGCTGAGTGTGACACCTCCCGGTTGTTCCTCATCTCACCAACCCCAAATCCAAGGCATCCTACAGCTGCTATTCATGATAAAACCCAATGGTCAATGTAAGAGTCATGTGACTCTTTGCACGTGTTTTCTTTAAGTTAGCCAATCCACACCTGCCAGGAAAAGGCCTACAAGACATCCACGGACCTTAATAAAGGCCTAGTCCCACAGGTCTCCTCTCTCCTGAGCGCCTCACCCCTGGTCGCACTCCCTGCTGCTTTCGGACATTCCGTGGGCCTCCTCAACCTCTCTGGGATTTGTAAGTAATACATTTCTTCTGCTTCATGCATTTTGGTTTTCCTGCCTCGTCGTATCTCACTTGAGTAACACACCAAAACCTAACTTTCTCCCTTCACTTAGGACTTTTCTTGAGAGTGACTGTATCAGCTATGGCCACTCTCAACAAAGAGATCTCAGGACCAGGTTAGAAAGAAATCATAACCACACAAAGTCTGTATGCTCTGATAACTAACACCAAAACTCGTGTTGAATTGTTTGACTTGTATAAGAAGCCCGTCTTTGCTCATTTGTCTCAGCAATAGAATAGATGTTCTGCCCATTCCAATAGCCTTAGGCTTACTGACTTCTTTCTTGGCTTGGCTTAGAGCAGTTTAAAATGTTATGTTTGCAGAGGTGAGGCAGGGCTGGTTGGCCCCTCACCCTTTCTTTGCTCTCTCTCCTCTCCCTGGCTGTATCCAGAGGACGGCACAGTATGGTCAGGGAATACCTACTAGCAGATAACATTGGGTAAATACGTGAAAATCAGGCTTCCCCAGATGGATTTGTAGTGTGTCATCTTGGTGTAGGGTAAATGCACCTGATAGCAATAACTTAAGCATACCCTTAGAACGACCCTGTTTGGCAGACGCACCTGAGTGTGTGTTTTAAGATAGGGAATCCAAAAATAGCAAACTCAGAACTTCATCGTCTGTCTATGAGGAACATCTGAGCCCCTGACCCATTCTGTGGAACATGGGCAGTACAGAGGTTTGAGGGCCCTGAGTGTTGTGTTAAATGAAGGTTGCCAGTGGAGGTCATTAGGGGAAGGGTGTTAAGTTAAAAATGCTCTACAAGATGCATGCTGCTTGCAAGTGGTTACAGTTTTCCTGCCCAGCCTGGGCCATGCAAATATGTTATCCAGCCCAATGCCACTGGGCCATTTCTGTGCATAAGGCGGTTCTTCTGACCAGTCCACCGCCACAGGACCCTCTCCCCTGTATGTAAGCTCCTAATAAAACCCCATGTCTCATTTGCTGGCTCTGGGTCTCCTCATAGGTCTCTTAAAACTGGTGCCTTCTCTGTTGTGGTTAATAGGAGTTCAGCACAACACTTGGCTAGGCTGAACATATTTCTTAGAATTCTACGACTTACATGTTTCCACTTAAGATGAACCTATTTATTGAGAAGTAGTTATAGATAGGTAGATAGACACATTGAGCTCAAATGGTTACTAAACCAGCAAGCCATAGGGAGAATCAGTAGAAACCAAGGATTATATGGTTGTTGTCTATAAACGAAGATGGTTTATCTAATGCTTTGGCCAGTAACTGGCTTCAAGATCTATGTATTAAGTTGATATTAACTATATAGTTATATGTAATGGTTTTATATATATATAGTTATCCATATAGTTATATAACTATATAGTTATCTATATATCTATGTATATCTATATAACTAGTTATATCTATATGTAGTTATATAACTATATGGTTATATCTATAATTATAGTTATATCTATATATAATGGATCTATATATCTATTGATAACTAACTTATAACTATATATCATATAGATATAACCATATATTATATTTATATGTATTTATAGCTATTTTATAGATATACACACATACATATAACTATGAGATATCTATCTATCTTTATCTTAGTGGTTCTACTTCCAATTGAACTTTGGTTCACTCTTCTGTTTTCTCTATTTGACCATCTTTAACTCTGGGTGGAAGTGTTGAGTTTTGAAATTTCACACAGTGCTAGATTATTTGACCCTCATTTATCTTGTTGCTGTTTGTGAAAGAATGAGCTTCAGTTGTAATTCAGGATCCAGTACCCCTTCTTCTCTCAGAGAAGCTGGCAGGTATGATTCCTCCATGCACCTGGAGAAGGTAGCCATTGTTAGCCATAGTTGTATTTCCTTCCAGATTATCTGCTTCTTTGAATTCTACCATTCCAGTATGTTAGTACCAAGGCAACAATATCTGAATTTGGGTACAAGTGATTATTCTCAACAAGTAAGATGAGAAACTCGCAGTTAAGAGCTTTCCACCATTTCTGCTAGTGGTGATAATATGTGAGTAATGAGAAACTCTAGTTACTCCAGTAGATTTGTCCTTTTACCATCAGCACTCCCACCATAAGTAGTTTTTGATGCTCAACTCAACCAAGTTCACAACCATATTGAGTAGATTTATTGCTGACCACTGAACAGACCACTTTGTAATGAGTTGGCTTTTGATCCTCTCTCTGACCAGTTGGAACATGATTGGTCTTATTAGGTGTGTAAACCAGCCCAATTTAGTGTTGAGACAAGATATTCAACTGGTTGTTTTGACAGTTTTGTTTTCTACTGTACCAGCCATGTTCTCAAATCCCTATTATGTCTGCTGCTTGAGGTATTTATAGTTAATGATATTGAGCTCAAATGGCTACTAAACCAGCAAGCTATAGTGGGAATCAGTAGAAATCCAGGATTATATGATTGTTGTCTATAAATAAAGATGGTTTATCTCATACTTTGGCCAGTAACTGGCTTCAAGACCAGTATTAAGTTAAACTGCATAAAACTGACACTTTTGTAAGTAAAAAAATAATATATTGGCAATCTAATATGTTAACCTAATAGAAAGTCCTTTAACCCAGGGTCTACCATTTGAATATTTTTATAAGGAGATACAAGAAGAAAACAACCAAAAAAAAAAAAACCTCAGAATGTCTTTAGATAAAATAATTATGTGTCACAAAAGCCTCTTTACGATCAGACAGGTAATTTAGGGTGGATACAGAAAAAACAAAACCCAAAACCTTTTATTCCCAGAGGTCAGGGCTCTCCATAAGAAAATTAAGAAAGTGTTTATTCCAGATTTTCAATAAATCAATTTAACCTCAACATTAGTCTTATTTCTTGAAAATCACCTTCTTGACTATAAAGCGTGTTCTCATCATATTTCTTAGTAATTTGGCAGTAGGGTGACCGAAGAGATAAGAATATCCAGATTCTGACAACCCACACCTTTGCAACTCTACTGGCACTCACAGCAATTAGTTATTTTAAACAAATATATTTTTAAAACTCTACAGTGTGAGAGTTGTCTGTTTCTCTCCCCTCATAACTTCACATCCAACTTAATGCAGCATATATTTTGTCGAACTATTGCTTTGCTTTAAGTTATTTGCTGCTAAATGACATATAATGAATGGGAAGTTCCTCTCGGAGCCATCAAATAATTAGTTATGACACCAGAAATTAGGGATGCATGGTAAACAGGTGCTGCCTATGTAATAAGCAAAATTTTTCTCTCCCTTCTCCAAAAAATTTTAAAAAGGAAAAATAAAATTCTGTAGCAGGGGCTCTAGAAAACTTCCCAAAGGCCATCTGTGTCTTCAACTGGAGAGGCTTGGACATGATACAAAAGTCTAGCAGTAATACAGGAGGAAGAGGGGGAAGAGAAAGCCAACCAGGCCCCGTCCTCACTTTAGGTGGACGCCAGCCGAGAGCTGGATTGTATAGGGCATGAACCAATCCTAGGGAAGGGTGATCCTGAGAGACAGGGCGCATCTCGGAGCCCCAGCAAAGCAAGCAGAAGTTTAGAGCAGTGCCTCCAGGCCAGGAAGGGCTGTAGGAGTGCCTGCATATGTGGCAGAGAGAGTTAAGCAGAGTAACGAAGGAGAGCAACATACGGTTTTCAGAAACTGGACACAATAGAGATAAGGAAAGTGAGGAAGGGGCTAAGCTAATGGGCATAAGGAATGTGACTGTGGGTGGATGTAGCCAGTTTCATTAAGTAAACGAGTTCCATGGTGCAGTGAAAAATCATATTTCCTCCTCTTCACCAGCCACTGCCCTTCAAACATATTCTGTAGGATAGGTTTTCTCCCCATGACTTCGATGAAATCTAGGGCAGGTCTTATGATTTTTTCTAGTGAGTCCCACATAATAAAACATAATAATAAAACATAATAAAACTGGTCATATTATTCTCTAAAAAAGTCTCCGTTCATTAATTGGCCTGTCCAATATAATAATAGATCTTTTGAATATCATCAAAATTAAAACTCCTTCCCTCCCCCAGGCTGAAACTTGCAGTCAAGGAGGTGGGATAAGGTTGGCTGCCTCTCTCTGGATCTCTTCCAGCTCCTCCCTGGTCCGCTTTGCTTCGGGTTTCAGATTCGAATAGTTTTATTATTTGAATTGAGGCACGGTGGTGAGCAAGGAGGAACAAGGGGCAAGGAATGAGAAACGTTTCATTTGATTACCACTATTATAGCTTTCATTTCTTCTACCCAATTGAAGCAGAAGTTGAAGATGACCTTTTTCCTGGGCATTTTCAGATATCACCTCTCCAGCTTTAGCTAGGGTCCCTCAGCCACAGTTCTGTTCTTCCCTTCTTCTGCCTGGGCAATTGGAAGATGACATTCAGCTTGTAACTGATGGGATGACTCTAGCCCCCCATGCCCAGGTAAACTCACAGCTGACTCTCTCACATGGTCCGCACTGTCTGCTGTCTGGAGAGCAGGCTGCTAAAGTCACGCTGCAAAGGTCAGCCTCACATCAGATTATTCTTTCAGTGGAGGCAGGTGGCACAGGGCCTAGGCACACACGTTGAATTCTGTAGGAGTACTCTGTGCCCTTTCAGCCAGCTTGAGACTGGCAGAATAGCAGACCATGCTTGCCAATTTCAAACTTCTCCTGTGCAGTCTTTTATAAGCTGGAGGTATGGGGTTGGGTATAGTCCTCAAACCAGGGTTCTCACTTCCTTTAGAGCTTTTGTTTAGGTGATCTAGAACCTAGCTTTGGAATAGAGCATAACTGACACCTAGTATCTCACCGAATCAGTAGAATTTGAGACTAGATCCTTGTTTTATGAGCTTGAAATATGTACCCATTTGTAAATGTGAGTATGAATATACTACCTAGATCTTACCTGTCTGTGCATAAAATGAAGATTCATATTCTTCTTTTAATATCTGAAAACATTTTTTTCCATAGTCCCTGTTGGCCAAGCATTTGGTTCAATATAAAGTTCTATCACATTTACTTTTAATGACCTAATTATGGCATTTGAGCCCCTGCAGACCTGACTGCTAAAAATTAATAGTCCTCCAAGTGCCCTCCAGTTATTTCTGGAAGTTTCTTCAACCAGTCTGTGTCCCGCAGCCTCCATACCACACTGGGCCTCCTCCCTGCTCCTTTCCCACCTGTCCATACCTGCTGTCCATGAGGCCTCAGCCTGATTATTTCAGCTCACCATGGGAACTAGACACAGGATGACAGATGCTCTCAAAGCTTCCAGCCCAGGGTTGCCAAACATCACAGTGTTCTGAGCACAGAGGAAAGAAAAACTTCTCTATGACTGGACATCAACCATTTTGCCTCAAACCAGCTTGATTTTTGCCCCCAAACATCTCCCTTAAACAGTTCTACCGACTTCAAGCCATGGTGCTTGCCTAAACCCTTCCCAGATATTTAACTAAAACTAGCGTCTTCAGTTTCTTTCCCTGCTTGCTTCTGAGGGAGGACAAACCTAGCTCCTGAGGCTGGACCAGTGTTGGGACTTCCCAGGGGCTTATCTGAAATGGTTAGGGGGGACCAAACTCTAGTATTGGCTTAGAGGATGGAATAACAGGCCTGAAAATGGACTTGGACAATGAACATCTCAGAGGTCATGATTACGTCAGCCACTAGTCCAGAGGTTCTTTCCCTGCTTAGCAGGTGCGGTTTAACCAGCTCCCTCCCCCACACATTTTTCTTGTGCCATCCTAGGAAGAGGAAACACCTCAAGTCAGGCAGACGTTTGGATCTCTCACATCTAGGTGTGTGAGAACTTGAATTCAGATGGAGTTTTAGAAACATAAAATGTGGCAATTCTCACTCATTTATTCTATGTAACACCCTAAAGTGGGAAGAAAATTATCAGGACCTCTGGATGGATGAAGAAGGTGAGGCATGGTTAGTGGGTCATGCAGCTAGAAGGTGGCCAGGCTGAAGTCTGAGCTCCCATAGATGGCTCTTAACCATAGTGCTAACAGCCTCTTCAGTAAAACAATCAAGTGCTGTGCTTGCTACCACGGATGGAGAGAAGAGCAGAAAGACTCCATCCTAGAGTTCAGTGTACCCATATAGTTCTATCACTAGAGAGTGATCCATCGGCAGCAGTCTCCTTAATGGATAAGGAACAAAAATTTGACCTTGTCCAAGTTGAGTCACCATGAGATTGGGATCCTACAGAAGTGCTGTCCTAGTGAACAGAGCCTTAAGCTTTTTATTTGCTTGTGTGGGGTTTGCTCTAAACTGAGAATGGCCTCAACTATCAGAAATGCTGCCCCCGAGGACTTTCTAATGACCACAGGCATAAGAGTCAGTCAGTTGAGCCTCAACATGATTTCTAATGGAAAAAGTTTGTCTTTAGCCCTGGCCAAAAGAATTATTGTCTCTAATTCATGACCCTTCTCCTGTACTTAGACATCTAATAAAACTGATGTTTAATGTCTTTTAATCGTTTCAAGGATTGACCTATAATTGGGGTTGCTTAATCCTGAATAGCAGTTCATGCTATTTCAAACATCTTAACTAATCTTGTCTAAACTCTAACTGCAAGTGTAAAAATTTTCAGCCCTATTCAACATCTCACAGAGAAGAGGAGGCGCTCTTTCTCCTGCCATAAATAACTCCTCTGACTACCAAAAAAAGGAAGCTTAGGGTGGACCCCCACTTCAGCTGGGAGACAGATAACTTGAGGGATATTTCCAGCACTTTCAGAGCCTCTAATAAGATTGACTGAACTCTTCATCACCTTCTCTAGAGTAGCTGCTTCTGTAAAGCCTTAATGAAGCGTTAGTACCCCATTAGCTACGTAATCACCAAACTTTGAGATCTTGTACCTCTTCTGAAACCAGGAGCCCTCACACTGTCCCTGTCTAGGAAATGCAGAGCACCTGGGTCCCAGGCAGGAATTCTATGGGTCTGGAGTATCAACCTGCTGTGCAGAGCACTAGGAGCTAGGGGCCTGACTCTGAATCAGTGACTAGGAGGGTCAGCAGGATTGTGCCTGAGGACGAAGACATTGGTGTGCTCTTCTCAGTAGTCAGCGCGCATGGAGCCATGACACCTTGCATGGCTGTGCTTCCTTCATCTGCTTCCTGCTTTTTTAATCTCTCACTCATTCATTTGGGTGTTTCCCCTCCATTCTAGGCTGGTACAACAGTATGTGCTGTACATGCCATGGAAGGGTATGGCACCCACAGTGAATGATAAAAGATCTGAGTAGCTCAAATGAGGAGGTGTGGAGTAAAGAAGGAAGGATTGGGAATGGTAGGTTGGGACTAGGTTGGATGTTTTTGGAGGTAACAGGGAAGCACTGGGGACTTGGGGATATCTTAGGTCTAAAAAAAATGTCTAACTCTGCTTATTTCTATCACAGTGTATTACAATTGTAAAATTTTGGTTTGACTCTATTAAAAAATCACCTCATACCTGAGAAGCACTTATTTCTAAACACAACAGATATGATTATAAAAATAAATTGATGACCAGCCTGGTCATCAGAGACATGGAGACCCTGTTTCTACTAAAAATACAAAATCAGCTGAGCTTGGTGGCACGTGTCTGTAATCCCAGCTACTCGTGAGGCTGAAGCAGGAGAATCGCTTGAACCTGGGAGGCGGAGGTTGCAGTGAGCCAAGATCACGCCATTGCACTCTGGCCTGGGCAACAAAAACGAAACTCTATCTCAAAATAAAAAATTAATAAAATAAATTGACATGAATGATGATCAGTTTTATATGTCAGCTTGGCTAGGTTATAGTCCCAGTTATTTAATCAAACACTAAGCTAGGTGTTGCTACAAAGGTAGTTTAGTAGATGTGATTAATATCCACAGTCAATGGACTTTATGCAAAAGAGTTTACCCTGGGTAATCTAGGTGAGCCCAATCTAATACATTGAAAGGCCTTAAGAACAGTGTTTCTTCCTTTGGAAACAAGAGAGTTGGGCCATAGACAGTAGAATTAACTCCTGTGGCAGAATTTCCAACCTACCCTTCCTGATGTCCTACCCTTTGGATTTCAGACTAGCCTAGCCAGCTCCAACAATACTATAAACCAATTCCTTGCAATACATCTCTTTATATAGGTATATATTGCATGGGTTCTGTTTCTCTGATGGAAGCTTGATTGAGAAAACATTCATCAAATTAACTTTACAATAAAGTTGTATTATGGTATTGACATTTTTATATAATTGTCATTTTCTCCCTCTTTTTCTGCTGCAGGTTCTCCCTCTGCCCTGCCTCCTCCTCTGTCCTGCCTCCTCCTCTGCCCCACCTCTTCCTCCTCCTTTCTTCCCTTCTCTCCCTCTCTCTCTCTTTAATCTTGTAGAAAAGTTAACTCCTGAGTTGCAAGGCTTGGCCATATTCCTTTTTCATCCCAAAGGAAGCTCTTCATTAACATACACAGAAGGTTCATTGTACCAACTCTTTTGCCAGAGGTCTTTCCCAGTTCATCACTGGTCATTCTGTGGATGCTTGTAGCTTAATGTGATCATATATTGTAATCCACCCAAAGATGTCAACTTCAATCCAACCACAAGAAAATGGGACAGACAGGCTCATCCCTTCCAAGATCACCCTTACCCTTTAAGGGCAGGGTCCACCTCTAGAGTCCCAGCCTGGTTCCAGCCACCATCTAGATGTTTCACCCAGTAAATATCCGACCCTAGTGGATCCACTAATGCTCTATGATGATCAGGATTATGGTACATGATTAAACACTGACCTGTCTTGCTTTTGTGTTTATCTGTTTCTATATATACCCACCTCCCACCCTCCACCACACACACAAAAAGCTGTTATCAAATTGGTTTATTCTCCTCAAAGGTGTCTTAGAATTGTCACTTCCACAAACAATAGAGGCTCACTAAGGAAGAGCCCCAGGAGGCCCTGGGAGTTATTTTGATAAGCCTATCCCTACTATAGGTCCCCATAGGTCCTAGTTAACTCTAGGAAAGTTTGACCTCAGACCAACCTTCAGCCTTGGGATTCCTCTATCTCTCTACTTGAATTTGACAGGCTTCATTTTGTTGTTCTGTGTCAAACCACAGCCACAAACCCAATACAAATTTTATCTCTGAAGCTATTTGAATATCAAGGCAGAATCTCTCCCTACTGTCTATAGTGTTCTCTTTGTCCTGACACGTCTCATAACACCAGCTTACCCCTGGAGTCTCTTGTTGCCTAAGAGCTTTTTTTTTTTTTAATGACATTTCTGTGAATCTTTCACTTTTCCCAATATCAGCTTACTTCCTGAAGCTATCTGCTTTTGACAGTCAACATTCTGTAGGGATACAATAGCTGTGTAGTTATCATCCAAATTAAAAAGTGAAAGAGATCTATTATGCCAGGATGATATGTGTACATCAGGCCTGTCCTGAGCAATCAGGGCTATGTGTATATAATATATATTCTCCCTAAGTCTCAGCCACACTGGTCAGACAAAAACTTTGCTCCTGGCCACTTTATTGACTCCTTAGAGCCCATAGAATGGACCTACTTGCTCTTGAATAAAGGACTCATCTTTGGTTGAAAGAGGCTGGCTAAGATGTGCCTATGTGGTGAATTACATGGTCACTGCTGTCTGAGGAGCAACAATTCTAAGTAACATTAAACAATTACTACTACGTACCAGTGAGTTATATACTCTAAGATCTCATTTGAACTTCATAATAACTTTATAAAGTAGGTACTTATTCCTATTATTTTGCAGATGAAGGAATTGAAGCATAGAGAGGTTAAGTAATTTTGAAACTGCCTTTGCAAAAATTAAAACAGAAAATTATGACAGTGAAAGACATCTGATCTACCCAACTCCCATCTTGCATTTAACTTCCACATTGCCTTTAGTCATTCCTGGGTTTGCGCCAAGCTAAATTTGAAAGAAATTTAGTTTATAGTTCAAATGATAATAGCTCTTCCCCAAAACTAAACTGCTTTGTAAAACTAATGAAAGAGCATCAGGTTAGGAGGATGAAAGGAGCCTGAATTCTGCTAACGTGTAGGCATGAAGGATTACCAGCCATTATTCCAGAGATCACAAAATTTGCAGCTTCCCCAATTACTTATACAGAGAACATCCTATTGTAGAACCTAAGATTGACCTTTGGAGATGTCTTTCCACGTATTTGCGTTTCTGATGACCTATGACTCCACAGGGACCTGCCACCCAGAAGCAGACTCAGCATGCATGTACTAGAAGACCATTTTCTACACCCCTATGATTGCATCCCCAACAAATCAGCAGTAACCATTCCCTTGCCTACCATCCTATCCTTGGAATACCCTAGCCCCCATGGGGAGGCTGATTTGAGTAATAATAAAACTCCAGTCTCCTGTTCAGCTGACTCTGCATGAATTAAACTTTCTCTATTGCAATTCCCCTGCCTTGATGAATCAGCTCTATCTAGGCAGTGGGCAAGAACCCATTGGGTGGTTATAAATTGCAAAATTGTTCAGCTGTGAGAGAGAATTAAGATGACACCAGACAGTACTCCTCCAACCCATGAATCCTGTGTTTATTCCATTGCCCAGGGGATGCCTTTATTCCCAAAGGTTATCTCAGATGAGGAGGATAAGAGGAATAAGGCTGTGAGAGGTTTGCTGTCAGAAGAGGACTGAAGATGTGGCTTGTACTTAAAAGACTAATGAGTGTCTCCAGCTACACTAAATATAAACTATTATGGACTTCACGTGATCTAGAGTACAGGTTAGCAAACTTATCCATAAAGGCCAGTTAGGAAACATCTTAGGCTTTGCAAGCCATGTGGTATCTGTGGAAACTACTCAATTCTGCCATTGTAGCATGAAAGCAGCAAAGATAGTGCATAAATGTGGCTGTGCTCCAATAAAACTTTATTTACAAAAGGTCAAACCATCTGATTAACTTGGGAGAATAAAGCAGAAATTTCATTCGAGCATCCAGTCTCATCAGGTCAAATCTTCAGAACAAACGCTGCCGAGAAAATGCTTTTAGAATAGATAGCCACAAAGGTGGCAGGGACCAGACTATTTAGGGGTTGGCAGGATAGTGGGGATCTGAGGCATGGAAATGGTCACCCCATTTCACCACCTCTCCTACTCTGAGAGAGGAAATTCCAATATGAAAATAGATTTGGCATGTGTGTGTATGTGTAAGGAGAGTGTTGTTAATTTGTAATCAATCAAGTAACAATTTATTGATGACTTTCTGGGACTTCCTTGTTAATTTGAAATATTCCAGCAATAATAACTTCCAGAAATCAGGTGCTGCTCTCAGGAAGGCATAACACTGTTAATGCAGGGCTTAGTGACTAAACCTTAAGTCCTCCAGCCTAATTTTTTTTCTTAATGAGATAGGAAGATTTTGGAGTGAATCAAGAGGCTAAGAAATGTACATTGCAGGAGGGAAAACGTAATGGAAGCTCTAGACACTAGCCAATGTGGGGCAAAAATGTGTGATCATTACGTTCATAAGTTCTCAGTCGTAAGGTTGAAGATTTTCCAACAAAAGAAGAGCAGCAAGAGAAAAGTTTGTTGTTCCCTCTGGGAAATAAGGTAAGCCCCAGGATCTGAGGGAGAGCCAAGAATTGGAGTGCTGAAACCCTCTCCTTGGTAGCCCTGATAAGACTGGTTCTTTCTTGCGGTAAGTAGAGAAATTCCATTGGAGTAAACAACCAGGAGTGTGAGGGAAGCAGTGAGATCCTAACCAAGGGTTGCAAAGTGAGGTACAAGTCTAATGAGATTTGCCACCGGAGTAGAAGTTAAATGTGTCCACTTGGAATCACTAATAAATAGTTTTAAAAAAGGCTTTCTCTCAAAATCTTTGTAGGTGAGTTAGAAAAGAAAAAAACTTAAATATACCTTGACCTATTTCTTAAATCATTTTAGAAGTAAAATCATTTTAGAAGTAAAAGATGGAATCAATTAAATCTAAGTTGTTCTCACATCCCTTTCCTGGTTCCCTAATTCTCAACAGAGGCAATGACCCTTACTGGTTCTTGTTTAAATATTGTAGATATCTCTGAACATATACCCATACATGATATGCTGCTTCTTTAAAAAGAACAAAAATGGCAGGATGCTTTACATATTTTTCAATTCTTTTTTCATTTAATGATATTGTTCAGACCTCCTTTTATAACAATTTATATAGAACTGCCTTTTTCTTTTTTCTTGCATAGTATTTGATGGTATGGATGTACCACAATTTATAGCAAATTCTCTGTTCATGGACATTTTAGATTCTGACAAATTTCCTATTAAACTATTGAATATCTTTCTACATATATAATTCCCTATACTCTTTTGTTAGTAGTATGAATTTCTAGCAGTAAAATTGACAGGTGATATGGTTTGGACCTGTGTTCCCACCAAATCTCATGTTGAATTGTAATCCCCATTGTTGGAAGTGGGGCCTAGTAGGAGGTGATTAGATCACAAAGGTGGTTTCTAACGGTTTAGCACTATCCCCCTATTGTTGTTGTTGTGATAGAGTTCTCACATGATCTGGTTGTTTAAAAGTATATAGCACCTCCCCCCTCTCTCCCTTCCTCCTGCTCTGGCCATGTAAGATGTGCCTTCTTCCCCTTTGCCTTCTGCCATGACTGTAAGTTTCCTGAGACTTCCCCAGAAGCCAAGCAGATGCCAGCATTATGCTTTCTGTACCACCTGTTGAACCATGAGCCAATTAAACCTCTTTTCTTTATAAATTACAGTTTCTGCTATTTCTTCATAGCAAGGAAAGAATGGACTAACAAGGAATATGTCAAAATTTTAAATTTAATAGATTTTCCCCATTTCTCTTTATAGAGGCATGCCAATTTTTATTTTGACTAGTAAAGTATGAGGTTGTGAATTCAAACATTTTTATCTTTGTCAATTTTATACATAATGAAATAAAAATACAGAACTGTTATGTCATAGTTGTAATTTGTATCTCATATACTAGTTATTGTTTGAGCAATTTTTCCTAGGTTTAATAGCTATGTGCATTTTGTTTTCTGAAGTCTGATTCTTGACTTTTTAATCTTACATTCTTGGCTTTTGTTCTTGATTACCAAGAACAATTACTGTGTTAATTTTTGATCTGTGATATAAGTTGCAAATATTTACTTCCCAATTTTGTAGTTTGTACTTTTATTTTCCGGACTCTTTTTTTTTTTTTTTTTTTTGCCACATTGCAGTTTTTGACTATCTTTTTAAATGTATCTACTTTTTCTGAGTTCTGAGATTTTATCATTTTTAGAATAGCCTTCTCTCCTCCTTTATCATAAAAATTCTCCTACGTTCTTATAGTATATTATGATTTTGATATTTATAAAACTCTGATGAATCTAAAATTTTGGTACAAAATGTGAGATAAAAATCCAACTTTTTTCTTTTAATCTGGATTAGCAACCACCCTTTATTCGAAAATAGTTTGAACACTAAGACATCCTTCATTATAAGTGAAATTCATATATGCATTTGAACTACTGCTGGACTTTCTATTCTCCACACTGTCTCGAATACTATGATGTTTACAATAAACTTAATATCCAGTATGGCTAGTTCTCCTTCATAATTTTCTTTCTTAAACTTTGTCCTAGAAATTGTATTTAGTTCTCTTCCATTAAACTGTTGAATTTCTTTAAGAAGGACTCGTGTAGTAACTATTTCCTGAAAGCTTGTGTGTTTATCTGTTGCATGTATGCTGTTATAGTAGTTTGGCTGGGTATAAAATTCTGGAGTCATCTTTGTATTCCTCGATAATATTTCAACCACTACTCCAATCTCTTGTACCTGAAAACATATATATATGTATGCATATATATATATGTGTGTGTGTGTGTGTGTGTGTGTGTATATATGTGTTTGTGTGTGTATGGTAGTATACATGTGCATACAGGAGATTTATAATACAAGAGCTATGTAAAATATGTAAATAAAATATAAAATATATACAATATATGCACATATACACATACAGTATATGTACATATATATGAGAGGTGGAGAAGGAGAAAGAGGGAGAGCACATTAGGCTCATTTGGTTTTTCCCGATTTTAGAGACTAGATAATATATCTTTATCTCCAAATGAAATGTCTTTACCCTTGAAGTGCAGTAAATTTATTAGGATATATGTTATTGTTGATCATTAGATGTTAACTTTTTTATTGGTCGTGGAGTACTATTTAAATCCATAGATCCAAGTGTTTATGGAATTTTTAGAAATTATGTTTTTAAACAATTTCTATTTGTTCCATTTCAGTGTTTTTCTTTGGAAACACCAGTAGTTATCGGCCAGATCTTTTTTGTTTGTTCTTTATAATAATTCTTATTTTCTCTCAATTCCTTTTAACCCTTGTTTTTCTTATTTCAGTCTGTCCTTATGTTTGTTGTATTTTTAAAAAGGCCTCTTTTTCTTTCTGTTCTTGGCAATACAGCTCTCATTTTTGTGATGATTTTCTTTTTTTCCTGCCACCCCAGGGTGTGCCAACTCAGTATTTTTTCTTCTGTTGCTTTGCTGTATCTTCCCTAAATGCCTCTATTCCTTTTTGATATGGGTTTTTAAAATGTAAAGACTACAATATTCTTAAACTTCATTATTGCTACTGAGGTTTTCATTTCATAGCAGGATATGTTATCTGAATTTTCATGTGTTCTGTGAGTGATTTGACACTTGGAAAGAAGAGGAGACATCATCTCTCCTCCACCATTTTAAAACCACGAGTGCCATTTGTGTTTCTTTATCAAATTTTAATTCATTCATTTATTTTACAAATATTGACTGTTATGTGCTAGGCATTATGTTAAGATTCCGCCTCACATTGTCAATGATTTCTATGGAAAAGAAAACTATTCACTTGTAAGCATTAATTAGTTAGCAATGTATCCAATTGTAAGCACGAAAAGGAAAACAGCTTTGTGACTTCTAGTATTTCAGACCACATAAGAAAATAATGGCCATGATAATGTCCTGTTTCAAGCCTATATAAATATGCATCCTTACCAACAATGTGTTAAAATTTAACTTGAATTATCAATATTTTCCCTATTAATACAAAGCCAATCCTCCCCACCCTGTGCTGTCTATTGAATCTCTGTTCTACCACAAAACTTGTATCATTCTTTGAGCTTTTCTCAAACAGAACCACAAATTCACTTTGAAATTTATCTCTAGACTTCTGATGACAAAAGCAGCGCTTTAGTATGTCTAACAGAATGTAAGCTCTAGCACCATTACCACAAAGTATAGAGGCCGACTTAGAAGATCAGACTCTCCCTATTAAATACATGCAATTGGCTGGGCATGCTGGCACTTTACTGAAAAAATTAATAGGCCCTCTATGTGACATTAAATAGCCTTTTAACAGCAGTGCACTTAGATCCCACACCTACTTACATGAAATAAATAGTACTGAATTGGCTAACAATCAAATAAGGATTTGTCTTCCATTTCAATTTAAATTACTCTGAAAGATAAGCAAACCTAAAAAGCTAATGGAGGAATAAATCCCGATCTATTATTTTCTATTTGACACATATGCAGCCCCAGTTGTCTTTGGGAAAATAAAGTCACATTATTTATTTTGTATTTTCCATACACTAGTCATTAGGGCATCCTCAGTAAATAGCATTAAATGGAATACAATAAGGTTATAATATTGTCACAAGTGAGCACAAAGAATAATTGGATGTTTTCGTACAGAGGAATACTTCCTTTTGTGCTATGAAGAATGAAGGAGAGTAAGAGGGACAATGAGTTGATATTTAGAAATAGCAAGGAAGAAAATTGATGGATCTCAAGCCAGATGGCTTGAAACATTTCATATAGCCAAAGATTTATTTATCCACTGAAATGAAAATATTCACAGTGGGAGAGATACACAGAAAGAGAAGGGCAGACGCTATTTTAATAGCCGCTATAAGATATACACTATGAAGTTATAAGAGATGGAAGAAAAAATATAGCAGAGAGGGCCTTACAAAGTTATAACCACACAGTTGACTCAACATTTTTTTCTCTTTATTTATCAATGTACAACAATAAGATAGGGAGAAAGCATACAGGAATAATAAGTATTTGCAATATGGAAATGACAAATAGTCAAGTGGGTAAGAATTAGCAAATTACTGTGTTTGAATGAGTTGACATGAGGTTCTGGTAGATACACAGGCGAGTGCAATTAACGTATGAGATGAAATAAGAACAGGAGGGATCAAGGATCAAGTTAAAATGATTGTCAGAGTGCAGTACTGTCCCCACATGTTTGGCCACGCTTTCTCTGTAAGAGGATCATACTTTCTTGTTTGTTGCTGTTTGTCTGGCAGTGCACTACCCCTCCCCACCTGTGAGAGTATACAGTCCTACGCTATTGACTTTGGGTCTGGCCATGTGACTTAATTTGGCTAGCATAAAGTGAGCAGGCCTAACCTATGTCACATCCCAATAGAAGACGCAAGAACCTTTCTTCAATCAGATTTTGTGTTTCTCTCCATGAGAATGGTCTACACCAGGGCATAATCCAGATAGGAGCTGCCTGTCAACCTGGACCCTCCTGGAACAAGTCATGTGAAACAGACCTAGAGCAACCCACAGTCAACAAAAAATGAGGACTTTATTTTATTTTATTTATTTATTTTTTTTTTGAGATGGAGTCTCACTCCGTCGCTAGGCTGGAGTGCAGTGGCACGATCTTGGCTCACTGCAACCTCCACCTCCCGGGTTCAAACAATTCTGCTGCCTCAGCCTCCCAGGTAGCTGGGACAACAGGCACACACCACCATGCTCAGCTAATTTTTGTATTTTTAGTAGAGATGGGGTTTCACCATGTTTGCCAGGATGATCTCCATCTCTTGACCTCATGATCCACCCACCTTGGCCTCCCAAGGACTTAACATTTTTAAATAGTTGAATCCATGAAAATGGGCTGCCTCTTCAGGCTGGAAACTGGACTGAAGATACATAAAACAGAGCCACAGCTAACCTAAAATGGGGACTGGAACCTTTTTTATGATTGGATCCAAAAATGTGGAGAACACCAACGACTTTAATAATAACAGTTTTCATGTTATCAAGGGTAGAAGCAGACTTGAGCAGATCACAAAATGATAAAGACGTGTTGGTATGGCGTATCATATATAAAACATTCTTGAGAAATATGGCAAGAAAGTTGAGTAAAATGAAGTAGTGATAGCTGGGTGATGTGAATCCAAGGAGAGCTTCCAGGTTTCATGGTTTTTTCAAAACAACAACAACAACAACAACAAAACTTTTCTCAAAAAGAGAATATCTAGCAAGCTTGTATACTGATGAGAAGGATGGAGAAGTGATGATAAAGATTTAAGATATTGGGTAGAATGGGAATAACAAGCTAGTGAATTCTTGGGAGCCCGTGCAGAGGCAGATGGATCTTACTTTGATAGGACAGACAGGGATGAGCTGATGAGAGAAATTCAATGTTTGCTAGACTTTAATGAGTGCCCAGCTGAAGCAGGTGATTAAAAGATTATGAATTCATAATGATTCTAATCTGCCTAATTATGTTATTTTTCTCCCTAGTCGGGCTCATCTTTTAGTATGGATGTGAGATGGAGGATGCAAGTAATTGGGTTCACCCTGGATTGGGATTTAGCTCATGCTGAATGCTCAAAGTGGCAGCAGAGTTAAGTATGTTTGCAAGAGAGAGTTTGCCTCAATGGAGCAGGCACTCTAACCTGCACTCACATCCACTGAGTAAAGAAGAGGCTGATTGGTGGAGCAACAGGGGGAGATGAAGATGGGAGCTTCAGGTTGGATAAAGTATTGTGATAGAGAAACTTGAGCAGAGGAGCTGGGAGAGCAAAGGGGCTCTCTTGGGAGAATTAGCTGTTTCCACTGGTGATTTCAGAAATGCTGTGGTTACTAATATGCTTCAAGGTGTGAGAATGGAAGTGGGTGGAGTGAATAAGAAGGTCATTGGAGAAAATGAGGTCAAGGACGAGAGGCCAGGATTTCCACTGGTTAATAGGAAGAAGCTGAAACGGACAGAAAGACTATAGATGCCAAAGTATTCAGTGAATAAGGATAAGTCACAAGGACAACAATAAATGTCTGAAATGGATTGGAAGTGAGGGAGGTATAGGCAAGCAGAGGGTATGAGCCTGAAAGGTTCAAGGTTTTGGAGGGAAGGAGAGAGAAAATGGTGTGGAGATAGCAATAGACAACAAGGATGACTCACACCCACTTCAGACCCTGACGTGTGTGGGGTGGAAGAATGCACAGTAACTGCTTTGGCCACTACTCTTTTCTGGCATGTTCTGCATTCCCAAGGAAATTTAAGAGTCCCCTAACTTCTCCTCCTTGATGCAAATGTGATAGATGGCTCTGCTCTCCTGTTCATTCACTGCTGAGGGCTCGTTTCACCTTCAGGACAGTGGATTGTAAAACCATGAATGGGAAAACCAGAACTGTTGTTTCTAGCCCTTTGAATCTGTTTCTCGGATTTGGTACCTGAGCATGAAGTGGCTTGAAATGGGGGCTTTCTCGATCTTCAGTGTACTTAAAATGATCAAATTAATTGCTGATTAAAGCGTAGATTTCTAGAGACTGATATTCAAAAGGGCTGAGTACAAAGTAGAATTGGTATTTTTAACCAGCACCTGCAACGATTTTGAACAGGGGCACATGAACCACACTTTGATAAAATCTGAATTAGGAAAGAAGAAAATGTGAACTTCAATTTGGGCTTCTGCCAACTGCTGATGCCGAATGACCATGGGTGAGTCACATCACCTCTCTAAATCTAAGTCTTCTCATATATACAACTGCCATGTATCGGTTACAAATAGATGATGCTTCTTATCAGAGTAAACTCCAAACAATGATTCTTAGATTAGACAGAGCTTTAGTTATTTCTCATACCATGAAAGACTGGGAGAAGGCAGTATACAATTGGTGTAGTAGCTCTGTGGTTAGCAGTGGGGACTTCAGCCCTTCAAGCTTTCTTTCAGACCATTGAATTCCAGAATAATTAGAAAAGTAGATTTTAAAAAAGAAAGACAAAACCTCTTATCTTCTCCCTTTCTTTTAAGGAATCGCTCTAAAGTCCCCACAACTCACCATACATGTTATTGGCATAGCTGCAAAGAAGGCTGGGAAATATAGGTATTATTTCCAGTGGCAATGTCTCAGTAAAAAGTATAAATTCTTTTACTAAGAAATTTGGCTGAGCATGATGGCTCATGCCGGTAATCCCAGCACTTTGGGAGGCCAAGGTGGGCAGATTAACTGAGGTCAGGAGTTCAAGACCAGCCTGGTCAACATGGTAAAACCCTGTCTCTACTAAAAATACAAAAATGTAGTCAGGCGTGGTGGCACGCACCTGTAGTTCCGGCTACTCAGGAGGCTGAGGCAAGAGAATAGCTTGAACCCAGGAAGCGGAAGTTGCAGTGATCCAAGATCATGCCATTGCACTGCAGCCTGGGTGACAAGTGAAACTTCATCTCTGGGGGAAGAAAAAAAAATAGAGGTTGGATATTGAGAGACTAGTCATATTTGCCACATGAATATGATACTTACAGTATTCATTTGCTAGGGCTGCCATAACAAAGTACCACAAACTACATGGTTCAAACAACAGAAATGTATTGTCTCCCAGTTCCAGAGGCTGGAAGTCTGAGAGATCAAGGTGTCAGTGTGCTTGGTTCTTTCTGAGGGATCTAAAGAAGAAACTGTTCCACACCTCTCTCCTAAGTCTGGGGGTTTCCTGGCAATTTCTGGCATTCCTTGGCTTGTACGTGTATCAGCCCAATCTCCGCCTTCATCTGCATATGGATATGGTTTAGCTGTGTCCCCACCAAATCTCATGTTGAATTGTAGGTCCCATAATTCCCACATGTTGTGGGAGGGACCCAGTTGGAGAGAATTGAATCATGGGAGGGTTTCCCCAATACTGTTCTCATGGTAGTGAATAAGTCTCGCTAGAACTGATGGTTTTATAAGAGGAAACACCTTTCGCTTGGCTTTCTCATTCTCTTGCCGCTGCCACATAAGAAGTACCTTTTACCTTCTGCCATGATTGTGAGGTCTCCCCAGCCACATGGAACTATGAGTTGATTAAACCTCTTTTTCTTTATAGATTATCCAGTCTCAGATATGTCTTCATCAGCAGCATGAAAATAGACTAATACAGGCAGCCTAAGACCACCATTGCTAGGCAGAATATTTTTTAACCTGAAAAAAGCTCTCACTTGAAATTAAAAAAAAAAATTATTCAACTTGGCTACTCAAATTGCAACCAGAGTGAATTATATTGTTTCAAATGGCAAAAGATGGCATCAGGTAAGGATTAAGAATCCAGTGCCCTCCTCAGAAGCCCAGATCCACCTTTGATTCACACAGTTTCTGGAAATAAGGAAATGAGAGCAAAACAGGGCAGCCATGAGAATCTATGAGGGAAGAAGTGGCTCTAAATTAAATATTTCTCAAAGTTTTCCAGGAGGCATGGGTAGCTTGTTAAATATTAAGCAGAGAAATCTCCATCTGACTGTTACAGGAGTATTGCAACAGGAGCAGAGGCTGGTTTTACAATCTTTGACATGGTGGGAGGGGGATATGGAGCCACAGAGCTGGGATAATTTATCAGAAAAAAAAAATAGTGGCTTTCAGCAAAAGGTTCACAGATGCTGCCTTCTAATTAAAATTTTTTTTATTTTAGAATACAATTTTACAGACTCTATACCTGCAAATGAATGCCTCACACCACATGGTGTCTCCCAGTACACCGTGAAGGGAAAACCCAGGACAGCCTTTAATGACTTATGCCTCACTCCATGCCTCTGGAACTTTTGCTTTGTATTGCCAGAAACCAAAGATAGGGAAACTGAAAATGAAACACTAGGTGTCCTGTGTGTGATTTAGCATTGCCTGGGTCAGGAAATGACATCGTGTTGTTGTTTTGTTGTTGTTGTTGTTGTTGTTTGTTTGTTTTTGGGTTTTTTTTTTTGAGATGGAGTCTTGCTCTGTCACTCAGGCTGGAGTGCAGTGGCGCGATCTCCACTCTCTGCAACCTCCACCTCCCAGGTTCAAGTGATTCTCCTGCCTCAGCCTCCCAAGTAGCTCTGACTATAGGCGCACACCTGGCTAATTTTTGGAATTTTAGTAGAGATGGAGTTTCACCATATTAGTCAGGCTGGTCTTGAACTCCTGACCTCAGGTGGTCCACTTGCCTTGGCTTCCCAAACTGCTGGGATTACAGACTTGAGCCACTGCACCTGGCCAGAAGTGACCTTTTCATAGGACATAAGCCCAGCTACTTTCTTCAGTATCTGTTGGTCCATAAGAAAACCTGTGCAGCCTTGCTCCACCAAACTCTGAAAGTGTGATTCAACTCATGGGGCTCCTGCCAGCTGCCCTGCTGCTTGGTGGCTGCACAAAAGGAGCCACCAAGACCTGTGGTTTGCACTTCTCAGCCAGCATCCCTCTGTGGATGGGGGAACAAACTCGCCTCCCCAACTAGTATGCAACCATGAGCTCGATGAATGGTTCTGGTCCGTGTCACGATGTACCTTGAGATCGAGTCGGGGAGGGGAAGTTTGCTCACTCTACCCTTTACTCACTACTCTTAGAGATTTACCTTAAAGAGTTTTATTTGATCAATCAGACACTTTGTTTTGAAAGTTGTTTCAAGGTCTTTATTTGCCTCTCGTCATCCTTGGGTATAACTGCAACTTTTGAATTGGTCACTAAGGTATGAAAAGCACTTTTTTGTTTGTTTGTTTGTTTTCTTGAGACAGAGTCTTGCTCTGTCGCCCAGGCTGGAGACACGATCTCTGCTCACTGCAACCTCTGTCTACTGGGTATAAGCCATTCTCATGCCTCAGCCTCCTGAGCAGCTGGGATTACAGGTGCGCACTACCACACCCAGCTAATTTTTTGTATTTTTAGTAGAGACGGGGGTTTCTCCATGTTGCCCAGGCTGGTCTCAAACTCCTGACCTTGTGATCCACCTGCCTTGGCCTCCCAAAGTGCTGGGATTACAGGCGTGAGCCACCGCGAAGGCACTTTTTAAATGCCCGTTTCTCCCAAATGTTTCAATATTCAGTCATCTTGGGAAAAAGAAACTTCATTTCTGTACCCCACAGGGGAGGAGAAGGGTCAATCCTCCATTTCAGGGTACCAGCCTTCTCTCAGCAACAAAGCTCATAATCTCTGATGGAAGGCTGGGTATTTATACAACAAACATATAATAAATACCGCAACAAACAATTTTTAGAGAGTAGACTATAAAAATTGGGAGAAATAAGTTAATTGGCTTTAGAATAAGTCATGTCTTATAAATTGTCTATTTAATTGAAAATGCTAAGTATTACATATTTCACACACACCAGAGGAAAATGTTGGAGCATAAAAATTAATTTGACTCGCTCTTTTTACTGATAAAACAAAATCAGGTAGGAAGGATATATATCCTACCACTATACATGTTAGTGAATAAAATTTCTTAATAATTTTTAAGTGAGAAATCAGTTAAGACAGACTCAAATGTTGCTCACTACATGAAAATAAATACTCTACCTCTCTCTCTCACCTAGATAAGCAGAGCATGAATCTCCTAAAATGATAGGTTATGTGCTACTCATTAAAAATTCAGAATAAGATGGCATATGTGATACCTATTTTGATGACAGTTAAAAGACATACTGGCCAACCTTTCTCAAAAGATCCTTCATTTTGATTTTACTAATTTGTTAATCAAGCTAACATAGTGCATTACAGTTTGTTTTGACTTCATGTATTTTGTATAAAGAGTTTCATGTTTTCCCTCAATGATCAGAAGTAAGGATCAAGTAAATTCCTAGAGGCAAATCAACATATGAACATGTTTCAAAACTATCCTGTCATAAGCTCAGATATCTCTTTACTTTCATGCTGTCTTTAACATTTTTTTCTACCACTCTGCCCTTGAGGAATCCAATAATTGTGCTGAGATATGGAAACTGTTAGAATCTACCTCTGTTCTTATTTTAATAAAAATAAGTCTTGACACTCTAAAGGATGAGAATATACCTACCAATTATTGTCTTAGGTAAATACATTGTTCATCTATGTCTTATCTAATGATACACATATTATTTATGTATATGCCATTATATATACTTTTAAAATTTATGCTTAGTTTGTCAACTAGATTTTCAAAGACCAGCCATTCTAAAAAGGTCACCCACAGTTTTGAGATACAGTTGGCCTGCCTTACATGACTAAAAGACCCAGAGGCTGCAAGCAGGAAGGACAGGAGCCCCAACCAATCTGGACATTTCAATGCCAAGGTGTTCTAATCATCACGTGGCCATGCCTGCTGAGTTCTCAGTGCACACATCAGGAGGCTAGGCCCAGGTGTCCCGCTAGAGACCCCATGTGGGCCAAGAGGAGAAATCCATTTACCAGAAATTCCCCAGTGCAAGACGAGAGATATTGAGGAGATGACCAATTAACTTCAGTGTTCTCCTAAGTTGAGTTAGATATAAGCCACATTATCTTTTAAAGTATTTTTTCAGATAATAAAAGCCCTATAAACTCATTGTTGAAACTTTTCGCAAGATAATTAGAAACAAGTGAACAAAACTTATGCATAATCCCACTATCTGGAAATTCCAGAAGCATACATGAGATAACTAGTTTCATGTACATTTTTTGCATATATAGGTATAAAACTGTATAGCCATGTGACATCTTATATACAGTTTTATGTATAGATTTGTATTAAAATGTTTATCCTTTAAAAATTCTTCAATTTTAGTGGTGTATGACCTTTCTTTTTAAGGACACGCATCATTTAATCCTTTATTCTCAACAAATGTGTATTGAGTACCTACTATATACCAGGATGAGTGCTAGGAATACAGCCATTTCCAAAGCAGACATACTATCTGCATATGTGGATCTTATATGTTCCTCACTAAACAGTAAGAAAGATATACATTGTCAATGGCTCAAACATGGAAATAGACATTTATAACTCACAGGTATAAAATAGTAAAAGTACATTGGAATATAAGCATATACAAATAGGGGAATTGACCTGGTTAGGGAAGTCACGAATGAGGAAAAGATTGAGCTGAGATCTGAAGGCATCATTAAAGTGAAATGGGTGAAAAAAGATGGAGCAGATTGAGAAAGACTGTTCCAGGCATAAGGAATAGCATGTGCAAAGCCAGTTGACAAGAACGATGGGCATATTGGCAGAACTCTACGAAAGACAATATAACTGAAACCCAAAGGCTAAGAGTAAAGGATGGAAGAAAAGTCTGGAAAGGAAGGTAGGGCTCACATCAATTAGGGAATGTAGACCCCACTAAGAATTTCTTTTCATTCTGTGAAGTGGTTTCAGCTTCCAAAGGCAGCCATGTGGGGAGGGATGGCAATGAGTGTGAGCAGATTTGAGTTTCAGACCATTCTGACTGTACTGAAGAGGATGGCTGCACATAAGCGGGTGCAGGAAGGTCAACTAAAAGCCAGTTTCAGGGGTGCGTGCAAGAGGCTGGTGTCCAAGATGCTAGCATTACCATGGTGACAGGGAACTCTTAATAACTAGAAAGTGGGAGAGAGATGGTCTAGGGTTAGGGATTTGTCAGACACTGGAATGGTAAAAATACAGAGGCAGGAGAGTTGAAGTAATTGGAAAATTCCATTAAAATCATGAGCCATAAAATCTAACTGAAATGGTGAGAGACTGAAGACAGACAGGACTAGTCAGGATTAATATCTTATTGTCAGATACTTAGGTTCTTTCCAGTTTGTTTTTACTTACTAATCCCGCAACAAACTCCTTAGGTAGAAATCTTTTTCACGTCTGGTTAATTTCTTAAGGTATATCTCTTAAAATGGAATTTTAGAACCAAATGATATAAATATCATAAAGATTACATATATGTTGCCAGGTTGACCCTGTAAAAGTTATGTTAATTTTGCCTGAAATTTGTGCAGGTGTGCTTAGCTCACCACAGTTTCACCAGATTAGTTTTTTCTTTAAAGTCTTCACCATTTTCGATAAAAACGACCTTTAATTGTTCCACTTGGCACTTCTTTGTTTAGTAATCTGGTTGATACATTGACAGTGAAGTTTTTGAAAAATACATATATTTCCCCTAAATTATATGCCCATTTCTCTTGCCCATATTTTTCCTTAATATTTTAGTTTCCTCATTAATTGAAAATATTAATTTACATTTTATTGAGTATCAACTCTATATGATAATTATTACAAAATATCTTTCCTGTTTAATATTTTCTTAAGTTTTTTTATATTCTTTACACAGAACATAGAAATTTATGTGGTCAACTATATTGATATTTTCCAATTTTTATTTCTATTCTAGAACATCTCCTTCTATCTGAAGATCCAATCTTTAGAAACTAGCTCTTCCCTTCCAATGATGGACGTGGTCTGATTCCTGCTGACCTCTTTAACTTTATCTGATACTACTCACTTCCTCCACCAGTGCCTTCTAGCCACTCTGTCTTGCTTTCTGTCCCAAGTTTTGAAGACTTTTTCACTAGCTATTCCCTCTTCCCAAAATGCTTTTCTCCCTGATTTATGCATGACTGCTTTTTGTAATTAATGGCTCAGCCTAAATGTCATCTCAGAGTCCACACAGTTCAGCGTAACCCACCCAGTATCTATCACATCTCCCTATTTCTAATTTTATCTTTGCCTGTGTTTGTCTCTGCCTTGCCCCCATTAGAGAGTGAGCTCTGTGAGAGCAGAAAACTTGTCATTGTTTTTTGCATTGATATTTATTTACCTAGAATAGTGATTGGCACAAAGTAGGCATTTGATAAGAAATATTTTTTGAGTGAGTGCATGGATACTGATCCTTGTAATGGAAGCATTTGTAACAAAAATAAGTTTCTTCTTTATAAACACAAAACGTCCAAGAGGAAAAAGAACTATCTTTTCTCTCGTTTAATTTCTGCTACTTTTGTTTTACCTTTTATTTTATTCACTCTAAAATTTTTTTTATGGTGCATGCTGTCAGGATCTGACATTTTTTCTCAATCATCTTTCTCTACTGGGTATCCCTGGGATTATCTGTCTGGCACCTTCTTCCCCTTTCACTGAGGAACTTCTAATTCTACTCTGCTCTCACCAGACCACATGGTTACCTCGGTGTTTTCATATTCTCACATAGCCCAGCCCTCCATTGGCCACAGCTAATCAGTCAAGCAGTAAGCCATTCAGAATCTATCACTGAGATTTTTCAAACTGAAACTGGGAAACCAAGTTATTCCTGATTTGGTGGTGAAATTTTTACAGTGTAGAACATGGAGCTGCCAGTGGCCCCATGAAGAAAGCTTGTGGTAAGAATAAGTGAAATGTGCAGAGAAGCAGAAATGAAGGTGGAGACAGGGTCCCGGCGCTGAACTAGTACCAGTGTACTGATGTATTGCTACAGGTATGTCTATTAATTGATGAAAAAGTAATTGTAGTTTTGATCACTAAGTTTGGCCATTAAAAGTAATGGCCAAAACTGCAACTACTTTTGCACCCATCTCAGAAGTCTCCCTGCTACTCACACGTTCCATAAATCTATAATCCGAGTGTTCTTCATTCAAACAAATTTGCCTAGTTTGTTTGGCTTCCATTTCCAGAAGCATTTTTCTACTTGTTAGTGTGTGTGTGTGTGTGTGTGTGTGTGTGTGTGTGTGTGTGTGTTGGCTTTATGATTGTTTACCACTTTCTTGCATTCTTTCACTTGACTTCATTTCTTTATGTATCAGTTATGTTTTTCCTGTTCCCTAAGGTAATTCTCCTTCTGAAATGCCATTTTAATGCCTTTTAGCTTTTCATATGAATTCCCTTCTAGGTTTGTAGCATGTGAGTAATCCTTTGTGTTTATGATTCAAGTTTGAATGGAGAGTCTTTTTTATCTGGACCTGTTCAAGAATGAGAGGCAAGAGATGGGGTTGGACCATCTGGCCAAATTGTGTTTGGCATCTCAAAATATTTTTTATTTTAATCTTCTCTGTCTTCTATTCTCAGAATATACCACAGCCCCTCAGCCCATTAGGTTTAGTGAATCACCTGGGCATCTGTGTCTGAGCTCACAGATCTTCGTTAGATAATTTATCATCAACTAATAGTGTCTGACCTGGTGGATACTCATGAAATACCCATTGGATAAATATATGGGTGAATAGTTTCACTCATCTAGAAGAGTGCTTGGTTCTAGAAGATTTAGAATAAATACTTTCATGTTTAGCCATGTAACTTCAGAGCCCTAGTGTCCTTGTCTGCAAAATAAGGATAATCATGACTTCCCTGCCCAAATTATTGAATTATATTAGAGATTATGAGATGCTCCAGTGTGAGTACTTTGCAAATTATATAATGGTATATAAAGATGAATTGCTTGTAGAACACTAACTTTATCTTCACTCAATCATTGGCTGGAGCAGCTTTCAGGAAGTGTGGCCTGGGTGCAAACAGGGCAATAATTTTCAAAGGACAGCAGCTGGGGCCCTGGCTAATGAAGATCCATGAAGTAGATGTCAGAAAAGTACGTTCTCATGGCCACACAATTACTGAAAGTATTTATTGATACTTTTGACTAATTGCTATGGGCCAGCAGAATGGGTGTATTGGGCTGGCTCAATTTTTTAAACCCAAATTTTTTAACAAAAAATGGCAGACTTATGTTTAATTTTCATTAAAAAATAATTTTATTAAGGTTAAAGTTTTGGTGTAAACAATTCTATGAATACTCATAGGCAATGGCTTTTGCTGTAATTGTGCCTCAAAAATACATTGCTGTTATTGATATCTCTTACCACTAGTACCAAGAGTAGATCTACTGCAATAGATACAGTGGAGAACTTAAATAGAAAAACAGAAAATTACAAAATATTGGCAAAAATAAGTCTGTTTCTTTAGGTTGCACCAAGAACTGGGTTTCTTCTTATAAATTCTCTGCTTCATTGAAAATGTTACATATTTAATAATTTTATTGATGTCCAAAAATGTTGGAAAAGCCATGAAAAGTGAGGTGAGCTTTCTAAAGTTCTAGAAAAAAAATCTATGTTTAACAGTCCTATAAAGTTAATAAAAGTCCACATTGCTTTGCCTTCAAGTCGTTAAAATAGTTAATTGGGAATGTATTGATGCTTCAGGTGAAGCTGACTCTCAGGTTTGCTGCTGGTCTTGGCACAGCATCACAGCAGGGTCCTCGAGTTTACCTGTACTGTGTTCTCACAGAGAATAGCTAATGGAAATTCTGTTTCAATTTTACCCCAAACCTCAAATTAAACCTGATAATCCTGAACACAAAGACTAAAGAAGAGTTGAGAACAGTACGGAGAAAGTAGATAGGGTTGGCCTCCCGATATGCTCCCAAATTGCCAGAAAGATGGCAATTTAAAGTGAAACCAGGACATGGTCACTTCAATCCACACCCCCTCACAAAGGAAGATCAAGTCCAAATGTCAGTAATATGGCTCCAATATGGTAATGATAGTCCACATTAAGTAGCTCAAACAAGGACTTGTTTGTAACAAGTCAAATTTAGAAAAGACGAAACCTTTTTTTTTTTAAATTGACAACAGTTCCTTCTTCCTGAAGGCACCAACTTCTCATTTTCTCTTCATGCTTTCCACAAAAAGACCCCGAATAAACAATTTCTCCTTTTAAAATATATCAAAAACTTCTAACTATGCAACTTAATTTCCCCTCAATAGATCTTCCACATTTGGAAACTAAAAAAAAAAAATTAAAAAAAAAGAGGATAAAGAAGAAAAGGATGAAAAAAATACAGAAGGAAAGAGAAAAAAAAAAACGGAGAAAAAGCTGCCTTTAAGAAACTTCTAGTATTTATACCACTTTGTTTTTCATTCACACGAGGGAAATAACAAGAGGTCCTCTGATGAATGTTGCAGATCGCCATGGTTACGGTTCAGAGATGTAGCAAAAAGCAATTATGGTGGAAGAGAAGAAAGAAATGCACCTCTTTGTCAGAATTTCATAACAGCTGTAATAACACGAGAGCACCCAAATGAATGTAAAATAACTGAAATATTGTGGCATGTTAAATGCCAGCACATTAAAAAAATTGTATTTCAATGTCACATTATTTAAAACGACAGGAAGCATTAAAGCATTAATTTCAGCTGCACCAAGGAGCTTGTTAAGAGATACAGGGTGGGGGATACAAACCAGCATTCACACAGGGAGGAGATCTTCATACGATGTGTATAAAATACAATACTGTTTGGAGAAGGAAAAAAATGTACAAGAGCAATTTTAATCTGATATTCAGAATTAGCTCCATTGTACATTAGAGCTTAGCCCCCACACCCCTGCTAAAGCTTCTTCAGCAGTAAAACAATTGCCTAATCCTTTCCTTGCACTGCGAGCTCCAAATATTTATATTAAAAGTTTCCTAATGAGGAGAGGTATCCCCATTTCATAGCAGAACCAAATGAGGTAGTATGACCAGATTATTGTTTATACTTTATACTTAGGAGCTGGATTTGAAGAAGTCTTCTGTAGTCAGGAAAGCTTAGGAATGCCATTAGTTCTCCACTGAGGGAGAATTTTCTCTTTCAACTTAGACAGCTCAAAGTTCCTGGTTTTAAAATGTTGGTGACAGAAAATGTAGGATCTAATAATCATGAAATACCATCTCTCTATTCAGTATTCTATGAATATCATTCTCCTTGGCGTGAAAAGTTGAAGTGACACCTCTACCACAAGTGCAGATGGCTCTATTCTGTTGACCTTCAGTCACCTTCCTCAAACTAGAACGTGTATTCACTTTGCAGCTCAAATACTGTCACTCAAAGCAGACTCAAGATGGACCACAAGCAGTGTTTCATATGCTAATGGTGTATAATGGCTCTTCTCAATTGTCCAGTCATTCTGGATGTTCCTGTGTCTCCCATCCTTTCAACTTGAGCTAGAAGACAAGCAGTTGTCAGTAGGATCAGCATAAAATTATCTTCACCAAGAAGAAAGCATAACCCTTAATAAGAGCTTCTACCTCTATAGTGTCTTATAGTTTAAAGTGCTTTCATGAATGTTGTTATTCTTGTAACAACCCTATCTATGTTAGGGAAGGCATTGGAGTTCCTCTCCTGGTAAATGATGCAACTACAGCTGCATCTACATCCACATATGGTGTCAGGACCCATGCTTTCTGATATCCAGTGCCCATGACATCCCTATTCCATATTCCCAGTGGCCAGGGCTAATTCTTGTTCATACAAAAAGAGTCTAGCTACTTTTAATTAAACTTTGATTTCCTTAAGCTCCTCTTCCAGTAGTGTTGCTGCATAAAAAACTACCCCCAAACTTACTGATATAACCATTTTATTAGACTTGGGGATTCTGTGGGCCAGGACTTCAGCAAGGGCCCAATTGAACGACTTGTCTGTGCTCCTCAATGTCTAGGGCCTTAGCTGTGATGACTTGAAGCCTAAGATGGGGTGACTTAGTGGCTAGGGCTGGAGTCACCTGAAGGCTCCTTCATTTATGCCTGGTTTTTGGGCTGGATTCACTCAGACTGAAGCACCTCCATGTGGTGTCTCCATGTGGCTTGGCTTTCTCATAGCATAGTGGTCTCAGGGTAGTTAATCTTCCTACATGTCAACTCAGGACTCCAAGCCCATGCATTCCAACACAGTAGGAGCTGCCTCACCTCTGAGGAATCAGTCTCAGAACTCACACAGTACTGTACTGGTCTAAGGATTATAAGCCCGCTCATATTCAACAGATAGGACAATAGCCCCAACTTCTCAATGGGAGAAGACGTCAAAGAGTCTCGGAGCCATGTTTTAAAGCCACCACAGCAGCTAACCAAAATCCACTACCTTATCTTTGGATACATGACTTTGACAAAAATTCTATAGATACCCAAATTATTAATCTTTGAATAATTAAACCAAAGATCATAGAGTGTGTGGTGGTTAAAGATGTTCATAGTTGCTTCAGATGCAGGTAGAATGATTGTTGGAGTATAGAGAACTATGCAAAATTATAGAGGAGGAGATGTACTGTTATTGCTTCTATAAACACGAGGCTAAAGGTTATGGGGGGGTTCATTTGATCTAAGCTGGTCATGTTTACTCACCCATACTCTTCACCCATTTTAATAGGAAGAACGTCAACAGCATTTCCATATATCCACTAACTTTCAAGGAGGTAAATATCTTATGATCTTCCTTTTCACAAATAAGGACCAGCAAGAGAGTCAAGTGGCTTGTGACAGGACCCAAAGTCTCCCTTGAACTCAACCATTAATCTGATTTTCTAAGGGTTTTCCAAGACTACTATTTCCCATGTCCCTACTAAGATTGGAAAAAATACAATTTTTTTAAACACTCATCTATATTACTCTTGAAGTTCAGACAAGGCTAATAGTCTCCTAAGGAAAAATTCAAACATAAGAAAAGACACAGCCAATAAGCAAACAGTTTGATGCTTCTTCACCTAGGGAACACACAAGTTTAACCAGCCCTTACGTCAAGAAATAAAATTTGATCAGCACATTTTCCCCAGGTCTCCCTTCCCCCTTGAGTGGTTATATATTATAGGATCTTTCCGGTTTGGATTCCTTATAGACTTTTACGATGTTCGTAAGACTTATCTAACTTCCTAACTTTTTCCTTAAAATTCCTTGACCTCTTTATATTTGGTGTTTATTAAATTTTATTGCTTATCAAAATTGAGTGATTACTAAATGCATGTCTAATGTTTATTTGACAATTCAACACTGTGATTTCTGTTTTGCCTCTTAAAGTGAGTGATTATGCAGAGAGGATTACATTGTCAGGATCAAATGCCAGGTCTGACGTTCTTCTCAAGCATCTAATTGTCTGTATGCTTTTGAGCAAGTCACTTCACCTTTTTATTTTCTATTAATATTCTCTTTAGGAAACCTGGTATAGAAATATATAAACCCCAACATTCTTTCACTCACTGGAACCCTCTGCTTTTAAGCTATTCATACTAATTCCACGTCATTGTACATTTATACCTTTCTCTAAAAATAGTCATATAAATGTATCTCAAGCTCACTCTCAAAGAAGACTACTAATGTGGAAAACAAAAATCCTCCAATAGAATCAGAATATCTGCCAATTACAACATTTAAAATGTAATTGTTTGCCTGTTAGTCGTCAAATGTACAAGTGTTCATCTACCTCTGAGTGACTGCAAAATAAAAATAAATAAATAAAAATGCCGTTCATCTGGGCAGATGTAGCAGTGTCAATACAATGGCTGAATGAGTTACTCCTTAGAGTGATTTCCTTTCTGCCTCTAGCAGAATACATGGGGAAAGGAAGCAATTTGAGCATCAGCCACTGTAGCATCTGCCAGAGCCAGGGAAAGGATTGTCAGGGCTTCCTTTATGCTCTAGGCAATGGGAGTTTCAACAGAGAGGGGGCAGAAGACTGGATTTTAAAACAAAGGTTTCATTTCAGAGTGGTGATGCCTCATCACTTTATTGTTTGCTGTGTCCTCATGTCAGATAAGCGTGTTTGCAAAACACCTTAATTAGAGTTGAGGGTGGGGCTGGGCCAGAATCCACTGGACAGAAGGCCAAGCTGGAGGGGGCAGAAAACACAGCCTCACCCCATCATGATACTGGGAAGACATTAGAATTTTACTGGGAAAATGAACTTTAAGCAGCATAGATCTCTTCTGAGTTTTACTTATCCTTCCAGAATTTATTAATAATGATCTCTTCTTTGATATCTGAAGGGAAGAGAATGATCACTGTTTTTGCTTGATTGTTTTCAAGAAGAAATTTGAAGACCTTAGAAGACAAGTATATGATTCCAGAAGCAGTAAATTAAGTCAACTGAAGGCAATATATGTGAGCTATTTGCAAAATATTGGGTTGTTGGTATCTCAGGTTGTCATTGGAATTTTCTACGGATCCTGTTGCTTCTCCCTAGTAGCACTACAGGTATTTATTAGTAAAGTGTTTCCATCATGTCTATCATCCTCATCAAAACATAGTCTGCAGGAGAGAAGGATCCTGTCTTTCTGGTTCTCCACTACATTTCTAGTACCCAGAACATTGGTCATCTTTGATATCATGACACTTTGGGTAAGAAATGTTCTCTGCATCTAGTGCCACTCCATACTTTAATAATTTAGTTATATTGGTTGAGACCAATCCCATAGTTCTAAAAAGAAACACTTTATTATTTCCTGAGCAAGTTTGTCATATGGTTATCTGAGTAAGGGTATTCATAGAGATAATACCTGACAGTGTTCTACTGAGGGACTTTCTTAGATGAACCAAGATATTGGTTGATGCCTCATTTTAGGACTAGTCCTAAAACATCTTTGAAAAGTCACCACTAAGTTCTGCTTTCCTCTTACAAATGAACTTTGGTAGTCTTGCTTTTGTGTTGAACAATAAAAGCTTCCAAGGTCTTCCTATGTGGATTAGTTCTTGTCTCTGGGTAGTAATTATTGATGGAAGTGAGAGTTGGAAGCCAGTAGTAAGATTAAGTAGGTTTTACAACAGCAGTGGTGGCTTGGAGAAACAAAAAATGTTGAGTTGAAACACTGGGGGGCTTGTATGTGACTTTCTGTCAGTTCAAGGAGAAGAAGCAAGATGTGGATGAGGGTCTACTGGCTTTATGTCAGAGGGTTCTTCAGATCGCTTTTCTGCACTGCTCTGCAGTAGAGAAGGAAGGGATTTATTAGAGAAACACCCACCCAAGTGTGTCTAAGCCTAGTGAGTTTGCATCTCCCTCCCTCCTTCCTTCCTTCACTTCTTCACCCTCATCACACTCATATTATGATTTTGTTTCCACATAAACCTGGGCACAGAGGCTGTAAAACAAGAAACCATTCTGTAAGTAGCTCCAGAGTCTACACCAGATTCTGACATAGAGGAGAACTCAGTAAGATTTGATGAAATCTGGTGAAATTTGATGAAAGCTGGTGGCTGCTCAATTTGATACAGGGAAGTTAAATCTCAGGGAGCAAAGGACACGACATCTTCTGTTAAATGCAAATAATTCTATTAATAATAGCTACCCCCAAGTAAATAATTTTGCCTAAAACCTATAGAATATCATCAAGTTAGTCTGTTTTCTCTAGTCCTAGACTTCACATTATTGCTCCTTAGAATGGACAGCCATGCAACATTAGAGGAAGAGAGGGAGCTATGTTCCCAGTGGCTGTAGGCTACTATGGTTTCTTCCTTCCATGAACAGGTACTAAAAAGACACGTTCATACTTGTTCATACTCACACTGCAATTCAAATACATTGTTGAAGTAAGTACCCTATTAAACAATTTCTATAAAACCATGAGTGGGAGGAAGCTGTTTCTGACTCAAGCTTTCAGTAGTTAACAGACTGGTCAAGGTTTAGGGTTGAAGCAAAGATAATTGTGTTCTTACTACTGACCTTTCCTTTCATGAGAAGAGAGCTATTTAACAAAGCAAAACTGGGTCTGACTCCTCAGGTCTCTAATCCCTCTCTTGACCAAGGACACACACAAGAGCTGAACTGTCCCTGAGAACCATGCCAGTCGGTCTTAACAATGTGAACTTGGGCTTTCAACAAAAGGAACACTATGAATAGCAACATCAAATATTTTTCCTTTTAAATTTTTCCTATAACTTGTGTATAAACACTGCCTTTATAGCCTTTGGTTAGAAGGGCTAAGAGAGTTTGGACATTGATAATTGGTCAATTTAGTTTGCATTTCTGGATACAGTATTGTCTCCAAAACACATTTTCAAACCCTATGCTAATATTTGTAGACTTATAATACTCCAGATAACATTTACATCTCATCGAATTTTTCCAGTTTTAAAAATAATTATCGTTTTTAACAATCTTCAATTTTCAGCCCTTATTTCATTACTCACAAAGAACACTTCAGTTATGTGCCTGAAACCATGCGATGGTGTCTGTTTAAGCACTTACTATAAACGGCAATTATTTATGCTTGTTCCTCATGAATGGTCTTGAAAATGGGGCAGAGGATATAAGATAAAACTTTTAAAAAAGGGGGGGATGCCAAAATCCGCTTGATTATCACTTCTGAGATAAGAAAATGAATTTATTTCAATTAATAATAATTTATAAAAATCAATTAAAATTTCTAGCCATATGTATTCCAAATCCTACCTAGCCCTGTAGACATCTCAGTATCTTAGTAAGTCAGGACATGTATGATTGTTACTAAAAAGGTCTCCTTTAAACTCAATATTTTTTTTTTCCAGGAAGAGGAAAAAAATTTTAAAAACTCCAAAGACTGAAAGAGATCTAATAGCTATGTGAGAAATTGATAGTGACAGAAATATTGATTACTGACACAACATAAAGATGATCCTACTTCCCAGTGGTGTAGAGGACTGCCTGTGACTGCCCTCAGTTAAGTGTACATTGTTCATTAGGTCTCAGTCTGGATCCTTTATTGATGACAGAACTGGAGCAGACACTGCCACGCTCCACCCATGGCCACTCTGCTGCCTCCATTACAGTGTATGCCAATGAGGTCCTTCTCCAAACTCCAATGCCCAGGATTCTTCCCAAGAACATTGTCCCAGTATGCATTGAAGGAAGGCCAGAAGTTCTGGGAGTGTCACACCCCTTGGGAGTAGCTCCCAGCCAATGAGGGATGGGAGTTAGAGTAAAAATACCCATTTTTCTCACTCATCACCCCAGGTTCCCAGCAAGATGAAGCTCCAGGTTTGCAGCAATAAACTCACTGGCTCATTAATGCACTTCGGTCAGTTTAGTTTGCATTTCTGGATACAATATTGTCTCCACATTTTCAAACCTTATGCTAATATTTGTAGACTTACAATACTGCAGATAACATTCATATCTCATATTGAATCGAATTTGAAGCAAAGATAATTGTGTTCTTATTACTGACCTTTGTGTTGAAGCAAAGGTCTTCCTCCTCTAGTCCTGGTCTCACTATTCCAGTACCCTATCTGTGCCCTTGGGAAACCACGTGATCATTGTCTCAGGGTTTGGTTCTGGGAGAACTGAGCCTGAGACAGTGACCAAGGAGCCCTCTTAGTTTCTT
Source organism: Homo sapiens (assembly GCF_000001405.40). Classification (NCBI taxonomy): domain Eukaryota; kingdom Metazoa; phylum Chordata; class Mammalia; order Primates; family Hominidae; genus Homo; species Homo sapiens. The sequence continues at coordinate 94,540,792 of NC_000015.10, read as the reverse complement.
TCTTAACACCTCTGATGTCTTACCAAGTGAGTTATTTGCCCAAGTAGGACATGACCCCAAGTAGCACTGAGGTAATGGAAATAGATTGAGTTGATTTCCTCTATGGTCGGCCTTCCTAGCCAGCTTTTGAGGTGATAGCTATATCTAGATATAACACTACAAACAGTTTCATGGTGATGGCAGAATTATAAAATCACATATACTTCTTGCTCTCCCTGGTTCCTCTTATCCTTCAGTGGAAGTTAATTAAGGGCTAAAAAAGATAGGGAATTATAGAGAACTCTTCATAGTCACCAAACTATAAATGGATTAGTCAGTGTACAAATTTTGTATTAAAAAATACAAAATATAATGAGAAATATAGAAAGAAGACCGAGTGATCTCTGTCTTTACTGAGCCAGAAATCTACAGAAGTAAGAAACAAATAAATGGACAATCACTTATCTGCCTTTTGGCTAAGATCAAGTATAGAAAAAAAAAAACTAATGGACTATATACAAAGAATGTGCTGTGGGGAACTTATTACCTCATTGGCTCTGAGCTATGTTCCCAGAGGCCACTCTTGCTCTCTAAGATGGCCCAAAATGCTGTTAACATCAAACATGATCTTCATAGAAAAAGTTATGATATTATAGAGAATTTTATTTTTAAATTTTGCTTCCTTATATTTTCTTATTCCTTTGGCACCTACTACTTGTTCATTCTAAATATAGCATACATATACCAGGGATTCTTATTTAGCATTCTTTCTTCATTCAACAATTATTTCTACAGTGCTTGCTACCTGTGAGACACTGTTTAAGAAAAAAGGCTATAATGGTCAACAAAACTGATGAGGTCCCTACTCTTACGGAGTATTCATGGCGTTATGCAAAATGTTAGATAAGCAGATTAATAAATGAGCAAAGATCCTGTTAAACAGTGGAAACTGCTGTAGAGAAAAAAATGGTTTAAGGTAATATAGAGAATGACTAAGGGTGATGGTAACTTAAATCGGATCATTATGGAAAGCCTCAATGAAGATTAAGAATCAAATGACTAGAAGAAGACAACCATGTGAGGACCTGGGGACAGGTATCTTCTAGGCAGAAAGGAGAGCAAGTAGGATAGAACTAAGACATCATTGAGCTTGATGTGCTCTAAGAAAATCATGAAGACTTCACTATCTAAAGTTTAATGAGTAACAGAGGATATGTTTTGGAATCCAAGCCCAAGAAAAGCCCTGCCCCGACACTGCTAGAAAGCTACTTCTGTAGCACAGAAAGGCCTCAGGTGGGCAGAGGCCAGGAGCAGAATTGTGAGGAGAAAACCGGTAGCCACATGCTACAGCAAGATACTTCAGGGTTTAGGGCTATTCAAAGCATGCGTGTGAACTGTAGCCTTATCCACCCTTAGAGCTTGTCGGAAATGGAGCATCTCAGGCCATACCTCACACCTCCTGAGTCAGAACCTGCATTCTAACAAGACTTTGAGATTATTTCTACGTGCATACAAGTTACAGAATTGGCCTCCAATCTACAGGCTGACTCTGGGAGGCAAACCAATTTATAGTGGTCAAAATAGATCCTCAAAAGGAAACAGTTCAAGTAGAAAAACACTCATTTGAACTTAGTACCTGCTGATCAGTGGAAGATTCACCTCCTGAGCTGCTCTCTGGATTCTATCACGTCTTCCCATCTCCCTTTAGCTTTGTTCTTTATTCATAAGAATAAAGAATATCCCTTTCACAGTATGTAAACACATTTAAGACTCACTCCATATCTTTAAAACAGTACCCCTTGGTCACATTCCTCTTGCAAATTCCTTCTAGTCCTCAGCTTTCCTTCTCAAAGCTCTTTAAACAATTGCCTATATTTGCTAACTCTATTCTCATTCTCACTGAGTCCTCAGCTCCCTGACTTCCACCCCCATCATCCCACCTCTACTGCCCTATTCACAGTTATCCATCACCTCGAGGTCAGAAAAACCCTTAAACTCCTGCTTTTCTTCCTACCTTTCCACTGCAATACCTAATTTTCCCCTACATTATCTTCTTTCGAGGCCCTTTCTTTAAAAAAAAAAATGGTATTCTCCAGGGTTCCCCACCAGCTCAGCCTCCTTATCTCATTCTCTGCATTATTCACCAGGAATCTCCAATCTATGCTAATATATCCCTTATGTCTCCAGCCCAGACCTTACTCTTGTCCACTAGAGATTTCCACTTGGTTGTTGCTCTTGTTCCTCCGAGCAATGGGTCCAATGTTACTTTCTTCTCACATCCCATCCACCCCACACCCAGCCTACCTCTGATGTCCCCTAAGTTAGTGATGTACACCATGCATCTATTGCACAATCTTTCAATCTGGAGCTAGCTTTGAGCCTGCCTTCCTTGTTACCCATATCTAGTCAGTCACCAAATTTTTATGTTTCTATTCCTGAAAAATGTTTTAAATATATCTTCTTATCTGCATCAATACCTCTCAAGACACTGTCATCTATTAACTTGCTTGCTGCAACAGTTGCCTTACTAGAATCCCTTAGTTGTGTGTGTGTGTGTGTGTGTGCATGCACATATATGCTGCTATAACATAATGCCTGAGACTGGGTTTATAATTTATAATGAGTAGAAATATATTTGGTTCATGGCTCTGGAGGCTGAGAAGTCCAAGATCAAGAGACTGCATCTGGTGAGAGTCTTCTTGCTGCAGTATAACGTAGTGGAAGGCATCACATGGGCAGGAGGAAGACAGGAAGGGAGAAGGCTGAACTTATCCTTTTATTAGGGACCTACTCCCATGATAATGGCATTAATTCATCCATGAGAGCAGAGCCCTCATAATTCAATCACTTCTTAAAGGTCCCACTCTCAACACTGTTATGTGAAAGATTAAGTTTCCACCACATGAACTTTGGGGGAGAAATAGAGACAAAGAGTCCATATTTTGGGGGGGACAAAAAGACTATTTTTCCCCCCCAAAATATGGACTATTTCTCTCCCAAAAAATATAGACTATTGTTCTCTCCAATACCTATAAGAGAAAGTCTAAACTCCTTGATATGGCCTCCAAAGTCAACTGTGACCTGGCCCTTTGAGCCACATTCTGAGCTTTCCCCCATTATAACTTGAAAAAAGACATTCTGTCCTCTCTCTTTCTCCATCCCTCTTCCTTTCTCTCCCTCTCTTCCTACCTCCTTTTCATTTTTCATACTTTCCCTCAATATTCATATATATTCTTTATCTCTACTGGCAATATTCTGCCATCTTTTTTGGTTCTTGGCTAATTCCTATTCACCTGTCATATTTCAGCTTAAAGTATATTCTGTCTGAAAGGCTCCCCTGATCCCCCAATACTAACTTAGTGCTTCTTTAACTTTGTGGTTTTCATATTAAACTTTCATAACACCGCTTTTGTTATTGTATGTTAAATTGGCTCCATGTAGGCAAAGATTGTGTCCAAGCTGCTCACTGTTTCATCTAATTACCCAACACAGTTTCTGATTCACACTCATTATATATTTAATTATATTAAGATTTCACACTTATTTTGTGTTTATCGTGTGCCTGCGAGTCCCCTAAATACATTACGTGAATTAACTCATTTAATCTCACAAGCCATTGTCATAGTTACTGGTATTATCCCCATTTAGAGAAAGGCAAACTAAGGCACAGGGAACCTAAGTAATGTGTACGAAAGCTAACAAGTGACACAGCCAGGATTCAAGTCTAGACGTTCTGGTTCCACAGACCATGCTTTTAACATTGTTGGTTGACCAAAGAATGAGAATAAGTTGAGGTACAGGAGTTTGGATAAAACTTACAGAGGTCAAATTAATTTCCCTCTCCCACATAGCTGGGAAGTGCTGGAGCTAAGGATTTGTTCTGCATCTTCTCACTCCAAATTTTATGCATTTAGTGACTGTTCTTCTCTGCCCCTTATTTTTAATTGTTTTAAAAGCAAATTGCATTTTGCTCTCTGTGGACACAGTTTTAATAAGCCTGTTTAAATATTCATAATTCAAATGCAAATTCCCCTGCTGCAGCCTTCTGTGATTCACAGACTTCAGTGAGTGGCCTCTGCTCTTGGTGATGAGGACCCGGTGAACTGACTGGCCCCGCGTTTATCCCACTTCCTGTATGATCAGACACTCAGAACAGACTGCTGAGCCAGGAGGTTAGAATAGTCTGTCATTGCTTCCAAAATATTAATTGGATAGTAATATTTTTGCTCTATAGGCAGCTGGTTCATAACCTCTCTGGGAAAGTGCAAAATGGTGATAAAAAGTGTCTCAATTCTGGGAGAAATAATAGTGTTTCAGAATGTCTCAGGAGTTAACTGAGATGGCCATTTTTTTCCTTAATTCTCCCAAATTCACATTCACTGAGCATCATTAAACTCGGCAGTAAGATATTTAAACCCAAAACTAATTTTCTGGCATTTCTCAGTGTTCTGTATCCCTATCAAAATCAAATGCTGAATTCAGGTGGTATATTTTTATCAAAACTTTCTTTAACGACCTGAGGTTTGCAAAGAAATTTTATATGCTCAGTGCTTAAATTAATTAAATTAAAATAAATCTGAATAAATGCTCCTTTAATGAATGAACCCATGGATGAGTTCTTTTAAGGTTTCATTGTGCTTTATTTTAAGCAGAGATCGATAAATATTTGGTTTTGAGCATAGTTTTCCACCATGGTTCCTACATTTGTTTGCATGGCAGATCGGGAGAAGGCATGATGTTCTTTACGAAATACCATACAATTCAAAATATATTCAAAATGTAGGTGTATCAAGCACAGACATTTTTTGGTCCTCCCACATTGCTGGCTACTCCTCATTACTCTTCTTGGCCAGCTCCTTCCTCTTTTTTTCCACCTACCTTCAATTATGGGAGTCCATATTACTGTCTCCTTCTCTTCTTTTATCTTGCACCATGGTTTAAGCACCCTGTACATATCGATGACTTGCATATTTTTGTCTTCAGCCCTGACCTGTCCAAGTAAAACAAATTCATGTATTTAACTTATTGAAAACTCTTCTAGTCTTCACGATATCAGTAAGTGACCATTACTGAGGCCACAATCCTAGTATTAAGATTGCCAATAAAACATAGGACAGTAAGTATTCTGTAAGTGCACAGATGGTAGTTTTGGCAGGAGTGTTGCACACAGGAAAGGCAAATCCATATGCAGAATAAGTGCCTATTCCAGTAAGAACAGAGCATTGTCCTTTTCATGATGGGAGAGATCCAATATAATCAACCTGCCATGCAGTCACTTGGGCTCTTCATGCTTCTGAATCAACAGGCAAAGCAGGGGGTTCCTGTGCTGGCTAGGGTAATAGATCCTGATTAGCAAGTGTAAATTGGGCTGCTACTACACAATGAATATAAGAAGACTATGTCTGGAATATAGGAGATCCCTTCAAGTATCTCTTATTATTACCCAGTCCTGTGACTAAAGTCAACTGGAAACTACAACAACCCAAATCAGGCAGGATTGCTAACAGCTCAGACTCTGCAGGAATGAATATTTGGATTACTCTACCAGGCAAAGAACCATGACTATCTGAGGTTCTTACTGAGGACAAAGGTGATGTGGAATGGAGAGTAGAAGGTAGTTATGAATACCAGCTGTGACCACATGATCTGTTGCAAAAATGAGGACCTTAGTTATAAATATTGCTTACTTTGTTATTTAAGGTGTTTGTACATACATTAGGCAAATATTTTTATTTTCTCCCAACTCTTATTCCCCCATCATCTTAAATGAGATGTATTAATGATATTTAATATTACAATATTTTAAGTAATAGGCTATCAAAAGAAGAGTGAACATCCCCATGTTTACCCTTCTGGGGAAAGTTAAACATGTTTTTGGTTGTAGGCAGGATAGTTTTATTAGTAAGTATAACATTGTAATTGTCTTTTTTGGAGATTGAGTATGGTTTAAAAAGATGTGTATGGGTGCCAGGTTGACAAGGGGTATAAAGTGATGGTCTTTTTGGTATGTCAATTTGACTAGTCAATAGCCCCCAGATATTCAGCCAAAACACTAATCTTATGTTGCTACAAAGGTATTTTTTAGATGTGATTGAAGTCCTCAATTAGTTGACCTGAAGTAAGTGAGATTACCTTCGATAAGTTGTTTTCTAGATATTATAATTTTGGTGGGCCTGACTCAATTGTTTGAAAGGGCTTAAAAACATAACTGAGGTTTTTCTGGGGGAAGAAATACTGCCTGTTGTGTAGAGCTTTTGCTTTTGCCAAGGTTGTCAACCTCCCCTTCCTAATGGCCGGCCCTGTGAAAGTCATGCTCTCCTAGCCAGCCCCCACAATTATGTAAGCCAATTCCTGGAAATATATTTCTTAATATAAATTTTCCACTGATTTTCTTCTGGTTGAACCCTGACTGATAGACTAAATCTGACAACCCTACATTGAAGTCAGCTTGAATTCTGTCTTTTCATCCTCTATCTCTTCACAGAATGCATCTGCAAGTCTTGTGGGTACTATCTTCCAAACATACAATAATTTCTATCATGAATCAACATCTCTACCAACAATAATTTGGTCTAAACCAAGCCTGTCTTCTACTTAAAATACTTGAATGGCTTCTTACTCCACTTTGAGTAAAATCTAGACTTTTTACTATAGAGTCATGGATGTAGAACAAATTTTTTATCTCAGGACCAAATTTTACATTCTTAAAAATTGAGAACTGTAAATAACTTTTGTTTATTTGGAACATATCTATCCATATTTACTGTGTTAGAAATTGAAATGGAGAAATTTTAAAGTAGCTATTATGTAAAATAACATCTACTTGTTAACATACCATCTTTGCTTATGATAACTCTATTTTCAAATAACTAATGAGAAAAGTAGCATTGTTTTAAAATTGCAAACCTTTTTAATGTCTCACTGAATAGAAGACAGTTGGGGTCTTTTATCTGCTTCTATATTTAGCATGTTACAATGTATTGCTTTTGTTCAAGTATAGGAAGAAATCCTGACTTCACTCAGATATGCAGTTAGGAAAGAGAAGAATATTTTAATAGCCTGTTTGAGCGTGTACCAAAACTTGACAGGTGTTAGTTTTTTAAAGTTGCAATATGGAATCTGAAACTATAAGAATTAACATTAAAATCCATTACTTTGTCTTTTAGTTTAATGTTTTACCACTTAATGATTTTATAACATTTTTACTTTGGTCTTTGGGAAAATATTGGTTCACTGAGTTAGACAAAACTTCCAAATCTTGACATGTTTCAGATATAATAACAAACAATTATTTTCATTTAATATCTCTACAAATCTCATAAGACAGCTATTAGGCTCTCAGTGGTAAACGTAAGTTTTCTAAAATTTGCATTTTATTTTTAAAGTTTACATTTTGTTATTTACAACAAATACTGTCACTTGTTTACCATTAAGTGATAGGCTCACTTTGTTCACTTTCAAGAAAATGTCGGCCAAGTACCCAAGTCTGAATAATTATACTTTGTCAATTCTTTCAAGTAAAAATAGTGTTCTATGAAAAAAAAGGGGCTAGTTTGGTTAGCGACTGAAATAACCACCACAAGTACTTTTCCTTGTGATAACCATTATACTTTGCTATGGAATAGAAGTGCTTCATATAAACTTCCCATTTTATCACAAAAAAGATAAAATTAAGAATTTTTATTGCTCTCTCAAGGACATTCTTAAGTGAAAGTGGCTTTTATTTCTCTGCAAGCACATGGTGATAAACAGTGTTCAGTGGCATCGTATTGATTTCTGCTAAGGTGTATCAGTTTAACCCACATCACTTTTGGTCCATCAGTGTCAATCTCAACACAGTAAAACGGGCCAAGAATATATTAGTACCATTATGAAAATTTTGAGTTTACCCCCGAAAGGGTCTCAGAGACCCCCTTCCTCGACAAAAGGACAAAGAGCACACTTTGAGAACCTGTTATAAACGATGGATCCTCATTGTTCCCACCCCCACCCTGCCTTAACTTGAATTCCATGGAAAATCCAGCCATTTAGAAATCATAACAGCCAGATATCATGATGATCCCTTTAATCTACAAAAATCTGAGTGCCTAAAGATTGTCTCGCCTTTATTGAGCATAGATAAATAATGTGTTCTTCCATGGAATACTTTCTGTACATTTCATCTACATGGCTCTGCTGGGTTGGATCATGTATTAGGGTTCCCAAAGAAACAATCAATATCATGTGTGCACATGTATAAAGGGAATGTGGTTTGTTAAGGGATTGACTTACGTGATCATGGAGGCTGGCTAGTCTAAAATCTGCAGGATGAGCCAGCAAAGAAGATCTGATGTTGCAATTCAAATCTCCGACCTCTGCTCCCTGCTGGCAGAATTTCCTCTTGCTCAGGGGAGGTCAATCTCTGTTTTAGTAAAAACTTAGACTGATTGAGTGAGTCCCTCCCACACTGGAGAGGGCAGTCTGCTTTACTCAAAGTCTGCTGATTTATTTATGGCAACCTCATCCAAAAACACTCTCATAGAAGCATCCAGAAGAATCTTTGACCACATATCTGGGCACTATCGCCCAGCCAGGTAGACATATACATCACAGATAGTACCCACTAAAATTCATTTCTTTGTCAGGACCTCAGAATGGGGCAAAAGTTGGGAATAAGCCCATTGAAGATGTAATTAGTTAATATGAAATCATACTGGAGTAGAGTGGCCTTTTAATACAATGTAATTTGCATCCTCATAAGAGAAGCTGCACACAGACAGAGACACACAGGGAGAACGCCATGTGGTGATGGAGGCCAAGATTGGAGTCTGCAAGCCAAGAAAAGCCAGGGATTGCCAATAACACAAGAAGCAAAGTGAATGGCACAGAACAGATTGTCCTCTGGAACCTTTGGAGAGAGCACGGCCCTGCCCATTCCTTGATTTTAGACTTGTAGCCTCCAGAATTGGGAGAGAGAATACATTTCTGTTGTTTTAAGTCCTCCAGTTTGTAGTAATTTGTTATGACAGCCCTGGAAAATGAATACAATTTCTGTATTACTATGTGGCTTAAAGTGTGTAAAAGTAGAAACAGAAATCTGTTCTTGGGTAAGAATAGATAAATACTTGGGATTTCTCTCAAAATGATGGGGAAAGCAAGGACAAGACCCCTGACTCGGCTGTACTGAGTGACCTGATGCGTGGAAAGAGAGAGACAAAGCTAGGGATTGAGCAAAGTGCCTGGCAGAAAAGAGAGGACAGCGGTGATATTGAACAGAGCCAGCTGGAGACATCTGCAAAATGAAGGATGCCAATCAAGGGCACAGGGTGGAAGGGTCAGAAAGGTTTCAGTCATTTTCTTCTTTGATACGGGTATCTATCCTGGAGAGCTTTTCAGAACGATATCTAAAAGTCACTTAGAGGGCCCCAACTTTGCCTTCTGCAAAATTAGGAGTAAGAAAGAAAGGAGAAGAGGAGAGCCAGAGGGGTTGAGGGAAGAGACAGGCCTGCTGTCTCTCTAGAAAGGAAAAGAAATTGTCAGATCGCAGCTGGTAAATAAGATGTTACAGCAAAGCTTGAAAAGCCGGGTTCTTTCTCCTTTGTAGAGGCTCTACCTGCATAACATGAAGGGGCTCAGTGACAGACACATTAAAACACCATTAAACTGTGAAATAGAACACAGTGTGAAAATAGATTTAACCTTCACAGCGTATCGATCTCTACCCCGCGCCGTGCCCAAGTTTTTGGACAACTGTTTTATAATAGGTTTTACTTATTTTCCTGTTGCTATTCTGACTTCCTCAGAGGAGGGTGTTATTTCTAAAAGCTCCTGACAGCTGAGAGAAGCAGGCTTGCTTCTCAGGGAGTGCCTGGCCTTGGAATGTTCCTACCAGCTGCTCCATAAACAGAAATCAGTTTTGTGAAAGTGAGGAATGAGTTTGTGGTGGCCCCTGGGATGACAGACACCCAAGGATGAGGAGAACATTGCCAGTTTCTCAGGGAGTGGGAAGGAGAGAAGGTTAGGTCCATACAGCTCCAGACGACGGCAGTCATCTGGTGTCTACGACCCTTACAACTTCATTTAGGCACCTAAGGACAGGGAGATATTGCTCTGTTATAGAATGGCTCTTGCATTTTATTTTATCTTCAAGGTGTACATCCACATGCAATCAGAAGTCTTTTCATAATAAGCAACAAGAGTTTCAGTTTCCTAAAAATGATCACAAAAGGGAAAATCTCCAAATAATTTTCTGAAGAAGTTTTTAACCCACATTGAGCAGACTGACAAAAAGTAACATAAAAGAAAATCATTTACTTTTCATGGAAACATCCTTATTTAATTCTACAATGGCTTCGAGAATTGTGCAAATTGAAAGATATATTTGTGTGTCAGAAAAAATAATAATGAGGCTAAAAATCCCTGATATGTGGAACTTAACACTATTTTCTTTGGCTCATTTTATTTTAAAAATGAACACCTAAGAAATAGCCCCTTCCTAAACTGTAGCAGAGTCAGAGAAAATTTATAATGAAGAGACCAGTGTATGGTAAAGCAACCAATAGACCAAGGAACTTGCACTGTAGGCCATGAGAAGCCAATGTAGGCCAATACTTCAAGTTCATTGTCTAAGGTGGAGCAAGTGCTCCTGATGGTGCTCAAATTTGAACTCACAACATTGTTTTCCCAATCCTATTTCTTATAGTTCATCGTGTTAGAGATTCAAATATATTTGATGAAATCAAATACCACTTTTATATGAAACTTGGTAAAAGAGGATAAAAATTCTTTTTTAACATGACATAAATCTATTCCAGTCTAGTAACTGCATCATGCTTAGTGATAAAAAACTAAATTTTAAACCTAAAGGTTTATATTTATATTTTTATAAAATATATATAAAATATAAAATTTATAAATTTATATTATTTATATCATATTTAAATTATGAAAATGTTTAATTACTGATGAAATAAAATACAATGGAACAATAGCTTTAATAATGAAAGGGATAAAGAAAAATGGTCTTTTTAGTCATATGATTGCTACCTAGAAAATTCAGTAAGATCTGATTAAAATAATTTACTTAAGTATATATGTTGATTAAAAACTATATGTAAAATACCACTAACTCCCTGTATTATATATACTTCTAAAATAGAAAAAGAAAAGATCCCTCTCTTTCCAAACTATTGTACCCAGTTGCAACCAAAAACATAAAATAAGTGGGAATAGTCCTTACAGGAAATGTGTAGAATCCATGTAAGTAAAATATAAAGTATCATTATATCATGTCACATGTTGAGAGATTTAATGTGAAGATAGCGAGTTGTCCCAAAATAATTTATGAATGTAATGAAGTCCCAGTGGGATATTTTTAGAGCATGAAAAAAAAATTTCCTAAAGTGTATGTAGAAGAATAAGCTGATTTAGATAGTTGAGTCTTTTAAAAATCAAAATTGATAGTAGACAACATGACCAGCCAGATAGTAATCATTCATGAAGGAAATACTTGAGAACTTACATTGTGCACCCTGCTTATAGCAGAGGTGGGGGTGAATAGACACAGATCCTCCCCTCAGGGAGCTTACAATCCCGCAGAAAGAAAGATATTAAAGAGTAATAACAAACATATTATAAATAATTACAAATGATAATAAGTATTTTCCAAGAAAGCTACAGGTTATGGAGAAGCAGTGTCTGGTGGTCTGAGTTATCTGTCCCAATTAGAGGATACCACACACATTGATGCCACACAAATGTCACTGGACCTGTATGCCACACACCAGCACCCAGATGCTTAGGGGAGTGACATTCAAACTGGAATCAGGATAGGAAGGGTAACACAGTTCCTGGTAGCAGAGAAATAGGTGTGAAGGCCCTAGGAAGGCCCAGGAAGATCTTGGCACAGTCAAGAAATGAAAGGAGCCCAGTATGGACAAAGGAGAGAATGCCAGAGAGAGATGTAGGGTAAGAGTTGGAGAGACATGTATGAGGTGGCCACAGGCAGACCTTGCAAAACTGAATTGATTTTATCTAAGTACAGGGAAATTTTCCTGTAAGTTCTGAGCAGGGAAGTAACATAAACTAATGGTTCCAGTTAATTTTTTTTATCGTGTGAATAATTGTTTGGAATGAATTAAGAATGAACATAGGGAGATTAAATATGAGCTATGTGGTACTCCAGGAAAAAGACGGTAGTGTGATTAACCAGGCTAGGGACACTGGAAGTAAAAAGTGGAAGGAGTTGAGAAATATTTTAAAGGTTGAATTCATGAGACTCGGTGGTTGAGTGAGTAGGAAGTCAAAAGACCAATATAAAGGCAATATAATTTAAACAGTTTTCCATGGGTAAAAGAAAAGGCAGACTGCTCGTGCGATAAACACACACACACACACACACACACACACACACACACACACAAAATAAAAATCCAGCAATAGGTCCATATATATTTTTATTGGCAATTTAAAATAGTGAGAAAGAATAGATTACCCATGAAACATCTATAATGGATACACTAATTTAATCAGGTAATAGGCTCAATATTTTGAGTGGAGAGAGAAAACAATAAGGTCAATACCTTTCTCACAACTTACAGAATAAAAATAAAGCGTTAAAAGTACTAGAAGATGATCACTTTGGGAGGCCAAGGCGGGGGGATCACAAGATCAGGAGAGCAAGACAATCCTGGCCAACATGGTGAAACCTCATCTCTACTTAAATACAAAAAATTAGCCAGGTGTGGTGGCGCACGTTTGTAGTCCCAGCTAATCGGGAGGTTGAGGCAGGGGAATCGCTTAAACACAGGAGGCGAGGTTGCAGTGAACCGAGATCGCACCACTGCACTCCAGCCTGGTGACAGAGCAAGACTCAGTCTCAAAAAAAAAACAAAAAAACAAAAAAAAACAACAGTACTAGAAGATGATATAGGTTGATATTTTAATTTTATTTCACTTTATTCTTTCTTTGCTTTTGGACCTTAGAAATAGACACAATACAAAATACTCCCAGTTCATGGCTCAGTATAGTTCCTTGCTCAGTATAACATGCCCTCCAGTCTTTGTATTTGATTTTCTCCCTAGCATTACTACTACTCTACCTTTCTGACTTTGTACCTTCCAACCCCAACAAGCACCTATGATAATGTTCTTGATAATATTACTACTTAGGGTTAATGAAAAGTTTGCAGGTAAATACATGGGGGTGCCCTTTGTAGAATACATAGCATTTTGTAATATTAAGTTCATTATTGTTCCATCAAAGAATATAGCATATCTCTTCATTTAATCAAATCTTCCTTTATGTACTGTGTAATTGTTCTAAGATTCTCTCCATAAATACTTGTGCCTTCCTTGTTAGGTTAAACTCCAATGACTTTACAGCTTTTGCTGTTATTTCAAAAGGAATCTTATTTTCAATTTCCTTTTCTGAATGGTAATTCCCAGTACAGAAGAATGATATTGATTTTTAAATTTTATTTTGAATACCGAGTTTTTAAAAATAATCTTGGAGTAGGGAGTGTCTTTAAAGCATAATGCCAAAAGCAGAATGCATAAGAAAAATATTTGTCTGTTTTCCTGTCGAAGGCAAAAGACAAATGACAATCTGGGCAACAATATTTGCTACATATATGACAGAAAAGGAGGTAGTACCCCAAACAGATAAAAAGTTATTACAAAACAAAAAATTGTCAAATATGGGCAAAGACCATAAAGACAAAATTAAAAAGAGAAGAAATAGAAATATCCTGCCAACAAGAATAAATATTTGATACTGTATGTAAATCAAAGACCTGTAAATTAGAAGAAAGTATTTCTTTGCATTATAAAATGCATGAGAGGGGATTTCTATTGTAGTGATAGAAGCCCAACATCATGTAAATATGCAGAAAGGAAAGTTATTGGATTGGTTAATGGGGATATCTCTGGATGGTTCTTGCTTCAGTCCCAGGTAGAGCCAGGAACTCACGTCTCATAGTTTTTGTCTCTATTGGATTTTATTTTTCATGCTGATTTTGTCTACCTGGCAGACAAGATAGCTGACAGCCAGTAGCTTCTTCCAGCCTAACAAATTGAGATAAAATCTAACAGCTCTTTATAATCTCTGCATGAAACCTAGGAAAGATTTCTCTCATTGGGACACTTGCTTATACTGATCCAACAACTGTAGCTAAGAGTTTGATGCATTAGGATAGCTGAGCCTAGATCATGCAACTAACCTTATGGCTGGGTTTGGCCCTATGCTTGACAATCTCACTGGACCCATGGAGTTGAGGAAGGAGGGCTGCTTTTTTTCCAGAGTAATGCGTACACAAACAATTTGATATTCCCAGTCATTTGGAACAAACAACCAATTCACATTATCAGTAGAAATAAAGAGGAACACTGCACAGGCAGAAGAAAGAATGTGGGTGGGTATTTTTCAATTCATCAAAATTTTAAAAACCATGAATCATTAGGGACAAACAAAATCAATAAACTGATTGACTGTGGAGAAAGTCCCATCTGAAGTTAAAGAGTTTCCAAGGATATACTTGGTCTCCTTGTAATTTTCTTCAGGGCCCTAGTGGCAGCAAGACCTCATTACACTGCAAGTGACCTCCCAAACCACTACAGGGGACTTGTGAGCTAAAGTGGCTTGCTTTCGACATTATATATTCCAGTCCTTGGAGAAAAACGGGGCTTACAATTCCATCTTAAGGGACAAAAGCGAGCACGGGAGAGGGCTGAGATGGGGAGAGGAGACAGTTGATCTACAGTATAAAAATAGATCTCTCTTAGTGAACAGTGTGCTCTGTGCTGAAGGTTAGGTAGAAATACAATCTCAAGCATGGGAGAGGCACACTAACTTTTTATTTTTTCTCCCAGCTAAACTGATAGGTTGGCAGGTTTGAGGTCTGTGTCCTTTAGAAATCCCTCTGCAGAGCTCGAAGGCTTAATACAAGCTGGAGACGCAATAAACAGAATGAAGGTCATTTGTAGCTTCTACTATGAAGGGAAAATGTTTTGTTTTATGAAAAACACAAAATGCAGAGAAAATTGAGCCTACAAGGGGATGATGGGAAGAATGCAGAGAAGAAAAATAATGAAATTCTATATTCCCATAGAACTTTACAGAAAATTTGAATTATCTTTGACAACAGACCTGCCATCTTCCAGATTTAAATGCCTTTAAATGGTATATGGCACTTGAAGTTCTGCATGGAGAAATGAGGCCAGTACAGGGTTTAGAGAAGTTGCTCTGACTATAGAGTTATATGCCGCCTTCTCTGGACTTATAGAGATCTAAGTAGGAGAGGGGGTGAGAAACTGGTTAGACCCTGCCCAGTCACGAAAGGAAAGGAGCCGTGGGTCCAGCTTCTTTTTACTTGTTTACCCTGGATTTGGGGTTCTATGAAGAGTGTCATTATTACCTTAATTCCAAGTCATTTACTATTAATAAATGTCAGATACGATTATAAAGTATTAGATACTATTTTCAATTTTCATATTTTAAAGATAGCGAAACTGCCGTTGCAAAGATTATGACAGAGAAATCTAACATGGCGGGCTCCATCTTGCTTCTAGCCTCACAAGCTAGCTATCTTCACACATTCCCGGGCATAGGCCAACCTTACCATGAGAGAAATTTAGTTTATAGTTTATATAATCTAAATTATATAGTTTATATAAACTACATTTAGTTTATAGTTTATTTAGTTCATAGTTTAACATAAACTACTTAGGCAAGGATGATAATAGTCCCTCCCTGAAACTAACTCCCTCCTTCCTCAGGGATGGAAAATTAATAAAACCACAAGATTAGGATTATGGGAGGGGCTTGAACTACGCTAAAATGTAGGCATAGTTTCTATAATCCCTTACTGCTCAGGAGCCATGTGGCCAGAGGTCACAAGATTTGTGACTTTCCCAATTGCTTCTGTAGACAACATCAATATCATAGAACCTAAGATTGGTCTTTTAGGTTTTTTCCAGACTTTTTCATTCTGGCAATTGACTGGCCTCACCTGGACTCTGAACTCATGACTCAACAGATCCTGCGGCCCCACCCAGAGGCAGACAGCTCAGGAGGACCGTTTTCCACACCCCTTTGATTGCATTCCCAACCAATTAGCAGCACTCATTTAGTTCCCTGCCCATGAAACTATCCTTGAAAAACCCTAACCTCCCTCCAGGCCTTCAGGGAGATTGATTTGAGTAATACCTTTATCTTTTACCAGGCTAGCCTTGTGTTAATTAAACTGTTTCTTTACTGCAATACCACAGTCTCAGTGAATAGGTTTTGTCTATTCAGTGTGCAGGAATAGCCCATCAGGCAATTACAGCAGAACTACGTTGTACTTACTTTTTGTTTTCATCATACTTAGAAATAACACCTGGCACATAGCAGTCTCTCATAAGTTTTGACTGACTAACCGAATGAATGAATGGATATAAATGAAGGAAATAAATCTAGGCAATGCTCACTTTTTGGAGTGCTTCTTTCCATTTAACATATTTATTGTATGTCTGTGTGCAAGGCCTTTGAGTCGGATGTTAGGCAACATTTAGAGATGAGAATGCCACAGTTCAAGAAGGGATGAAATGGGCAAGCACATTCTTCTGATAGAGTAAGGAAGGTTACAACTGTTAGAGCAGAGTAGGTAGTTAGGCAGACGTGAGTAGGGCAGGAGAGCCCCCCCAACCCCAGGAATGTCAGGCGACCCTCAGGTGATGGTCATGCGGTTGTTAAACTGTCTCGCTAAAACAATAATTGGTTGCAGCTGGCACCAGGGAGCGGCGGTCTCCAAATAAATAAACATCTGCAGCTGGTGACCAGCAGCTTCCCGATAAGATCTCAGGAGTTGTGTGAGGGCACAAGCATGTTCACGAAGGGGCAAAATGGCAGTTTAACGGGTCTATAACCTTCCTCTAGGAACCCTCAACAGGTGAGGGAAAATGCCTCAAATGAGCACGTGTACGATTTCAGTAAACACACTATGCATGAGGCCTCTCCAAAATGGTGGCAGGTCACTGCACAAGTGGACAGCCCACCCCAAGGGAAGATTCAGGGGAGAAGTAATGCAACACAGAAGTATGCAAACATATAAAACTCCAAGTCAAAGGTCAAGCAGTGCACTTGATCTCTCAAGTCTCCTGATTGGCCCTCTTCCAAGTGTAATTTACTTCCTTTCATTCCTGCTGTAAAGCTTTTTAATAAACTTTCACTCCTGCTGTAAACTTGCTTTGGTCTCTCACTCTACCTTATGCCCCTTGGACAAATTCTTTCTTCTGAGGAGGCAAGGTTTGAGTTGCTGCATACCTGTACAGATTCAGCACCACTGCTAACGCAACCAACATCAGAATGGAACTAAGGGATATACAAACTTAAAAGCAAGAAAGGTTATGCATAGTCATGGGGATCAATAACTGTTTCTTGGCTGGGAGCGGTGCGTCTCGCCTATAATCCCAGCACTTTGGGAGGCCCAGGCAGGTGGATCACAAGGTCAGGAGTTCGAGACCAGCCTGGCCAACATGGTGAAACCCCATCTCTACTAAAAATAGAAGAACTAGCCAGGCGTGGTGTGCACTCATAATCCCAGCTACTCAGGAGGCTGAAGCAGGAGAATCGCTTGAACCCGGGAGGCGGAGGTTGCAGTGAGCCGAAATTGGGCACTGCACTGCAGCCTGGGCAATAGAGCAAGATTCCACCCCCCAAAAAATAATAATTAAAAAAAAATAGCCTGTAATCCCAGCTCTTTGGGAGGCTGAGACAGGCAGATCACAAGGTCAGGAGATCTAGACAATCCTGGGTAACACAGTGAAACCCCATCTCTACTAAAAATACAAAAAATTAGCCGAGCGTGGTGGCAGGCGCCTGTAGTCCCAGCTACTCCGGAGGCTGAGGCAGGAGAATGGTGTGAACCCAGGAGGTGGAGCTTGCAGTGAGCCAAGATCGCACCAATGCACTCCAGCCTGGATGATAGAGTGAGACTCCGTCTCAAAAAAATAAATAAAAATAACTGTTTCTTAAACAGCTGTGACACGGGAAAAGCACCGAAAAATGGAGACAATTTGACACTGGGAAAAAAATGTCAAGGCAAGTGTATGTATTTAGGATTGAAGAGTAGTGGAATGTAACTGAAATCCACCATATTTCTGAGACAGTAGTGATACATAGGACTGGAAAGCTATGTTGGGGCCAGCTACTTACCCATGCAGTTGAGGGAAGTCAAAATATTTTACCCCAAAATATATTTTCTTTGACACATTTGGAAATGGCTGCCGCAGAGCCAGCAGACTGAAGTGGGGAAAATTTACATCCATACAGAATCATTATTAATGCAGCCAGGACTTTCCTTTCCAGGCATTTCTTGATGTGGAAGAGATTTACTGAGTCTGATACCTTTAAAGGTCTGACAAGAGACATTTGCTGCCTATGCCTTCTGTTCTCTTGGAGGAGTGCTACCAATAAGGCTTCGTCAACATAACAAGGCCACCTTAGCTAGACAGGCCTCTTCCTTTCTTCCTCTCATAACCTGTCTTGCCACTAAACCTGAATTACCAGCACAACCTCTTTGGGGCCATGCTCTGAGCCCACATTCTTTCTATAACCTCAAGTAGGTATATAAGCTTCTGCGCCTTATTGTCTTCATTCTGAAGGCTCTTATGTACATGCATTAAACAAATTTGTATCTCCTATTAATGTGCCTTTTGCGAGTTGATTTTTCAGTGAAACTTCAGAGGTCCAAGGGCAGTAGCCCCTACCAAGTTCAAGATGCTCCACTTACTGGAAAAGAAAGTTGGTCACGTATTATTATTGCTGGTATAGTGCTCTATTTCTAATACTGGATGGTAGGTTTTTTGAAGGCACTGACTCTGTCTGGTTTCTGCCTGCCAGGAATGTATATGTGTGTGTCTCCTATTAGGAAGTGTCCTTTGCCATGGGCTACCACTCAAGAAGCTGCCATGAAGGAAGTGATGCTAGAGTGACCCTGATGACCTCCCTTCAGTGCCCCCATCAGCTCACCTCCTCATGCAGAAGGAAGTGGGCAAGCACTCTCAGTCCCATTCCCTCACTTTCTCTTTAAAGTAGGCATTTTTCTCTGCACCTCTTTGCCCTGAGTCTTACAGAGCAGGTTATGGTCCTCGAAGGCGAGTCTTGTGGTAGTCAACAGTCACTGTGCCTGGCTGAATAAGTCTAATCCCACAGTTGAGTATTAGGAAGCCCGCTTGTCCTTATTTTTCAATAGCAGTAATAAAGATGTATTTTCATCCCCATTTGTTTGAATCTACCTCTTGGTTGTTTCTGAACTCAGGTCAATGGGGAATTATTCTGGCCTTTTAAAATCCCTCAAACCCTAAGAGTAGGCATTCAGTAAGTGTATGCTGAATGAAAGAATGAATGGGTGATTTAATTATCAAACTCATGGAAGCAAGAAACACCAACATTGCCCTCCTATCATTTACTGCTTTGTGATAGCCCAGCTGTGACTGGGTATCCCTGATAATGGGATCTTACAATGTGGTCATTTTGGGTCACCATTAGTAGATCACTTTCCCCTTCCTGTTTTTGGAATAATTAATTATTTTCTGCTTTTCAGAAAAATCTATTTCTCAACGCTTAGAAATGTTTCTATTCCATCTCACTCTTTGGACACAATGTCCCTTTCCCTACCATCACTATCTCTTGTAGCTGCGGCCTCACTAATTTCTAGTCTTTATTTCTGCATCCAGGAATGTTAATAATCCTTGAATTTAGGAGTATTGGTCCTCTTATGTCATGCAGCTCCTTCTGCACGGGGACACATCTCTTAGGATATGATGCTTATAGACTCCAAACTTAGTATGTGTTTTTCTTCTTCTTTCGCATATCCCTCACCAGGTTATTACACACAGTTGAATGAAGAACAAGAAGATTTTTTAATTTGAGTTTGATTTAGATTTTGTTTCATTTTAGAATACACTGATATGCCTAGAAACCAGGTACTATAATTTTGTCATGAGCATGCCAACTGAAGCAAGAAGTCCATCTGCAGTTCAAAGCTAGCATTTTAATGTTCACATAGCTTTTTTCCAAAAATGGCCACCACTAGTTTCAAAGCATCTTTGAAAATGATAAAACCTAGAGATCACTGGGACTAAATGAAATTGCAGTTTGTGGATACAACTGAAAAAGTAGAAGGGATTGAACATTCAGCTCCCACAGACCTCTGGACAGAAGTGTCTGAGCATCAGTATAGAATTTGAAAAAAGAGGAGGGTAGTAGAGCCCATTGAAAATGGAAAAACAATTAAAAATATATTGAAAGTAGAAAGAAAAAGAGAAATCAGTCCTAATTAATTCTGGTGCCCTTCTCAACCCCAGCCTCTTTGTAATCCTACTGGGAACATCTTTATTGATCTGGGGGTCCAGCAGCACGCTTCTGATGCTTATCTCAGCATAAAAACAGACTCTTGTGATGAGCAGTGATTTAATTACATGACAATCACCGTTAACAATGCATGGCGAATACCAAAAAATATGCAGAACAAGACTGGCATTGATAAATGCAAAGAGGTGGCATTGACTTTCAGTAAAGTTTCTGCTTAAACCTCTGCTGCTACTTCTGTCATAGAAAAGAATAGTCTTCAGTTACTTGAAATGTCTAAGAACTGACCATTGGTTCACATTCAGGTAATAATAAGGAAGTTTACAGTTTAAAATATCAGTATTTAATAGATCATTAGAACCCATTTCTAGAACCTGAGAAATGTACCTAGCATTAAGCTTTTCCACAAAAATTGTGAGACATTTACAAAGCAAAATGGTAACATCTTTACAAAGAGACCTTCGCTTGTCTTAGGTGTTCAAGACTCACTCAATGCTTATGCCAAGGTTAGTATTGGAAAATTATGGGATAAACTTGTGGAAATTGGATATATTCTCCCAATAAGAGCCTTTCAGAATAAAATCTCAAGTGTCTTCAGACATGTTAATGCCTAGGCTTTTATATATGACAAAGTACATTTTTAAGTTTAGCCATATGGAAAACTATAAACTAAGTTCCTGTCTTTATCACTAGACTAAGTTGGATAAATCAAAGTTAATTACTAATTTAGAAAGATTATGTTAGGATGTTAATTAACACAGGTTGCTTAAAAACATTTGAGAAGGTAAATATGTGAATAGGGGCTACAACTTGTGCTTGAGTTTCTTAAATCAGTTTAATTGAACGTGGTAGGATGGCCCTTCTGTTATGGGGGACCAATAAAATGAAAGGATGACACAAAAGAGAATAAATCCATGTGAATTAAGGGAGTGGAAGAAAGTGAAGGAAGAATCATCCTACACAAGAGCTATAGAGAAGTGTGTGGATTAATGGAACGCGGTAGTGTGCAGGGAGGGGTGGTACCAAATTAGAGATCACACTGGAAGAGCAGAAAAGGGAGCTGCTTTGTCCTTGGTAATCTTCAAAAAGCTCAGCTTGTGGTTGGCAGCATTAGAAGAGGGAGAGTCACAGTTTTTACAGACGCACATAGGTAGTATGGTCTCAGTCCATAAAACCAGAAGCCTTTTCTTTCAAGAACGTCAGTGAAATACCTGAAGAAAGTCAAGGCAGAGGATGTAATTGTCAAGGGCACAAGGCCAGACTGGCTGCATTCAGGGCTTAGCTCTGTTACTTACCAACTGTGTGACCTTGGGCAATTTCCTTAACCATCTGTGCCTCAGTTTCCTCATCTGCAAAATGGGAAATAATAATCGCATTACCTCACATAGTTGTTTTGGGGACCAAATAATTATTATTTTTAGCTTTAGTGAGGTATAATTAAAAAGTAAATACTATATATATTCAAGATATACAATGTGATGTTTTGATATACATTGTGAAGTGATCACCACAATCAAGTTAATTAACATATCCATAATCTCACATAGTTGCCTTTCCTGGATGTGTGTTGAGGCTACTTAAAATCTATTTTCTTAACAAATTTCAAGTTTACAATCTATTTGTAGTAACTGTAGTCAGCATGTTGTACATTAGGTCTCCAGAACGTATTCACTTTATAAGTGAAAGTTTGTTCCCTTTCACCAACATATCCTCCACTCCCGCCAACTCCACCACACACAACCCTGGTAACTACCATTCTACTCTGTTTCTATGAGTTTGACTTTTTTAGATTCTACATATAAGTGAGATCATACAATATTTATGTTTGCGTGTCTGGCTTATTTTACTTTGCGTAAAGTCTTCCAGGTTTATCTATGTTATTGCAAGTGACAGAATTTTCTTATTTTCTAAGGCTGACTAATATTCAATTACGTACCTGTGTGTGTGTGTGTGTGTGTGTGTGTGTGTGTGTGTGTGTGTGTGTAACAGTTTCTTTATCCATTTATCTGTCAAGAAACACGTTGTTTCCATATCTTGGCTATTATGAAGACTGTGGCAATGAACAAGGGAGGGCAGATATCTCTTCAACAAACTGATTTCATTTCCTTTGAATGTATACTCACATGTAGGATTCCTAGATCACAAGGTGGTTATATTTGTAATTTCTTGAGAAACCTCCATACTGTTCTCCATAATGGTTGTACCAGTTTACATACCCACCAACAATGTATAAGGTTGCTCCACATCCTTATCAACATTTGATATCTTTTGGCTTCTTGTTAACAGCCATTCTAGCAGGTGTCAGGTTTGCATTTTGTGGTTTTGATTTGCATTTCCCAGATGATTATTGATGTTAAGTACATTTTTATATACTTCTTGGCCATTTGCTTGTCTTCTTTGGAAAAAATGTCTATTCAGGTTCTCTTTTCATTTTTAAATCAGGTTACTTTCATTTTTTGCAATTCATACAATTGAATTATATGAATTCCTCATATATTTTGAATATTAACTTCTTACCAGATACATGGTTAACAAACATTTTCTCCCATTCTGTGGATTACCTTTTCTTTTTGTTGATTGTTTCCTTTGCTGTGTAGAAACTTTATAGTTTGCTGTAGTTTAATTCTGTTTATTTAATTGTAATTAATTTTGTTCAATTTAGCTTGTTTGATTTTGTTTAAGTTGTTCAATCCTACTTTTGTTGCCTGTGTTTTTGGTGTCTTAGCCAAAATTCATTGCCAAGTTCAGTGTCATGGGGCTTCCCCTGATGTTTTCTTTGAGGAATTTTACAGTTTTAGGTCTTATGTTTAAATCTTTAATTCATTTTAAGTTGATTTTTGTGTCTGGTGTAGGATAATGATTCACTGTCATTGTTTTGCAGGCAGATGGCCAGTTTTCCTAGCTCCTTTGATTGAAGGGACTATCATTTCCCATTGTGTATACCCAGTGAATTCTTCCTCAGAGACTAGTTGATCACATGTGTAGGTTTATTTGTGGACTTTCTATTATGTTCCATTGATCTATGTGTCTCTTTTTATGCTAGTACCATATCATTTTAATTACTATAGCTTTGTAATATAATTTAAAATTGAGAAGCCTTCAACTCTGTTATTCTTGCTCAAGTAACTTCACCTATTCAGAACGTTTTGTGCTTCCATACAAATTTATGACTTCTTTTCTATTTCTGTGAAAAATGCTGTTGGAAATTTGATAGATATTGCATTGATTCTGTAGATCACTTTGAATTGTATAGGCATTTTGACAATATTGATTGTTTTGATCCATGAACACAGTATATCTTTCCATTTATATGTGTCATCTTTCAATTTCTTTCATCATTGTTTTATAGTTTTCAGTGTACAGATATCTCACGTTCTTGATTAAATTTATTTTTAAGGATTTGTTTCTTTTTGATATTGTGAAATTATTATTATTTTTTAAATAGTTAATTATTAGTGTATAGAATCACAACTGATTTTTGTATGTTGATTTCACAACTTGCAATTTTACTGCATTTATCAGTTTTCACAGTTTTTTGATTGAGTCATTAGAGTCTTATGTATATAGGATTATATTATCTGCAAATAGAAACAATGTCTTCCTTTCCAATTTGGATGTCTTCTATTTCTTGCCTGTTTGATCTGGCTAAGACTTCTAGTACTATGTTGAGCAGAAATAGCAAGAATGGGCATCCTTGTCTTGATATTAGGAGAAAAACTTTCATCTTTTAATTATTATGATTTTAGCTATGGGCTTGTGTCTGCTGCAGCAGTGGCTTCAGTTTCCAAGGTTTTAACTGTGTCTTTGAATCCTCCCAAGGCTATTTCTGTTTGTGGTTGACTTTATAATTTTTTTTGTGGGGGAGGAGGATAAAGGCTGGTATCTCATATCCCACCATCTTTTTGACATCACTTGGGTATTAAATAGAATTTCTTTGAACAGTACCTGGTAAGTTATGTGTTAGCTGTTATTAATATTAGCATTTATAGTGTGATATTGGCAACCTTAAAACAAAGCTTTCCTTATTCTGACATTTGGGAGGACACACAACCCAGAACTGACTTTCTGCCCACTCTGTCTCAAGCAAATACTGCCAGTGGCACATCCTTCTCACATTAACAGAGGTCTCCTTCCAAAGACAGGCTTCTCAGGAAGGAGACTTACTTACACATTAGCAGAGAAAACCTGTAGCCCTTTCCTAGAACAGTCAATCCAATTCATTTCAAAATAGAATCAGTAATGGGTCCACAGACTTTTGTGGAGAACAGACAACATAAAAGAACTGACGTGGAAGAAATAGATGATTCAGAAAGACAGACAAAAGTTGTTTAAAAAAAAACACTCTATCATCTTCAGATTTGAGGAGATATTAAAGGAATAGACTGCAGTGGAAAACACAGCTTTAGACGTTTAAAATATGTTTGATCAAATTAAATAGTTGAAAAACTGAAAGGCAAATAAATTTTCCAGAATGTAGAGAAAAAGAAAAAAATATATGAGGAAAAAGACAAAAGATTATTCAAGGATGTTTTACTTCTGTCTATAGTCATCTCAGTAAAAGAGATGAGAAAACGTAAGAAAGGAAACAATAGCTTAAGTAACAGAAAACAATTTTCTATGCCTGAATTAGACAGTATAGTTTAGCATGATAGAGTTCACTTTAGCTTGAATGGCAACCAGAATGAAATGAAAAAAAAAAATGATGTAGATCTAGATAAATCCTTGGGAAATTTTGAAGCAAAGATAAAGGGAAAATTTTTAAAAACTAATGAGAAAGAGGAAAAGCTTGCCAAAAATAAAGAAAGCAGAATTAGATTGTCTGTCAACTTCTCATCAGCCACTTGACACACCATCTTCAGAGCTCCAGGAAAAATTATTGTTTGAAACTATTGCTGAACTTTAACCTTTGAATCGCAGATAAGTATGAGTGCTAAATACATTTTCTGGCATTAAAAAGGCTCAGATACTCTATGTTCTATGTATTTGTAGATGTACTTTAGCATAATCGGAAAAAAATCAAGCAAGAGGAAGATGTGTGGTCCAGGACCCCATAGATCTGACTCAAGTGGGTAAGGAAGGGATGCCCTAGTTGCAGGGGAGTAAGAGAATAGGAGGAAGTATGGTGGGGGTAGGTGGGACAGTGACTTCTAGATCTCAAATACATAGGAGCTAAACACTGACTGAAATTAAGCCTAGGGAAAAGAAATTCCGTATATAACCTAGAATTACTTGGCTATATAGAAGTCTTCTTTTAAAAAAATTGTATAAATGTAAGGGGTACAAGTGCAATTTTGTTAAGTGGATATATTGAGTAATGGTGAAGTGTGGGATTTTAGTGTGTCCATCACCCAAATAGTGTACATGGTACCCATTAAGTAATTTCTAATCATCCACCCTCTCCCACCATTCCCAGTCTCCAACATCTATCATTCCACACTCTGTGTCCATTGTGCATACATTATTTAGCTCCCACTTACAAGTGAGAACATGAGGTCTTTGACTTTCTGTTACTGAGTTGTTTCACTTAAGATAATGGCCTTGGGTTCCATCCATGTTGCTGCAAAAGACATGATTTCATTCATTTTATGAATAAATAGTATTTCATTGTGCATATATGCCACATTTTCTTTAATCTTCCATTGATGGACACTTAGGTTGATACCCAGTAGTGGGATTGCTGGATTAATGGTAGTTCTATTTTTAGTTGTTTAGGAAATCTCTGTACTGTTTTCCATAGATGTTGTACTAATTTACAGTCCCAATAGCAGTATATAATGTTTCCTTTTTTCTGCATTCTCCCCCCATATCTGTTATTTTTTATGTTTTAATAATAGTTATGCTGAGTAGGCGAGATGATTTTTCATTGTGGTTTTAATTTGTGAAAAATCTATGCATAAAGCAAGATAGATTATCCTAAATTGTTACCTATATACTTTTCTTTTTAGTGAGCAATGCCAAGAGATACAGA
This sequence comes from Homo sapiens, assembly GCF_000001405.40. Taxonomy (NCBI): domain Eukaryota; kingdom Metazoa; phylum Chordata; class Mammalia; order Primates; family Hominidae; genus Homo; species Homo sapiens. Next base: position 94,514,516 of record NC_000015.10, on the reverse strand, counting down.
TAGAAGACAATGTGTGGTACGTTCTCTATGTTAAATAAAAGCAAAATGTATCAGTTCCAATAATGATCAAACTGCCTTGCACTTTATCAATATACTTGAACAACAACTGATCCCTCCACCCCTCACCCCGTCTCTCTCTCTCTCTCTTCCTGTGTGTGTGTGTGTGTGTGTGTGTGTGTGTGTGTGTGTCTTTCTCTCATCTCTTTGTATCTAAATGAACATGTTAGATTTTATCCACATAAGAATCCCTATTTGGCAGATCTGAAAACCAAGTCTCTGTAAGATTAATTGACTTAAGATTACATAGCTAGGAAGTTAACTTTCTGTCCAGCATTAAAAAATTATCTACAAAACTAAGCCTAACTAAATTTATGTCCGAAAAGATGGTAGGTGGCAGAAGTGGATGCCAACAGTGGAACTTTTATTCATCAAGTATTAAAATGCAAAACTAATGTCCACCTTAGGGACTCACCTTTATGGCGAATAATGACTAACAATGCAGTCCTCCATGTCAATATGACAAACTTATCAATAAATATAATGAATTCCTCAGGCAAACACTTCTCATTAGCCTGACCTGTTGTATATTTGCTGAAAAGCATATGGGCATCCCCAAATGTGCATACCTAATATCTCCTTAACCAGTTGAGTTCTGTGCAGCTCACTGATATCAATAGAATTAAATTCACAAGCAAGAGAAATGTTGCTAGTTGTTGTTTTAAGTTTGGGCAAAGGTACAAATTTGCATCTGCAGGTAACAGCTTAACTGGTATGTCTACCTTAATGATTTCTAGTTTTGACAAACATTTCCTAGTGTGAGTTAAAAGTAATGCAACTTTATGGTTAAAATGTAAGTATACTGTTAAGATGATTAATTACTCCAATCTAACACTGGCCCAAATCCAAAAAGAAAATTATCTAAGCCAATCAATTTAAAGGGATTGAATATTTAGTTTTAGGCTCTATTTTTGAGTGGTTATTCAAAAAGAGTTGGGTAATTATTGCTAATTTGTGATTTTCTGAAATAAAAGAAGACAAATATAACATGGATAATTGAAACCCAGAATTGGAAAAACATAAGCCCAAACTCTATCTAATGATCAGTTTCAACATCCACTTTTATTGAACATTGAGGCAGTATTGTTACAGAACCAAATGAACTAATTCAAAGGCAATATCTCTATAGATACAAATATTTTGTGCACTATGCCAATGTTTAGAGTTCTATTCCAAAATATTTTATCCTATTATTAATACTTTCTGGAGAAACTGAGGTAAGGTATGTCAAAAGTTTGTACTCAACCTCTCAGAGTTAGTGATGACATCAAGGATTTGAGCTGAGATGAGCCTCCTGACCAGAATCAACTACAAAAAAGCATTTCCTTGTCTATTAAAATTAAGCTAGGATGTTCCACTTTCCAACCTTCACCCCCTGGAGATGACCACAAGTTCGTCTTGCGACCCCTGAATGGAGTTTTAATGGTGGTGAATACCTTTGAGATAAATAAATGCCCATGACACCCTACACAGTTCTTTCAAGTACTATTATTACTACCATTTTACCTGAAAGTTTATGAAAGGGCAGAATGAAATTGAGAACAGAGATTTTTTGATTCCCAGTTGGTTGTTCTTTATACATACACTTCATTTCAGCTTTTAATAAGAATGTTTCCCCATATAAATAGGATGTGTTTCTTCATTTATTATTGTTTTTAGGGATACGCTGAATACATCAGGAGCACAGTTACGTGTGTATGTTTGCATGTGCATACACATGTGAATGTAGGGTTATGTCACATGCAACTATAAGAAATTCTGCATTGCGAGTAAGTATTTATGACAATCTACAAATCAAAAAATATAGAATTGTGCTCCTGCCAACACTGGCCAACGTTTAAATTAGAAAATCCTGGTAGGTGTTACATAAGCAGAGTAATGTCTCACCGAGGATGGCTACATTCTGATCCCCAGAACCTGTGAACATGTTAGGTCACTTGCCAAAGAGGAATTAAGGTTGCAGACGGATTTAAAGTTACTAATCAGCTGACTTTAAAATACAGAGGGTTTATCTTGGACTATCCAAGTGGCGCCAGTATAATCACAAAAGTCCTTAAAAATGAAAGACCTGGCCGGGCGCGGTGGCTCACGCCTGTAATCCCAGCACTTTGGGAGGCCGAGGCGGGCGGATCACGAGGTCAGGAGATCGAGACCATCCCGGCTAAAACGGTGAAACCCCGTCTCTACTAAAAATACAAAAAATTAGCCGGGCGTAGTGGCGGGCGCCTGTAGTCCCAGCTACTTGGGAGGCTGAGGCAGGAGAATGGCGTGAACCCGGGAGGCGGAGCTTGCAGTGAGCTGAGATGGCGCCACTGCACTCCAGCCTGGGCGACAGAGCGAGACTCCGTCTCAAAAAAAAAAAAAAAAAAAAAAATGAAAGACCTGGCTGGGCACGGTGGCTCACACCTGTAATCCCAGCACTTTGTGAGGCCGAGGCGGGTAGATCAGGAGTTCGAGACCAGCCCGGCCAACATGGTGAAACCCCATCTCTACTAAAACTACAAAAATAAGCCAGGCGGGGTGGCTGGTGCCTGTAATCCCAGCTACTGGGGAGGCTGAGGGAAGAGAATCGCTTGAACCCGAGAGATGGAGGTTGCAGTGAGCTGAGATCACGCCACTGCACTCCAGCCTGGGTGACAGGAGAAACTCCATCCCAAAAAAGAAAAAAAAAAAAAAAAAGAAGAAGAAATTGGAAAAGACAACCAAGAGAAATGGTCAAATGAGAAGGACTGTGCCCAAGGTTGCTGATTTTAAAGGAGGAGGAAGAGGCCATGAACCAAGGAATGGAGGTAGACTTTAGAAGCTGGAAACAGTATAAGAATAATTCTTCCCTGGAGCCTCCAGAAGGAATGCAGCACTGTTAACCCTTTCATTATAGCCAAGTGAGATGTTTTGGACTTCCGCTCCAGAACGGCAAAAGATATTTGTGTTCTTGTAAGCCATGAATTTTGTGGGTTTCTTTCATTGACACATGATAATTGTACTTATTTATGGGGTACGTGGTAATGTTTCAATAATGTATAGTGATCAAATCAGAATAGAGAGCATATCCATCACCTCAAACAATTATCCTTTGTTTGAGCTGAAAATATAAAAAATCCCCTTTTCATGAAACATAAATTATTATTAATTAAAGTTAAACTATAGTGCTATGAGACACTAGAACTTATTTCTCATCTAGCTATATTTTTGAATCCTTTAACCAATCTCTCCCTATCTCTCCATTGCCCCACCTTTCCTAACCTATCATAACCACTATTCTATGCTGTACTTCTATGAGATCAACTTTCTTAGCTTCTGCACGTGGGTGAAAACATGTAATATTTACCTTTATGTTCCTGGCTTATTTCACTTAATATTCCCCAGACTCATCCCTATTGTCACAAATGATAGAATTTTATTCTCTTTTTATGGTTGAATAGTATTCTATTGTGTATGCATATCACATTTTCCTTATCCATTCAGGTATTGATGAGCACAGGTTGACTCCATATTTTGGCTATGTGAATAGTGCTGCAATAAACATGGGGGTGCATATATCTCTTCAATACGCTGATTTACTTTCCTTTGGCTATATCCCAGTTGTGGGGTTGCTGAAATATAGGGTAGTTCTATTTGGATTTTTTTTGAAGAAAATCTATACTGTTTTCCATAACGGCTATACTAGTTTACATTCCCACCAGCAGTATATAAAAGTTCCCCTTTATCAAATCCTCACCAGCATTTGTTATATTATCTCTTTGATAATAGCTGTTCTAACTAGAGTCTGTTGATATTTCCCTGTGGTTTTTATTTGCATTTCTTTAATGATTAGTGATATTGAGTTTTTTTATACATATGTTGGCCATTTGTATGTATTATGAGAAATGTCTATTCATGTCCTTTGCCCACTTTTTAATGAGATTATTTAGGCTTTTTGCTGTTGAGTTGAGTTCCTTGTATATTTTGGATATTAATCCCTTGTCAGATGAATAGTTTGCATATATTTTCTCACATTCTGTATGTTGTATTTTCACGCTGTTGACTGTCTTCTTTGCTGTGCAAAAGCTTCTCAGTTTTATAATCCCATTTGTCTGTATTTACTTTTGTTGCCAGTGCTTTTGAAGTCTTATTCACAAAATATTTTTCCAATGTCTCAAAGCATTTCCTCTGTGTTTTCTTCTAGTAGTTTTATAGTTGCAGGCCTGATATTTAAGTCTTTGATTCATGTTTAATCGATTTTTGTTTAAGGAAAGAAATAAGGCTCTAGTTTTATTGTTCTGCATGTGAATATTAGGTTTCCCTAGGACTATTTATTGAAAGACAGTCTTTTCCCCAGTGAATGCTTTTGGTGACTTTGTCAAAAACCAGTTGGCTTTAAATGCATGGGTTTATTTCTGGGTTCTCTGTTCTGTTCCCTTGGCGTGTCTGTTTTTATGCAGTACCACGTTGTTTTTATTACTATAACATTGTATTATATTTTGAAATCTGGTAGTGTGGTGCTTCCAGCTTTTTTCTCTTTGCTCAGGATTGCTTTGGCTATTCAGGGTCTTGTTGGTTCTATGGAAATTTCTAGAATTTTTTGGTTTTATTTTTATGAATGTTATTTGTATTTTGACAGGGATTACATTAAATCTGTAGATTGTTTGGGATAGTATGTGCATTTTAACAATATCCTTCCAGTCTGTAAACATGGAACGTCTTTCCATTTTTCGTGTTCTTTTCCATTTTTTCACGAGTTTTATTGTTTTCCTTATAGAGATTTTTTACCTCTATGGCTACATTTATTAAAATGTAAAAGTTTTATAGCTATTGTAAGCATAATTGTTTTCTTGATTTTTTTTTCAGCTAGTTCATTCTTGATGTGTAGAAATGCCACTGATTTCTGTATGATGCTTTTGTATCCTGCCACTTTACCAAATTTATCAGCTGTAAGAGTTTTTTTTGTGTGTGTGTGTGAACTCTTCCGGTTTTTCCACATGTAAGATTATGTCTTCTGCAAGGAGGAACAATTTGACTTCCTCCTTTCCACTGTAGATCCCCTTTATTTATTTCTCTTGCCTAATTGCTCTGGCTAGAACTTCTGGTAATGTTGAATAAGAGAGGTGAGAGTGGAAATCCTTGTCTTGTTCCAGTTATGTATGATCTTAACTTTGAGTTTGTCATATATGGCCTTCATTGTGCTGTGGTACATTCCTTTTATACTTAGTTTGTTGAAAAGATTTTTAAGCATGAAGGGATATTGAATTTTATCAAATGCTTTTTCTGCATCTGATGAGATGATTATATGGTTTTTATCTGACATTCTATTGATGTAATCTATCATATTTATTGATTTATGTATGTTGAACTATCCTTACATCCCTGGCATAAATCTCACTTGATGATGGTGTATAATCATTTTGATGTGTTGTTGGATTCAGTTTGATAATATTTTGCTGAGGAGATTTGCAAGTATGTTCATTAGGAATATTGGTCTGTAGATTTTTGTTGTTGATAATGTTTTAGCCTTATCTGGCTTCAGTAAAAGTGTTATGCTAGCCTCGTGAATGAGTTTGGAAGAATTCCCTTTCCTTCAAATTTTAATTGGAATTAGCTCTTTTTTAAAATTTTGAGAGAATTCAATCATGACAATGTCTAGTCCTGGGCTCTGCTTTGATGGGAGACTTTTGATTATTGATTCAATCTTGCCACTTGTTCTTGGTCTGTTCAGCTTTTATTTCTTCTTGGTTTAATCTTGGTAGTTTGTATGTAGCCAGAAATGTATCCATTTCTTCTAGATTTACCAGTTTGTTGGTATGACTGTGTTCATAATAGTCTCCAGTGATCCTTGTGTTCTTGTGGTATCAGTTGTGACAGCTCCTTTTTTGTTTCTGATTTTGTTTATTTGGATCTTCTCTCTTTTTTTCTTAGTCTGTTTAATTGTTGTTGGTTTTTTTTTGCCTTTTCAAAAAAAAACCAATGATTCGTTTTGTTGATTTTTTTTCTGAGTCACAGTTTTGCTCATCTCTGCTCTCATCTTTATTTTCTTTCCTTCTACAAATTTGGGGTTTGGTTTGCTCTTGCTTTTCTAGTTTCTTGAGGTTCATCACTAGGTTCATTATTTGAAATCTTTCTATTTTTTAATGTATTTTTTTGGCAATGAATTTGCCTCTTAATACTGATTTTCCTGTGTCCCATAGGTTTGCTATATTGTGTTTATTTTAATTCGTTTCAAGAATCTTTTTTGATTACCCCTTGATTTTCTTTCTTGACCCTCTGGTCATTTGGAGCATGTTGTCTAATTTCTGTATTTGTGCAGCTTCAAATGTTCCTCTTTTCTTCACTTCTAGTTTTATTTCATTGTGGACAGAAAACATACTTGATATGACTTCAATATTTTTAAACTTTTGAGACTTACTTTGTGTCCTCATAAAATGGTGTACATGGTCAATCCTGGAGAATGTTTCATGTGCTGAAGAAGAAAAAATGGATAGTCTTCAGCTGTGAAGTGAAATGTTCTGTATAGGTCTGTTAAGACCATTTCATTTGTGTTGCAGTATAAATTCCATGTTTTCTTCATTAATTATCTGTCTAGATGATCTTTCTAATGCTGAGAATCAAGTATTGAAGTCCCTAACTATTACTGTTTTGGAGTCTAACTATCCCTTAAGAACTAATAACATGTGCTTTACATATCTGAGTGCTCCAGTGTTGGTTGTATACATATTTATAATTATGTCTTCTAGCAAACTTAATCCCTTTATTATTATGTAATGTCCTTCTTTGTCTCTTTTTGCTATTTTTAACTCAAAGTATATTTTATCTGATAAAAGTATAGCTACTCCTTCTCACTTTTGGTTTCCATTTGTGTTAAATATCTTTTTCCATTCCTTCACTTTTAGTCTATATGTGTTTTTACAGGTGAACTTAGTTTCTTATAGGCAGCATATAGTTGGGTCTTGGTTTTTTGTTTTCTTTTTTTTTCATTCATTCCGCCAGTGTCTATCTTTCAATTGTGGAATTGAATCTGTTTATAATGAAGGCTATGATTGATAAGTAAGGACTTATTCCTTCATTTTATTAATTGTTTTCTGGTTGTTTGTATATTCTTTATTCCCTTCTTCCTCTCTTATTGTTTATTTTTGCAGTTTGGTGGTTTTCTCTAGTAATAAAGTTTCATTCCTTTCTTTTTCTCCTTTGTTTGTTTGATATACTGGTTTTATAATTTTACATGTTTTCGTGATGGTAGCTATCATCTTTCCCCTTTTGGATGCAGGACTTCTTTAAGCTTTTCTTGTCAGGCCCATCTTGTGGTGATAAATTCCTTAGTTTTTCTTATCTGGGGAATACTTCATTTCTCCTTCATTTCTAAGGGATAACTTTACTGAGTACAGTATTCTTGACATTTTTTAATTTTAGCTCTTTGAACATATTTCATTCATCCCATTCTTTTCTGTTGAGAAATCTGTTGTTAGTCTAGTGGGAAATTTCCTTTCATGTGACTTGATGTTTTTCTCTTGCTGTTTTTAAAATTCTCCCTTTGTCTTTTTTTTTTTTTTTTTTGAGACAAACTCTTCTTGTGTAACTTTGGCTGAAGTACAATGGCATGATCACAGCTCATCACAGCCTCAAACTCCCGGGCTCAGTTAAGCCTCCCACCTAAGCCTCCTGAGTAGCTGAAACTACAGGCACATGCCACCACACTCTTTTTTTTTTTTTTTTTGGAGATGGGGTTTCACTATGTTGCCCAGGCTGGTCTTGAACTCCTGGGCTCAAGCGATCCTCCCACCTTGTCCTCCCAAAGTGCTGGGATTACAGGCATGAGCCACTGTGCTCAGCCCTCCCTTTGTCTTTTACCTTTGACAATCTCAATGTGTTATGTACCTCACAGATGACCTGTTTTATTGAATCTATTTGAGGATTTCTGAGCTTCCTGGATCTGGATGTTCATCTCTCTCCCCAGACTTGAATGTTTTCAGGTATTATTTCATTAAATATATTTTCTATGTTTTTTCCTTCTATTCCCATTCTGGAATTCCCATAACACAATTAAAAAAAAAATAGTGGTGTCCTATAAGTCCTGCAGTCTCTCCTCATTTTTTTTTATTCTTTTCCAGTCTGCCTAGGTTATTTCAAAAGAATTGTCTTGAAATTTTTTCTCCTACTTGAAGTTCTCAATTATGTTTTGCATTTTATTCAATTCCTCATCTCTAAAATACCTTTTATTTTTAAATACATATAATATCTCTTTGATGTATTTCTCATTCAGATCATGAATTGTCTTTCTGATTTTATTGAATCATTTATCTGTATTCTTTTGTATCTTGTTGAGTTTCCTTAAGATGATTATATTGAATTCATTTTCTGGCATTTTATATATTTTCTTTTGTTTGGAGTCTTTTACTGGAGGATTATTGTATTCCTTTGGAGGTGTGATGTTTTCTTGCTTTCTCATATTTCTTATGTCTCTATATTAATAGTCATGCATCTGGTGAAACAGCTGCCTCTTCCAATTTTGTGGGGTAGGTTTTGTAGGGAAAGATTTATTTCTGTAGTTGGATGGGGTGTATTGGCTTTGGTCCTAGATGGACACAGTAGTGTAGTCGCCATAGTGTTTCTTCATAATGTAATACACATTAGCAGTGTTTGCAAGCTTCTCAGTGGACTGGGCCGTGGGATTTTGTGGCAGTGATAGCACAGCCTTGCTGAAGATGAGCTTCCTGAACTGTTTCTCAGACTGAGAGCATGCCCATGGACATCCTGGGTTGGCCAGCTCAGGAACCGGCTCATTGGTGATGATACTGCCAAGCTATTACTCCAGCCAGGGGTGCAGGCTATAGCTGCTCAGTTAGCTCAGGGGTGAGTCTGCCAGGCTGTTTCTCTGGTGAAGGGTATAGGCTCATGGCCGTCTGGCTGGCTTGAGACTGATACCACCAGTGTTGGGCCCACTGGGAAATTTATCTGGCTAGCAGTATAGCTCTGCAGAAGCTTGACTTCCTTTGGGGCCTATCTGCTGGGGGCACATTTGCTATTTCTCTGGCCAGAGTACACTGGCCTGAGGCTAACGTCCCTGTTTTTCAGGGCCAAAGTCACACCTACTTCTGGCTCTGAGCACCGGGGGTCATGGTGTTGCAGCCACTTGTGTGGGATGGATTGTAATGACAGTAGAGTCCCATGGCCAGAGAGGTGCAGTGGCTACTGGCTCCTAGAGCAGGGAATATTCCAGCAGTGGCTCTAGTTGCAAGAGCCCACCATGCTGCAGCAGCTGGAGTCACAAAAACATGGAGGGGAGAGGTGGAAGAGGGGAGTGCAACTTGTCCTAATCTGGAGCAATAGAGCTACATGAATTCTAGGCAGCTCCCCAAACTAGGTTCAGGGCTTGTGAGGACTCTGGCATTCTCCCTTAGGAAGGACATAGGTGTCCTAAGGGGGCTTGAAGTCTTCTTGCCTTTCTCCCCACAAACGGAAGTCCCTCCTGACTCCAGGCTAATCCTGGCAGAGGAGAAGGAGTGGCAGAGGCAAAGTCCCTCAATTCCCTTTCTATGTTGTCATCATGGGCTTCTGAGTACCACAGGGACCCCACCACTCCCTTGCTGCACTCCAGTGCTCTCCCTCCAACACTCCAGTCGAATTTTAGTTTTTTATGTGTTGCCTTGGTCATTGCTTATGAGGGAGACAAGTAACAGGACCCTCTAGTCAGTCATCTTGCTGTCGTCTCTCACCCTTACAGCAGCAATAGAAACTAATAGGGCTCTCTTTAGTGCAGCCTATAATTTTTGACCTAAAAAGGAGATACCACATCAAAACTAAACCTCACTGAATATTTCTGCTTATCAATTTGACTTTTAGTTTTTAATGATTCTGGACTTTATAGTTCCAGAAATTGTCAATGTAGTTCTCTTTATTATACTCTTAACCAATGGTGAAGGAAGGGAGAAAAACACTAAGGCATACAGTGTTGAGCCCATTTCCATCACATGTTTGTTTCTCTAGGTAGTCGTTGTTTTTCCAATTCAGCTAATGTGATATGAAAATTCAGTAATTTGTGTTTTCTGTTGCATATGAAATTTGGATATCTACAGCATCAGAATCCACAATATGAAAGCAGTTGTTTATAATTTCTCATGTATTCTGATTGTCTTCCCTCATGTGATAACAACTGGCTATTATAAAGAAGATGAAAATGATTCTTTGTTTTCTAAGATTCTGATTATTTCATATAACTAGTACTCAAACATCTTCCTTTTACATAATTTAACGCACAATGATTTACTGTATCTTTTTAAAAAATTGTGCATACTTAGAAGTTGGAGTGTTTTGAGTACTCCTCAATAATTGTAGTTTTATTTATTTATGAATTATACATTTTTACATGCCTATTACTGTGGTATTATGTATGTTATGAAGCATGCCAGGGGGAGACTTTTTTAAATGAGATAAAAACAAATATAGGCTATAGTATAGCACAAGTAAAATGCTGATATAAACTGAATGTGTCCCTCCAGAATTCATATGTTGAAACCTAACCCCTATTTGGTATTTGGTGTTAGGGCCTTTGGGAGGCAGTTAGGTCATTAGGGACAGTCTTTAGTACCTTTACAAAGAGACCTCAAAACCTCCCTCTTGAATCGTCTAACACCTTGATTCATGTGTGCGTTATATGTAAAGAAGTTCTACAAGTTAATGAAAGGAAACCAGTATGATTCACTTAGGGAAGAAAATGGCAAAATAGTTGAATAAATACTCCACAAAAAAAGAGTATCGTAATGGTCAGGAAATAGGAAAAAGTTCCCAACTCTTGTAGCCATCAGGAAAAGGCAAATTAAAACCACAGTGAAGTACTACTGCACAGGTATCCAAAGGGTTAAAATATAACGAATGGAGATATCAAGTGATGGGGAGGATGGGGAGCCGTCAGAACTCTCACATCATGCTGGCTGAAATGCAAATAGGTATAACCACTTTGGAAAACTGTTTAGATGTTTCTACTAAAGCTTGAATGTGTGTGTGTCCTATGACTCAGCAATTCTACTCCTAGAATATACTCAGCAGATCCTGTATATTGACTTGAAACTACATTTTGAAAGGACACACTGTGTACCTGGAAGAGTTAAAAAGATCAACATGGAGACATTTTCCAGTAGTTACTGGACTTCTGAGGTAAAATAATAGGTCACTTAAGTAATGGAAAATAAGACCAAAATGAGACTTTGACAGAAACCTTCATGACAGAAGAAAACAAAGGAGAAATTTAAAGATGTAAATGAATATCAAGTATTAGAGCAAAACAAAATAAATAGACAACATAGGTTCTTCTATGACCTATGAATGATGAAAATTTCCTTCTTAATGAATTAAAATTGAGTAGCAAGATGGAAAACTATAGATAAAATAATTTTATAGAAAAAGAAATATACAAATTAAAACAAAAACACATTTTTTTACAAGGGGCACAGTTATTAGAGTTTAAAAATAATGAAGTTTGAAAAATATTTACAGCTTATATCACATAGGGTTAATATTCTTATATAATTAGTTTCTAAAAATATAGAAAATACCAGAATGCCTATATAAAAAAAATGGACTAGAGAAATGGATAGACAATTCATAGAAAAAGAAATACCCAGGTATTTTTACATACAAAAATCATTCACTCTCTCATAATAAGGAAACTACAAATTAAAGCTCTACAAAAGCACAGTTTCTTGCCAATCGTGTTGGAAAAAATCCAAAAGTTCATTAACCTACTAGGTTGGTAAAGCTAGGGAAAATAGACATTCTCAAAAATAGCTGGTCAAAATGCAAACTTATAAAAGCTGTAGGAAGAAAACTTTAATGACATCTAGCAGACTGTCATATATTTATCTGTTGACCAAAAAATCCAACCTTTAGGAATCTACCCGAAGGAACTACTAGTAAAATTATTAAAAAAAGGTATATATGCAAAATAATTCATTTTAGGGTCATTTGTAAAACAATAGAAAGAACCAAATATCTACTACTTGGTACACGTTAGTGTGTTCTCACACTGCTAATAAAGACACACCCAAGACTGGGTAATTTATAAAGAAAAAAAGTGGTTTAATGGACTGACTCATAGTTCCACATGGTTGGGGAGGCCTCACAATTATGGCAGAAGACAAAGGAAGAGCAGGGTCACATCTTACATGGTGGCAGGCAAGAGAGCACGTACAGAACTTCTCTTTTTTTTATTATTATTATACTTTAAGTTTTAGGGTACATGTGCACAACGTGCAGGTTTCTTACATATGTATATATGTGCCATGCTGGTGTGCTACACCCATTAACTTGTCATTTACATTAGGTATATCTCCTAATACTATCTCTCCCCCCTCCCCCCACCCCACAACAGGCCCCGGGGTGTGATGTTCCCCTTCCTGTGTCCAAGTGGAGAACTTCCCTTTATAAAACCATCAGATCTCATGAGACTTATTCACTATCACAAGAACAGCATAGGATAAACCCACCCCATGATTCACTTACCTCCCACCAGGTCCCTCCCATGACACATGAGAATTATGGGAGCTACAATTCAAGATGAGATTTGGGTGGGGACACAACCAAAACATATCAGTACATCTACAACTACTAAACAGAAGGACTCTGAATACTACTATGGACTGCTGTCCAGAACATACAAAACATACTGCCTACTTCTGTCTATTGAAAAGAGATGGAAACAATGACAAGATAAGCAATGTTGAGAACTCCTAGCACCCATATTGTGGTCTAGAAATACAATTTCCCATTAAAAGGAACCAGGGCCCTTGGAAGCAATGGCTGATTCTAGGTCTGCAATAAAATATGTGCAAGATAAATTTTGGAACACTTTATGTCAGATATCAAAGAAACTGTTAAAAACTGCTAAGATTATGTCAAAAGGAATCAGAAGCCAACTTCAAAAGATCTCCATTGACCAAGGATTAAAACAAATTATATATATAATTATAACAATGGCAGTAATTTGAAATGTAAAATTGTTTAAATCCCCTTTTATACTGTTAGTAGGAATGTAGACTGTGCAGCCATTATGAAAGACAGTATGGAGTTTCCTAAAGAAATTAAAAATAGAGCTACCACAAAACTTAGCAATTCCCCTTCAGGTATGTTTCCAAAGGAAATGAAATCACCCCTTTGTCAACATATCTGTACTCCCATGCTCATTGCAGCATTATGCACATTAGCCAAGATATGGAAACAACTGAAGTGTCCATCAGTGGGTGAGTGGAGAAAGAAATTGTGGTATATATACACAGTGGAATATTATTTGGCTGTAAAAAAAAAAAAAAAAAGGAGATACCACCATTTGCAACAACAGGGATGGATCAAAAGGACACTATGTTAAATGAAAGTATTCAGACACAGAAATAAATCATATGCATGTGGAATCTTTAAAAAAATTGAATACATAGAAACAGAGTAGAGCCATTGTTTCCAGGGGCTAGAGGGTAGGGAGAGGGGAAAAGGAAGATGTCAGTCAAAGGGTAAAAAGTTGCAGTTGTATGGGATGCATAAGGCTAGAGATCTAATGTATAGCATTAGGATTATGGTTAAAAATATTGTATTGTATATCTATAATTTGCCAAGAGAATAGATTTTAGGCACTCTTGCCACAAAGGGAAGAAAAAAAAGGTAACCATATGAGACAATGCTTATGCTAATTTACTAGACTATAATAATCAATTTATATATTCAAGATAAGTATATCAAAATATATGGTGTACCTTACTATATATTTTTAAAAGTTTCTGTGTTCATAATGAGATAGAAATCTAGTTGATCAACTTTAGATACCATTGAACAAATTATTATTTTAGAAATTGATAAATAAAAGGATATAATCTTGGATACCCATAAAATTTTTATCATTATGTAGCCAAGTAGTAGAATGGGATATTCCATTTTTTGAAGTTTACAATAATAAATACAAGAGAAATGCTAGATTTAAAATATTTTTATATTGTAATACCAATGAATTAATAATCTAGGCTTTAATAATTATTGACATTATATGCCTCTTGATGTAGGATACACCAGCACTTATGAAATAGTATTTACAAAGTATCCAATCTGTGTCTAAGGCTACCTCTTTTCAACTACCAATTTACAGAAAATAAGACAAAAGAAAACATTAAACAACACCATGAGGGATAAAATCAGCAAAATGAAGATGGTCAAAAGCACTACAGGACAAAAAAAAAATGTTTCTCTTTTAAAAGTGCAAGAAAAAAAGAGTGTAAATATAATAGCTTAAAAGAGACTTTAGAGACACATCACCAATCACAATATGTGAATTTATAACTTATTTGGAATCAGATTAAAACAAATTATAAGCAAGAACATTTATTAAAAAACAATAATTCTGAACTCAACTTGTACAGATCGAGGAAATAATACATCTTATTTTCAACTGCATCTGCCACTGATATGTTCAGAATTGTTAATATATTAATGTGGTGTATTAGTCTATTTTCATGCTGCTGATAAAGACATACCTTAGACTGGGCAATTTACAAAGAAAGGTTTAATTGGATGTGCAGTTCCATGTGGCTGGGAAAGCCTCACAATCATGGTGGAAGACAAGGAGGAACAAGTCATGTCTTACATGGATGGCAGCAGGCAAAGAGAGAATGAGGAAGATGCAAAAGTGGAAACTCCTGATAAAATCATCAGATCTCATGAGACTTAACTACTCTGAGAACAGTATGGGGGAACTGCTCCCATGATTCAAATGTCTCCCACCCGGTCTCTCCCACCACATGGAATTATGGGAGTACAATTTAAGTAGAGATTTGGGTGGGCACACAGAGTCAAACCATATAATTCTGCCCCTGGCCCCTGGCAAATCTCATGTCCTCACCTTTCAAAACCAATTATGCCTTCCCATCAGTCCCCCAAAGTCTTAACCCATTTCAGCGTTAACTCAGAAGTCCACAGTCCAGTCTCATTTGAGACAAGGCAAATGAGCCTTCTGCCTATGAGCCTGTAAAATCCAAAGAAAATTAGTTACTTCCTAGATACAATAAGGGTAGTGACCTTGAATAAGTACAGCCATTCCAAATGGGAGACTTGGCCAAAACAAAGGGGCTACAGGTCCCATGCAAGTCCAAAATCCAGTGGGGCACTCAAAGCTTAAAGCTCCAAAATGATTTCCTTTGACTCCATGTCTCACATCCGGGTCACACTGATGCAAGAGGTGGGTTCCCATGGTCTTGGGCAGCTCCACCCTTGTGGCTTTGCAGGGTACAGCCCACCTCCTGGCTGCTTTCACAGGCTGGCATTGAGTGTCTGTGTTTTTTCCAGGCACGTGGTGCAAGCTGTTGATGGATCTACCATTCTGGGGTCTGGCGGACAATGGCCGTCTTCTCACAGCTCCACTAGGTGGTGCCCCAGTAGGGACTCTGTGGGAAGGCTCTGACCCCACATTTCCCTTCCACACTGCCCTAGCAGAGATTCTCCATGAGGGTGCTGCCCCTGCAGCAAACTTCTACCTGGGCATCTGGCTGTTTCCACATATCTTCTGAAGCCTAGGCCGAGGTTCCCAAACCTCAGTTCTTGCCTTCTGTGCACCCACAGGCTCAACACCACATGGATGCTGCCAAGGCTTGGGGCTTCCACCCTCTGAAGCAACAGCCCAAGCTGTACCTTGGCCCCTTTTAGTCATGGCTGGAGTGACTGGGATGCAGGGCACCAAGTCACTAGACTGCACACAGCACAAGGACCCTGGGCCCTGCCGAGGAAACCATTTTCTCCTAGGCCTTCAGGCCTGTGATGGGAGGGGCTGCTGTGAAGACCTCTGACATGCCCTGGAGACATTTTCCCCATTGTCTTGGGGATTAATATTTGGCTCCTGGTTACTTACGCAAATTTCTGCAGCCCCTTGAATTTCTCCTCAGAGAATGGGTTTTTCTTTTCCATCACGTTGTCAGGCTGCAAATTTTCCAAACTTCTATGCTCTGCTTCTCTTATAGAACTGAATACCTTTAACAGCACGCAAGTCACATCTTGAATGCTTTGCTGCTTAGAAATTTCTTCCGCCAAATACCCTAAATCATCTCTCTCAAGTTCAAAGTTCCACAGATCCCTAGGACAGGGGTAAAATGCTGCCAGTCTCTTTGCTAAAACATAATAAGAGTCACCTTTGCTCCAGTTCCTAACAAGTTCCTCATCTCCATGTGAGACCACCTCAGCCCCGACTTCATTGTCCATATTGCTATCAGGCTTTTGGTCAAAGCCATTCAACAAGTCTCCAGGAAGTTCCAAACTTTCCCACATTTTCCTGTGTTCTTCTAAGCCCTTCAAACTGTTCCAGCCTCTGCCTGTTACCCATTTCCAAAGTTGTTTCCACATTTCCAGGTATCTTTTCAGCAGTGCCCCACTCTGTTGGTACCAATTGACTTATAAGTCCATTTTCACACTGCTGATAAAGACAGACCTTAGACTGAGCAATTTACAAAGAAAGGCTTAATTGGACTTACAGTTCCACATGGATGGGGAAACCTCAAAATCATGGTGGAAGGCAAGGAGGAACAAGTCATGTCTTACATGGATGGCAGCAGGCAAAGAGAGAATGAGGAAGATGCAAAAGTGGAAACCACTGATGAAACCATCAGATCTCATGAGACTTATTCACTACCATGAGAACAGTATGGGGGAACTGTTCCTATGAGTTCAATTATCTCCCACCAGGTCCTTCCCACAGCATGTGGGAATTATGAGAGTACAATTCAAGATGAGATTTGGGTGGGGACACAGAGCCAAACCGTATCATGTGGGTTGCAAGTTACTTCAAATCTTTTTTCAGAAAAGGCTAGACAGAAATAATTATTCAAAACAAACTGGAGATGTACTGCCAATAGTTTTTGACAGTGTGTGAACCAATTTGTACTTCCACTAGTAGGGGATAATAAAAGCTAGGGAAAAATGGTATGAGAAGGAAGATATTTGCATCTCCAGGTCCAGGGATGACCTGGATTTCCGAACTACTGGGCAATGAACCCACTTGGTAGTAGATTGTACTCAGAAGTTGCTCTCAACAGCAGCTACTGCTGGTAAGTCACCAAAGAGGAGAGAAGACGGAT
Organism: Homo sapiens; assembly: GCF_000001405.40. NCBI lineage: Eukaryota > Metazoa > Chordata > Mammalia > Primates > Hominidae > Homo > Homo sapiens. Next base: position 94,497,396 of record NC_000015.10, on the reverse strand, counting down.
AAGACTATGTGATAGTCACATAGGGGACACCCTTTGGCTTTTAGGTTCTTGTTGCATAAAGAACAGTATATACTAGTATTCTTCACTGGGGGCAACTTTACCTACTACCCCGTTAACCCCAGGGAATATTCAGCAATATCTAGAGACTTTATTTATTGTCATGATTTGGTGGAGAGGGTACTACTGGTGTCTAGTTGGTAGAGACCAGGGATGCTGGTAAACATCTCTACAACATTGTGTGTCCCATTACTCCACAACAAAGAATTGCCTGGCCCAAGACGTCCACAGTGCCAGGTTTAAGAATCTCTGATATTACCTTTGAAGGGTTAGTGTCTTAGTCCATTTAGGGAGCTAGAAGAAATAAAATCGACTGGGTGGCTTACAAATAACAAAGTTATTTCTCACAGTTTTGGAGGCTGGGGAGTCTAAGATCAAGGCACCAGCAGATGAGGTATCTGGTAAGGGCTTTCTTCCTCTTAGAAAGCTGCCTTCTCATTCTAACCTCATGTTGTGGTAGGATTAAGGGGTCTCTCTCAGACCTCTTTCATAAAGGATCTAATTCCATTCATAAGGATTCCACTCCCATAACCTAATTACTTCTTGAAGACTCCACCTCCTAGTACCATCACCTTGGGTGTTAGAATTTCAGCATATGAATTTGGGGGACACAAACAGATCATAGCAGGTAGTAACTTGCAAGGAAACATAGGAGTGGCTTCTGGGGTGCTGGTAAAGTTAAGTTTCTTGATCTAGGTGCTAGTTTCAGGAGACCATTCAATCTATGAAAATTTATTAGGGTGCACAATTATGACTTGTATAGTTTTCTCTCTCTATGTGTATATCTATAACTGGAGACAGTATATATAATTATATATCTATTACATATAGTTTAAAGAATATATGTTATATACACAGACACATATATATATATATATATATATATATATATATATATGTACTACAAATCAGTAAAAGGGAGCAGAATGTGCATGACACAGTGTTGAGTATTTGTAATCTTTATTCAAAACCCCCATAATTTAGGTGCTATTATTTCCACTCTAGAAATGAAGAAAATGGGATTCCAGGATGATAAGTGGGTCACCCAAAGACAGTAAGTTAGTACCATAGCATCAAAGTTTAAATTCGAACCTCTATTTTTTCTGGTTCCAGGTCACTGTACTCACCAAACTCCAAGCCAGTAACAAATGCTAAGGAAATGCTGTTGAAGAAAGGAGAACTGGTCATTTCCACATAGTCCAAATTTGAGGTCAACCAGAACTCTGAGTTTTGCTCTCTTTTCAAATGCATCTTATAAAACATGTAAAAGTTTTATTGCCTCTAAAGTAGAAAATAGAAGCCGAAAAAGAAAGTGGGTGAAACAGATCAACTAAGGTTGCAATTTTATAGTTTATCAGGGCATTGGGAGAGAAGTATGAAGTTACCAAAGTTTAATACTGAATGGGAAGTTTTAAGACACATGGAATTGCATTCATGCATATTCCCACCAAACTATGAATAACCTAAATCTAGATGAAAAATAAGGGTTAGGAGGAAAGGGTATTAATTATTAAAATGAATGAGACACCATTTTGGAAATCTTTCACATGAGCAGCCAATGTGAATGCTAGATACAAATGGACAGTGTGAACAAATAACTGTTTATAAGAAGCAAGGGAAAAGACTGTCAGAAAACCTCCTCATTCAAAAATCAATCATTCAAAAATTGCTCAAACCTGAGAGTATTCTGGCAACCCCTGCAACCATGACTCTTTTGAAGTGGTTCACGTAAAATCAAGAATTAGAGCACAGATCAAAACCTTAAACCCAGATAGACTATGTTAATGATGCAAAATATTTTTAATTGACTGAAACTATGATTTAAAAGTGCCTTAAATATAAATGGCCATAATAAATGGTGGCAAAAAAATGGCATGTTTGTAACAGGGCCCCAAGTCTTACAAGCAAATATGCTGCTATAAATTAAGAAACTTAAATTTATGACTCTCTGCATGACAAGAGAACCTATGCCTGGCCATTGCTGTCTAACTCTGTCTTCCACTTATACCGTATCCTAGTCCAGTACCTCCAATTTCTACCTGAGCTGAGCCCAACATGCAGCACACATTAAATGCAGATTATCCATGCCTCTGCTTTCTCCTTTAACTGAGCCTATAATGTTCCATTTGTCCCTGTTAACCTTTCTTTGCTGAACTACTTCTCCCGCTTGTGTAGGCCTTTTGGGGGTTAAAAAGAAAAAGAACCACCAGTGTTTTGGGAGGCCAAGGTGGGAGAATCCTTCGAGGCCAGGAATTTGAGACAAGCCTGAGCAACATAACAAGAACTTGTTTTTACAAAAAAAGAAAAAAAAAAAAAAGCCGGGTGTGGTTGCATGCACCAATATTCCCAACTATTTGGAAAGCTGAGGTGGGAGGATCACTGGAGCCCAGGAGTTTGAGGCTGCAGTGAGTCATGATCTTGCCACTGCACTACAGCCTCAGGGATAAAGCAAGACCCTATCTCAACCAACCAACCAACCAAACATAAACGCGTCAGGGATTTAAAACTATTTAAATCATAAATTATCTGGTGGATGCATGCTAAGTCAGTTATGCCAGCTACTTACTATGCAGCTAAACAAATGATTAATTTGCTTTTACCTTTCCAACCAGTTATTTTGACCTAATAATGAGAATATGTAGAGAAGAGAAACTTGTATGTATTATAATAATAAATTAAAGGAATGAAAAACTGAAATCTGAGGATTTCTCAGCCATAAAGAATATTATAAAAAACCTTCCTAGAGAAAAGCTGAACTGACTGATTAATTAATTGAATTCTGGCACTGAGCAGGCTGCTGACATTGGGCTCCTAGCAAAATAAATTCTTCACATGGAGATTTCCAATGCAGCAAGAAGAAAACTGACTATTTCTCCTGAAAACGCAGGTTCTTGGGTTCTTAATTGGAGTCTACGAATTGATTTTTAGAAATATCTGAAATTACACAGAAACATATGAATATATGTGTAAGTGTGTGTGTGTGTATATCTCCCTCTCTGTTTTCCTATGGGAGAAAGAAATACATAGCCTTCCTCAAATACTCAAATATCCTATACCTTTTTGCTCTACAAGCTTTATTGTGAGAAAAAGAAAAAAAATAATTACTCATGTAAGAGATGCAGTTTCAGGGTGCCACACTAGTGAATATAGGTATAACCTGTAAAAATAATAAAACTTTCTGGAACATCAGATTCTGAGATTTTATGAGCCAGTTTGCTGTTGTAAAGCTATATTATTATTATTATTGTTATTATTTTTGTAAAGCAATGTTTTAATGCTTCAGTAGGTAATCAGTTACAGGAAGTCATTTTACTACTCCTGATAATAAGAATCTTCTAAAAATGGTGAATGACTTGTGTGAAAATGAGGATTGAATATTCAAATGCAAAAACATGAAGAACTTTCTGCACTGGGTTGTTTTAAATGGCCCTCAACCCTTAGAGAATCTAAATGTTTGTTTGATTTTTGGATATACGTTTAAAATGTAAAAGAGGTAATTTGATCATTCTTTTCATGTATAAATACTGCCAGTGGATTAGATGGTGCCCACCCTGATTGAGGGTGTGTCTGCCTCTCCCAGTCCACTGACTCAAATGTTAAACTCCTTTGGCAACACCCTCACAGACACACCCAGGAACAATACTTTGCATTCTTCAGTCCAATCAAGTTGACACTTAACCATCACAAGCCCACCTCTTGTCAACTTGAACCCATACACATCTCCTGAAATCATCCATATTCTTCAATAAAAGACAATAATAAAGGTAGAATTACACCTAACATAATACAGCTATCCTTTGTACAACTGGAAGTGCACTACTCCTTAACCTAAATGCTATTACATAAAGCTAACAACACTTACATGCTGATATGAAGTCAATAAATCTTGTGTAACAGGATAAAGGAAAAAGAAAACGAAGATGTTTTCTTAGTACAAGTGTATACATGCACAAACAAGTTCTTAACAAAATAAGGAGGAAATCCAAATACCAATGACAATTACAGTTCTCGTTTCTGCAACTGGTCAAGTGGTCGTAGCTGGTATTGATGACTACCTTCTTCAACTATCCATTCTGTATTCCTTTTGCTTTCAACAAGCACCTTAGCAGGTCATGGTTTTTCACCTGGTGGAGTGACCCAAACCATCATTCCTGAAGGGTCTGGGCTATTTGTATTCCTGCCTGGATTGGGTCGTTGTAGTTTCCCATTGACCTTAATCACAGGGCATGATAATACTAAGAGACACCCTAAGGGATCTCCTGTATTCCACACATTCTTCCTTACTTTCATTGTGGAGTAGTAGACTGATTTCATCTTGATAGTCCAGGTCAATCACCCCAGCCAACATTGTAACTCCCTTCTTAGCCTGTAGACTTAGAGGTGGGGGATCCCAAAGTGTCCAGGTGGCAATGTTAACATCCAGTTTAATGGAATTGTTATGTCTCCTAGTGGCAGCATTCCTCCCTCTAGAACTAAGATCCCTAGGCCAGCAGAACGTAATGTCGGGGCAACAGGAAGCAAGAATTTTGCTAGTGGGTCACTAGGGGTGATGGTGAGTGGTGCCACTTTCACTTCCACCCTTGATTCCTGGACCGTGAATCCTTGCAATGGGAGAAACAGTACCATATATTGGATGCTGATTCAGGGCATACACAGCCTTCTGGAGAATTTTGCCCCAGCCCTGCAAAGTGTTGTCAGCTAGTTGGCTAGTTGTGTAGTCAGCTAATTGTGACTTCAAATGGCCATTCCACCATTCTATCAATCCAGCTGCTTCAGGATGATAGGGAACATGGTAAAACCAGTGAATTCCAGGAGCATGAGTCCACTGCTGCACTTCTTTAGCTGTAAAGTGAGTGCCTTCAGAGGCAATGCTGTGTGGAATACCATGATGGTGGATAAGGCATTCTGTTAGTCCACGATGATAGTCTTGGCAGAAGCACTGTGTGCAGGATAGGCAAACTTATACCTGGAGTAGGTGTCTATTCCGGTGAGGAATACAGCACAGTTTTCCAAAAAGGTCTTTTCCCTTACACTGCAAATGTGTTACCTTTGATATGAATTAAGGTTATAGTTTACCAAATATGTGTGGGTCTGCTTCTGGTCTTTTCTAACTTCTATGATCTGTCTATCCTTGTGTCAATACCACATTGTCTTAGTTACAATAGCTTTATAATACATCTTAATATCTTAATGTTAATCCTTCACAATATTACTTTGACTATTCTTAGACTTTTACATTTCCACATAATTTTAGAATCAGTGGATCAATTTCTGCAAAGAAACCTTATAATTTTTATTGGGATTACATAAAATCTATTCACATTTTAATATACTGAATTTTCTAATTCATGAATCCCTTCAGTTATTTATCTTCTTTCATTAATTAAACAAATTATCCAACTAAGGTACAGAGAAAACTATTTTTTATTGATACAAAACTTTTTACATGGGATCCATGTGATATTTTGTTACATTATAGCCTGAATAAAGATTAAGTCAGGCTGTTTGGTGTGTCTGTCACCTCAAGTATTTATCATTGAACAATTCAAGTCTTCTAGCTATTTTGAAATGTACAATACATTGTTAACTATAGTCATCCTACTCTGCTATCAAACATAACTTATTTCATCTTTGTAACTGCATGTTTGTACCCATTAAGCAAAATCTCTTGATTCCCATCCCCTCTCCCACAGACCCATTCCAGCCTGTGGTACCTATCATTTATTCTCTACCTTGATGAGATAACCTTTTTTAGCTCCCGCATATGAGTGAGAACATAGGATATATGTCTTTTTGTGCTTGGCTTATTTCCCTTAACATAATGACCTCTAGTTCCATCTATGTTGCTGCTGATGACATGATTTTATTCTTTTATATGGCAGAATAATATTCCATTGTGCATATATACCACATGTTCTTTATCAATTTATCTGTTGATGAACACTTACGTTGATTCCATATCTTTGCTATTGTGAATTGTGCTGCAATAAACATTGAATTGCAGGTATCTTTTTTGATATATTGATTTCTTTTCCTTTGGATAAATACCCAATAGAGGGATTGCTGGATCATATGGTAGTTTTATTTTTAGTTTTCTGATAAATCTCCATACTGTTTTCCATAGTGACTGTACTAATTTACATTCCCACTAACAGTGTATGGGCTTCCTTTACTCTGCATCCTTACCAGCATCTGTTATTTTTTTTTTTTTTGTCTTTTACATAAAAGCCAATCTAAGTGGAGCACAATGATGTCTCCTTACAGTTTTTATCTGAATTTCCTTCATAATTAGTGCTGTTGAGCATTTTATCATATACCTCTTGGTAAATGAAAATACCACTTGTGTATCTTCCTTTGAGACTGTGTATCTTCCTTTGAAAAATGTCTGTTCATTTTCTTTGCCCACTTTTTAATGAGATTTTTTTTTTTTTTGCTGTCGAATTGTTTGAGATTCTTATATATTCTGGATATTAGTCCCCTGTTGGATGAAGAAATTGCAAATACTTGTTAGTTGTTTTTGTTGTTGTTGTTGTTTTGAGACAGGATCTTGCTTCATCTCCCAGGCTGAAGTTCAGTGGCATGATCTTGGCTCATTGCAACCTAGACCTCCCAGGCTCAAGTGATCCTCCTGCTTCAGCCTCCCAAGTAGCCAGGATTACAGGTGTGCACCACCACACCTGGCTAATTTTTGTAATTTTTGTAGATATGAGATGTCTTTGTGTTGCCCAGGCTGGTTTGGTCTCGAACTCCTGGACTCAAGCAATCCTCCCACCTCAGCCTCACAAAGTGCTTCGGTTACAGGCATGAGCCATGGCCCCTGGCTGAAGTTGCAAATATTTTCTCTCATTCAACACATTGTCTCTTCAGTCTGTTATTGTTTCCTTTGCTGTGAAAAAGCTTTTTGGTTTAATGGAATCTCATTTGTCTATTTTGCTTTTGCTGCCTGTGCTTTTGAGGCTTTAGTCACAAAATATTTGCCTTAACCAATGTCCTAAAGTGTTTTTACTACGTTTTCTTCTAGCAATTTTATAGTTTCAGGTCTGACACTTAAGTCTTTCATTCATATTGATTTTTGTATATATGTTGAGAGATAGGGGTCTAGTTTTATTATTTTACGTATAGATATCCAGTTTTCCCAGCACCATTTATTGGAGAAGTTGTCCACTCCCTAATGTATGTTCTTGGTGCTTTTCAAAAAAAAAAAATCAGTTGGCTGTGAATGCCTGGATTTATTTCTGGATTCTCTATTCTGCTACATTGGTCTATGTGTCTGTTATGATAGCAACACCATGCTGTTATAGTTACTTTAGTCTCATAATATATTTTGAAGTCAGGAAGAGTCATGCTTTCACCTTTGTTCTTTTTGCTCAGGATTGTTTTTATTATTTGGGCTCATTTTGTGGTTCCATATAAATACTAGGGTTGTTTTTTCTATCTCTGTAAAATATGACATCAGTACTTTGATAGGGATTGCATTCAATCTGCAGTTTGCTTTGGGCAGAATGGTCATTTTAATGATATTAATTTTTTGAATTTATTGAGCATAGGTTGTCTTTCTATTTGTGTACTCTTCAATTTCTTTTATCAGTGTTTTAGAGTTTTCCTGATAGAAGTCTTTCAACTCTTGGATTAAATTTCTTCCCAGATTTTTTTGGGGTAGCTATTGCAAATGGAATTGCCTTCTTAATTTCTTTAGCAGGGAGTTCATTCTTGGTTCATAGAAATGCTACTAATTTTTGTATGTTGATTTTGCATCCTGCAACTTTACTGAATTTATTTATCATATCTAAGAAGTTTTTTTGGTAGACTCTTTAAGGTTTTCTTGATGTGAAATCTCAAATCATCAGCAACGAGGGATAATTTGACTTTTCTTTTCCAATTTGGATGATTTTTATTTGTTTCTCTTGCCAGATTTCTCTGGCAAGAATTTCCAGAATTATGTTAAATAGAAGTGCTGAATGTGGTATCCTTGTCTTGTTCTGGTTCTTACGGAGAAGGTTTTCAGCTTTTTCCCATTCATTATAACATTAGCAGTGGGTGTGTCATATATGGCCCTTATTATGTTCAGACATGATCCTTAAATGACTAGTTCACTGAGAGTTTTTATCAAATGTTGCAAAATCTCAATATTCAACAAGGAATGTTGTATGTTATCAAATGCTTTTTCTGCATCTAATGAGATAATATGGTTTCTATCCTTCAATCTGTTGATGTATCACATGTATTGATTTGCTTAGGTTGAACAATTCATGCTCCCCTCAGATAAATTCTGCTTGATCTTGGTGTATTATCTTTTTGCTGTGCTGTTGGGTTTGGTTTGGTAGTATTTTGTTTAGGATTTTTGCATCTATGTTCTTCATAGATAGTGGTCTGTAGTTTTGTACCAGGGTAATGCTAGCCTCATAGAATGAGTTAGGGAGAATTTGCTCCTCTTCAATTTTTTTTGGAATAGCTTGAGGAGAATTAGTATTAGCTCTTCTTTGAAAATTTGGTAGAATCTGGCAGTGAGGTAAGGCAGGCCTGGAATGTGTTGGGAGATTTTGTATTACTGATTCAATCTCATTAATCCTTTTGGTTTATTTGGGCTGTCTATTTCTTCTGGATTGAATCTTGGAAGGTCATGTGTCCTGGAATTTTTTAATTTTCTCTAGGCTTTCTAGATTGTTAATGTATAGTTGTTCATAATAGTCTCTGATGATTTTTATTATTTCTTTTTTGTGTGTGTACTCAATTATATTCTTTTTTTATTATTATACTTTGTTTTAGGGTACACGTACACAATGTGCAGGTTAGTTACATATGTATACATGCACCATGTTGGTGTGCTGCACCCATTAACTTGTCATTTAACATTAGGTATATCTCCTAATGCTATCCTGGTATCAGTTGTAATGTCTCCTTTTTCATTTCTGATTTTATTTATTTGGGTCTTTTTCTCTTGGTTAGTCTAGCTAGTGGTTAATCAATTTTGTTTATCTTTTCAAAAAATGAACTTATGGTTTTGCTAGTCCTTTGTATTTTTTGGTCTCAATTTCATTTATTTCTGCTCTAATCTTTACAATTTTTTTTCCTTCTACTAATTTTGGGTTTAGTTTGTTCTTACTTTTCTAGTTCTTTGATGGGTACTATTAGACCATTTATTTGGAATCTTTCTTCTTGTTTTTATGTAGGTAAGTTTTGCTATAAGCGTTCTTCTTAGCACTGCTTTTGCTCTATCCCATAGATTTTGGTATGTTGTGTTTCAATTTTCACTTATTTCCATTTTTTTCCTTAATTTCATCCTTAACCAAGTGGTCATTCAAGAGCATGTTTTTTAAGTATTATGTATTTGTAGTTAGCCAAGTTTTTCCTGTTACTGATTTACCCAAGTTTTTCCTGTTACTGATTTCTAGTTTTATTTCACTGTGGTCTGAAAAGATACTTGATACATTTATGAGTTTTAAAAATGTGTTGAGACTTGTGTTGTGTCCCAATCTTTGGTCTATTCTGGAAGAATGTTGCAGGTGCTGATGAGAAGAATGTGTATTCTGTGGCTGTTGTGTAAAATGTCCTGTAAATGTCTGTTAGGTGTGTTTGTTCAAACATGCGGTTTAAATTCACTGTTTCTTTGTTAGTTTCCTGTCTAGATGATCTGTCTAAAGCTGTAAGTGTGGTGTTAAAATCCTGAACTATTTTTGTATTGGAATGTATCTCTCCCTTTAGATCTAATAATATTTACTTTATATATCTGGGTGCTCCGGTGTTGGGTATATATAATTAGTTAGAATTGTTATTTCCTTTTGCTGAATTGATTCCTTGATCTTTATGTAATGACCTTCTTTGTCTCCTTTAATAAATTTGGATTTAAAGTCTGTTTTATCTAATATAAGTATAGGCACTCCTTTGGTTCTGGTTTCTGTTTACATGGAATGCAATGTCTTTTTCTATCCCTTTACTTTCAGTCTGTATGTGTCTTTACAGTTGAGATAGATTTCTTTTTTTTTTTTTTTGCCTGTATAATCAGGTCTTTATTCAAAAGAAGCTGTCCATGATGATTTGACCTTTATGGAATAATCAAATTTAAGAGTTTATGCAGCAGGCTTCTTTTCCTCTGTAGTAAGTTTCTTTTCTGCAGGCTTCTTATTTCTTATAGGCAGCATATAATTGGTCATTTTAAAAATACATTCTGCCAGTCTATATCCTGTAAGTGTAAAGTTTAATCTATTTACATTCAAAGATATTACTGATATGTGAGGGCTTATTCCTGTTATTTATTAATTGATTACTGGTTGTTTGGTATATCATTTGTTCCTTTCTTTCTCCATTAATGTTTATTATTGTGGGTTGATAGTTGTCTGTAGTGGTAATATTTGTGTCCTTTCTCTTCTTTATTTTTGTGTTTGTGCTACCATTTAGTTCTGTACTTTCATGTGTTTTCATGATTGTAGATGGTGTCTCTTTCCTCCCAGGTAGGACTCCCTTAAGCATTTCTTGCCAGGCCAGTCTAGGGTGATGATTTCTCTCAGCTTTTGCTTAGCTTGGAAAGATGATGATGACGATGATGATGATTATTATTATTTTCAGCACTTTGAATATATCATCTCATTCTCTCCTGGACTGTTAAATTTCTGAGGAGAAATTCAATGTTAGTTTGATGAGGGTTCCCTTATGAGGCACTTGATGCTTTTCTCTTGCTGTTTTTAAGAGTACTCTCTTGATCTTCCACTTACTACAATTTGATTATAATGTGCTGAGGAGAAGACCTTTTTGCATTGTGTTTTGGAATCTCTAAACGTTCTGTATCTGAATGTCTAAATCTCTTCCTAGACTTAGGGTGTTTTCAGCTATTATTTCAATAAATAGGTTTTCTAACTTTTTTATTTTCCCTTTGTCTTGTGGAACACCAAAAAATTTGATCACTATAAGGTATCTCATATGTCACGTAGGCTTTGCTCAATTTTTTTTTATTTTTGTCTGTGTTATTTTAAAAGACGTGTCTTCAAGTTTTGAAATTCTTCTTGATCTAGTCTATTGTTGAGCTATTGAAAGTATTTTGTATTTTACTTAATAAATCATTCAGTTCCAGAATTTGTTTTGTTCTTTATGACATCTATCTCTAGAAAATTTCTCATTCATATACTAACTTGTTTTTCTGATTTATTTGTATTGTTTTTCTGTATTCTCTTGGATCTAACTGAGCTTCTTAATATTGGTATTTTGAATTCTTTATCCAGGATTTCATAGATTTCTTCTTTTGGTTAATCTGTTGCTGGGATTTTATGTCCCTTTGGAAGTACTATCTTTGCTTTTTTTTTTTTTTTTTTTTTTTCATGTTTCTTGTGTCCTTACACTGATATCTGAACATCTGTCATGACAATCACTTCTTTCCATTTTTTAACTTGCTTTCCTAGGGCAGGGCTTTTTCCTGAAGATGTGTCTGTGGTGTTTGTTGGGTATGGTACTTTGGCTTTGATTCTGGGTGTATGCAGTAGTGTAGCTCTCATGATTTCTTTGGCTCTAAATAGCTTCACTGGTGTCTGTGATTTTCGTCAGTGGCCTAGGTTGTGGTTATTAGGGAAGGCTGTGGTGAACTTTTGCTTGTGAAAAGGACACCAGATGGGCCTGTCCTTGGGCCCTAGGACAGTGTATGCTGGCACTGTGCTAGCAGACCCAAGCCAGCCAATTCTTGGGCCTCCAGGCAGCTTGTTTGGGTGATGATAGTGGCAGTCGTGGGCTGGTGGTAAGTGTGTCCTTGGGCACTTGGGCAGTTGGCATGGCATGGGTGAAGCAGTAGTAGTGGTAGGACTAACCTCTGAGTCCCAAGAGCTCCACAGTGGTGTTGGCAGTGGTTGTGACAGGCTGGGCAGGCCAGTCCCCAGGCCCACAGGTGACACGTGTATGTGTGTGTGTGTGTGTGTGTGTGCTCATTGTGATGGTAGTGGCAGGTTGGGTGGCCCCAACTTCAGGGCCCTTGTTGGAGTGCTCAGGTGCCAATATTGGTGGACTGGGCTGAGTACTCCCCAGGCCTCCAGATGCCATGATTTGATACTAGGGGGTGGGGGTCAGAGCTAGGTCCAGTGGACTCATCCTCACATCCTTCAGTAGTGCTTGCAGACACTGACTATGGAAGGCAGGGGCGGTGTGACCCCAGGCCCCAGAATGTTCATGTTGGGGTGGCAGCAGCTGTACTGCACCCCTGGTACAGGGGAGAATAGAGTCACTTTCAATGGCAGCAGTGGCACACAAGTGCCTGGGAAGTGTACATTTCACTTGCCTTTGGCCCCAGTTGAGGCAGCCCACTGCTATGGCTGTCACCTGGTGGATTTGTTGTCCTTAGGGTGATTAAAAGCTGCACAGCAGCTTCACAGTTGGGAGCAGTGTGGTAGCTGCCAACAGCTCACACTTAAGCCCTACAGGTAGCAGGCAGCTGGAGTTGTGGCTGCAGGTGAAGCATGTCATTGGGGTTCCAGGGATATGAAGATGCAGGGGCTGTAGGGCCCAGGACAGAATGCAGTCTGGTGAGGGCTGAGATATCCAAGTGACAACTTGCTGTAGCTGCTTAGGACTTGGGGGTGTGTGGGATTATGTGTGCTCCCTCTCTGGGGCAGTATCGTCACACGGTCTTCAGGTAGCTCCCTATGTTGGTCTGGGGGCTCACAATAGTCTAGGGGCATTCCTATGGCTGGAATGTGGGAGTCTGTAGTGGGAACGTTGATCACTAGGAGTCACCCACTTACTCTTTTCTCATACTGGGAAGCCTTTCCTGGCTCCTAGCCTATCCCACCTGAACAGACTGTATTGCTTTCTTTCCCTTCCTTGCTTTAGGTGTTTCCTGTCACTTATCTGTAGAATTCCAGCATTCTCTCTTATATATGTGAACTGTGATTATCTACTCATTATTGTCTGGTCAAGTATCTGGAAGCCTCACTGATGTTTTCAGTGTAAAGACTTCTGTATATCTTTCACAATTTTGTATCTTCATAAGGGATTTTCTTAAGTAGTTTTCCATTCTGGTAGAACTTAGTTGGTTTTGAAGGAGAGTTATGTTGGCCTCATAAAATGCTTAAGAAAGTGGTTTTTTTTCTTTTGTTATTGTCTAGAAGAGTTTGTATAAGAGCGACAGGTTTTTTTTTTTTCCTATAAGTATTTGGAGAAATTTCAGTTTTTAGAATTATTTTGAATGAGCAATTATATCTAAAACACTTAGAAAGTAACTGGCATTTGATAAATGCCATAAAATATTAGTATTCTTGTGTGCTTGAATATCCATTTTCCTGTGTAAATCATTACATAAATGCTAGGACAGAACAGCTGTGGGCTTTACACAGAGGTAACATGCTTGAAGCCATTCCTTTAGAAGTCACCCTTCAGGATTTCAGCATTTATTCAATTATCAGTTACTACTCAATGCATTTTCAGGCAATTTTTATTTTAATTTTTCAACTGTTCCGTTGTCACAAGATTCCTAATACATAAATGAGAGGCAGGTTTTGATAGAACATAGTTTTTTTTAAAGTTCAGGGGTAACTGTGCAGGTTTGTTACATAGGTAAACTGTGTCAGAGAGGCTTGTCATACAGATTATTTCATCGCCCATGTATTAAGCCTGGTACTCATTATTTTTCCTGATCCTCTTCCTCCTTTCACCCTTCACCCTCCAATAGCCCCCAGTGTATTTTGTTCCCTTCTACATGTCCATGTGTTCTCATCATTTAACTCCTACCTATAAATGAGAACATGTGGTATTTGGTTTTCTGTTGCTGCATTAGTTTGCTAAGGATAATGGCCTCCAGCTGTATCCAAGTTCCTGCAAAAGGACATGATCTCATTCTTTTTTATGGCTGCATAGTATTCCATGGTGTACCTCTACCACATTTTCTTTATCCATTCTATCAATGATGGGCATTTAGACTGATCCAGTGTCTTTGCTATTGTAAATAGTGTTGCAGTGAACATGTGTGTGCATGTGTTTTTATAGTAGAACAATTTATATTCCTTTGGGTACATACCCAGTTATGGGATTGCTGGGTCAAATGGTATTTCTGTCTTTAGGTTTTTGAGGAAACACCCACCCTGTCTTCCACAGCGGTTGAACTAATTTACACTCCAACCAACAATGTATAAGTGCAGAACATAGTTTTCAATAATGAATATGGCTAACTCCATCTCAAGCCCATGAAGAATTTTTTGCAGCTAATAGGGTTACACTGAGGTCATGACACCTCTGTTTTCTTACTAAAATAATCCCAAATATCTCCTTTCATTCCAAATTCCAGCCCTCTCTCTCTCCTTTCTTCTCCACAGTGGAATTTTTCAAGGGTTACCTCCATTCAGAGGCCCCATATTTTCACATCCACTCACTTCTCAACCCAGCGTGGTTTCCATTTCTACCATTCCACTGAAATGGCTTGTTGCCAGGGTGCTTCCAAACTGTCAAACCATTAAGGTCATGATTCTGTACTTATGTGATCTCAGCGGCATTTGATATTATTGACCACATCAGCTTTCTTGCAGTATGCTCTGCCACTGAATTCTAGGACAGTCCATGCTTACTGTTTTTCTCCTCTGTATTTACCCGTTTCTATTTACACTCTTAACTGACTTGCCTTTCTATATATGACATTAACTGTTGAGTTCTTCAAGGTTTAATTTCTTGAAGCATGTAGTTTTGATCACTTTTCATATACAATGTTTGCCTTTAACTTGTGTACATCTCAAGTACAGTGTGTTACTTCTCTGAGAACTATATATTCCATTACCTTGCTGACATTCCTATTTGGATGCTTTTCAGTCACCTGAGATTCAGCGCTAAAACTGGACTCCTGTGGTCCTCTCACAGCAGTTCTTACAGTTCTCTCCCTTAGTGAAAGGTAACACCATCTTCCTAGACCTGGAGACCTAGGGACTGAGAGCCATCCTTGACTCTACGCTCCCTCATCCCATAGTCCAGCAATTGTTAAGTCCTGCTCACTTTATCTCTTCACCATCTCTCAATTCTACTTACTTTTTTCCCAGTGCCACTATTTGAAAGTCCAGGGTGTTATTCATTTATCAGGAGTACTACAAAGGGCTAATATTAATAACTTCTCTAAACTTTGAAAATTGCTAGGCTATCCATTGCAGCTAGAATATTTTTCAAACTTAAATCTGAGCATGGCATGCTGTTGCTTGAAAGTATCTGTTTAATGTCTGGCTTTACCAAGGGAATGTAGTCTGTTTTGTTCCAGAAAATTATCGGCATTCAATATAGACTTGTTAAATGATAATTTACAAGTAAAGAAAAAAGAATCCAGAAGATTGTTTTACCACCTAGAAATAAACATTATATTTTCCTCTGATATGTAGGTAAGAACTTCAAATATAAGACATAATTTAAAAGTTTATAATTGACATAGTCAGGGATTATAAATAATATCACACAAAATAAGCTCTTAATGCAAGAAATGAATCTCCAGGATAGATCATACTAATCTATCCAATCCAGCCCTCTGTTCTGAAAGCAGCACATGAAAAGGCAGAGAAAGAAAAATAATCTCTACGACCTGGCCTGTTAAACATGTATTTATTTCCTGAGTAACTATTAGGTGCTAGCTGTAATGGGCTATTCAGTGGAGGACAGTGGTCAAAGCCTCTTATGATGTATGGCAGATGCCAGAAAGATATGAAAGATGTGATGGTACAAAAAAGGAAGTTGGAGTCACATCCAGCCACAGGACTAACTAAGCCTCTTTGGGGCAGGAGACTTTGGAAGTGTTGAAGGAGAGTAGAATCTATTCAGAAAGAAACAACTGGGGGCAGGTCCTTCCAGTCTGAATGAAGATTAACTAGGCATAATGTAACTGGCATCATGGCCGTGACGTCTGAGAGGTTATGAAGGCCTCCACTTGGGTGGTGGAAATCAGAACAGAAGTGGTTAATGCATTGACACTGGACCTACTAGGCTTTAGGGGTTGGGAGACGAGGACAACAGCACGAGGAACAAAAAAAAAGAGGATGACCGAGAAATTCCAAGCCCAGAAAATGCCAGTCCTGGTAAGGGAAATAAGGAAGCTGGAAGGAGATTATGAGGGTTGGGGTTCTGAAGACAGGGAGAGACAGATGATGTTTAGTTTCTGACTTGCTGAGGTGTAGATGCCTGTAAGATAGAGAGACAGGGCTAGAAATGGGAAGATAAAGTTTGAGAAGGGAACCAGGAAAACTTGGCAAGACTTCAACATCCCTACTTAATTATCACACTGTGAATCCACAATCGATAAATTTTATCAAAAGCATTCTGGAATCTTTCCTAAAAGTTTTTGACAATTGTATAAATCTTAACATGTCACTTACAACTAACATTCCTTTCTAACAAACATCCAATGTCTACTTAATCAACTAACAATTGTTTTCTATATACAGTTTATTCAAGGTTGATTCGGTCCTGCTCTTACGTCCCAGCTGGTGTTTGGGTCCTAAACTTAACACTGAGAATTTCAATCGGGCTACAGAGGAAACAAGTCTAACTAATGATGCCTTCTTGTCGGGCAAATAATTTCATTTTGAAATTCTATAGCAAAAGAACAACAATAAAGTATTGGTTCCACTTTTAAATAAATAAGGGGTTATTTTGCTGCTGAAAGTTTTCATTCAAATGACTGATCAGATCTCACATGTCTGTTTAAAAATGTCTGACTTAGGTCGTTACAAAATGACAGACTATGATAAACTAGATGATAGTTAGAAGCAAGACAATGAGGCATTGTTTACACAGAAGATTGAGTAACTGGTTTAACAAAAGAGGTTCTTGGGTATCTATTGTATGTACAACTACGAGATTTACTGGAGCTTTTATAATTTCTGCAAGGCTCTTTTCCAGCCAGCTTCATTAACTTGAAGTAAATCAAATCATGCAGAATTCTGGCTCAGCCAGAAAGCAACCCAGTGAGATACAACATGAAGAAAAACAGACACGGGATGATAAGATTTAGAATCTTTGGCATTTTTCGTAAACATTTTGTTTGAAGATTATTAAATTACAACCCAGAGACAAAAAAAAAAAAATAGTGAACTCACTATTAAATGAGATCTTTTTAACCTTAACTTTTTTTATAATACATACATACATAAAAACTGCACAAAGTATGTGTCAACAAAATACAGTCTTTAAAACTTAAATATCATTTAAACAGACTTAATTGCATACATTTTATATACGCACAAAGTCAGGATTTTTACATGGCAGGGAAATACTGTGGAATGATGAGGTCTGCAGGAGACAGATGCTATCAAATGAGGACTCTGGGGTGGTATTTTCTAGAAATGGGGTTCTGAAATAAATTTTTATTGTATGTAGCTTATTTTACTTCTAAGAGGAACAAAAGATACATTTGGGCAGCCAAAGTATTTCTACTTCCTGCTTAAAACATTCAGGCAAATGAAATGATTATAATAATTAGGTAAGCAGCCTTATTAGTCTCTCGGTCTTCAGTTTCTTATCTTTCTAAATACCTAGAGAATTTATTCATTCATTTCTCCCCTACCCCCACCTGCCTTTCTGAAATTATATGTTGACATTTTATAATATTTTGAAAATAAGCAAAAAGTAAAGTGAGAAGAAGTGGCATCAGAAGGCAACCAAATACTTTCATGGGACCCTCATTTTTCAAGTGAGTGATCTCTAGGGACCTTCCTGGGCCATCCATTGCCAGCAATGGACCCTGCTGTAGGCTGGCATCCAGCACCGAGAGGTTTCCCAAAAATTCACATACATATCCTTAATAATCATGGCTGAAAGATCCCTAAAGGTTTGAGCTAATTCTGGTAATTATTAAAAATGCCTTTTAATAATATACAATATTTGGACAGAGGATGACTACCAAAGACTTGTTAACTCTGAGAAGAGACTTACGCCCATGAACGATAATCTGAAAGGAGTGTGGGGCTGGGGAGCGGAAATAACTGAATCTTAATGAGAGTCTGTTGGAGGTGTGAAAACAAGTTCAAAGTCACTCTTGAATCCAAGTGGGCTCCTGGCTGTTCTCAAGGAAGGTGGTGTTCAGATCCATGGCAGCCTTGTTATCTCCTATTTCAGAATGGATGTTAGTCTTTCACAGTCTTGGGGTTGTTGCTTTTCGCTGGGCTGACCCTCTACGCAACTAGGACACCCATGCATGAGGGTGTGTGCACATGTGTGTATGTCTGTGCACGTGAAGGAGGAGGAAGTATACAGAGGGTGCCACAGGGCATGCATTTCAGAAGGACACCTTGGGTACCACTGAAACAGCCATAACATTGGTCTACTCAACCAAACACAATATTGGGTGCTGCTGTCCAAAGTCGGTGTGTGCCCTAGAGAGCGCTGCGCTTCTTCCGCAGGGGGCTGTGGCTGCTGCAGAGTTTCAATTCTGCATACTGCACCTGTGAAAACAAATAGCCGTGATGCTGGCGGTTAGGTAACCCTAGCTCGCCACAGTGTGTGCTAATGGCTCCCCAAGGACAACCGAAGGCAAAGGAAGGAAGGTTCAAAGGTAATGAATCATTTTCTAAACACAGGAACATGGAGGGATTAATTGCAGGAAGGATTTGAGAAGTCATGCATCATTTCTTGAAACCAAAATATTAAAAGCAGATTTTTCTAATGAGATGCGTGGGTTTCTACCTTCGCTGGGCACTGCTAGATGATGTTCGTTTTGTGTGTGCCAGTTTTCAACCATAAGTAAGCTTAATAACTGCCTCTTGGGAATGTTTATCTTAGTATATGATACAGCAACTTACTGAGGATTATTCGTTTAAAAATATCTAAAATCTTGGGGAAAACATCTCGGAAAATTATACACATTTACTTTGCCTGAGAGGAAAAAATGCTGAAATTGATACTGGACCCCAGACTTTTATATAGATTTCTCGTGGAAATTAATTTCATTTGCAATGTAATGACTAAAACATCTGTGATAAATATGAGTACTTGGGAGTCCCCAGTGGCAAACTGTCACTGTGTTATTAGAAAGCGCCCTTGGCGATACACGGAGGATCTTACTAGCATACTGTACATCTTCCTGGAATGTTCTTTTGCTGCATCTCTCTGTGTTCATGCCATCTCCAACTGGAATGGCCACTTTGAGGGCTAGTGACTGGACTCTGCACAGAGAATCCTTGGGGGCTTGAGGGAAATTTCTGTTCTTCAAGGATACAGTGTGAACTCACACTGCGACCCAAGTGATGGTACGTTGCAAATATATTGCTTTGGTGTGTGGGCTTTGATAGGCTGCTGGTGGAATGGCTTTATTTAAAACATTGTATTACAGACCACATGTGCTCCCTATTTTTAGCATTTGTGACAAATTCCCCAAGGACATTATGCCTGATCACAGAAGTCAGGCTGTACTTTGTCAGAGGCAGATAAATGAAGAAAACACCCCATTCCTTATGGTGTTTTGCGAAGGTGCCCTAAGGGAGCAGAGGATGACATACCTGTCAATCTTCAATGCAAAACAAACAGGGGCCGGGTTATTATTTTTTAATTAAGTAATACAAATGTTAAAGAGTAAATTCATCTTTCTAGAATGTGTTTTCACAGCTAATTATGAAATGAATTTTAAAGGAAGATAGCATCACAGAGTCCATTTTAATTTCTAGAACTCGGAATGAAGGGGAAAGAAACTCTAAGGCTTTTCCGCCCCAGATCTTTGAAATCCTCCCTGAGCTGCCAGGGAACCAATTATGCTACAGTGGCTCAAATATGAAAATCGATATTTGATTTGGGATTCTCTGAGATATTAAAGGATTGTGTCTTTGATCATCTTGATGATATTTCACGCCATGGTCTCCCCATCTACCTATTCAGTGATCTCTGTTCTCCATTAGAGAAACTGCCGCCTGCCCTCCTTCCTCTGGATTTATAGCAGGCTGATCCACAGGGGCCAGGATCGAGCTACTCTACACGACTTTCTAGTATTGTTGCCTTCGTTAATCTCTGTGTATCCACAGAAACAGGACACTGCTGGACTAGGTGACCATTATCTGTGAATAATACTTCTGATTGATCTCACATTATTTCACACTGCCTCTGCCTCTTTGTGTATTACAGTAAATGGGGGCTGCATTCTCAGCATCCCTAAGTCTTCAGAGGGAAGACGATAGAAGGGAGGCCTAGGAGATAAATCAGGGCAAATGAGAATAAAAAGAATAATCCTTTTGTCCCCTACTTCCCCTAAAATGCTTGCCACCCGGAAGAAGAAAATAAGCAACACTCCCTGGGTTTGGATCTCATGCAATTCTACTCACTGAGCCCATCTTATCCTCTTTAGGGAGGCAAGCAATCGAAAGGGGACAAGCATCAGTGCCCAGTAGCCACACAGTGTGAGTTCCAGATCATACTTAAGTAGCTCTTTTTCAAAACAATTTCCCCCAATCACCTCATGCTTTGGACAAAGATTTTTCTGCCACTTCTCTGCAAGCCAGGCCTCTTTAAGGATTTTCTGGTTCCTTATCTCAATTACTCACACAAGCAAAGCCTTGTGTTCCTCTGGCTCCGGGGCTGGCCAGATTTCAGGTTGGGGCCACTGTTGGTGGTAACCATTCATTACATACCTTTTGAACATCAGACGGTACCCTAGAGAGGAAGTCTAGTAGCTCATTATTGTCGATGGAATAGGGATTTCGAAGCTTCTTAGTAAATTTATTTATGCCTGAAAAATAGAAACACAGGAGATCTCTTTATCTGTCTGTCTGTCTATCTATCTATCTATCTATCTATCTATCTATCTATCTATCTATCTGTCAGTCAATCATCTATCTATCTAGCATCTATCTTCAAAAACTCGCCTGACTCGGGGGAGAGGGGATATTCACAAGTAAAAATTAGTGTGAAAACAATTACCAGACCTCAAGTCAAGCACATGTTGCTGTCATGTAGAATCATTCACAAATGCCTTTTCCTGAAGGCAGGAAGCAGGGGCTGGTGAAGAGGGGCTCTGCCTTCTTCAGCTGTGAAAATCCCATTACAATCCCAGCAGCAGGGCGACAGAAACACACGCTCAAACTGGGGAGCACGTTGGCTTTTTTGGAATACGCTGATTAACAGCCGCCTCTGCTATGAAAACAAATGTCCCAGATGGGAAAAGGCCTTCATTAGCCCAAACAAGTCCCTGCTTGGAGGCTCTGGACCAAACGTAGCAGTGGGAGGTAGAGGGCGGGAGTTGTTTTCTTGTTGTTACAAAGAAAACCGCAGTCATCTGTCTTTCCCCACCTCCAACTCATTTTCACAGGTTTCTCTCCTCTCACAGCAGAACAGAACCTGACATGTTGATTGTACTTTGATGCTGCAGGAAACTGTGAAAAGTTATTATTGGCAAATTATCTTACTATGGTTGCTAACTTAATTTATGGATCACAACGTCGGTGCGTGGGTCTGTCTGGGCAATGGAGAACATGCTAATTTAGGACAAGGACAAGGATAATTAGAAACGGGTTGAACGTTTAAGATGTCAACATCCTATAGACCGTCCCTCTTTGGTGGCTGCACCTTGGGTTCCCGTGCATATCCAGGACACGCTCTGCCCCTGGTTTACTCTTTAGAGGGGAGTTCCTCTCAACCACGTTTTGTCTTCTACTCTGCTCTTTGGAGCTGCTTTGACTATATCCGGAGCTCATAAGCTGTAGTCTTTTCACCAAATGTCAACCCGTTTTTCATGTTGAGTTTTAGAAGCAGAAAGACTAGGTGGCCTTCTGAAGTTTTGCCACAGGGTGCTTGTTTAACAAGGATCATATCTGAAGGGCTGTCAGTCCCAATGACGCTGAATGAATTCTTAGCTTCGTTGTACTCTGAATGGCTCCTACTCAGAAGTCAAGGTAACATTTAACTGTTCAGTAGTCCCCAACACACAAAGGGTTTGATTTTTTTGTTGTTGTTCATTAAGTATTATTTTGCTTTCATCTGAGGACTAGGCTTCCTGCATGGCATTATACCTGACACAATGCCAACCTCCAGTTATTTCTTTGGAGGGTCAGATTTACATCTGCTTTGCAAATGGGAGCCAGCCATTGTGCCCGAGTAAATGGTGGCTTGGCGGTTGGGCTGGTGAAGGTTCCTAGCAAATGATCGCCTTTCCCTCAAGTCAAAGCTGCACTCTGCCTTTTTTCCCTCTACCCCCACAGCAAGCTTCACGTTTCTAGCTAAAATTTCCCCCAGTGTTCCTTTACACTGAAATACTCTCACTGTGTTATTCTAAAGACATTTAATTGTAGCATGGGCTTTTTGGCAAAAGAAAACAGACAAGGCAAAATGATGAAGGGAGACAAAGACGTATTGAGAACAGATATATCTTCTATTGTTAATTATATATGGTGTGCGCATCTGGAGTCTTCACAATGAACGGCAAGGCAGGGATAATATCACAGCTGATCAAAACACTGCATTCTTAGTCACTGAGAAGATTATAAACCTGCACAGTAGCTCAAATGCACCAATGAGGGCAAAAGTATTCCACAATGCACTGAGACTATCTATGTTTGAAAAAAAAAAACTTAGGATAAAAATTATAGGGCACTCAGATTGCATGTTTCAAATGCACACCTTATTTATGAAGGTGTCCAGGATCAAAAGTTTCAATAATTTTGCCCTATTCACAACTCTGTGAGACCGACTGTCAACAGGAAATCACAGACCCCTTGGTTCCTTTTTTTGTTTTAAGAGATGGGGTTTCGCCATGTTGGTCAGGCTGGTGTTGAACTCCTGACCTCAGGTGATCCACCCACCTCAGCCTCCCAAAGTGCTGGGATTACAGGCGTGAGCCACCACACCCAGCCACCTTGGTCATTCTTTAAGGGACAAGAAAAAAAAGGTTGTGACGTAGGAATACCTGGGCCCCCGTTCTGGCTTCATGTATTAGCTGTGTGATTTTAGAAAAATCACGTAACCTTCCTGTACCTCACATTTCTTACATTAATATTTGAATAATAAAGACCTCCTTATAGAGTTTCTTGGGTAGATGGGAGAATCACATTGGGCAGTACAGGCAAAATGATACTGTAGTCTGAAATTCTACAACAATGCAGAGGGCTACCATCATTACTGTACATGCAAACAAGCTAAGGAGACAAAGGAAGTGAGCATGGAAAAGAGCCTTTAATACTATTAAAGCCAACTATGATGATGCAGACACATTTAGAAATTGTGGCTTCATCTATTAGCATGCTAAACATACCTTAGATTTTTTTAACCTAAATAGTACAGAGGGAGGGTATATCTGTTGTAAAATTACTTTTAGCGAAAGAAAAGAAAGAACAGAAAAAAAGCAAGTGGGATAAAATACTGAAGAATAACATTTTGTTGGGAAAGATGCTATCATGTACTGGTCCTGGATCATAGATTGAATTGATCAGTGGGGTGGAATGTGGAATGAGCCCTACAGTTTAAAAAAAAAAAATCACTTGGAGAAAATCAGAAGAGATGGAAAAATTGCATGGCTGCTTTGCACATTTGGTCACTTGAGAATAACCACTTGAAACACAATTAAAACACCATTTTTCAGATATTCATATGAGCGACCAGCAGGTAGCTCCAACTGTAATACACTGGTTGGGGTGAGGCAGGGGTTCCTTGCCTGTTCATTTATCAAATTCTGAGTGTCTTCCATGTAAAAAAATATTGTGCTATCAAGTGAAGATACAAACTTAAACGAGGCATAGGTCCTTCTTGCAAAAAGCTAAAAATTTAGCTTAGAGAATTAATATCTACCCTGAAAAAACAGAAGTGGTTTCAACTAGAAGTGAAAAAGTATAATTAAAACCTCTACAATAGAAGGAATATGGGAAATCTCTCAAAAGGAAACCCACATGGGATCTAATCCTAAGAAAAGCTCTGCCTTCTGGAAATACATACTTCATGTAAGTGACTAAAATGCAGTAGATAATGTTTCCTAAAGAAAACTTCAGATATCCTTAAAATCTACTTCTCACTTAATTTTCAAAAATCACACTCCTACACAGGAGAGGTCATAGGCCTAACAAAATGTCATCTATATAGAGCACAGGTATTAAGCTTGCAGGCTCATTCATTCATAAAAATATTTAAGAACTCATTAAAGATCTCTTACATAAATGTGGCTGCACTAAGAATTATAGGGCTAAAGAGGAAATAAAGCATCTCACCTGTCAAAATAATTTTGGTGTGTCCAAAAATATTCCCAATAGCTAGTATAAAATTAGGCTGTTTTATGTGCTTATGTGAAATGATTCTGATACTTATATAAAAATATGACTTGAGGATATAAAATATGGAAATCTAGTATATATAGTTACATTTTTTTCAAAAAATTAAAAACATAGAACAAAACATTTTAGGATATTATTCACCATTTTAGCACTCAATAAAAAATGAATAAGTAACTTAGAATAAGAAAGTCTTCTGATCCTTAAAGTTAGAAAAACCACTAAAACTTTAAGACATATACATTTATCTCCTTTGTGAGAAAAAAATTGCTGCAAAGGATGCAATCATACAAGAAATTTGCAAAATAATGTCCTGCCCTATGCTAGCTAGTAACTAATTTGTCTTAGGATAAGTCCTAACAGAATTACAGAATATATTCTAGGATGGCATGGCAGTTTTTACATAATGAGAAGAGGCAATAGATCACGTGGTGATTGTCAAGGCTTGTAACTACATTCACTATGGTAAGCTCTTCAATAAACTATGAGCTTCTGTTTAAAATGTAAAACTGAAGAACCAGACGTAAAGTACAAAGCTCAGAGGGTTACTGACAGCCCAAGAGAGCATAATAAACTCCATACCATTTAATAACTTTATCCATAAAGTGGAAAATAGAACAATATTTCATTAAGTAGATGCAAAAAGTTGTTGGAAAGCTGCCAAGATCTTGGAGGATAAGATCAGAAGCCAAGGTGATTTGGATATAGAGAAAGAGGGATTGGAATCTCAAAATTGATGATCAAATGAGAAAATAGAGTATTTGTCTTTTTCGTTTTTTTGTTTTGTTTTGATTTTGAGACGGAGTCTTGTTCTGTTGCCCAGGCTGGAGTGCAGTGGCTTGATCTCAGCTCCCTGCAACTTCCGCCTCCCGGATTCAAGCGATTCTCATGCCTCAGCCTCCCAGGTAGCTGGGATTACAGGTGCCTGCCATCACCTTGGCTTAGTTTTGTATTTTTGGTAGAAACAGGGTTTCACCATATTGGCCAGGCTGGTCTCGAACTCCTGACCTCGGGTGATCTGCCCGCCTCGGCCTCCCAAAGTGCTGGGATTACAGGCGTGAGCCACTGCACCCAGCCAGTATTAGTCTTCTTTGTGGAAGGAAAGATGCATAGAAACAGACCAAGCAAGCACCAGGATGATGAGGAAGTCCAGAAGAAGCAATGTTTAACAGCTGACCATGGCACTCAACTTACATGAACTTAAAAGTGAACAAACCACTAGCCAAATGATTGCAATTTTTAATCACATTCTGGTTAGAGTCAGACAACAATCTCAAGATCTATGTTCTAAATGTTATCAGTAAACAAGATAGTAGTACGCACGAAAACATAATTGAAAAATAAGATAACCAGTTGATGCAAATAACATTCAGTATATAAATTATTCAGGAAAATACTTTTTTTTTTTTTTTTCAAAATATGCCTTCTTAATCAGTGGCCCTGAAGAGCTCTATGTTCTCTCTTAAGGACCAATTTGCTATTATTGTTGCCAAGTAAACAAAAAATACCAACAAGAACTAAGCACAGATGAGACTTTCCTCCAAGAATCAGGATCATCAAGTATTAAAATAGATCCCTGAATAGTTTAGAGAATAATTGGATTATACTCTCTCAAAATCCCTAAATCATTCTACTTCTGTAATTGTATGAGCTACTCTATTTTTCCCGTGACTTTTTCCTATTGCCCAAGTTTGGCTTTTCTTGACAGCAGGATTCTACTTTGTTGGATGCTCTTTGAAAAAGTCTATATTTAATGGTTTTTAGAAAGGTTGTAGCTTTCATCCAGCATTTGCAGGCTCTCAGCTTTTGCTTAAGGATGAATGCGTCTCAACACAGTCTCTTCTCTTTGTGATTTCCCCAAACATCTTAACATCTGAAGATCCCTGGAAGTGACGAGCATTGAGAATTCATCGGCAGTCATAGCTAAGTCATGGAAAACCAGGATTGGCAGACCCTTTACGGAGAACGGCTAACTGCTTCTCCAACATTTCAGTTATTGCAGTTCCCTCTCCTTATATCAACTCAGAGCCCACCCAGGAACAGACACTAATACTCACCAAGCTGCTTGCATTTTGTCCAACCGCTAGTTTGAGTATTAAATCAAGTCATGACATTTATTTCCAGTTTGCCAGTTTTGTTTCTACTTTCTTTTTAAAGCAGCTAAACTTTATGTAGGCACACCATTTCCCCTGGTAAATAATAACTTCCTCTCTGTTCAGGCACTGGTTAGGTATTCACAGAACGCCCCCTCCCCTCCCTCTCCCTGCTTCTGGATTTAAGAATGGGGTTAGGTGAATTTTTTTCTCCAAGAGGGATGAAGTGTCAGAAGCAACCTGGTAGTGGCCAGATCCACTTTTACATAATATCAAGGGCATGATGCAGGTAGGTGTTTGCTCACTGTTTGAACAGTGTTTCCTTAAAGTTACCCGGGCACAGCAATATATTATCCAAGAGGATTTATGACTAGCAAAGCCCAAAGGGAAATGGCATGTACAATCACATTTTTATTTGATTGCAATTATGCAAGAGGCCTATAAATATCTATGCTGATCACTCATGCAACTGGCCTTTCAGGGAGGTCCTGGAAGTTTTTGTTCCCCAAATGCTTTCCTTAATCTCATGTTTAATTGCCAACAAGAGCACATTTAAAATTAATAGTCGCACTTTAAAAATGAGTAATTGGTTCTTACCTGGAATTGATTGCTAGCAAAAGGACCATTCCAAACTTACCCCAGATTAAAATGATGTACCGCAGTGGAATGAAATACAAAATGATGGTGGCTGCTGCCAGAATCAAACAGGCCAGAGATGAAAGGAAGGGGACCGTCCAGTTAAATGTGCTGTAGACAAACCACATAAATATAATTTCCTCTGATGTTCAACAACTGCCACAGAGTCAACTTGTCATGTTTATTTCATGTTCATAATTATAGAAATTTTTTTTACAGTCTATTGGAAAAATTTTGTTAAAAACCTCAAGATGAGAGTCTGCCAAAATGATTGGGTACTGGAAAAACATTCTTAAAAGGACAGTCACAAACCAATTGCCATTCAATTTGTCAGAATATTGGTGACTTTACCTCCCTGGAACCCATAGTTCCAGAGAAGACTTTTGGCTCTCAGAAGTGATTAAAAACTGCAATGTTGCCACGATGGCTATGCATGGAGATCTTCAAAACTAAGGGTTAGGTCACTTCTAATTCAACAATTGTCTCTCAATAAACACACGGTTACTAGTAATTATGGTAACCTTTCCTTTACCAGAAAAGGGAGAACTTTTTTTTTTTCTTTTTTGTCTTTTTTGAGACAGGATCTTGCTGTTACCCAGGCTGTAGAGCAGTGATGCAGTCATAGCTCACTGCAGCCTCGACCCCCCAGGCTCAAACGATCCTCCTGCTTTAGCCTCCTTAGTAGCTGGGACTACAGGCAAGAGACACCACAGCCTAATTCTAATTTTGAAAATTTTTGTAGAGCTCTGGCGTCCCTATGTCACCCCAGGCTAGTCTCGAACTCCTGGGGTCAAGCAATTCTCCTGCCTTGACCTCCCAAAGTGCTGGGATTATAGGTGTGAGCCACTGTGCCCCATGGGGAGGACTGTATTACATGGCATTGGTGGTTTTGTGTTCACTGATTACTTATATTTAGAATTTCCAGACTTGTTTACACCAGAAATCTAACAGTGTCTTGAAATAAATGGGGAAGCATTTGACTATAAATCATCACACTGCCATTAATAGATAATGTAGGTGATTACACTATGTATTATTTTCACAGAGCTCCTGGCTCCTTTTGTTGTATCTATTGCCTGCTTTGACTGGCATGGAAATGGAGATCTAGAAGATGGGACATGGACTTGGATATATTGTAGAGATTCATGTGCATTCCTAGAGATCGAACGCCCTACTGAGGTGCCGAGAGTATTTCTTCTTAATGGTCTTCATCTTCACATACAGATTTAACCGTAGAGCCTCATTGCCTTGTGCTAGGAATACAGAAAGGTAGAATGTTTTTTATGGGAGACGGGATTTTAGAGGGAATACCACAAAGTTATTAAGCATTTTATATGTGCCAGGCATTGTGCTAACATTGTTCACATATTTAGAATGTAATGCTCTTAATAATTCTGCCCCATTTTATAGATGAGCAAATTAAGACTGACAGAGATTGTCTAACTTGTATAAATAATCACAATTCTATCAACAGTATAGGAGAACTACAGTAATCTCATCCTCTGGTTAAGACTGAGGCTGGGCATGGTGGCTCATGTCTGTAATCCTAGCACTTTGGGAGGCCGAGGTGGGCAGATCACTTGAGCTCAGAAGTTCAAGACCAGCCTGGTCAACATGGTGAAATCTCATCTCTACTAAAATACAAAAATTAGCCGGGTGTGGTGGCGTGCACCTGTAATCTCAGCTACTTGGGAGGCAGGAGAATCACTTGAACCTGGGAAGTGGAGGTTGCATTGAGCCGAGATTGCATCACTGCACTCCAGCCTGGGCAACAGAGTGAGACTCCCTCTCAAAAACAAAAGACTGAGTGTTATTGTTTTTAATCTTTGCCTATTATGAGGTAAAATATTATATATATATGTCTTTTTCAATTCTTTAAATTATAAGCAAATTTGAATACCTTTTAATATGCCTATTGGTCATTTTAATTTGTTTCTCTATGATTTCTAACCTTTTTTTTTGGCCTGGGGCTATTATTTAGGAACGTGCTTAAGAAAATTGATTTATTTAAGAAAATTGATTTATAAGCAAACTGACTTGGGTTCAAGTTCAACCTTTATCTCTTCAAGTTAAGTAACTCCCAGAAATTGATTGAATAAATCTGAACCATAATTTCCAGTCTGTAAAACTGGAATAATAATAATACCTATATCACAGATTCTGCTAGAATTAAAAACTTGCAGAATAGTTAGCTCAGTGTCTGGCACATTGTAAAAACTCAAAATAGTTACTATTTGCTAGTTTTCTCCTGAGCTGTTTTGCTTAACTTTTTCCTCAGTGATTTCCAATATCAGTTTGGATAGTAGAAAAATCAGACATTTGTCATGTTTGTTATATTATATATTCTTTCAGTTTGTTGCTTTGTTTATGATTAACATAAAAATTATAAACTTTCGCATGAACAAATTTATCAGTTTTTCCTTGTCAATGTCTAGATTTGGCCAGGCTTACCAAAGCCCTCCCCTCATCCAGTGATGTGACTCCACCAACTGATTAATCACTATTTTTCTCCCTTCTTTATTATGCTATCTTTGTTATTCTGAATTTCTACATTTTGAATTTCTACATTTGTATAGGTCCATTCCCAACTTCTCTATTCCACAGCAGAACCTGTAACAGAACTTTTTGGAGGGCAATTTTACAATATGCGTTGAAATGTTATCATCTGAACTCCACAACGGGATCCAGTTCAGCATGGCAAGAAATTTAACTTGCAGCTTTCCTTGCCCAAGGGCACAGGGGCAGTACATAAATGTCTTCTCCAGGCTGGTTAGTAATATTTAAATAAACTCAGTAAAATAAATGTTGAAAAATCTCGAAATAAAGAAAAAATTAATTAGATTTATACTCTGCAACGCTACGCAGCTTTAAAAAAAAGGTGAGAATACACTAAAAACACTCACACAACCCCCAACCCCAACCCGCGGGCTCAAAGCTACATACAGTAAAAAACTAAACTGTAGAAGTAATGTACATATATAAAATAAAGACTTTATATTCCATTGGTCATATTTGATTATTATAATAAAAGTAAGTAACAACTATATCAGGTACAACAAATAACTAAGGAAAAAGAAATTTGCCCCCTTTCAAATTTTTTTTAAAGTGGAGACACAGTGGATGGCAGATCCTGGACATAAATCCATAGCTAGGTGGCAACAAAACCCACTCTTTTTTCACCCTGGAAGATTACTTATTAACTTTGTAGCCTATAATGTAAAAATAGCTCCTGTGCAACTTTTGTTAGCTCTATGGCCTTACGTAATTTACCCCACCACTCTGTGCTTTCATTTTCCCATCTCTAAAACAGGAATAATAACTGCATCTACTTTACAGAGTTGGTGAGGGGATTCCATACATTTATACATATAAATCATTTATAAAGATATATGGCATATAGTCACTATTTAATAAGTGTTAGCTACCCTCATTTTTCTCATTGTTATTGCACAAAACACACAAATATGGAAAGAAAGTTATTGATATCTGGTAGAGTTTTGAAAATAATACTAGCTACAAAAATAAATCAAATTACTTTTTAAAAAGGAATAGACTTTATCATTCCTTTTCTAGCAATACCATTCCACACCGAAGAGAAAGTAAAATACTAATATCAACAGAAAAAAAGCCATGACTAGGCTGACATGAAAATAAAAATATAATACACTGTAAAAATAAAATAAACTGCAAGAACTCTTGGAGGTAACTAAGCTCCAATGTCAATTTTCACTCTAATATTTTCTGCCAAATATTGGGATTCTGAGCTGCTTTCTGTTGTCTGCATGGTACGATGGGAGATTGGGGGCACGAGGGGAAGCCTAGGAACTCTCCACGGGGAGATTTTAATATGAGACCATTGCATAAAGCTTACATATTCAGGATAAGAATAAGGAAGGAGGGACACATTGTACCATAGAGTGGACATAAATCATGCCCTCGGTGCTAAGTGGAGAAATCTATCATTTCAGTTTATGCTACCAGTGTTGCTTGAAAAGCCTCAAGCAAAAAAATTTAAGAAAGGACCTAGATTGGTAGGTCCTGGGACTGGTAGTATCCCAAGGTGACTTAAACAGTAATCCTCTCCAAGGAAATGCATCATCAACTATGATGTTTGAGTACTCTCCACATGAAAATCCAAGGAATATAGGTGTATTCTTAAAAATGCAAACCACAAAAAGACACATGACACCATGAGTAAGAGCCAGCAAAATCTGAAAGAAAAGATTTCAGATATTGAAATCTAATCCAATATATTAAATCATAATGTTTAATATGTTAAAAATCATGTAAGAGATGCTTGAAGATATAATCCAAAAGAAAATGAAAAACAAGAAAAATTGATGAAGTAGAATTTTGAAAAATGCAAACCATAATAATTGAAGTTAAGAACCCAATGAATGAATTGGACAGGATTTTAAACTGCAGAGAACTAATACAGTCCAAGATTTTCCAAAGAAAGTATTTAGAAGGCATCACAAAGAAGAAACAGATGGCAGATATCAAAGAGATGTGGAACATAGATTAAGAAGGTTCCTGCACTGACTGGGAAGACATTAAAAGTGACAATATTAGACTGTGGCACATAACGCTGTTAACTCTAAGATGACAACTAAAAGAATAGCAAGAGTGTTTCAATTCCTAGCAAGTGGAGGAAAGATACAGAAGAAATAAAAAGACACGGAACAAGCAAGTAAACACTACTATTAATAAATTACAGATTTAAATCTAAATGCAATCGTAAGCATCATTAATTCTGCAGGGATTACATGCTACAGTGAAATGACAGTGATGGTGAGATACAAGAGAAACATTTGAAACAAAAAGACAGGTTGAAAGAAAAGTACAGAAAAGGAGAAAAGAAAGGTGAGACTGTAGTCACCCCTTATCTGCAGTTTGGCTTTCTGTGGTTTCAGTTAGTCGGAGTTCCGAAATGTTACATACAATAAGATATCTTAAAAGAGAGGGGAACACCACATTCACATAACTTTTATTACATTATCTTACCATAATTGTTCTATTTCATTATTATTGTTAATCTGTTACTGTACCTAATTTATAAAGTAAACTTTATCATAGGTCATGCCTGTATAGGAAAAAGCATAGCATATACAGAGGTCAGTACTATCCATGATTTCAGACATCCACTGGGGATCTGAGAACATATCCCCCATGGATAATAGGGGACTACTGTATAGCCATACCAATATTGGTCAACAAGGTATTTAGGAAAAAACTGTGTTAGCAAGAAATAGGTTGCTTCATACTAATGCTCCAATCAACCAAGAAAATATAATAATTTTAACATCTACAAACCAAATAATGTAGCTTCAAAATATAGAAAGCAAAAACAGATAAAATTCAAGGGAGGATTAGACAAATGTACAACGACAGTGAAGTTTAAACACATCTAAGTAATTGATAGAACAAGCCAAACAAAAACAAATCAGTACAAATATAAAAGGCTTGAATATAATGAGCAAATTTAATCTAATGAATATAGAGAACAATGTATCCAATGATCTACTTTTCAAGCTCACATGGAAAATTGACAAAAGTAGTCCATTGCTGGATCAATATTTTCTAACCATAAAGCAATTAATCTAGAAATCAGAAACGAAAAGATAACTAGAAAATCTCCATATACTTGGAAATTTAGCAATACATATCTTAGCCAAGGAAGAAATCAAAATAGAAACCAGAAAATAGCTTTAACTAAATTTGAATGATAATGAGAATATTACATGCCAAAATGTTTGGCATGGAGCTAGAGTTGTGTTTACAGGAAATTGTAGAGCCTTAAATGTTTATGTTAAGAAAGAAGAAAGACTGAAAATAAGTGATCTAATTATCCATCTTAAAGAGTTAGAAAAATATACGAGTAGTAACTAATGAACAAACAAGCAGGAAATAGAGAAGATTAGTGAAGGCAAATGGTGCTTATTTCTAAAGACTAATATAATTGATAAATCCCTGTCAAGAAGAAAGAAGATAACAATATCAAGCATAGAAGAGTAGGTAATGCAACAGATCTTACTGACATTAAATAAGAGGATGTTATAAACAACATTAAATCAACAAGTAGAAAATTTATATGAAAGGGACAAACTCTTTGAAAATTACAATTTACAGAAACAGAGATGAGAAATAATAGAATGGCTGACGTTTATATATATATATATATATATAATATATATATATATATATTATATATATAAACATATAATATTTCATGCAAAATCATCTCCAAAGGAAAACTTCAGGCCTAGATGCTTCAGCAGCTAATTCTATAAATCTTAAAGGAAGTAATGATATCAAACTCCCATAAACTTTTCCAGAAAAAAGACAGAGAACCTACCTGACCTTGTATTATGAGTTTAGAATAAACTTCTAGCCACAAGAAAATGTCAAGAACACAAAATAAGTCAATCTCACTGATGATCATAACTGCAAAAATCCTAAGCAAAAACAAGTAAATAAAATCCAGCCAGATATAAAGGGACTGTAGAACAATAATGTTGGGTTTATTCCAAGAATGTAAGATTGGTTTACCATTTGAAAACCAATCAAAATAATTCGCCACATAAACCAAAATAAAGCATAAAAATAACATCATTTCAATGAATGCAGGTGAAAATGTTAGGGAAAGCTCAGCTCATGTTCAAAATAAAAACTCATAGCAAACTAGGAATAAAAAGGGAACTTCCTTTACCTGATAAAGCATATTTACAATAACCTACAGCAAACATCATTCTTGAGGGTGAAACGTTGAAAGCTTTCTTTCTGAGATCCCATGAGAAAAGAATGCCTCAAAATACCAATTCTAAACCACACTGTATGACAGCTAATAGCCAGTACAGCAAGTCAAGAAAATGAAATGTGTAAGGGCTGGAAAGATGAAGAAAAAATTATTCTTATACATTTATCTAAGGAAAAAAATCCAGAATAATAATCTTCATATAAAAATAAGATAACTAAGTTTACCTGGTTATTAGAAACAAATCAAAGCAGAAAAATTAATTTCATGTCTATATGTGAGTAACAGGTAGAAAATGAAACGTGAAGAAAAGATGCCATTTAAACTAGCACCACACTATCAAGTACTCAGGAATATATTTCACACAAAAAAAGTCAGACTTCTATACAGAAAACTCTAAAATAATAATGAGATAAATTAAAGACGATCTAAAGAGATATTACACTGGAATATAACAAGCTCATATATTAGAAAACTTAAGCATGTATCTGGATATCAATTCTTTCCCAATTAATGCAGTCCTAATAAAGATCCCAACAGTTGTGTGTGCACAAGTGTATGGTGTGTCATGGGCTTTCTAGAAATGGAGTTGGGCGACACACTCACTCTCCCACATAGCCTGTCAGATTTGCCTTCTAAGAGCCAGGTCAGTTGACTAATGCATTTTCCCCTCAGCGACCCACAATTTTAGTGTTAAAATGGTTTAGAAGGAAGGCAGGGGACATTCCCTGGGTTTATTTAAGACACACAAGAAGAAAGTCAAGTCAGTGGCCATAAAATAATACTCATAATAGTTAATATTTTTAGGTGATTAATACCTGTCATCCATTGGTCTAAACTCTTTATATGTACTAATTCATTTAAATTTTATGAAGCAGAAATCATTATTGTTATTCCCATCCTACAGATGAGGACCCTGAGTCCTAAAAGTTAAATAAGTTGCCTAAGATCATTCACTTCCAGTGACAAAACTGGGATTTGAACTCAGAAAATTGGTTACGATCCCGTCTTCATTGCTTCTGTAGTAGGCGCTTTAAAAAATGTAAATAAGCACATGTTACTCATGTAATCTAGCTGAACATTCCTGTTTAAAATGCTGAGGATTTAATTCAAAGACACTAAGTAGCAATACCCCTAACACTTAAAACCTTACTAGACTCTTTCCCCATTTATCATAGAACATCTTCTATAGAAAATCCGAAGTTGAAGGAGCTTGGTAAATCAAAGCTTTCCCATCTCAAAACAAGACACTTTGTAAAACAACATTTTCATAGATTTCTCCAGTTTTCCTCACTTGGGAGCTCCCTAAATCCTCAGAAGGTAATCCCTGACTTAGGCACTTATGAGACAAATGACTAACTTCGCCATTAATGAAAAAACTCAAGGAATCCTCTTCATTCATTCAACCACATGAGCTCACTAATATGGAAGAACATCGTTTTCTAAATTTCAGCCCACTTAACAAAAATGATTGTGACACATCCCAGAAGGTGGGTGCAGGTATATTCTCTGGGTCCTCCCCCAACTGGCTGCCCCACTGCACTGACCTTGTGTCAATGGGATTATTTCCTTGTTTCCAAGGCTTGGACAAATGAGGTCCTCTGACTCTTCTTCCCAGGGAAATGAAAACTACTGGTCATATTCTGCTGTAGGTTCTTATTTTGTCCTGTCTTCTACTAAAGGCTTTCCTTCACATATGCATGGTTCTACACTAGCCTGTGTTTGCTTTCCTCACACCTGGCCCCCTCCTTTGTCTTCCTTTGTCCCTTTTGACATGTCACTCTTGATTTAAACACAAAATGCATCTGTCTCTCATTCCCCATGTCCCCATCAGGATTCCAGCCCTATTTAACCTGGATTCCAACCACTTAACTGGAATCAAACCTGGATTCCAGCCCCACTTAACCTCAGGATTCCAACCACTTAACCTGCTTGCCCATCTTCTGCTTAGTATTTTTTCACATCATTTCTAGCCAGGGCAGTTCTACTTCTTATGAAGGTGGCTTCTAAGCTTTACCCTGGAACATCTGTAGGCATAACTTGCCTATTCTAGGTCTCCCTTAATCTCAGTATCTCCTCTGTGGAGATTTCCCTAGCCACTCAAGGACACAAGAGTTAGAGCCCTCACTCCATAATGATAGAACACATGATATGCTTCACTCTCCTGCACCACTCTGCCTGCTGTCTAGCATAAATGCTGCATGGTTTTTGGTTTTTTGTTTGCTTTTTTGAGCTGGAGTCTCACTCTGTTGCCCAGGCTGTAGTGTGGTGGTGCCATCTCGGCTCACTGCAACCTCCGCCTCCCAGGTTCAAGCGATTCTCCTGCCTCAGCCTCTGGAGTAGCTGGGATTACAGGCATGTGCCACCATGCTCGGCTAATTTTTGTATTTTTAGTAGAGACGGGGTTTCACCATGTTGGCCAGGCTGGTCTCGAACTCCTGACCTCAGGTGATCCGCCCACCTCAGCCTCCCAAAGTGCTGGGATTACAGATGTGAGCCACCGTGCCCAGCCAAATGCTACATGTTGAGTAAAATATTTTGGCTTCATATATACATACATTTAAAATTTGTGTAATATTAGGGAAGGTAACTAGAGAAGGTAAGAGTAGGAAAAAAGGAATACAGTTCATTCCACATAAATGCAACACCACTGGGGTCCCCCCCAACCCATCAGTATCAGGGAAGCCTTACTTTGAGAGTTTTATGTATTTCTGTATTTTTGCCAGTTGCCAAGAGTTGAATAAAAGTTTTCCTGGTTCTTAAGCACTGAGTTACAATGGAATTCCAACAGAATTACACACGACATCCCACTTGAATGCCCAGCAGGGACTTTAAGGTCATTGTAATAATGAATGGCCAAGAATCAATAGGAGTTGAGCCTTAGCAGCCTTCCTGTGCTGCAGCTGGGCAGAACAGTACTCTGTTCATGGGCTGAAGACACATCTCAGACATGGCCACCACAGCTGTGCTGGGCACAGCTGCCCCTCAAAGCACTGCAGGGTTGGGAGCCTGTTTAAATCACTCTGCCCTCTTCTCTCCTCAGACACATTTCCTTTTACATTATCAACGGCACAACAGTCACTTTTGTCTTTTAGAGATGTTCCAGAATGGAAACAGTTTTACCAAACAACATGATCTTCCTTCCTGGGTCTTGACCCCACTCTGTGTCCTCTTATCCTCCTTGCTGTCAATACGTGCCTCACTGAACTTTCTTCCACTGACTTTTTCCATCTCCTCAAGGCCTGCATGACATGCCTCATCTCTAGGCACTGCCAACCGCACCTCCATGGCACGGACACACTAACTCAATCCCTTACATCTCCCTGTATCTCCCACATAGTCTTGGGCTTTGAGCGTTTGCACAAGGGCTCTCCACTACTGAAGCCCTCATTCATCAATTCTTTGCCCAGCTATCTCTTCCTATTCTCAGAGATGCTGATAAGTTTCTTCTGTTTCAGAATTGCCTGCGGTCTGTCTTTCTCCTACATCTCTTCCTGGGCTGATCAGATCTCTCCCAGAATTCTCTCTTACCTCTCCCTACCACTAATGCTACTGAATTCTAATTGGCTATTACTCTGTTTCTCCCTCATTGAAATAGAGATTTCTTGAGGGTAATGACATTATAGTGTAGTAATGAGGAGGACAGGTTCCAATCCAAGCTACATAGCTACTAGTTGTGTGATCTTGGACTACAAATTTAATCACTCTGTGATTCAGTTTCCTCATCTGTAAAATGAGGATATTAACAATCCTTACTTTATAGGGTGGTTTGAATGATGTAATCCTATTCCTTTAAGTAGCTCCTCAAAGGAGCTAGTGTGTTTAAAGGGCTTAGAAGAGTGCATGGCTGGCATGCGATAACAGTTGGTGTTGCTATCATTATTGTAATTATGGTTGCATTTCTCATTCTTAGACCAACTTAGACCAAGTCAGTGTCTGAAACTCAATAACTGATAGTTGAGTGAGGAAATGAATAAAGAATTATGATGCCCTCCTCATTTTACTATTCATGTTTGCTTTCAAATATGTTTATATTAAACATTTTGAGGGTAAATTCAGGAATCTTTTGCCAATTTATATGAAACCTACAAGAATAAAGCAAATAGGCATCATATCTGTGAGCAAAAATTATTTTTTTCTTAAGATATTAATAATGGGTATAACTGTAAATTCAATAAAAATTCATCAACTTTGTTTAAAAGTCATTTATAACTTACTTTTTTTAAACATACACGTTTACTATGCTTATAATAAATGGGCATTCGAGGGCAATGTCATTGGCTGTGCAACTGAGAAAACATTAGTATTTACATAAAGTTGCATGTTAACTACTTATATTTCCTGATGTTAATATCATTTATTGATTTCCTTGCATTTTAATGCATAAGGCTTTCCCTTGGTTTTTAGCACCACTTTTAATCTGTTTACCCATGCAATTCCAAAACAATATATTCTTAAAGAAACTAGAATGATCCCCGTAGACACGACCAATAAAGTAAGAATTAATCCTTAGAAAGAACACGGTTGACACAATTCTAGATTAAAGGGGGAAATAAGTTAATAATTCAAAGGAAAAAAATTAAAAACCTTCCACTTATTGGTGCCAAATGAAAACTAAGTAATGCAGAGTTGATAATGTATAAAACAAAACAGAAAAAAACCTATGAATCTACAGTCTTTCTTAACTGGAGTTCCATTAGAGAGTTTAGCTATCATGTCCTAAGATGGGGGTGGCAAGCTGTGGGTAGACTATAAATCAAATCCAGCATGTTACCTGTTTATATAAATAAAGTTTTATTGGAATGCATACCATACCCATTCATTTACATATTAACTGTTACTCCTTTTACACTTTAACAACAGAGTTGAGTAGTCAGGACAGAGACCATATGTCCCATAAAGCTGAAAATATTGTCAACTTTCTCTATAAAGGGCCACAGAGTAGTATCCTGTCCTAAGACATCCATATATGTGGTGACTTAACTTCACATTTATCCATCTATGGTGCTACTAGATGTGTATCTTTCTTTGGAGAATTGGAGAGAAAAGTTACTCAAGGCATTTACTAAGTTCTGTGGTTCAGATAGCAAAGGCTCCTGTATAGCACATTTGCTTCTCTTTTTATTTCTGAATAGGGTAACATTTTAAATATCTATCATTTGTCACCCAAACTGATATATTTTTGAGTGAAAGGGAACACTAGTAATATTTATGTTGGGGTGACTGGAATAAACTGGGCCGTATGGTCACCCCAGTTCTGAGGCACCACCCAACTGTGAAGTTAAGAAGCCAACTGAAGTCAGACAGTGCTAACCCAACAGTGTTGCTTTGGTGTGTTTTTGTATTTTCTTGCCTCCCTTTGTCGCACACCACTGCCATTACCCCACTGTCCTTGTGGATAGCAGGTCTACTGCAAACACCACAACACAAATTTAGAACTTACTTCTTAATCCTTTCTCCAAAAGAAGCTATTTCCTCCAAGACGTTTTGAACAGTTGAAACAATATCCTGTACCATATAGATTCTTTCAATCAACCCCTTTTTCTCAGATTCCTAGAAAACATAAAAGCAAGATTTAACTCAGTTACTTCATTTTTTATCATGCTGATACAGAAAATATTATAACATGTTATAATAACAAGGTTTTTACCAATAGAGTGACACAAGAGATAAATCATTGTTTTACAACTTAAATATTGACTCCCCCCCCAGAAAAATCTGTTCAGTCACTTAGATGCTACCACTCCTAACGCGCAAGCCTCAGTTGCTACCTCATTGCCATGAGGTGATAAAGGGAAGCCCACAGAACCAAGCACTTCACTTCCCCGTGGAGGCTGCCGCGTCCCTCGCAGAATTCTGCAATCCCGTCAGTCTGGCTAACTCTGACTTCCTCTGTCTCCACAGGTTTTCTGAAGCTCACCCTACTCCTCTCCTATCAGTGTTCTTCAGAGATGTTCCTGGCATGTTGGAGACAGAGGTAGTATGATTCCTAGTACTGGAGCATCTTAGTCAAACTCCGCTGCATTTTTAAGCATGTTCTAAACATATTGCCAGCCCGATGACATTTCATCCATCCTTTGGCAACCACCTCAGAAACAAAGCAAGCAGCTGTGGACATGCTACAAAGTAACCCCACAGTGCACTGCTGGGAGGGCAGCCTACCCAGATTATTCCCTTCCAGGATGATCAGCAATTGATTGCGATCTCCTCATGACATTAGAAGCAAATACAAATTCATCTTCCGTAATTTCCAATGCTTCATGTGAAATGGAATTCAGCTTTCTAAAAATATTATCCTTACTTTGCTTATAGAAAACCTTACATGTGTTTTTACCATGCCAGGTAACTAACAGTTATGCAGGTTACTTAGAAATCACTCAAATGTCAGGAGATTCCCTAAAGAGTAGTATTTTTACACTATTTTTAATATTCTGATGCTATGTTCTAGCTCCCTTATTGACTTTGCTGTAATTGGGATGTAGTCAATGAGCTCTCAACTTCTACCTCTCTGGGTCATTACACCTATTGTATGAAACCTAAAACCTCAAATAGTTCTTACAGAACTTTTTTCCTATATAGAATTTTAGTTGGGTGAAAATTGTACTAAACTATCAAGCAAACACTTCTAAATTTAAGAGGACATTCCTGTAATACCATCTGTGCTGCAAAAGGAAAAAATAAAATCATTTTCCTCTTGTATCCTTTGTTCCATTAAACTGGAGTCATGGATGGAGTGAAAGAGAACCCACTACCAATAGGGATTGCGGGTAAAAGCACCAAGATGTCAGAAATGTTGAAAAACACAAACCACCCTTCTTGCATCTGCCTTTATGAAACTACTTGGCTGAAACAGACAAAGGAAGAACAGAGGCTAGAATGCCTCATTGCCAGCCCTTCTCCAGTAAAGGGTGCTGCAATGGCTTGAATAAATTATTACCATCAGGACTGTACTCCTTTATCCATTCATTCTGTGCAGAAGGAAAACCAGGTTCATTGCTTCCTTCTGCAATATCAAACTTTCAAGATACTTTTACTTTTTTATCCTAATTTGAATTTTTTCCCTTACTCTAATTCCTCAGTTTGTGCTACAAATTAGATATGCTGCCAGAGCGTACTAATTCATGAGTCCACCGACATCTATTAATGGGCACAATGGTGAAAACCCAGCTCTGTCTGCCACATAAGTATTCATGTTTATAAAGGAACATTTGAAAGCATGAGGGAATTTGACCCAAAGGCCAAAAGTGGCTTCCTCTTTTCGGCAGCATCCAGTTTAGGTCAAAACAATTTCTTGGAAAATGACTCAAGTTTCCATGTCATTCGATTTAATAAAAACTTCCTATTTCAACTGTCTAATTTTTTTTCCCTGTGAAACACCCAAATAGTGAGGTTCTGGTTGTGAAGAAAGCATGAGTTAGTATGCCAAAATAACGATGCTCATGAGTCCTGTTACTTTATAATGAATTTGATGTTTGGAGTATTAAATATCCAAAGACTAGGCTAAAGAGTCTTACTATATCTTGAGTAACAGAATAACTTATCATCTGGACTTGTTAATACTTTTAAGAGTAGAAGTAAACAATTAATTTTTGATTATTGATGACTGATAACTTGGTTTTATTATATTGGACCTATAAAACTATTCCATTTTTATTTCACAAATACATTATTTTCAAATAAAAAATAGATTTTTGTGCATTAAAATAAATTTGATCATCTGGATATTTAAAAATGACACACGAAGAATGATTATTTGTGATATATATTCATATATTTTAGTCAGTTACTAGCTACAACTGTCTATATACCGATGTCAGGATTACTTTTCAAAAGAATGTACTTTTTAATGGCATCTTTTTATTTCTAATATTGCACGAAATTGTTATTAATCACCTTCAGAGGTGTCATTAAATTGACACCTTAATTGACTCCACTGTAGACTATACTTTTAATAATACTTTCTGAAGCTGGGCATGGTGGCTCACGCCTGTAAGCCCAGCACTTTGAGAGGCCAAGGCGGGCAGATAACGAGGTCAGGAGATGGAGACCATTCTGACCAACATGGTGAAGCCCAGTCTCTACTAAAAAATACAAAAATTAGCTGGGCATGGTGGCGCGTGCTTGCAGTCCAAGCTGAGGCAGGATAATCACTTGAACCAGGGAGTCAGAGGTTGCAGTGAGCCCAGATGGCGCCACTGCACTCGAGCCTGGCGACAGAGCGAGACTCCGTCTAAAAAAAAAAAACAACAGAAAGAACACTGTCTATGAGCACTTAGGTACCTTGAAAACTCACAACAAAAATGTGGTACATGGACAATATTCTCAATCTATTTTTAAAATTTTGAAATCTGTATATACTTCATCCCAAATATTTTCAAAGGCACTGTATTTTTATATTCATTCACAGGAACTTTTCCTGTCAAACATTTTAAGACAATATGTTAGAACATTTAACAAAATATATGCTGAAAAGTAAATGCCTTCTAAATTTCTTTCCATTAATGGTCAGAATGTATATTTATTGTATTAAAAATCACAAGGATTCTTCCCATAAATTAAAATAATCTAGGCAGGGAGTGGTGGCTCACGCCTGCAATCCCAGTACTCTGGGAGGCCATGGCGGGCAGATCACTTGAGGTCGGGAGTTTGAGACCAGCCTTGCCAACATGGTAAAACCCCGTCTCTACTAAAAATACAAAACATTAGCCTGTTGTGGTGGCACATGCCTGTAATCCCAGCTACTAGGGAGGCTGAGGCAGGAGAATCGCTTGAACCTGGGAGGCAGAGGTTGCGGTGAGGCAAGATCACGGCACTGTACTCCAGTCTGGGCCACAGAGCGAGACTCCACCTAATAATAATAAAAATAACCTAAAGTATAACTTCAGAATTTAAAAACTGAATCATACATAACATTTGACCTTTTATATGTTGCTTTCGTAGAAAAATAAAGTGTTTTTTGGCCATTAAAAAAAAAATTCACTTCCATTCAGAAAAAGCTTCCAAAAATGAAGTTAGTACTTCAGTCATAAAACATTTTGAATAAAACTTTCCAACTGATTATGACCATAATTTAGGGTTTTTTTTTTTTCCACAAAAGAGTCCAATTTTGGAGAATGTTTAAGTTAACTGAGATATCTTCGAAGGTTCAAACCTTCCTAAAATGATGACGGGTAAAGAAGAGAAAGTGCATACTGCCATGCTGATGTTTATTTTTATATGTGATGGATCTTTATCACACAACCTTGTTGATATCCCAACTGTGTATATAAAAATATTGTAAGTGTGGACACTACAACTTTGCAAGTGGTGGAACATTATTGCTTGTCTGGATGCAATTATGAATAATTAGTGCATCACAGCCAACACCAAGTACATTTCTGCCTCATATTTCTTCATTTTGGAGGAATATCTTATTAGTTGTAATATTTGCTCCATCAAAATTTGCATTCATATTATCATTATAAAGTTAAATGATTCTCAATACTAAATGTTTAAATTTATAGTGGCATTGCTGATGTTAGAAATTACAGTATTTGTAGAGTTAACTTGCAAAAGCTTTGTTTTCATATATTAGGTAAAAAAATGAAAATAATTTCACAAAGTTCTCTGATATTGTGTTTGCATCCTTTGGCAGGAAGATTAACAGCTACTTGGTCATTTTTCATATATGTACGATGAAATCTTGAAGTGGAAAATGATATAAATTAATGTGGAAGAAATAGCCATTTGATCTAAATGAAAAGTCATGCTCCACAGAGAGATATATCAACATGCATTTTTAGCTGTATGCATTAAAATAATGTTTTCAGAAATGATTTTCTTGGATACTTCCTCTTAAAGTAGCTGTTGAGGCTTCTTTGGCAGGTTTATGACTTAGATTTACAAATGTCAGTGACATGATCAAGTCAAGGCCCCAGGGTAGACAAGAAATGTAAACATTTATCAACAACTGTCTTAAGAAATGTACTATCTGTACATGATTATTCATTAAATATGTAATCTTTGTGTTTTTATTTATATACTGAAAAAGTAAAAAAGATAAGTGCACATTTACTCACTACAATGAGTAAAATAGTATATTCTAAGAGTGTTCAGACTACTTTTTATTCTGTTAGCAGGAAGGCTTAAATTATGCAAATATTTAACATACACCTACCCTATCATTTCTCATCTCCCTTACTAACCATTCTGAATAGGCAGTTTGAAAGCTTCCTGAATCTTACAGGCCCTGGCAGTGGCCACAGCTTAATGGGCCGGTAGACATCACATGCTTTCTACCACTGCCTGAAGCAAGAAGGGATTAGCTCATCTGAGAGCAGTTTGTTTTATTATGGACCATGCAGAAGCTTTCCTTTAAAGCTGGATGTTAGTCACTCAGGCCCTGAAGAGAGTCAGGAAAATAGAGATGGGTCATTCCTGGTTGTT
This sequence comes from Homo sapiens, assembly GCF_000001405.40. Lineage (NCBI taxonomy): Eukaryota > Metazoa > Chordata > Mammalia > Primates > Hominidae > Homo > Homo sapiens. The sequence continues at coordinate 94,453,264 of NC_000015.10, read as the reverse complement.
AGAGTTAACCTGGTGTTAGTCTTTGAGAACTCTGGTCACAGTGCATGCATCTCATGGGCTACCAGTAATGACCACAGAAACAGCTGAAAGCTTAAATTGAAAGTCTAAGCAACACATCCCACCTTGTTATAGTGGAAATATTAAATACAATAGTTTAAAAATGAGGATAATTAGTAAATGAAAACTTTCTGGGAAAACTGGGACCTGTGGTGAACCTGAATCACTTTTTCCTAAAATTCTTCAGTAAAGAAAAGAATCAGTTATTTCCAGAGTATCTTCTAGACAGGGAGAAAAAAACAAAACAAAACAAACAAAGTTTTTTCACGTGTTTCCACCCCTTCCTTAAAATGCATTTGCTACTCATGTGAGACAGGGAAAATTTCCATCTGAGCTCAGGTATCTTTATGATTAGCAGTAAATGTAGTTTTTGCTCTCTGAAAGGCTTTAAAAATGGCCTTTGGATAATATGTGTTTATCAAAGTATGGTAGCTTCTATGCTACAAGAAGATTATATTTTTGTAGCTTGGATGCTTCATTAATATCTTCCATTACCCTCTTTTTGGCTATACCCTGCTTGAACTGGGGGATCAACAGATAAGACCCGGCTGTTTTATCTGATCCTGTGTTCTCAGCACCAACAACTGTGGTGGGTCCATCCTCAGTGTTGCTACAGTACTTGTTTGATGGAGAAATAAATGGATCCAGGAAAAAAATAGTTTATCAGGTTTATAGTAGTATTAAGTAATTATTTACATCAACCCAAGAAATAAGCAAATGCTTGTGGTTTGAGAGAAGATTCCAGGCCTTATAGAAGAATGACTGGAAGGCCCAACTCAAGCTTGATGGCTTTTGTGAATCCTCTTCCTAAGGATTCCAGTCTATGCTGACTACGGTCTTTGTTCTCTCAATTTGCATTGTACCTCTATCATTTTAATCATCCTAATAGCAAATGCTCTTTTCACTCTCTGTACTGCAAAATTTCTCTTTTAAAACAAGATGCTATTGATTTTATGGGTCTTTTCTCTTTATATCTAGCAATATACCAATGGACATATCACAGGAAGTATTACATAGCCTTTAGTATTAGTATTTCCATGTATAGGAAACTGAAGTCCAGGGAAGTTAAATGATGTTATATACAGCAGACCATGGAGTCAGAGAATGGGGTTCAACTCTGGTCCTGACATCTACTAGCTTGGTGATCATGGCAAGTTCTTTACCCTTTCTGAATTTCAAGTTTAATATTTGGAAAATGTAGATCATTGTCATTACTCTGATTGGAGTGTGGAGAAAATTAAATATTATCACATATGTAAAGTACCTAGCATATTCCAGGTGCTTCATAAACACCAGTTCCTTCCCTTCAAGAAGGCAAAGCTACAAAAGAAGGAACAACCTTTTGTCTAGTTTAAAGAATACTGGGGTTAATTTAAGTTTCAAAGAAAATGATCTTCCAGGACAAGTCTACTCATGTTGCCCTGAGTTGTATGAAAGATCGTCTGCAGTTCCATCTGTATCATGCTGGCTTTATTTACACATTTCAGATTGAACCAGGGAATGTGGTGATAACACAGTTTAGCAAACACAACATTACATCTGCTGTTGCTACCAAACTGCCTAGGAAGAGTAACAGTGATTCATTCAGAAAGACAGAACTGCTGTCACATGTGCTTCTATTTTCCCTTAACATATAAGGCTTCCAATTTACAGAGGGAAATGTGTAATAAAAATAGTGAAGGCCACTGGTGTGATTAAATAAATGAACAAGATTATTGTGGCTAAATACATAGTTTTAGATTCCTATATTTGAAAAAGAGGGATATCACTTCTCGTTACAAATGTGAAAAAATGTGGAGGCATAAATAAAATTCACATGCTTTAGGGGTCTACTTTGTGAGCAAGCCTGCATCACCAAATAATGAAGAGATGAAAGCATGGAATTTTTCAAATTTCATAAGGTTTCCTTGTTTTTTTTAAACACACAATAAAAAAGAAGAGCATTCACTGTGAGAAAAGTAAACTAACTTGGTAACCTAAAAATATATATCATATGAAGATGAGTACAAGCCCACCATTTTTCATTATTCATTTATAAAATGTTAAAAGGATTGAGTATTTTTGCTAACTTTTGTAAGCAGAACTAAGAACAAATAATGTGTCTGTGTTGTAACACAATTGTTCTTTTTTAAAAAAGAAAAAAAATTTTAAAAATCAGGGCAAATCTTTCCTTTCTTAAGGCCTTGTTGGCGTTGGGTATCCAATGAGTATAGCACCATAGGTGCAATAAACTAGCTTCGAGCCTCAGGCAGAGAATTAACACCATCAAAATGAATTTACAACTAAGAATTAATTACACAATCAGGGTGTTACTTTAAATCTCTCCTACATGTTCTGATTTAGAAAACTTCTCATTTCTCTATTAATTCCCTAAGCAAAACAGGAGACAAAGTCCTGAAAATTGACCATGTCAGGAAAAAATCCTTCTGACATGCTTAAAAACTGAGTAGTATTTGTCACAGGATGAACAGAATTCTCAGAAGAGATTAATGCAAAAATTTTTATCTCAAAATCCTCCCAGTAATTTCAATCATCTAGACTAAAGATGCAAAAATATACCTTTAGACTTTAAATAAGAATATGTTTGGTCTGTTTCATCCCACTGAATATTAAAAGCCTATAATTTGAAAACTTGAAGAATTATAAACATTAGAAATAGATTGAGTGGCATTTAGCATGAAAAAAAGCTTAGCATCTGTCATAACAAAGAACAAGCAGCAATATTTCTGATACATGAAATTAAAAATTATTCTTTGGGAATCCCAGCAATGCACCAGGAGCTGTCATTTAGAAATTCTTCCCATGAGGCATTTTGTGGGCATGCAGGGATGCAGACGCACACGTGCGCGTGCACACACACACGCACACACACATGGAGTCAACGCCACAGCTCGTGCTATTAAAATGGAGTGGGGAGATCTGTACTCTTTCTGGAGTGTACTTCTTTCTCAAGTAGTTCTTTTGCTTTGGGAAATGAATATAAAATAGTATTTGGATTTTGAATCAATATCATTTCTAAGTGGTTTTATATTGCTCTATCTGTTCATTACATAAAGCACTTACTGTACTGGTATTTACCAACACTTTTTTTTGTGGCCTGCAACATGAATATCATCTAGTATCAAATAATAGGGTTGAAAAAGTAAAAGGAATACACAGTCAGCTCAATAGGAAGATACTCACAAAATACAACTGAAAAATTGGCAACAGATTAGGGAAAAAAATATTTGGAACCTAGACCCTTGAAAGATTGATTTCATTAAAAGTCTCTCTGCACTAAGTGACAGAACACCAAGCCACCACAAGGTAAACAAGGCTAATGGTTTTCTATAACTGTAACTACTGTAGATAAATATACCAGGGGTGGCAGTTGCTGGTTTAGCTGTGTGAATCCTTTAGTTTTCTCCCAGGTACAATAAAGGAGTGGGTATAAGATAAAATATTTGTGTGATTCAGCAATGGAACAAGTTAAAAAATCATTATTAAGATTCAGCTCAAACATCACCTTTTAGCAGTCCTGCCTCACCTAGCATTTCTCCTCTGTTTCCCAACATAGCATCTACAACAACATTACAAACCTTGATGAAAGCAGAAGTCCTAGGGAACTGGGGTTGTTTACTATGAGCACCTTGTTTATGGTTGTAATTTTTGTATTCATAGAGGCTTTGGTACAAAGACATCAATAAACATTGGCAAAATAATGCAGAAAAATGAACCAATAAATTAATGACAGGTTTCCTTCACAATAACGGAGCATGGTCAAAAATAAGATTTAGACCAGAAGAGATGGGTTTGAGTGTTGCCACTATCCTGGCTGAGAAATCTCATATATGTTACGGAAGTTCTCTTAGCCTTGGTTTGTTCATTTGTAGACAAGGGAACATATTATGAAACTTAATATTTTGTTTTGAGTACTGAATGAGCTCCTGCACATAAAAGCAGCCTGCAAATTAAAATATTAATATTTTCATAAATCTAATTGCTTAAATAATTCTTACTTGAAATGGCCTTGTTTTAATTTATTATTCTTGTTTAATACTTTATTCCAGTGATTACTTTTCCCTTGAAGAAAAAAGTGGTATCCCCCCTTTCTATCAATTATCTCATAAACTCATTGGATAATTGGGTGAGTCACAGTAAAACAGATCAGGGATTTATTTATTTATTTTGAGATGGAGTCTCGCTCTGTCGCCAGGCTGGAATTCAGTGGCACGATCTCGGCTCACCGCAACCTCTGCCTCCCAGTTCAAGCAATTCTCCTGCCTCAGCCTCCCGAGTAGCTGGGACTACAGGTGTGCGCCACCATGCCCAGATAATTTTTGTATTTTTAGTAGAGATGGGGTTTCACCATGTTGGCCAGGATGGTCTCAATCAGATTTATTTTTAAATACAAAAGACATAGCTACTATTTTCAGAAAACCAATCACTTGTGGATAATCAGGATGCAATGTCCAATGTCTTCTACCTTCTCATGATGTGACAATTCTAAGCAATGGGAAATGAAATATCTAGATGCAATACAGGTTGAGTATCCTTTATCCAAAATGCTTGGGACCAGAAGTGTTCTGGATTTCAGATTGTTTTGGGATTTGGGAATACGTGCATCATGCTGGCTGATCATTCCTAATTTAAAAATCAGAAACCCAAAATGCTCCAATGATCATTTCCTTTGATAATTAGCACTCAAAAAGTTTCAAATTCTGGGGCATTTTGGATTTCAAGTATTTAGATTAGGGATACTCAATCTATATAGACTACGAAAAAATCAGCGCCTCTGACGAAATTTGGTCAGGCAATGCACATTCGCTAAGAGAAGGACAGGTAATTCATCTAATTGAGTCTGGCATATCACATTTCATAATATTTGAGAATAATATACTACAATCCTTAGAATAGAAATCAGAAAGATCTACTTGTACTAGGAATATTAGTGAGCTTGATAATAAGCAGGATGCTCTGAATAAGGTTCCAGAAGGCCAGACTGATACTATTTCTGGATGACTTCTAAAGGTTATCAAGTCAAAACATTGTTAAGAATGAGAGTTTGATTTTTAAAAAGAATATTTAAGCAAGTTGATTTGCCAGCGGACTACAGGAAATTGGGAAGGCAACCCCCTCTCATCCAAAACATGCATAAACTGATAATTAAGAATTGGCTGGAATCCACTTCACTATAAAAGGCTTGAAAGATGGTATGATAAAAATGTTAGCAATTAAGTCACTTCATCACTAAAAACCATATTAAATCAAATTAAAAGGACTTAAATTAGAATTCCCATGCACTTTATTCCCCTGAAAGTTAGCCATAAGCAGGTCTTTTACAATATGCCCTGTGTATAAATTGTATATCCCTGAAGGTGAGTGTGTGCACATGCAACTATTGTTAACCATTCAAAGATACTCTCTGGCTTTTTATTTTCTTAAAAATACAACACTTTATCATTGTTAAATATCACTGCTTATGTCATAGTTTAAAAAATTACTAATCTAACCAATTTACTGTTTTAGACATTCTTAAGAAAGCGCAAACAGGCCGGTCATGGTGGCTCATGCCTGTAATCCCAGAACTTTGGGAGGCCATGGTGGGCAGATCACATGAGGCCAGGAGTTTCAGACCAGCCTGGCCGACGTGGTAAAACCCTATCTCTAATGCAGTGTGGTGGCACATGGCTGTAGTCTCAACTACTCCAGAGGCGGAGGCACGAGAATCACTTGAACTTGGGAGGCAGAGATTGCACTGAGCCGAAATGGCACCACTGCACTCCTGCCCGGGCAACAGAGTGAAACTCTGTCTCAAAAAACAAACAAACAAACACAACACACACACACACACAAATGAATTATAGACAAAACTACTCTCATTGTTAGATTGTTAAGAAGACCTCCTCTATGAACATCAGTTTTCTCTGGTTAGGATATTATAGATCATCTCCTCTCTCTTTCTGGCACAAGGAAACACAGGGAATGAGGCACAGTGGACTTAACCACATCATCCAAAGCACTCTACAGGTTAATTCACAGTGAGAACTCCTAGATACATGCCATGTGCTTCTCCCACTAAGAAGGCCCTGTCTGGGTAATGAGGAAGGGACTGACTAATCAATTTAGAGGATGGAAAATCATTTTAAACACTGAAATTAATGGTTTAAACTGTACTTAAATTTTAATGATGACAAACTAATTTGTGAAAATAGAATATAGATACAATACCCATTTGTATCCTTCCATTATAATATGCTCCTCAATCAATCAACAAAAATGGATTAGATGTTTCTTATTTTCTTAAAGGAAAATGTCCATATCTGTTTTTCATCTACAACTGATATAAAAGGGTCATATTGTTTTTCATAAACACTGTCAGGCAATTGTGACCTCATTGAAGATGCTAAAAGGACAGATCATTCAAGTCCTGTTTCTGACAACCTAGTTATGAACAAACCAACCCACAATGCAAGCCTTGGAGCACAGTTTCTTTTTGATAGCATTAAGCAGGGCTTTTTTTCTTTTATTACATGCCCTTATGATTCCTTCTTCCTGATGTTAATAGAAAATGCTGAAATATTCTATGTAAGTGATTGTTGGGCTGGAAAAAGAAAGAAACTCTAGTGCAAGTATTTATACCTTCTGTAATGAAAACAAGATATTATTGTCTTGCTTGACCTTTCCTAAGTATGGGATACAGCATTTTACACAATAGTTTCTTGGTTCATGCTTCAATTACTGACCTTTACTGTGTAGAAAATTAATGCAATTTTCATTGTAATCCATCCGTACAAATAAGGTCCACATGGAAGGATTCCACATATGGAATCTAATACAAATAGGAAATGTCAACTGATTGCTGTTGGCTGAACTTAGCTATTATCTGTTTGTTCTGGAGTCTCTAGAAAACTAGACTTGTAACAAGCAATTTCTTACATGAGCCGTCAGGTATTAGAAAGGAGGATTTCCTCTCTTCAAAGTTTAGCTTGTACATTTCATCTCCTACAAGGCAAAAACCTAGTTACCTGAAAGTTCTATGTTATCCCTGAAAGTCTGCAAAAGAAAAGGCAAAATTGTGAAGTCTAATCTGGTTTCTAATACAAGTTACTACCATGAACTTTTCACAATGCTAAGGAACAAGGGGTTACAGTGATGTCATTTTACAACAATCCCTGTTCCAGACAATAAAAGAATGACAGACCCCAGTGTCCTGGTCTGTGCATCAGAGACAGGCAGAACATGGCAAAGCATTCATCTCCTGAGGAAGTTGTGCCAACAGGCCCCGGCACGCTTTTATCTTCCACAGTCGTCCGTGATGGTATGTGGTGGGAAGGAGCACTGGCAATTAAAGAGTGTCACCTTCAAGATGGATGGTTTGGGTAGAAAGAAGTTTCTCTCCTCTTCTGGTTTTGAACAAAATGGCTGTGTGTTTATAATTTGTAAACAGTTCATCTCTCACTGAGTGTGTTACAGTTCCCAGAAGCATGGTCTGTCATGTCTAACACACAACAGAAGCCAGAAGGGCTCAGTGAGTAGACCTTTCTTCCAGCTCACTATGACGGGGAGCCACCCAGTGACTGCATGTCCTGGTCTATGACAAGCATACCTCGGTGGGAGAAGCTGATCTGCACAGAGAAGAAACCAAGTGTCGTAATACATATGTGTATGTGCACTCAAAAAGTCTGAAAGTTGAAGATCCCTTTAGTTTACAAATCCCTTACAGAAGGAAGAATGAAAAGAGATGGACAAGGATGGAAAAATTCACCAGCCTTTCCTAACAATAGAAGGGTTGTGTTAAGCAGAAGAGGCATAAACAGAAGTCAAAATATCATTTTAGATTTATTCCTCTAGAAGATTTCATAGAAATATAAAATTGGGAAAGCAAAACCACCATGGTTATATTTGTCTATTACAAAGTGCTATTCAAATACTATAATAAAAACATGTTAAGAATAAACTTTCTCTGGAGGGAAGGAGGAGAACCCTAATGCCAGCACCCTCAACTTGGGACAGGTTGGCACAACTGGTATGGGTTTGGGCCATGCTGAGATGAATGCAACAGCTCCCAGGCTTATCCCTATGGATGCTGCTGTTCCAACTCTTTCTTCAGTCATCCTTGCCCAGAAAGGTTTAAAGCACAGACCAAAGGGCTGTCTCTCCAGACCTTCAGGTAGCTCTTGAAGTACATCAGTGGTAGACTAGACCTTGACAACCACTGGTCTAGACTATGACCTGATTTTGTTGCTTGCCAGTCACTGAATACCATGTTTCCATTCATCATCTTGTTGGATACTCTCCTTTACTAGATGGGCCAAAGATACATGGTCACCGTTATTCCTAAAGCGGGGAGGACATCCTCTTCTACTGGTGGTTCATTTAAACAGGCTTGGCCAAACAGGAAGAAATCTTCCTTTCATCCAGGCCTTGGTTTATAAATATTTAGAATTTTGCCTAATGTGATGTTATGATATAATAAGAAATGTATGCTTGTTCTTTGTCCCTGGTTCCTGGCACAAAGCTCCTAAAATTCCTGGAGTTTCCTAAGTGATAAGAGAGATACGAACATCTTTTGCTATAATATTTGGTTTGGTCCTCAGTTCCTAAAATAGCTCCAGAGCAAGAGAGATGAGAAGAGCATCTTTTGGCTATTCATAACAAGCCCCTTTCAACCACACCTGACTTTCTGCTAATGAGGAGACTTTTGGAAAGCCTCTGATGATGGGGGAGCTGGTGGCCAGGAGAATCACCCATGATTAGAAGGTTAGAACTTTCAGTACTCCCAGCCCTGACCTGCAGGGAAGGAAGAGGGGGCCAGAGATTGACTTAAACACCAATGCCCAAACATTCAGTCAATTATGCCTATGTAATGAAACCTTCATAGAAACAAAAATACCGTTTCTGGAAGCTTCTGGGTTGGTGAACACATGGAGGTGCTCTAGGGTATGCCCAGAGAGGGCGTGGAAGTTCCACACCCATTCCCCCATCCGTTGCCCTGTGCATTTCTTCCATTTGGCTGTTCCTGAATTGTGTCCTTTATAATAATCAGTAAATATAAGAAAATATTTCCCTAAATTTTGTGAGCCGTTCTAGAAATTTGTTGAATCCAAGAAAGGGGTTGTGGGAACCCCCACCTGATAGCTGGCCAGTCTGAAGAACAGGAGGCCTAGACTTGCAGTTATCACCTCATACAGGTTTAAAATAATTTCACTAATACTTCTGTTTTTTTTTTTTTTTTTTTTTTTTTGGTAAAATATCCCATTATAAACCTTATTAACTTAGCTTCCCTTTGACAATATTCAATGACTTAATCACTCAGAAACCGCTAGCTAACATCAAGACATCAATAAGAAACTTGCATCTGTGTGAACCCTTTTCTGAAAAAGGTCATTTTCCTCTAAAAGTATTATACTTGATTTTATTATTTTGCTATTAATGATCCTCTTAACACAACAAATAAGATTTACTTTGTAATCCACCCCATTTGCTTCAAATGGGCAAAACCATCTGGTCCACTCAATTAATTCTAAGGCTCTTTGTATCACAGAGCCAGTGTCTTTGAATACATTTCTATTCAATGGGCATTTACACTGGATACTTACTCTCAAGGTTCCCCCTTTTACCCTTTCCTCTGCACAAGCTTCCTACATGTTACCATCCCTCGCCCCAGATACCCACAGGTGAAGGGGACTGGAAGCCCATTAAGCTAGTAGCATCTCATTTGGCATTTCACTTGTTTCATTTTATTCCAGAAGGTTTGTCTGAAAGCGTAATGACAACAAAAGCAGCAGATTTGAGAGATTCTCCCAGGAGAAGGAAAAGGACAGATGTACACAGACATATAGCTGAAAACGCTGCCAGGAACAGCTGGGAAAATGACAGGCGCGGAAGTGGGTGACCACCCCACAGAGTGCAGACATGAGCCTAAAGCAGCAGCAATTTCACTTGATTTACTTTTGACTTCCCAGGCTACCTTTTATCTATAAAGGGGAAGGCTAATCTTGGCTTGTATCCAATGAAAGGCCTCCTATAGTTATGCTTTTTATAACATTTCAATTATTCCTTCTATTTTACCCTTCTCAACCTCATTTTTAAAAATCTTAAAAAGGGATATCCTTTTTAAAAGTTACAATAATATTACTATACTGGTAACTCTATCATATTAAAAAAAAAAAAAAAAAGAGAGGAGAGAGACTCAACCTGAAGGAATGCTATCTGTTGACAACACTAGTGTTTTTTTGTGTGTGTTCTTTCTTGAACATACGCACCTTGTCATCTTCATCCTCCTCGTCATCTATGTCTGTGCTCTCCTGAAAGGAAATCCCACGTGTTTATAGAAACATCAACCGAAATTAACAAATGCAAATTAAACTCAGACACATTTTAAAGCTTGCCTACAGACTTCAAGCATTTATATTTTTGAAATGCATTACAACCTCTTAAACAATAACTCTTTTAAAGTTCAGGGACACTGTGGCAGGACTCTAAACAATATGCATAATCTACATAAAACCATTGACTATAAATAAAGCTATTAGGCCAGTGCCCTTTGAAGGCATCCAGCTTTAAAAATGCATTGCTGAGTTGTACTTTCTGTAAACAGTGTTGTTCTTATTCTGACAAATGAACCAACTGCTACGTTAAGGCTGAGAATACCATACTCCACTAGTGCTGGGCTCATTGTTATAATGACTGCTCTCTCCCTTTGGGGCCATTACTGAAACATCAGACAGTATAAAATGCATTAGTCTGAATATAATCAATCTTAAGAATAAGTTACAGGTTTCTCTGTGGCATTATTATTTTGCCCTGGGTTTAGGGTTAGAAGGGGCAGGTGAGGGAAGGAAACTCAAGGCTCAGATCTGGACTTAAGGGTGCCTGGCTTTAGCTCAGGTGCCACAGCACCAGCTGTACTGCTAACGGCCTTGTTTAGATGAATATAAAAATCTTGGCTATTTAATGGCCAGAGTTTGATCATAGCACTGCAATGTTTAAAAACTAATATCTGTTGGTACATAATCAAATAGGGTCAGTAGTTTGGAAAGAAAGCTCAGTGTTAGACAACACGGTCTATTTTCAGCTTGAACACTTGCATTTCTGCTTAACCTTGCAAAGGTCAGGCACGCTGTTCAGATGTCACTGTTCCACTAGTAAAAAGAATTGTCAATATCATGCTCTTAAAAGGGAGTAACTCTAAAGTATCCAGAGAATACTCTGCTACATTCCATAAAACCACTGAGCAGTCATCAAGAAATTTCTTCAGGGCCGGTATAGCCCTACCTCCTAGAATTCTCACAAGATTCAGCTAGCAGTTTGTGTGGTACTCATGGGTCCTCTGGGGAACTAACCTATTCACAACTGGCAGCAAACATGTCTCATGAAAGCCAATGGATAAACAGGAAGGTAATGAAAACAGGCTATGGGAGGAAAAAACGCTATAATTGGGAGAAGTCTTTAGCTTGGGACATGGTTCCAGTAGTTTTTGCTTTGTGACTTTAGGCAAATCACTTCGTCACTATGCACTGTAGTTTCATAAGACATAAAATGAAAATAGTTCTTGCCTCCCTCATAGTTGTGTTATCGAACTAAATTAGGTAATTATTTTCAATGTTTTATAAATAAAGGCTTTATACATACATACACACTTATGTGCATATAGGTATATTAATATGCACATGTATGCCAGTATATGTACATGCTCTCACATGCACACATATGCACATACTATAAACATATATACACAGTGGGCAACATAAAACCTGCGTAAACATTGTAAAAATGTTAGTTGACAACATAGATATCAGAGATGTTTCTTTGTAAAAATTTCCATTATCTATAACTCTGTGAAACCTAGTCCTTAAATGGATCTATTAAAGCCATTCATTTATTAGCTGGTTCTATTTTCTCACTGATATGTGTTCATGCCTATTGCATTAAATAATTAAAATCAAACAGAATAGAATTTTGAAATTGCCTGAGGTTTTTCCTCTTGCCACAATACTCATTTTTCCCACCTTCCTTCCTAAGTGAAACCAGAAACCTCCCTTAAATCCATTATGAGGACATAAGGAAAAATAAAAACAGTCAGGGTTTGATTGACTCTTGGGAAACCAAATGTGAAGGTGATCCATCTAGAAAGAAAATTAATCAAGTCTTAGGACTTTAGATTTTTGTTTTAAAAACTTGGTTCTTGAAGCTGGAATGCCTAGATTACATCATAAAAAAAAAGCCTACAAATACAAGTTCCTGGCCACCTAGAGCAGAGCAGAAAAAGATCTTATGGGGTGCAATGAGGGGGCCAGGAGCAGGAGAGTCAGAGTGGAAGTGAGATGAGTAGATGCGGAGAGATGTCTTTGAGAAAGGGTCTTGCTTTCTTCAACAGGACAGGAAGTTTGGGAATTTCCAGACAAATGTGGGCACCTGCAAATAGATGGATCTAAGCCCACCCACTCTCTGATTGCCCTGGGAGTTGACAAGCCTCTGGGAATCTCCTGAGCCTTCAAGCCAGAGAGAACATTGCATAAGGTGCCTTCATGGAAAGGCCAGAGTTAGCCCTGCAGAGCTCTCTGCATGCCCAGCAATGGCCCACAGAGCCAGCAAAGGTTTCTCGCTAGTGACTGAGGAGGTTGTTCACAGGAACTCTACAGAGAATCAGATGAGCACACAGACATGTGCTACCAGCATGGAAATGATAACCATGAACCAGAGGCTCCCTTCATGCAGGCCAAGACTCAGGAACGTAAGATGCCACAGAAAGAAGACTCCAGATTATTCATGATAGAAGACCTCCACTGCAAAATGAGTGCCTTTGCAGGGCTGCTCCTTACACCTCAAACGAAATGGACTTGGGCCATGATTTGGTGGTGGTGGTAGTTTGTTGTTAACACATTTCTCGGCAGTCAAATGTCAGAACTCCGAATCCTTGCTTACCTGGCTGTCCTGGATGCTGCTGACCTTGCCTTTCACAGGTCTGATGAAATTGTAGACAAAGATCAGCAACAATGCCAAGGGGATCATATATAGTTCAAAATTCCAGACAGTGATCAAAAATACCTGATTGAAAGACAAATAAGAATACACGACTGCTTGATAAAACACTAGGGGAGCAATCAAATTCCTACTCATTGATGTAAGGAGATTCAATTGGACTCTTTCTAGTCACATTCAGAAACATTTCCAAACAGGTACGCACACACACAATGATCAACTCATTTTTAGAACTGGTAGCATAGAAAGAGCTGATTAGTCACGCTCTGGAATAGACAGATACAGTGGCTTCATACCTGAAAAGCCCATGGATTTTAGTGTGCCAGAATTTATGGAAAGTAGTATGGAAAAAGTCCAAGGTCACAAAGACGCAGGCCAGAGACCAAATTTTGCCAAAAGTGAGGTTTATTTGAACAGGAAAGAGCCACTACTTTTTCAGTTGGCTGCCAATATTGAAAAATCCAAATATTTCAGAGAAAGACTTTGGATTTCCAAACTTTTGTTAAAGTGCTTAAAATCTACCAATTTCGAGACTATATGGACACAAGAAAATGATTGGCTAGCATTGTCTACATCAGAAAAGGTATGCCCTTAGCTGCCCAATTTCTGTCAACCTCTGAAATTTGTGACTCCTCACATAGAAAGGCAAGTGAGAATTTGAGACTGAGTCCAACTGCCTATGCTACAATGGTTATTAGAGACATGAATGCAGGTAGATGGTTCTACCTCCAAGAAACACACTAATTAGGATAAATAAGGTGAGAACACCTTTTAATTATAACATGAGGCAGGAGTGAAATTTTGGGTAAATTACTTCAAAATTTGAGTCTCACTTTCGTTTCAAACTCACCGGTAGTCTAGAAGACGAAATAAGGTAATTTGTGGTTATCAGCTGTCTGTAAGTGCTTGAAAAAAACCACTGCTATAACATATCAACTTAGAAAAGGCAAATTACTGCATCTTAAATATGAAATCTTCCTTTCCAAAAGCAATACTGTTTCATTGCTAAAAACTTTTTCTAACATTTAAAAATTTTCTCTTTGTGATTATCATATATTGCTTTTATTTTTTGGTGCCCATTGTAAATAAAATCACTTCTTCCATTATGTTTTTCAAACTTGTCATTATTTACATATAAAAGCAAATAATTTACATATATATTTTTAACATTAGCAGCCTTACTGAATATTCTTTATTGTATCAAATAGTTTATTTCATTCCTGCGAGGCTTCTAAGAATATAGTCACATAATCTACAATTAAGGATCCTCTTCTGTTTCCTCTTTTCTATTTGTAATTTTTTTCCTGCTTGATTTCATTACTCCTACAAAAAATTGTTAAACTGTTCAGAAGGATATCACTGTTTAATTCGTGGCTTTAATGAAAATACTTCTAGAGTGATAAATCATACCACATTAAGAACACACACAAACCATTTTTAATACCAGAAAATTTACATATAGGTGATCATTATTCTTTATATCTTTGAAATGTTTTATAAATACTCTTTCATATCTGTTATAAACCTAATAAAAACATGTTTTAAACAAAAATTTGTCCAGCAATTTTAACAGGGTATAATTTTTAAGATCAAGAATGGTTGGTAGCTAACCAACCGTTCGTTCAGTATCTTCTGAGATAAGGATGGTTTTATCCTTTTCATTTAAAGACATCAATATGGTGAAGTATTGTATTTGTAATTTCATAATTTGAAGCAATCTTGTATTTCTGGGAGAAACTCCTTCACTGAGGTGAACCCGTATTGCTGTATTTTATTTTCTAACACTTAAAGATGTTTTGCATAGACGCTCGTGTTCTTTTTGTCAACCTTCCTCAGTCCTATTCCTCTCATTTCCAAAGACAACCTTGTCCTAAATTTGATGTGAATTTTTTCCACCTCAGGGCACCTTAGGTATATATTAGTAATAACAAAATAAAAATGTTCCTATCATTCTGCAAATATTTTAACCAATAGTATGTTTTATAGTTCTTTTCACGGTGTATGCGTAAATCAAGTACATTTATTTTAACTAATATAGTTCCCATTCAAATGAATGCTCTGCAATTTGACGACTATACTCGCTCATCAATGCAAACATGGGCTGAAATAGTGGTTTTACGTAATCAAATATATTAGTCTTTTACATTAGGATTTCTACCTTTAATGTTCAGTGTTCTACTTAAGAAATCATATTCTACCTTGAGTTCATACAGCTATTTCCTTGTGTTTTCTTCTAAAGATGACTGTGTATGATCTTTATTCTGTCTCAATTTTGTTGTTTTTAATTTTTTTTTTTAACTCAGGCAATCCAATGTGAACTTTTTCCTTACAGCCATCTTTTACAGCTAAATTCCTGTAATGATCCCCATTTTTCTCTTTCATCTACATTGCTACTTCTGTCAATATACCAAGTTCCCACATGAGTGTGTCTATTGTTTCTGAGCCCTCTCAGTTCTCCATTGATATATTTTCCTATATTTTACCAAGACCACATTTTAAAAACTATAATTTCGTAACCATACAATATCTGAGTGGGCAAGTCTCTTATTACACGCTCAAAATGATCTTGGATATTTTTTCACCCTTTACTCTTCCACGTGTATTTCAGAATTAATTTATAAATTTCTATACAACTCAGAAAAATTAAGACTGAGATTGTCTTGATAATTTAAAGATAATTGGTATCTTGATATTAACATTTCATAATGATTATTTCTCTATATTCAGAACTTTTTATGTATCTCAAAATATTTTTTCACTGTACTGATTTTCCATGTTTCATTTTTTTTAAGTAACTTGGAGTTTAACACTATTATAAATAGCAACGGAACAATTTTAAGGTTTATCATTTAATTGTTAATGCTGGGTACAGAAACACTAATTTTTATATATTCACATTCTTTCTTTTTTATATATTCACATTCACCTCTTATTAGCTGTAAGAGACTGCAAATACATTCTTTTGTAGATCTGATGTAGAAAATCATATCAACTGCAAATCATGACGATTTTCCTTCACCTTCTTCCATTCTATATGTTACGTTCCTCCTAGTGCTAAACCTCTTTTTTTTTTTTTTTTTTTTTTTGGATGTGTAAGTGTGAAATTTTTGAAATACTTTTTGGATCAATGAAAAAAATCAAACCACACTGATTTCCTCTAGTGTGGCTTGCTCCATCAACTTTCCTTTATTTAAAGTTTTATAATGTCAAATATATAATCTGTTCCTATAATTTTCTTCTTTTCAAATGTTTCTTTTTTTATAAAATAAAACATAGCAAAAAGTAGAGCCAATAGTAATTTCTTTATTAGGTAAAGCTAGAGATTTTCCTGTTTGTTACCTATTTCCCTTTCCCTATTGTTACGTTTTTTGGGGGGATTAAGGGTTTTAACGGCATACTCAATGGTGGTTGTTTCTAAATGCCTGTCTACTGGGTAAATGGATTTTATTATTATTTTAAATTACTAAATGTAACTTCAAGTAAGAAGAGGCTGACATAAAGCTATGGAGAAAAATCAGGACACATCATGTTTATTTTCTTCATTATAAAACTATGTATGTCTTTGAAAAAATTACTTGAACAACCACCAGTATTAAGGAGATGGTTGTTTTAGGTAAACACCTCATTTGCTATAGCATTGGCCTCTATCGGGAATACTTAAGCAATCCTAGAAATGTTTTACAACAAAAATTGAGTTATATTTAAATATCACATTCAAATAGCCTAAAACTCTTTTACAGTGAGACCATATTGCCTTTAGATATATATTTTTTAAATCAATGCATAATTCCCATTTCTGTAGTAAAGAACTGATTTCCTAACAAACATCTTTCAAGGAAAGCAAATATAAACCCCAGAAAAATATTTTTTTTAGAAAAAAAGTCTAATTATCTAAGCATCTTCAAAGAAAGAAAGAGTTGTAACTTGGAAAGAAGGAATCAGATCTGCATGGAGTTAATTAAAAATGTTTGTATCTTTGATCCAAGAGCAGCTGCAGTCACTCTGGTGGTACCAGCTGAGTAAAACTCCAATGAAAAATTTACCATTACTTCTGAATGGAGGAAACGGGAATGCACTCAGGGACAACCAGAGCCACTGCAGAGCGCAGAGGTACGCTGAAAGGAGAGTGTAAGCAAAGGTAAACCCCACATTCAGTATGTGAATGCCGCTAAAGTTGCTGGCATACATGCAGAGCACACTCAAGCAGTCTAAGATCAAAGCTATCACCCTAAGACATGTGACAAAGTTTGCATTTTGAGTCTAATAAAATTAAATGCCTTAAAAAAAACTTGTTTAGAAGAATATAGCATAGGCCGGGCGCGGTGGCTCACGCCTGTAATCCCAGCACTTTGGGAGGCCGAGGCGGGCGGATCACGAGGTCAGGAGATCGAGACCATCCCGGCTAAAACGGTGAAACCCCGTCTCTACTAAAAATACAAAAAATTAGCCGGGTGTAGTGGCGGGCGCCTGTAATCCCAGCTACTCGGGAGGCTGAGGCAGGAGAATGGCGTGAACCCGGGAGGCGGAGCTTGCAGTGAGCCGAGATCGCGCCACTGCACTCCAGCCTGGGCGACAGAGCGAGACTCCGTCTCAAAAAAAAAAAAAAAAAAAAGAATAAAAAAAGTACAACTTTTTTAGCAGATGACATGATTTTTTAAATGTACAAAATCCTAAGGAATCTACAAAGCAAATCCTAGAAATGACAACTAAATTCAGCAAAGTCCATGGTATAAAGTTATTATTAAAATATCGAAATCATTTTCAGATGTTAATACTAGCAGCAAAACATTAAAAAATAAAAATTTTTAATTTCCATTTATAGTAGCACCATGAAAGCAACACAGTATTTTAGAATAAAATTTATAAAACATGAGCAAGATATCCTCACTGGAAACTATGAAAGATTATTAAGAAACATTACAGAATATGTAAATAAGAAAATAAATATGCCTAGTTCATGGAGTGGAAGATTTGGTATTGTTAAGGTGGCAGTTATTCACAAATTGACCTACAGATTCAAGCAATCTTTATTTTATAGAAATGGGTAACCTGATTCTAAACACTATATGAAAATGCAGGCTGGGTACGGTGGCTCATGCCTGTAACCCTAGCACTTTGGGAGGCCAACACAGGTGGATCACCTGAAGTCAAGAGTTTGGGACCAGCCTTGGCCAACATGGTGAAACCCTGTCTCTACTAAAAATAGAAAAATTAGCCAGGCATGGTGGCATGTGCCTGTAATCCCAGCTACTCGGGAGGCTAAGGCAGGAGAATCGCTTGAACCCGAGGAGCGGAGGTTGCAGTGAGCTAAGATCGCGCCACTTCACTCTAGCCTGGGTGAAGGAGCAAACAAAACTGCATCAAAAAAAAAAGAAAAAAAAAAAGAAAGAAAGAAAGAAAGAGAAAATGCAAATGGCATGCAATAGTCAAAGCAATTTTAGCAAATAACACACTAGCTGACTTCACAAGTTATTATGAAGCTGTAGCAAAGTAGTAGTAGTGTTGGTGAAAAGACAGACTTATACATCAGTGGAGTAGAAGATAGAGTCCAGAAATAGATCCACATAAAAGTGGTTGATTTTTAAGAAAGTTGCCAATGTAATTCAATCGAAAAAATGGTATTTTTTTTAAACACTGGCACTAGAACAACTGGATATATGTATGGGGAAAAAAAATCACCTACTCTTACCACATAACATACAAAATTTAACTCTAAATGGATTATACATCTGAATGTAAATTCTAGAATTTTAAGACTTCTAAGAAAAAAGGATAAGAGAAAATCTTGCCATCTTAGAGTGGGCAAAGATTTCTTAGGACACAAAAAATATAAAGAGTAATAGAAAAATAGAAAAAAAAAAATAGGCTGGGAGTGGTGGCTCACCCCTGTAATCTCAGCACTTTGTGAGGCCAAGGTGGGAGGTCTGTTTGAAGCCAGGAGTTTGAGACCAGCCTGGGCAACATCACAAAAATGAGCTGGGTGTGATGGCATGTGCCTGCAAGTCTCAGCTACTTGGGAGGCTGAGGCAAAGAAATCACTCAAGCCTAGAGGCTAGAGGATGCAGTGACCCATGACTGCACCACTGTACTCCAGCCTGGGTGACAGAGTGAGACAGCAACCCCCCACCACAAAAAAATAAAAAAAAAAGACTTCATCAAAATATAAAATATACTCCTTTTGCTCTTTGAAAGGAAATGAAAGGGCAAGTCGCAAAATGAAGAAAATATTTTCACTACATATACTGAAAGGGATCTTGTTTCCAGAAGATAAAAAATTATTACAATTTAATAAGACGACTCAATATAAATGTGCAAAATATTTGACCAAATCCTTCAAACACAAAAAAGCCATATTAATACCTACAAACACATAGGAAGATATCCAACATGATTATGCATTAGGAAAACACAAATTAAAACCACTGTGAAATCTGATTTCACATGTATTAGAAGGGCTAAAATTTAAAACACTGGTAATATAAAGTGTTGACAAAAATGTGGAGCAACTGCAGCTCTCACACATCCTTGGTAAAAACACAAAATGGTACATCCAATTTGAAAAACTGTATGGCAGTTTCTCAAAACATTGAACATATATTTACCATAATTCACAGCTTTTCTACTTCTGTATAATATGTCTCACAAAAGTCTTGTCCACAAATGTTCATAGCACAGCAGCATTATTCTAAATAACAAAACTGGAAATGGCCCAAATGTCAACAAAAAAGTGAATATATCCACACAGTAGAACAATACTCAGAAACACAACAGAAAAATCACGTATGTTAGGACCATTGCTTGAAGCTTGGTTTCTCTGGCACCAAGGAAACTTCTTACTCTACCATGCATGTCTTCCCAATATGTTCCATGACATAGGTGCAGCAGCGACCAGTAGGTGTAATTTCAAAAAAATCGCCTTAAATTTTCAGCTGCAAATATTTCTTCACTTTCTATCCTAAAATTTATCTGCAATAGTTTTTATGAAAATGTATACATGCTAAATCTCAGATAGGAGAACATGACTCATGAAAAGATTAATTTTTTCCTGAGGAAAACCCTAAAGATAAAAATACCTTCAAGAGTCCATGGTTCCAAGCTAGCTGTGACTGAAGAACTTAGCTAGCATTGCCATAGACACTTGAACAAATCTAACAAATCCCCTATGTATTGTTTCTTTAAGTATAACACGAGAAGGATGTAACCTCATGTCACAAAAAAATTTATCATGTCTATCAGGTTTCATGAT
Organism: Homo sapiens; assembly: GCF_000001405.40. Classification (NCBI taxonomy): domain Eukaryota; kingdom Metazoa; phylum Chordata; class Mammalia; order Primates; family Hominidae; genus Homo; species Homo sapiens. The sequence goes on along the minus strand of NC_000015.10, from coordinate 94,432,995 downwards.
GAAATGGTGATGAAGTGATCTGTAACCAATTAAGTAATCAACCAAGCCATTAACTATCTTGTAAACATCCAAGAGAATGCCTCTACTAAAAAGTAGTTAACTTCAGACACCAAGTTCAATGAATGACATGGCTGTTCGCCTAAGTACTCTGGGATCTCCTCATTTGAAATTATCTTAAGATTCTGTCCTTTTGTCCTTCAAGAGTGAATTTGAGATTAGGAAACAGCCAAATTACAAGAAGCTGAGTCTCTGAATAATTCTCAAAAACATTGCTTTTGTTGAAACAAAGCAAAGTATGATTATAGAGATTAGAGTTTGCATCTTATGGCTTACACACTGTCCATGAAAGTAGTGTTTAAAAAAACTGAACAATGAAATCAAGAGCCTCATTTGAATAAATATATTTCATTATGGTTGTTCATACAAAATCATGGGTTGTTTTATACTTGTATTTTGTAAATAGCTAGGCATGCCACAGACATTTGGGAATCTAGCCAACATGGCCATTATTTAGAATAGAACTTTGACCCAACATTGGTCAAAGTAACCAGGTGATCTTAAATTGCTCTTCTGTTTTATAGTCACCTAAGATGACATAAGTACATTAAATATATAATAATAAAATTAAGTGTTCTTTTGTGGTAGAAAATCGTTAAGAGAATGCTATATGTTCTCTATATTTGCCATCATATAAATTAAGTTTCAGCTAATGAAAAATCTGCTTTCTGTTGTGTTACCCATTCCTACACCACAAACCAAATGTAAGAAAAAGAATAGATAGGCCCAACATCCACCTTCCTTGCCACCAACCCAAACTCTCCAACCTTACTAAACTCCTGGGTTAAAACTGAAACAAGAACAACATCTCAGGAAGTCCAAGGAAGGGCTAGTTGATTTCTTCTAGTGTAAGGTACTGCTCATTCAAAATCTAATGATTTTGTATGAATACTTAAGAGGGCTAGAAGCTGGTTCATCTGAAAAGTACTAAAGAAGATTCTAAATCTCTTTTAAAAACCACTGGAGTGGTCTTTGAGACAAGAAAATAAGAAAGGGCAGCAAACACACACAGACACAGACACTTTCAGAATACTGTGTACATCAACTCATTTGTCATAATAAAGATAAAATCTAGATATTTGAAACAGTGTATCTTTAAATAATCATACCATCTTTATGAAAAATCATCCTATTGTATAGGGCATAATTTAGAGGGGGAAAACACATAAGTATGATTATTTTAGAATAAACATATTGGGTAAAGGTGAAACAAAGCTGTGTTAATTCTGTTCAAAAAAAATCCAGGGTTAAATTTTTAAAAAAAATTATAATTTGACCAGGTATACATTCATTTCTAAGGTAACAAATCAATAAGTAGCCCCTTCTCAAGAAGTTGTAACTGCCTTTTTTTGTTAAAGCAGGAAAAACATGTCTTACATATCACTATACCAAAGCAAAACAACAACAAAACACCACTAGGTTTTATCAACAGCATCGAACTGATTAAAATATTCCATTTTTCCCTGGCCAACATTAAGACATTCAGACTTCATGATTTAACAGTTAAGACCTTTCATTAACTGGCTCAGACTTGGTTGTGTGTCATAATCCAACTGCACCACACATTCTAGGTTCCTAATCACACCGCACCATTTGCAAACCTTAAGATATAAAACGATGTTCAGGACTTTGCTTTTGAACATACCTTTCTCTCATTTAGAAAGCTATTTTCTCAACTGCTTGACTATTTCTTCACTTATAATGTTCTATCCCTGGGCCATTCAAACTAAATTCATCTTCTTGTCACTACTTTATTTCCTGGATAAGTTTATTACTCATTTTTTCTTCAGTACTGATTTGTTAAACACCTACATTGATTTAGACACAAGAGTAAACAAAAACAAACCAAAAGCAGCCTTTATGTAGCTTAGATTGTATATGAGGATTGAAGATGAGATAGAAAAAATAAACTATATATATCAGGCGGTAAAAGGATCCACCATGAGAAAACAAAAGAGAGACAAGGAAGGGAAGGAGTATCAGGCAGTGGGGCTGGGTTTGCAATTACATGTGAGGTAATTAGGGAAGAAATCACTGAGAGGGCAGTAAGTGAGCAAAGACTTTGGAGGAGGTGTGGGTATCTAGGTGAATAATGTTTCCAGGCAGAAGAAAGAGCAAATGCAAAGGCCCAGAATCGGGAGTATGCCTTCTTCCAGTGTTTTGTTTATTTTTTTATTTTTTATTTTTGAGACGTAGTCTCACTCTGTCACCAAGGCTAGAGGGCAGTGGCACAACCTCAGCTCACTCACTGCAACCTCCACCTCCCAGGTTCCAGTGATTGTCCTGCCTCAGCCTCCCAAGTAGCTGCGATTACAGGCGCCCACCACGACGCCCAGCTAATTTTTTTTTTTTTTTTTTTTTGTATTTTTAGTAGAGAAGGGGTTTCACCATGTTGGCCAGGCTGGTTTCAAACTCCTGACCTCAAGTTATCCTCCCACCTCACCCTCCCAATGTGCTAGGATTACAGGCATGAGTCACCATGCCCAGCCTTCCAGTGTGTGTGTGTGTGTGTGTGTGTGTGTGTGTGTGTGTGTGTGTGTGTGTGATTGTTTTTGGGTTTTTTTTGTTTGTTTTTTTTTAAAAAGGCAGCATGGACTCCTTGTGTCTGAAGCAGAGTGAGCAAGAATATTGGAAAGAGAAGTGAAAAAGGAACAGGAGTTGGCCACAAGGGGCCTGGTTGATGGCTGTAAGGTCCTTGCCTTTTATTCTAAGGGAGTTGCTAGACTGCCAAGAGGGCGGGAAGCAGAATAACATGATTTGACTCATATTTAAGAAGAATTACTGTGGTTGCATAATGAGAACAAATCATGAAGAGACAACACATATTTCATCTACAAAGCTATTGAAAAGACCAGGTTAGAGTTAATTGTGGCCTAGAATTAAGGTGATGGCAGTGGAATTAGTGAGAAGTGACCATGTTTTGACTAGTTAGAAAGTAGGGACAGAGGAGTTGCAAATAGTTTAGATGAGAAGATAAAAAGGGAATGATTGAGAATGATTTGAAGATTAAGAGCTTGAAAAACTTAGATGAATGGATTTGTCCATGCATTGAGACAAAGTCTGTAGGAAGAGCAGGTTTGGGGAGGGGAGTATGAGGTGCCAATTAGATGTCCACGTGGAGACACACAGTAAACCTTAGATATATGGTTTGGAATTCAGGGTAGAGGTTATGGTTAGATACGTAAATTTGTGGATTATCAGACTCCAGATAGCATTTAAAGATATCAGACTGGATAACCTTAGCAAGGAAGCAACTAGAAAGAAATGGCCCAGAATTGATTTCTACAAAAGTCCAAATTTAGAGTTTGAGAAGATAGGGGATCAGAAAAAGAGCCTGAGGAAATGCCAGAGACAAAGAGATACATTAGGAGATGGCTGTATTCTTGAAAATAGATAAAGTATTTTAAAGAGGATGGCCACAATATATTTATAAGTAAGATGCTGAGATGTGGTCATTGGTGACTTGAAATGAGAGTTTAGTAAAATGATGAGGCAAAAATGAGATAAGAGTGAGTTTGAGAGAACGGGGAAAATTGTAGACAGGAGACATAACTCTTTGAAAGGGTTTATTACAATGAAGAGCAGAGAAATATGGTGATAGCTGGAAGGGACTGTAGCAATAAATGAGGAGAGAGAGATAAATAAAATTATGAGGCAGGAGATGGGAAATAACAGTTGGAGCACTACCTTTGAATCAGTGATAAGGGTGGAATCCACTGTAAAATGGAGTGTTGGTCTTAGCAACAATTCAGGTCATCCATAGCTACAGAAGGAAAAGCAGATGACACAGGCATAGACGTCGGTAGGGGGATAGATATAGAGGGGGTAGGGTAGCAGTAGAGGGGGCACTTATGTCAATCATGGTCATTCTACGAGAGTGAGGATGAGGAAAAGAAGTATTAAAAGTTCAAGGCAGAAGAGAAGTTATGAAATTGTCTAGAAGAGTGAAAAGGAGAGTGGATTATAGAAGTGTAATACAATTGTCAGGATGCACTAAATATTTTTTTTTGGAGCCATGCTTACCTGAGGTTCTGTTAATCAAGTCTAATGAAAGTAGAGAAGGCAAGGAAATTCTTTTAAAGATGGACTATGTGATCTGAGTTATTGGTGAGGAATGGTATAAAGGAGAGAAAATAAAATGTAAACACAATGGGTACACTAATTAACAGATTAAAAGCAGCTGAACAGAAAATTAGTAAATTGAGAGATAATTCCAAAGAAATTATTGAAGACACAGACCACAGAAACAAGGTTATAGATATACAAGTGAGGTTAAGACACATGGAAGGTAGAAATGAGAAGGTCTGATAGGTGTCTGGGGTGGAGAAAGGGGTTAAACAGAGAACCGAGAAAAAGCAATATATAAAGAAAAAATGCCTGAGGATTTTCCAGAAATGCTGAAAGATTAATATAGGAAGCCCCCCTTCCCCTAAAAATTCCTTGTCAGGATAAATTAAGAATAATCTATATCTAAAACTGTCATAGTAGAACTGAAAAAACAACTGGGGAAAAGAGGAACACTTAAAAGCAGCTAGAGAGAAAAAATAGTTCAACTACAAAGGAAAAGTAATTTGAGTGACTTTATTCCTCAAAGCAACAGGGAAAGCAAGACGACAGTAGAATAATTTAACGTATATATTCTTTCAGTCTTTCAATTTAGAATCCTGTATGTCACAAATTATCTTTAAAGGAGAGTGAAGCAGAGACATTTTCAGAAAAACATGAGCTAGTAGTGCTTCTCACCAGAAGACCCTCATGAACTTAAATATCAAAGATATACTTCAAACAGAAGGACAACTGCCCCAAGTATAAAGGCAAAATGCAAAAATGTATGGTGCTCAAAAACAATGGTAAATGTGCATGCCAGTGTAAATAAACATTGACTTACGAGAGTGAAGCATAATTTGTAATGAGACTGTCCAGAATTTAAATAGAGAAAAGCAAAAGCCTACAAATTGGGAGGGGTATGGTTTGATCTGAAGAATTCCGATACTATTGTTGTTAAGCTAGCATGTCAAGTGCAAGATAAACTTCAGCTTTTCAGTATGAAGGAGAAGATTTTTCTCAATATTCCTTTAAAAAAAAAGCTGTGAAATCTGCTTAATATACACAAACAAACAATTTGAAGATATCTGAGAATAATCAAGGCCTCTAGGACCTGAGGAGACAGGATCAAAAACAAATGCACTCCCTTAGTTTGCTACTGCTTCATGTCTTTCAGGGTTGGTTTCATTCCTATTTGTTTGTTTCCTTGTTGATATGGTTTGGCTCTGTGTCCCCACCCAAATCTCATCTCCAATTGTAATCCCCACGTGTCGGGGGAGGGGCCTGGCAGGAAGTGATTAAATCATGCGGGTGAACCTCTCCCTTGCTGTTCTCGTGATAGTGAGTGAGTTCTCATGAGATCTGGTTGTTAGAAAGTGTGTGGCACTTCTCTCTTCCTTGCTGTCTCCCTCCAGCCCCACCATGGTAAGACATGGTGCTTCCCCTTCACCTTCCATCATGATTGTAAGTTTCCTGAGGCCTCCCAGTCATGCTTCCTGTTAAGTCTGCAGAAGTGTGAGTTCACTAAACCTCTTGTTTTCATAAATTACTGAGTCTCAGGTATGTCTTCATATCAGCGTGAGAATGGACTAATACACTTGTTTTTGTCAATTCACTGTACAGAACACAGCAATCAACAGAGTACAAAGTACTAACATAGAGTTTGCTTCAATCTTAAAAATCTGGGGAGGCAAAAATTGGAGTGCATGCATGGTAACTGCAGCAGCTAGGACTTAAAAGACAAAAACATAGAGGATAAAAAAAGAATAGCAGACAGTCAAGCTGGACATTCTACATTCATTTCTCCTTAAAACAGTTACTAATTCTTAAGCCATGCATGCTTAGGATGAAGGTTAAGACCAAGCAGAAAGTGGCTGCTAAAATCTTCTGGCAATGTCACAGAGTTGGGAGACAAAAATTAGAGATGAGGGACAATTTAAAAAGAAGGGCCCTAGTAAATACTGCATGGTTTTGTTGAGAATCCAAAAAGGGCTAGGCATGGGGTAAAACTAGAAATAGATGAATCCTTAAGATGCCTGGAATCCTACCTTGGATCATCTCCATCTCTGATGGGATCAGAGTGACTTGCTATATTCTAAATGCCTACTCTATATCCTCTCTGGTAGAAGATAACATAGTCCATGCCCCCTTTAAAATGTTCTAGTAAAAATAATCAGGTATAGACAGAAGGAAAAAACAATGACCAAAAATCAAAAGAAAAAAGATAACCAGAATAGATGGGTGATTTAGATATTACAGTCATAAGATATGGATTTTAAAATAATTATAATCCATATGTTCATGAAAACAATACCAGCAGAGAACTGAGATCTGTAAGAGTCAAATAAACACCTAGAACTTCATAAACAAAATGAAGAGCTCAATAAATGAATTTAACAGTGGAACAGATCAAGCAAAAGAGAGAATTTGTGATTTGGAGTAGGGAATTAAATTAATAATTTGGAGTATTAGTAGAAAATATCTACACTTCAAGTAGAGATAGATATGGTAAAACTAGAAATAGAATAATAAGAAGTATGGCACACTGAGAAAGGTTTACTTTATATGTAAAAATCTGATATCCAGAAAGAGAGAGAAAAGAGAGACTAGGAAAAAGCTATAAGTGATACTGGATGAGAATCTTCCAAAATTTATAAAAGACATGGAGTCATAAAGTTAAGGAATGCCAAATAGGATGACTAGAGAAACATACACACACATTCTCTCTCTCTCTCTCTCTCTCTCTCTCTCTCAATCTCTCTCTCTCTCTCTCTGGCATCTCAGAGTAAAACTGAAAATAATCAATGGTCAAAAGCAAGTTTGAAAGGCAGGCACAGGAGTAAAAAAGACACTTTGCCTTCCATGGAGCAATAATAAAATTGACAATTGACATGTCCAAAAAACACTAATAGCCAGAAGAAAAAAAAGAAACAGTTTGTATAAGATTTACCTAATCCATTAATGTTTGGTAAAACTTGCCTCTAAAGTTGCCTGAGCCTTAGGTTTAGCTTTCTGGGATGATATTAAATTATAGATGCAATTATTTAATGGATTTAGTACTGTTTAAGTCTCTTTTGCAACTTTGATAAGTTGTTGTATAAGCTTTATTCATTTCATGTAGTTTCAACATTTTAAGTTTAAAATTGGTCATAATACCCTGTTATGTTTAATCTCTGCCTCATCTGAATAATCTCCCCTTCCAATGCCTGTTTGTGTCTTTTCTCTTTGTACATTGAAAACGCTGAGAAAAGAATAATCAGTTCTCTAAGTGTTTCAAAAAGATAACTTTTATTTTTGTTTTTTCTTTTGATTTTACTCATGATTTTTGTTCTTTTTTTTTACTCCTGCTAATCAACTTGGTATCATTCTGCTGTTTTTTTTATAATGTATTGATTTTGAAAGTTAATAAGTTTGCCTCTGACTTACTTTCAATATTGGTCTTGTCCTGTTTTTGTGGAACACAAAAAGTGAATTCTACCTCTTATATGGAAGAACAAAGAGCCGAGCTCTCTTACCAAGACATTCTTGAAGAAGAAAAGGAAATTGGGAAGAACTGTGCTAAACCTAAATATTTGTGTGATACTGGTACAGGAATAGACAAGAGACCAATGAAGAAGCCCATCTATGTATGTAAACTTGATTTATGACTTCGTAGAAATTGCAGATCATTGAGAAAAGGCAGAATATTCAATAAGTGATACCAAGTCATTTGGATACTACTCAGAACACAAAAATGAAATTAAAACACAAGTAGATTTAAAGATGTAATTTAAAATTTAAACAAAATTAAAGAATATTTTTATGACTTTGGGCTTAAGAAAGGATTTTTCAAACATGTCACAAAATGCACCAACCACAGGAAAAATTGGGTAATTTTGATATTAAAGATTATGTTCATCAAAAGGTAAAACAAACAGCATGAAAAAAATAGAAACCTCTAGAAGATATTTTAAGTACAAAGAATGTGTATCTAGATTAAATGCTTATACAAAAAAAAATGTAGGGGGAGAAGAAAATTAGGCAAATTAGGCAAAGATAGAGCAAAGAAGGAGGGATCCAAATGCCCCCAACCATATGAAACGTGTAAGTATTATAATAAAAAATGCAAATTAAGACCTCACCAAAGTACCCCTTCACACACCAGACTGACAAAATTAAGAAGTCAGATAACGCCAAGAGTTTTCTAAGATGCAAAATCATAACTTTCATTTGATGCTGATGGTTCAATAATCACTTGGGAAATGGTTGGCATTAACTAATGAAGCAGAAACTGTATATCCCAAAACCTAGTGGTCCTACTCCTAGGCATATACCCTAGAGCAGTAGATCTCAAACTTGAGCCTGTATGAGAAGCACCTGGAGGCGTTATTTAAACAAGATTGCTAAGTCCCATCCCCAGAGTTCCTGATTCAGCAGATTTGGAGGGGGGCCCAAGAAACTGCATTCCTGAAAAGTTTTCAGATGCTGCCCTCCAGGCACCTCACTGGGAACTATTGCTCTAAATTCTTACACGCGTCCACCAGGTGATACGTATAATGATGTTTACAAGAGTACTTTTGATAATGGAAAAAAAAAACCCAAAAAACAAAATGAAAATATCCAAATATGTAATCAATTCAAAGGTCCATCTAGAATAGAATGGATAAATAATTTACTCATACAGCTATACGCTATACAGGATGTAAATGAACTACATAGATGAATATCAAAAACGATACTAAGTAAATAAATGCAAGTCACAGAATAAGATATAAATTTTTTTTATGATTTCTAAAACCTTCAGAAATCAGACAAAATTGAACACATTGTTGAAAGACAGACACAAAGATGGCAAAACCACAATTGACAGTGAGTGACATGCAACATTTAGTATTACCATTACTCCTGGGGACAAAGCAGGAAGGAGGATTCAATTACAAAGAAGTAGAGAAAGAACTTCAAAAAATGTTCAGTTTGTAAGTGGGGCAGTAGGTACACAGATGTTTCACCTTATCATCATTCTTTAAACTGCATATATGTGTGCATACATCGTTTTACAAACTCCCTTGTACATGTGACATATTTTACATTTGCTTTCCCTTACAGTAGATCACGTACCACTGGAAACACTGAGTGTGATTCTGCACTGGCCTAGGAATGCTTTCAAAAGCCATGATTTCAGGGTTCCCAAGCAGCCACTACCATTGGCAGCCGCCAATATGAACTCTTACACGCACATGCACCTATGCGCACACACATATCTAAATTCAAGCCCCCATTTTGCCTTATTTAAATACAGTTTTAAGTACAAATGTCAGGGTACCTCACTATGTATGATTCCACAGTAGTCAAAGGAACATTTCTTTTTAAATAACGACATAAAATCATTACTGTTTGACTTTGGGGGAGTTTGAATATGGAGTCAAATGCTCTTAACTGTTCTGTTGTACTTTTCCCTTTTGTGTTAATTCCAACAGTTTTAAAGCAATTAAATTTTCTAACAGTAAATATTTATTTACAGGTGTGTAGAAAATATTCACTTTGGATCTAAATCATGGCTCTACCGTACTAGCTGTGTGATCTTGGAAACATTATCAAACATTTTTCTTCTGTGAAATGGGAATGGTAATATCTGCCTCAAGGGCTCTTGAGAGGATTAAATGCAACGATGAACTTGAATGGCTGCCATCATGTTTTTATAAATTGGATAAGTGGTTACATCCAAGTGAAAGGACAGAGGTATAATCGAGAAGAAAATCACTTGGAAGACAAAGTTTGTTAGGCTCTATTTCACTAATTATCTTTGTAGAAAAGCACTCAGATAATTCATTGGTTCAATTAGAAGACATATACCCAGTTACTACTTTGCGTTAGGCTCAATGCTAAACAATGAAAGTGCTTAGGTAAGACTAACAGCTTAGCCTAGGTGTCGTGGCTCAAGCCTGTAATCCCAGCACTTTGGGAGGCCAAAGCAGGAGGATCCCTTGAGCCCTGGAGTTAGAGGCCAGCCTGGGCAACATAGTGGAAACCCCATCTTTACAGAAGAAAAAAGAAAAAAGACGATGACTGATAGTTTAGTGGGAAGGAGGAAGTAAAAGCAAAAGATATGACAGTGGTAAAAATTTAAAAAGGCTTCACATGCTTGGAGATGGTAAAATATCCAACAGTGCTGGTTCATAGAGCAACGGCTGGCAATAAGGTTGGAGAACTTGGTGGGGACCAGTTCATGGAAAATCCTGTATGTCACAGTGGGAAGTTGAGAATGTGATTTGAAATGAGAATGGATTTCTAAACAAAGAAATGATATGATCAAATATTTAGATACATCAGGTGACATGGTACCCTTAATTATGGAAGTGGGCAAGGGAAATGGGAAACTGGAAAAAAATTAGGAAGAGTTTCACTCTGACAGTCACTGGGAAAGGGCAAGATCGCTTTTGCCTGGGATGCTAAAGGATGTTTTACAGAGAATACAAGATTTTACTTGCTTTCAAAATGTAGCTTGAAGTTTGACTAACTGTGTAGAGTCACGTGGGGAAACACCATGGATTTAGTGCCCCTTACACTCACTCACTAACTAGGAATTATTTCTGAGTCCCGCACAACCCTCCAAGTTATTCTCTATTCTCCTTTCCCTTTTGATTGGCCCCTGGAACTAGCCCATCCATTCCTCTCCCCATGAAAGCTCACGTGCCCAAGACCCATGCTGTGGACAGGTACACAGCTTCCTCCCAGACTTCCTGCCCTCCAGCCGTATACTAGCAGCCTTGGGGAAAGGAGACTGAACACACCAAGTATCAAAGATCTTTCATGTTGCCCACAACATGTGACTTCTACATATTTCTAATTGCTGTCCTCCCAGCCACTCTCAGTTTAAAATGTCTATAGTACATAACCTCTTCCCTTTTCCCAAATTTAAGCCTCTCATTGAAACACTTTGTATGCAAGAAACCAGAGCTTGCTTTAGAAATCCTTATCCTTCAGGAAGCCACATGAATGGAAGACAGGAATGCACGACCTCATTGTGGTAGGCAGAATAATGGAATCCCAAATAGGCACCCACATCCTATTTCCCAGAACCTGTTATGTTATGGGACAAAGAGAGTTAAGGTTGCAGATGAAGCTAAGTTTTCTAATCATCTGACCTTAAAATAGGTAGATGACCCAAATTACCTGAGTGGGACAAATACAATCCCAAGGGTTCTTAAAAGTTGAAGAGGGAAGCAGAAGAAAGCCCAGAAAAGACATGAGGGCAGAAACAAGGTCAGAGTGATGTGACAGGAGAACTCAACGATCTTCCCTTGCTGGATCTGAAGATGGAGGAATGGCCCATGAGCCAAGGGATGTGGGGGCAGCCTTCAGAAGTTGAAAAGCAAAGGAAAGGGATTCTCCCCTAGATCCTCCAGATGGAAAAAGAGCCCTCCCTTAATTTTAGCCCAGTGAGACCAGGGTTAGACTTCTGACCTCCAGCACTGTAAGATAATACATTTGTGTCATCTTAAGCCACTTATGTCTTTGATAATTTGTCACAGCAGCAAAAGAAAATTAATACAATTGTACAGGCATGCATCTGAGATCTTGTGAGTTTGGTTCCAGACAACCACAACGAAGCAAAAATCACAATAAAGTGAGTCACACAATTTTTTGGGTTTCCCAGTACATAATAAAGATTATGTTTACACTGTGCTACAGTCTAGTACAGTGTACAGCAACATATGCAATGGTAAGTTGCAACATTAAGTATGCAACAGCGTATGTCTAAAAAGGTGAAGTAAATACACTTTAATTAAAAACAGTTCATTGCTAAAAAAAAAAAAAAAATACTATCATCCGAGCTTTCAGTGAGTCATAACCTTTTTGCTGGTGGAGGGTTTTGCCTCAATGTTGATGGCTGATGACTGATCAGGGTGGTGGTTGCTGAAGGCTGGGGTGGCTGTGGCAATTTCTTACAATAAGACAGCAATGAAGTCTATCACATCAATTGACTCTTGCTTTCATAAAAGATTTCTCTGTAGCATGTGATGCTCTTTGACAGCATCTTACCCATAGTAGAACTTCTTTCAAAATTGGGGTCAACATTTTCAAACCCTTCCACTGTTTTATCAACCAAGATGGAATATTCTAAGTCATTTGTTATTTCAACAATGTTCATAGCATCTTCACCAGGAGTAGATTCCATCTCTAGAATCCACTTTCCTGACTCATCCACAAGAAGAAACTTCATATGTTCAAGTTTCATCATGAGATTATAGCAATTCAGTCACATTTTCAGGCTCTACTTCTAATTCTATTCTTGCTATTTCTGCCACATCTAAACTTACTTCTTCCACTCCACCCTTCCAAGTCATCTGTGAAGGCTGCAATCGACTCCTTCTAAACTCGTGTTAATGTTGATATTTTAACCTCCTCCCATGAATCACAAATGTTCTTAATGGCATCTAGAATGGTGAATCCTTTCAAGAAGGTTCTTATTTTGTCCAGATCCATCAGAAAAATTCACAATCAATGACGGCTATCATTTTACAAAATATATTTCTTTAATAAGACCTGAAAGTTGAAATTAGTCCTTGATCCATCAGCTACAGAATGGATGTTATGTTAGCAGGCATGAAAACAACATTAATCTCATTGTATATCTCCATCACAGCTCTTGAGCAGCTAGGTACATGTTCGATGAGCAGTGATATTTTGAAAAAAATCATTTTTTTCTGAGAAGTAGATCTCAACAGTGGGTTTAAAATATTCAGTAAATGATGCTGCAAACAGATGTGCTCTCATCCAAGCTTTGTTGTTCCATTTATAGAGCACAGGCAGAGTACATTTAGCAGAATTCTTAAGGGCCCTAGGATTTCTAAAATGCTAAATGAGTACTGGCTTCAATTTAAGGTTACCAGCTGCATTAACCCCTAACAAGAGAGTCAGCCTGTCCTTTGAAGCTTTAAAGTAAAGCATTTTCTGTAGCTATGGAAGTCCTAGATGGCATCTTCTTCCAACAGAAGACTGTTTCTTCTACATTGAAAATCTGTTGTTTAGTGTAGCCACCTTTATCAATTATCTCAGCTAGAACTTCTGGATAACTTGCTTTTTTGTAGAAATGGTGCCAATAAACTTGTTAGATGCAGGTTTGCACAAATTTTCGATTTGTAAAAAAAAAAAAAATAAGCAGTATGTGCAAAGTGCAATAAAGTGAAGCCTGATAAAAGGATGCCTGCCTATATAATGTAAAAGAGGTGAAGATACATAGGGCAACTATGAAAGGCTATTTAGACTGACCAGAAAACTAATTCTACACTTTCGGAAGAAATCAGTGGGTGTAGGAGGTGGCATGTTCTTCCCAGTCAAGGTCCTATTTAGAGAAAGGGAAAGAGACACCAATAATGGAAGAATGGCCTTGGCAAATCTCAGCTTCATGAAGCTCCAGAATCAAAATGTCCTTTCCTGCCCTGACTCTCCCTTTCCTTCCCTGCCCTCTAATAAAACCTTCATATTTCCACTTATACCTCTAAGTCATGCTCTCGGTACCATAATATAAAGAAAGGTTACCAAATCAAAATTCTTTAACCATTTGTTTTCTTAAGATCCATGAGCAGTGAAATGTACTATTTCTGGTGTTTACTTGACATTGTCTTTGACTAATTCTATGTGTCATAAAGTGACCTGGTCAGTTAATTAGGGGAATATCAGACTTGGTGTCTGGCTCTTAAAGACACATTTCCATCCAGTAGTTCCAGTTTGGTGTGGGTATAACCCCATCTGGCCATTTATTCCCAGTGCTTTTGTAGGCAGACATCTCGATTATATGTTTCTCGCTTTTATTATCCTCTATGACTATTTAAATAAACAATGCATATCATTTTCAAACTGTCAGTTTCACAGTATAACTATACTGAACATTTCTATGAAGAATATGGCTGATCCATTCTAACTTTAAAGAAAGTACATATAAAATGTATTATCTTAATATTAAATATAAATTAGAGGCTTTTAGACTCCGTTGCTCTAGACATGAAGTTTTTGTTGACTTTTATTTTCCTCTTTAGAATACATTAATGGACATTTTTAAACAGGGGGAAAAGAAGGCTTCTAACCTGTATCATACATTCACTTCTTATTAGTTTTTATTCTCTTAAATGTGAAGCATTTATTAAAATTCCATCCCTTTAATGTTTACATCATGCTACTGGCCACACTATATTCTACATTTTGTGATGATTTCATATAAATGGAAAAGTCAAACAATCACCTATGCCCCAATAAAAATCCCCACACCGCTCATAAAGGCAGAAAAAGTAGTTTAAAAAGTAGAAAAGCACTGAACTAAATGAAAGAGAAAAAGCATCTAATGTGCTGCACTATTGGCTTTTTCCCCCTAGAATGATCATAATTTCAGGTCTAGAATCAGACAATAAATTTCTCATTATACGTCTTTGCAGAAGGTGGTAATTGAGCAGTTGAAAGTCTGATTTTGGTAAATACATCTTTCAAAGCCATCAGCAAATTCTCTGCTCTGATTAAAGGAAGGGAGAAAAAATCTTCACACATTTATTTATTCTCCATAAAGGTAGGTAGATGAAGAGGTCAAGAACAAAATTCCATTAAATGTATCGATAAGTGTCTTACTCATTTCAGAAGCGTAATTTTTGGCACTGTGGGGCCCTCCATGGGAGAAGTCCAATGGGATTCTAATTGGACTGTAAGTGGACAAAGCATTCTCTAAGAGTGTTCTCTGACTTTGCTCACATGAACATTAGGCTGCAATTGTGACTAAAAGCTTAAACATAACACTTACGACTTACTCCTTCATGACTTACTCCTTTATGTTCATAGAAAGATTAGATCAGAACGAACACAGAAAAAAATGCTCTGGGTAATAAAGCAAGTGTATCTAATTAGCATTAGTGCAGTGATAGAGTAAAGCAGTTCGCTGTATTAAGTTACTCCACTTGCAGCTTTATTTCTGGCACTAAAAGAAGCAGGCTTGCAGTAAGTTCACATTAAGCCTGCAATAGCTCTGTACATATTCAATGTGTTTAAAACCGACTAAGGTACCCGAATTCAGGAACCCTCCAATAGTGATTAGTGAGTGATGCTATTTATAGCAAAGTACAATTCCTTTAGGAATCATATCAAGAATGTCTTGGATGGTCTCCCGTTACTCAGATAGACTACCTATTTGCTTAATTGAAAAGCAAAATTGTGCTTGTATCAGAGCCACACATACTTGCCACTAAAAACAAGAACGATGCCAAGGCTTGGATCCTCCTTTCCCTTAGAAATGCTGTTAGGAGTCTTGAATTTATTCTGATCAAGAGGAGTCCAAGAAGCTTTCTTACAATGCTGAAACATCACCAGCGCTCAGGAATAAATCCAAAATATGGTCTTAAAACATGTGCGCACACACACACGTACGTGTACTCACTCAAACAATCTTTTGTGCACCAAAATAAAAGTTCAAATCAAAACCCAGCAACTACAAATTCAATTTTTGACCTGTTACATTCAAAATCTGTTGCATCCTGTAAATGAAGGTGCTCTAAAGAAAACTACTGAAGCACTGATTATCCCATTTAAAGATGCTTCTAAATTTTAGTGTCTTTAACATCAGATAAAAATAAAAAATTTGATGGCATAAATAGAAAATAAAGTCTTTCTTAGCTATGTTAGGATCAGATCCTGTTAAGCACACAGTGAAAATATTTTTAAAAGCCCTCTAAAAACCAGGAGGCAGATGTTCAGGTAAAACCAAAGCCAAGGGATTGTTTATTTTAATAAAGCTATTATATGTGTAGACCCAAATTAGGAGTGGCACTCAGGCCAGGAGATGTCTAAACCATCACCACCTGTTTGCCCTGAAAAATCAATTAAAGTCACACTTTCATAGCAGCCCCCTTCTAAACAATAAAACTTTGCTTCATCATGAGACTTGAGGCGCTCAGAGGGAACATGTTTGAAACCTAAATCCTTAGTCTCACATTACTTATAAACTAACCACAGTAAAAACAGCCTTCGGGGTAGTGGTAGAAATGGGAGGGAGAAGGAGATGACAAAGACGAGGAAGGGGAGAAATCCCTTTTCCCATTTATTTCATACTGACAATCATACCTCCTTTTGGTGAATTCCAATAATTTCTTCAAAGGCTCTATTTTTTTCTTTTCTTTTTTCCTCCTTCATAACAGAATTCTGCACTATATTTTCTGTGCAATAGAAGAGATCCAACTTTGCAAGTTGAAAGCAAGGGCACTAAAGCCATCGCAAGTGTTTTAGTAATTAAACGAATATGCATAATGAACCATATGCCCAAAGGGCCTGTTCTTCATGTGGGCCAGATTTTTGTTTGAATTTTTAATTTTTATATACAGATGAAACATTCAGTGTAATCTACCAACAGTGTGAGATAACATGCAATCAGAGAAAGTGCGAGGGACAGTCCACGCAGAAGCAGGAACAGGAGAGACTACAGAAATGCTCTTCTGAAGATTTTGATTCAAATGTGTTTTCCCCCTCCAGCAATTGTTCCCGTCATCTGCTCAGAGTCTTCAAGACACACATATAATGAATACACTGACAGCTTTATACAGGATGAGTAAAATACAGTGCCGTCAGCCGAAAAGTGTGAAAATCTCATGGGACAAACAAGAATTTCTTTAAAACAAAAAAAAAAATCCTTCTACACCCATCAGTCAGACTACCATCTTGAATTACAGGGAATCCTTGCAGGTCTCTTTCGGAAGCTACGTAAATATTATATTGCAGGCTGTAGGACACATATATTAGCAATTTGAACTGATCTAAGAGGAATGCTTACTTCTCAATGATGCAACTGTGCATAGTGGGTAGAAAATGCTCGAGGTGGAATGCAAGCTTGCACTCCCCACTCCTTCCTACAGCAGCAACACAGACTATGAATTTAAGGAGTTCATTATGCTCTTCACAAACAGACAGCTCCCCGATATTTCCTAAACTGCCATTGGGAAAGAACTAGTAAAACCTTTCTTTAAGCTTTTCAGTGTCATTTAGGAAACACTGAGTTATAATCAAAGCAATATAAGAGATACAGAGTCTGATAAAATTGCTATATCAGCTCTCCAGACACACAAGATTGAGTTAGGATTCTCCAATGCAGAGAGGAGATCTTTTTTCAAATGTGTCTGTGTATCATTTGAAGTTTACAATGATGGTCTGGACAAAGTTATCACGTCCTAAATGTGGGTTGGTCTTGCATATGCCTAATTCAGGGGAAACATCTCAGAATGGGGGTGTGTTGGGAGGGGTGAGGTTGGGGGGACGCACCGAGGGAATCCTAAAGTTCACCTATTTTCTACATATTTAGCTGAAATAATAACCTAAAAGGAGAATGCTGCACGGGGTGTTATGGCACTGCGAAAGGATTATGAAAACAAATTTGATCAAAAGTCAAAGTGAAGCCTTGGACCCTTTTAAGCCCCGCTTTGGAACACAGAGATGCTGTCGTTTTCACTATGTAAACACCAGAAATGGAATGCAGAGCATTTAAAGAGCAAGTAACAACGGTACGGTAAATAACATCTCTTATTGCTTTCACTCCTAATTCAGAGTTTATGCCTTTGACACCGTCTAGGTTACTTGATCTAGTGGTCTCAGTGGAAAGACAGATAAACTTCAACTGCAGGCAGAAGACAAAAATTGACAAGGAGCGTCACCTTTCCTGACTGTTTAAATCCTTTAAGGAAGTGTCTGAGCAATTAGAGAGGGAGTGTAATCTTTGCAGAGTGCATTAACACTCTGCGACCTCCCAGACAATAGATCAGACCTCAGACACATAATGCTTCCCTAAGGCTTTTTAGCCAGTGTATTTGATCTCTTAGTCACTCCTGTGTTACTGTAGGTATCATCCACATAGAAGGCATTATTCATGAGCACTACTGTCCACTGACTCTCAGGCTGGACTGCAGTCAAGCAAAAAGCAGGAAAGACACCATAATTCTCTGCAGCACTTCCTGTATCTTTAAGATGGAAGCTGGTGGTAGGTCCAGATCTCTGGAAAATATTCTTTCACATTTATCTTTAAGCTACGAAGTCTGTAATGTAAAAAAGTGTATTAGCAACATTAATACCCATAGGTCATTAGATGATCATGGGGCGTGAATGGAACCAACCCCCAAAACATGCCACACTTTTTGTTTGTAAAATGAACTTCATAAGAGAGTCATTGGGAAAAATACCATGAGTGATAAACAACACTGGAATATGCAAAAGAAAGCAAAGGGGGAAAATCAAATAAAATCCTTGCACTGCAAGCTTTTAAATCTTCATCTATCCTGCAGGTTACTCTGCAGGACACACTAGTCAGGCAATAACCTATTTCCTGATGAACACGTCCTGTTCCAACTGCTAATCTCACAGTGGAAGCTTGGCTTTTACCATTTATTATAAACATTTTCAAGAACTGCTTACCACGATGTATTTTTTAACGGATTAGATTTTGGTCAGCTGCTAACAGAGCAGAGAACTGAATATTTTTTATATGAAGGCTGCAAAATAGGTTTTCAGAGTGTCTGACTTGCATTCCACTCCTCTCCCTCATGAGTAATTGGAAGAACAATTGAAACAGAATATAAGAAGGCCAGAGGTTTCTTTTCTTTCTTTTTCTGCCTCTTCTATTATATCATAAAAAAAATTCTGGATCCAAGGGTACAGCATATAAGACATTACTGGTTTGAACTTTACCATAAGACTTAGGGAAATGTTCAGAAGAAAGGCAGAGACTGCAATTCACATAATTTGCTCAAGACCATCACAGTTATCTGTTGATGACACTCAACATCTAAAGCCTAAAGTGTTTAAACCAAAATAATTACATTTTCTTAGAATCAAGGCAGCTCCACCTTGAAAATGTACACTGCAAAGGTTTTCTAAATGAGACTACAAGAAAATAGGAAAGTTGAAAATTAGTTTTATCCTTTAGAGTTTGCATTTTCAGATTCAAACTTAAAAAACCATAAATGAATATATATAGTCACAAAAAGCAATTTAAAAACTCTTGAACCTTAACTAGCAGAAAAGAAAGATCTCCTGTCTTCCAAATGCTTTCACTTTGCTTTGACAATGCCTCATGCCCAAAATAACTAAAAGAATTGAAAAAATGTTATCATATTCACTATGTATTGTCTAATGTTAAAAATATACATATTTATGTTTTGTTTTTATCCCTAGATAAAATAGCTTTCAAGAAATTTGTGATCCTAGTCACATTAAAACTAACTTGAAACACCTAACTAAGGGAGGAAATGGCCTCTGGAAGCAACTAGATTTGATACTATGATATGAAGGAATGTCTCTGTGAACACACACACACACACACACACACTCAGCGTCATGCCTAAGCAAGCCATGTCACACCCAAGAGCAAAGGCCTTTATAGAAGTGAAACCTAGCCAATGACATAAGCATCAAATTTTAGCTGCAGGTTAAAGAACGTAAAAATGAAATTAAAAAAAAAAGAAGCCTTAAAATGGTTATTTTCCTAATGAAATCTGTACCAACTGGGCAGTAATCTGGATCTTATTTCTTCTGCATAAGGAAGAATGTGCTACAGAATATTCAAGAAAATTATTATAAAAACAGAAAAGTACACAACATGAAAATTTGAATTTTTTTTACTAATGTAATAATTTCTGCTTATAGACGATTGTATCAAATTAAAAATAAATTGCTGAAATTAAAATCCCCAAGAAGTAGCCCACAGAAATTTACCTTAGGATTTTATCATTTATGAGTTTCTATCGCCACCTGCAGGACTATCTTTAAGTAAACTCAAGCGATTGCCAAGCTATTTGTTATTTTTCTTTCCTTTTCCTTTTTTCTCTCCCTCCTCTTATTCCCCAACCCTGTTTTTGATTAAATTTCCAGGAAATCAATTTTTTGAAAACATGTAGATTATCAAAAATGTAAAAATCGCCAATGAAATGCAAAATCAAATTTGCCGAAAGAGGTGCAGTTAATGAGGCCACAGTCGGCTAATTTTTTTTCACAGCTAAACACACTATGCATTTTCCTATTGTGAAAAGTAGAATTTGGGGATGGGGGTAATGAATTAGCCTATAAAAGTTTCCTTGCAAAAAAAATTGAGGGTCTCGGTGATTTCCAAGGAAAACTGCTCTTGCTATGGGACACAAAATGTTTATAATTGCATGTACCTAGCTTAACCCAGAGCAGAAGAAATGTGGCTATTAACAAAGGCATACTTAGCTGAAGAAGCAATACTCTATTCCTTAAAGAGAAGACAATGTAAGACAAGGCTTCACTAACAGCATCGCTAAAGCCTAATAAAGAGCAAGGTTTTAGAGCAGAAGTCAAAACTTAAACACCTCCCAAACACAAAAACACCGTTCATCATCATCATCATCCTTGTCATCATTGTGATCATCGTTATCATCTTCATTACTCTCATCACCATGGACACAACATTTTGATGAGGAAAATTCACCTGTTCCAACGGAAGAGTCAGTCAAGTGAGCACGAGGTAGCAATACAGATTTACATCTCCCTACGGCATGTTACCACTCTGAATAGCAACTCCACAGACTCACAAACTATTTTTACTCAAATGTAAGACCTGAGGGAAAATGTACCTAAAAAAAAAAAAAGCAGAGTCCAAGGATCCTGTGTATATGCAGTTTGTACTCAAGAACTAAAACCGTAATTTCAAAGTTTATGACTATACAAGCCGTGCATTGTAAAAGTAGTGTAGGACTGAGAATCCTCTATTCAAACAAATGAGGAGGCCTTGGGAAAATCACTTTCTGAAGCCTGCAGCTTTCTTCTTCCCCTCAGACTGACCATGAAAGCCCCTCCTACCTCATTCTGTGGCTCCATCTTTCCTATATTAAAAACAACAGCTGTTGGGTCTTGCCTAACACCAATGGGGCCCACAAGTATATTTCTGTTTTGTTTTGGGTTTTTTCCTTGACAAAATGAAGCATCCCAGACAATGAATTAAAACAGAAATTTTAAAGAGCTTGGGAAGCAATAGAAAAGTCATTTTAAAAGGCCAAAACCAATATGGATTTAGGTAATAAGAGAATCCCAGGGAGACTAGAACAGTCAGTAAACACTGTGCAAGAGCAAGGCTTAGATGATTACATATTGAACCTGATTTTGATTAAATATCAAAATCTTTTTTTTTGTATACGTGAGATGGGGATGATCAGGCTTTATAATAAAAATCTCCCTCTAAAACACATCTGTTATTTAAAAAGCCAATGACACAACCCCTAGATAAAGGGAGCAGTAACAAAACACACCTTTCTAAATCATAAATCAAATGGCAAAAGTACAACACGCTGTAGTAAACCCTGACCAGACCACAAAGAAGGCTTCTCTCCATAAACATCAGATCAGGCAGCTAGAACGATTACTGGGCTCTCTAGTAACTGTCACCTGTGGTGGGTCTAATTACAGGCTACCCCAGCAAGCACGCCCACATCACACAGCAATAAAAGGGCCCTCCGCTTGCCAAGCACAGCCAGACAATGGCGAGCACATGCCACCTGATGGGGAGCCCCAAAAGATCAGCCAGAGAGACTAATAAAAATGACAGCTTAGAAACAAATGACAAAGCTCAGACTGCAAAAAAAGAAAAAAAAAAAAAAAGCAATATCAAATTAGCCAGATATCTAAGTGCTGAGCATGTTCTTCAACAGGTCAAAACCTACATAAGGAATTGGTTATAACTGTTTTCACACACACCAGGTCCCCCTATTTCTAAATATTCTTTTCTGTTTTTGCATCACACAAAATGTTTGCACATCCAGGTGTCACATACAGAAACAAATGAAAGGGGAGAAAAGGCATTCAGTTCTGAAAATATCAAAAATAGAATCTTCTCAGATTCAGGGGCTGTGATGGCAGTTAGAGATTTTCCAGCTCTCTTCCTCCTCCTGGCTGCCTTTTGGCCATTTTGCTACTAGTTAGCACAATTCCTGGATGGGCAGGATCAAGAAAAAGCCAGAAAAATGCATAACAGACAAGAATATGATGAAGCTGCCAGGTTGTTTTTGGATTTTAGCTACTGATGCGGCCACAGGCTATTATGATCAACGGAGGTGTACGAATAAAAAGAAAGCAACATCTGGTAACAGATGATTTTCACTAGTTCTAGCACCCTTCCAAGAAGCATTGATTAGATGCCTACTGTGTACCCAACATTATCCTAAGCAGTAAGGATATGCACAAAGATGAAAGACTGGGCCTTTGCCTTTCTGCAGCTTGCAATATACTAAAACAATCCTTCAATCATGAGGCTGTGTTACACTGCATAACTATATAACACATGACATTAACCGGAAGTATTAAGTCATTGAAATAAAATACCTCTTCTTTTTTTTTTTCTTTTTTTGAGACGGGGTCTCACTCTGTTGCCCAGGCTGGACTCAAACTCCGCCTCTGTCTCTGAAAGTGCTGGAACTATAGGCATAAGCCATCTATTTTTGACATGAACTGAATTTATTAGGTCAAGCATGAAGAGTATCATCATAGCCTTGAGGGAGAACTCTGCTTGGCATCTGGTGGTTAAATAGACATTAAGTAGCCCTGGAAATGATTGACTCCTGAACACCAACCACAGCACACAATACCAAGCTTTGCATTTCCACCCTGTCATTGAACAGGTTCTCAACAAGTCCAGGTCCACAAAAACAGTTTGCAATGAAATAGCACATGAGTGTGTGTGTGTGTTTTAGCGAGGCCTTTCTCTGAATTTGAAGAATACCATCACCCACCAATAGTTATATCAGATAGCAGTAATTCCTACCCATACTTGTAACCCATTCCATGTTTTTAAAATATTTCCATGCTTATGACCTAATTTAATTCCCAAAGAGCACATTTTTTCTTATGATATGCTTGTTTTCAAATATAAGGGAGGATGATAGAAGAAACTTGGGGGAATAAAGTAGGGAAACTAAGGAGGTGAGGAGGGCTTCTGGAGAGAGGCAGAGTAGAGGGGATAAATGGGGTGAGGAGGAAGGAGAGAGAGAGAGAGGGAGGGAGGGGGAAAGGGAGGGGGAAAGGAAGGGTGAGTGGAAAATAGGGGAGGAGGGTTGATAGACTTACGAGTGCTCAGTATGAAAATTCATTCCTGCATTTCAATATCTAGCAGTGTACTAGATACTCGAAACCATCACTGCTTGTGGGAAGGGGATGGAGAAGAGGGAAGAGAGAGGAGGAAAGAGGGAGGATCGGGAGAAGGAGCAAGCCTGAAGAAGGTGGTAGTCAAACATCAGCTGCATTAAGTTGCTACACGACCTCTGGAGTCTTTTCTTTAAGATTGAAGATCCTAAAATCTGGATCAAGCTCAGTAGGGTATCTCTGGAAAGCAGAGTGAATTAGACTGCACTACTTGGGATCTGTAAAAGACAAGGAATCCGTATTAGTCAGGGTTATCTAGAGAGATGGAACTAATGGAATAGGAATATATATATATTCATATTTGAGTATTATCATAGCCTTGAGGTAGAGCTCTGCTTGGCATCTGGTGGTTAATATATATGAGTTTATTAAGTATTATCTCACACAATCACAAGGTCCCACAATAGGCCATCTGCAGGCTGAGGAGCAAGGAGAGCCAGTCCGAGTTCCTCAACTGAAGAACTCGGAGTCCGATGTTCAAGGGCAGGAGGCAACCAGCATGGGAGAAAGATGTAGGCTGGGAGGCCAGGCCAGTCTCTGTTTTCACATTTTTCTGCCTGCTTATATTCTAGTTGCACTGGCAGCTGATTAGATGGTGCCCACCCAGATTAAGGGTGGGTCTGCCTTTCCCAGCCCACTGACTCAAATCTCCTTTGGCAACACTCTCACAGACACACCCAGGATCAATACTTTGTATCCTTCAATCCAATCAAGCTGACATTCAGTATTCACCATCACAGAATCCTGAAAAGAAAATTCAGAGAAGGCAGAAAATATGTGCTTGCAAGTGCACACCAACAGAAAGCTCAGAAAAGGCAGTGGTAGTGACACAGGGTCCCACGCAGAGCCTGGACCTACACACAAAAGGGGGAGCTAACCATTTACATCTACCAGGCTATGTGAATATGGCTGTGCTATGATTACAATAATTGAGATCTAATGTTTACTAGTCAAAATTGGAATGCTCCAAAAGAATAAGTGATTTCAGTCGATCTAGCTATGATTCTGTCTGGAATCACAACTCACAAAATTGAAAATATAAACATGAAAATATGCTAAAATAGTTAATAGTGTCCTTTTAAATTTTTAACAGATAATCTTTTTAATGCGATTACTGTAATTTTATTAAATTGCATAATTAGTTAATGCCTGAGAACCTGCCAATAGAAGGTGCAATTATGTTGTAAAAATTATGCTCACAATATGCAATGATGGATTGTTCCTATTTTAAAAAAGTGCTGAAAAAAACTTTAAAACATTTTGAAAGTATATTATGTAGTCCTTCATGAAAAGGAAGACTAGGGAAACTATCTTATATATGTTAAAACCATAAGATGCCAAATATTTTAAGCATTGAATATACCTATATATTTTGCATATATGTGTATATGGTTCTGTGTGTGCACTTATATATACACACTTTTAAGATGTCTAAAACCCCTCTTCTTCTGGTTATTGTAACTGAAATTTCTTTTTTCCAGCTTTACACAAATACTTTTAATTTTTGAGCATCAACTGCACACACACCTAGCAAATGGGCAGCGATGTCTGCTCTGCACATCCAGTTGTGACTTCTGGTGGATGTCATAGCCAATGAAAGAGCTTAATGAAATGCAGGTGCATTTCGTTGTGAGTAAACTGGTGACAGAACTTAAAGTAAATCTTTTAGACACAGTTAACACATAAATATCGAAAGCATCAAAAAGACATTTGACCAGCATTATTTAATGAGTCGAATCTCAAAACAGTGTTGCATTTGTCATTTGTACCAAAGCAAAATGAATCTGAATGTTTTTCGGTCCACAGAGAAATCATGGAAAACAGCAGTCCTCAAGGCCTTGCCTTTGGTTTTTACTAAACTGCTTTCACAAAACATTCAACAGAGCAACTTTTAATTTCCCAAATGTCCTCTGCTTCTTCGTGTTCATGCATGTGTGTGTGTGTGTGTGTGTGTGTGTGTGTGTGTGTGTGTGCACAAGTACATGTGTGTTGGAAGGGTTGGCTCTATTACTGCTACTGTTGTTTTTAAGTTCTATGTGAAATTACTTCACATTTTCTCAATATTCTAGGATCTCTAAAAGCTAAAAATTCTATATATGTTAAATATGGGATATTACCAAGCGAGTGGACAGTTGTATTTTTTAACTTTATTGAGGGAGAGGTTGATTGATGCTTTAATTTGTGTATCATATTTCAGTCCTTGTCAACTCTGAAAAGTAAATTCTTTATTTCCCTATACTCAAAAAATCGGAAAAAAGTCACAGATGTTAAAATCATAGCTTTATGAAGATACTCGTTGATATATGGTAGATTTAGATTACTTTTTAGATCAAACATCCAAGTAAAAATTTAATAAAGCAAAGAATCCATCAATGCCCCACAAACTTGCCTCCCTTGATACAATAGGTGTGTGCCTGAAATATCGGTGGAAAAATGAAACTGCATAAATGCAATTCTATGTTAAAAGCATCAGAACTTTGCTGTTTAAAATCACCTTCTGATGATGCCATCTGTCAAGTAAATAATATTTTAACATATGAAAAATGCATTTATATAATAATATAACTTTAGGACTTTTAATAGACAACATTGGGGTTTATAAAATATAAGTATGTCATAACAAAACACCCATACATGATTGGATCTACCAATATAAATATCACAATGCAAAGTTATCTTTTGAGAACAAATTTATCTTTATTATGATCAAATAATGTATTTGCACTGAGACACTGGGTATATAAAATAGAGATCCCCACTAGACATATGGGCCTATCTCTTTTATAGCTATTATTTCAAGATATTTTAAAGGAACATAAGGGGTGGTTATTCTCTTCTACCCCATCCCTTTTCTGAACAACTTGGAATACTTAAAAAAAAAAAAAAAAAACAACTGAAAAGTCCAATGCCTTCCATGATCCCTTCCACTAGTTGTTTTCTGTTTTTACTTTCTTCTCCCCTTGAAAATCCCTCTACATCATCTAAAAGCATTCCT
This sequence comes from Homo sapiens, assembly GCF_000001405.40. Taxonomy (NCBI): domain Eukaryota; kingdom Metazoa; phylum Chordata; class Mammalia; order Primates; family Hominidae; genus Homo; species Homo sapiens. The sequence goes on along the minus strand of NC_000015.10, from coordinate 94,406,753 downwards.
CAAAGGTGGGGAAAAACAAGTCAGACTGTAATTTGGGACTCAGTCTAGAACCAAGGCTCTAGGGTTTTTCAAATTATCCAGCTGGATTCCAAGGATGCCAAATGCATGTGATGCCCAGGGGCTGGGCATTTCCATGTTTGGCTTCTTTAATTTTGGTCTCATCATCACTTGTGAATAAAATAACTGAGCTAAAGAATTATTCTCGCCCATGTAATGAGGGTTTCTTTCCTGTATAGCATCACAGCTTGGAACAGGCTTAATCCCCACACATAATATCTAAATACAGATCTGAAACAATCAGTATGGTTGGTCCCGGTGTCACTATGTAAATACAAGGACAACAAACATTGCATCCTGGGCATCAGTGAGAGGCAGAATAGCTGAAGGGTTAAGCCTGCACAGACTAAAGCAAGATGGCCTGGGTTTCAATTCCACCTCTACCTCATACACACACATGAGCTCTGTCACTGTACTTGACCTCTATAGGCTTATTTTTCTCATCTGTAAAAAGAAGATAGTAATCACCACCTACATCAGCAGGTTGTTGTGAGAACTAAATTTATAAAATCCTTGGGACAGTGTCTAAGCACTGAAATAACATGAACTATGAATAATAGTTCAAATAGTCAAAATCTGTGTGGGAATGGCCATGTACACGTCTTGTGTATGTATATAAATGTATATACATGTGTATAAAATACCACATATATTTACAAATCTATTCATAGGGAAATATACAGGTGCACTTACTTCAAGGCAAAATATTTCAGTTCTATTTGGCCTCATTCACTAAGTCAACATCTCATATTAATTTGTTTTTCAAATGGGAAAGTCAAGAATGTTACTTTCTGAAGGAAGAAAAAAGAAAAAATATATCCTTAATTTAATATAACTAAGTAAACCTTAGAAAAGGCAAGATACCAAAATATCTGAAAAACATAGGGGAAAGAGAAAGACCCAGAAGACAAAATGAGAAAGATTTTCAATGTTCATCCTAACAAGAAGAACTGAGTCTATAGAAACTTGACTTGGAATGGTCTGACCACCCTACAAATGCCCATGTTTAATTTCTTATGATAACAATAAATTCAACACTATGCAGCAACATTAACATAGCAGGTGCATTACTGATAACTTTCTTCTCTCATGTTGGGAATACAACCACTCCTGTAAGTGTAGCAGTGATAAATCGCATGGTAGAGGAAGGTGATGCTTGGGTCATCTAGCAAGGTGAGTTCTCTCACGTTTGTCCATCCACTTCTGACGAGACACCATGCGGACCTAGATCTTAAGAGCCTGCTTTTCTTTAACTGCTGCTTTCAACAAGATACGATTATGTTCATGCACATGTACATAGGCATCCATGGAAAACGTATGGTTTGCTTTCATAAAGTCTTAAAATTGACATTGAGAATAGATTAAACATGATTCTGCAATGTTCATGTTTGTATCACCTGGAGCTAGAGTCTAGAACATAAAGTTAATATTTTATGTTTTCTCAAAAAACAGAAGAAAAACACATCCCTTCAGTTCTGCCCTTAGTTTGTTGTGTTAGCATCACTTCCTGTACTGTCACAAGAAGAAAAGCCCCACCAGGGACTGGTTCAACTAAAATAGCTCCTTTCACACCTGTGTAGCAAACCCTCAACTATCACATTCGCTAATTTCAATTAGAGGACCTGACTACGGGTCATTTAATAAATCCTTGGCTTAAAACCTTGCTTCAGACAGCGCCTCTGTTCTGCCCTGTCATGCCAAGGCGAGCAGTTGGAACATGAACAAAGTGTCACAATGACGAATAAAGACACCAAGCAGCATTCTGTCAACAGATCACAGGAGAACATCCGTCAGTGTGTGTCACCCCTGACAGATATGGCAGTTGCATAGTGAAGAAAGGCAGAGGAGAGCCTGGGCTTGAGGATCCAACATTTTGCAGAAAGACAACCCATCATGAAGCCCCACAGACTCGGGGACACAGCACTACAGCCAGGGCAGCCCCCTAGGTGTGCAACCCGCCCCGCCAATCCAGTCCCCTACAGACAGCTAACAGGTCTACAGGCAAGGTACATAAATGAAGGCGTTTTCAAAGAAAAGGACATGAAAGCTTGGCTACCCATAATCTTACCAAAAGAAGAATGAAAGAAGATGAAACGGAGGCCAGGTGCGGTGGCTCAAGCCTGTAATCCTAGCACTTTGGGAGGCCGAGATGGGTGGATCACAAGGTCGAGGTTCAAGACCAGCCTGGCCAATATGACGAAACCCCGTCTCTACTAAAAATACAAAAATTAGCCGGGCATGGTGGTGCGTGCCTGTAGTCTCAGTTACTTGGGAGGCTGAGGGAGAAGAATCGCTTGAACCCGGGAGGCAGGGGTTGCAGTGAGCCAAGATCGTGCCTCTGCACTCCAGCCTGGGTGACAGAGTCAGACTCTGTCACAAAAAAAAAAAAAAACAATAAAAAATAAGAGATGAAACTGAAATACATTTATTATTCTGTCTCAAGAAAGCATTTTCTGTATAGCCTCTCATTTTAATAGCAGAAATGGTTTTGGAATAATCATAATAGGAATAAAAAAACAACTTTTAATAAAATTACACTTCATCAACTTAGGGAGGGGAATTATCCACCACGTTATGGCTGCGGTATTTCTGAGAATCACCAAGGCCAGTCAACATACACATGGTCTAAATTTTTGGAAGTAGAGTTTTAAATTAAAACTGAAAACGAGTTTAAGTGAGCACTTTTATTCCAGTACTTTCAGGACAACCAAATGATAGGCTGTAGGTATATAGCGTATCTAACTGGCTCTGCATTTTTTTCAATGGTGTCCAATGAGAAATGTCCCTATACACACAGTCGCATATACCCATGGATCCTTGCAAAATCATACTTTGGAAAACCAGCAAGGAGAACACCACCTTGATCTTCCTTGCTGTGGGCCTCAGAGATCTGAGAGTACAACATGGCAGCCTGCATTCTCCAGCGTGGGGGCGGGCTCTGCTCCGAGGCATGAAGCTCAGCAGTGAGGAATCCCTCAGAGAAAAGGCCGTGGAGAAGTGGCTCCATTTCTAAGCCTCCCTTCCTGTTTAGAAGTCCCCTCTATTAGACAACCTATTTCTATTCATCTGTTCTAATCTTTCTTCAGATCAAGCCAGCAGCCCATTAATCATTTCTGTCATCTCCCTACAGAATCCAGGGCAACAGATCTCTGTTTTTCTAAAATCACAGTGCCAGAAACTAAACTCGAGAAAGAGGAAATCCTCTCCTCCTCACAGTGGCTGTCTGGGTGCTGACTGGAAGAAGCCACCAATTGTGTTCACTTTCCTCTTTTGCCCAGAATTGCATAGAACATTCCATGGAAAGTTTTGAAAGGGAATTCGGGTGGGAAGTGGAGCTGGGGAGGTTGAAGGGGAACTCAACGCATGAAGCCACCAGCTGAGGAGAACGTGAGAAAGGGAAGTGGATAAACAAATGCTGAGACAATGACGGATACAGATTAATAAAACCTTTATTAGTGTTTTTATTAAGGCCAAATGTTTTAGCAACTTCAGACAGCAGAAAAAGTATAGGAAAGGTCAAGCCTACAGGCAGCATAGGTCCTCTACACCGAAGCAGTGGAGAACTAAAATAAACGACAGCAAACAAAATACCCCCCAATGGCAAAGGAAAAGCCTCTTTTGGAGCTGATATACTTGATGGCATAAAAATGTTGGGAGTGACCTTGAACCCATTGGCTTCTTGGGCTAATAAATGTTTTTTTTCCCCCATTTTTTATATGAGGCTATGCCTGTTGGCTAAGAGAGAACATTCAGCATATATTGGCAGTAGAAAACAGAAGCAGAACCACATAACATTCAGAAATCAGATTCACCAATGATCATGACTGATATTCACACTCTTAGACCACTCATACCTCGTATTAGTTTTTATAGTGATCTTTGCACAGGACAGAAATGAATGGCATGATACCAAATATACAAAGATTTGCAGTCGGGAGACTTGATTTCTCCTCCCATGGCTGACATTACCAATTTGATCAAGGACAAGTCCCTTTACAAATGAGAGAAAATGCCCTGAGATATAAAGTGAAGGCATGAGGCCAGCTGTGAAGTCCTTCCAAGATTCTTGGGCTCTCAGTGGTAGACTTAGGTGGTTTTAAGATCTCTTGCAGCGCTTTGATTCTGCGATTTTATTATGCTCATAAGGATGGGCCAATGTCACCAGAGAAAAGGGTACATTTCATAGACAGGGGTGGTTCCTCTTTGCGGTGCTGAATGAAATTGCAATGTGTAATGATCAGTATGTCCCAACTGGCTTGAAATGAATAAACATCTTTAATATCAAAGTTTGGGAATAATTTACTTAAAATGTAAATTGAACAATTCAGTTATTATTTAGTCCTGTGATTTTTCAGATGCCATTTTTCAGAAATTATGGGCGGTCACTGGCACAGAAAGAAAAAAAATACACACAATGCAGGGCTATACAAATGTAGCTGTAACAACAACTGGAGAAACATTTAAACATATATATACAACAGTAGTGCTCTTAAATTTACCAAGAGACCATATATGACTAAGATTTGGGTAATTTAAGGGGTTTCCCAGGTAAATTTGACCTAAGTACTGTCTTAGAAAGACAACCCCCACGTAATCACCTACGCTGTAATATATTTCAGAAAGATGAATAGATGCAAATAAGAAGCAAATAGTTTGAACATAAGAAAGGAAGCTTACCGCGAATGCTATTGTACTTCTTAATGTGGATTCCCACTGGAAGCAGCTTTTAAGGAACTGCATTGTATTCCATATTGCCATAGTGATTCTTTTCACACGGTCCACATCTCTTGATAAGATCTGATTTTAAAAAATGACAAACAGGAAACTAGATTTAAATACTACAAATATTCCATCTAGATCAGGTACCCTGATCATTTAAATTATATTTTGTATAGATCCCAATTTTAAAATATGATAATAATAGAAAGGAGAAGACCTGACACTTCTAAAAGTCTTTTTAAAATATGATCATCCATAGAGGAAATGAGAATCAAATGCATTTTAGCGCTCATCTGAAAAAGAATAGCCTGTTTCAACAATGTTCAGCACAAAAATGGAACTGGTGAAACTGCAGAAGCCAGGTATTTAATGTTGGTGAATTTGTGTGAGAAAGACACATGCAGAGGCAGAGAGAGAGAGAGAACTAGAAAGAGAAAGACAGAGAGAGAGAGATAAAGAGAGATACAGACACAGAATGAGTGTCTATGTTGTTTAGTTTGGAAGCAAATGAATAGATTTACAATTAAAACATGCAAGTATTATAGCTTATCTAGTCCAGAGGTCTACAGAGTTCTGGGAAGGGATTGGAGTTCACCTTGGGCAAGTTACTTAACTTCTCTTTTACAAAATAGGGTTGATATTAGTGCTAATCTTACAAGGTGTTGAGAGAATGAAAAAGCTTAGAAAAGTGCCTGTCACATAGTAAGTGCTTTCAAGCATTTATATCCTAAGGAAACGTTTCCAGTTTATCAAAATTTGGGGGGACTAAGTAGCAAGAGGCACGTGCGGAGGGTCCTAGCATACCCTAGGATTTCAGCCCCAAGTTCCCCAGTGCTCTGAGAGCCCAAAGCCACCCCACGTGGAGGTCTTGTTTTGCAAAGGAAATGTCTCTCTCCCAGTTGCAGGCAGATTCATTTCAATGTGCTTGCAAAGCAGCTACCCCACCCACCTCAACCCAGGTTTTAACTTTCAAGTAAACAGAGCAAAAGGCAATAATAACAATAATAAAATAAGACATTTACTCAGATTACACAAAATAAATATTACACTCAATGTTACGGCAGACCAAAATGAAATATTTGGAGGCTTCCCCTCAGAAGACGTTTAAGGCCTTTCCCAAGTATGCCCAGAAGTTCATGGGAAACAAAAGGATGATAAGACGTCTTTATATTTAACTGCTTTATGTAATCCACAGCTGCTCACCCCAAAGGAAGTGGTGGAAGTAATAAACTCTTGAAAAAGGGGACACTTTGTTCTTTGTTATACAATTGAAGAGGGACGATAGGTACAAAGTGAAATCCTGAGCTGCGGAGAGTACAACAGGGAGGGACTCTGAAAAAGGAATGTAAAGGTCACGGAAAAAAAAAAAAAAAAAAGTGAAACTTCCCCTACCAGACCCTGAACTTCACCTTTTGTTGAACTGAATGAGAAAGGAGTTAAGGGCAATAGGCAGAGGGAGAGAACTTGCATTCAGTATGGGGTGAAATGCCAACACATCCCAAATTTAGACCACGCCGAAGTGGTAGGAGCAGTCATGAGCGAAACCCAGGCTAGAAGTCTCTGAAGATCTGCTGGGTTAATTCTGTGATTGACTCCACACACTGCACCTCCCTGAAACTTCAAAGGGCAGAGGACAAAATGGCTGTGATTAAAGGACGGATAGGCAGGACAAGACACTGACAGTCTTGATGCTAGGAATTTTTGTTTATACAATGAATCAGGAGAATAATGGGGGCCTGAGACCTTCTGTTTCACCCAAGAATTATGTTTTAAGTCTTGCCCTTCTTATGGGAGCTGACTGACCTCCTTATTTTAGGAGAGAAGGGGACAAGGAGAAATAAGTGGAGAGATGGGGCAAGAGGGAGAGAGGAGGAGTAAGAGGGAGGAAAAGTTTCAAGGAAGAAATTACAGGCAAGTGTTAATACTTCAGCTGCTGGGTGCTGAGTGTACCAATCAACAAGCCACCTACTGTAGCGACCCACCTTTTTGGACAGCTTGCGGCTGTCTTCAACAAAGCGCTTTTCCCGGGGAGTAAAAGTCCTAATACTTGCTTTCACCTAGAAAAGACATCCTTGTTAAAAAAGGGCAGCATGTATAGGGACTTCATCCACCTAGTTTTCTTAATGACTGGGAAAATCGTGCAGACCAATAGCTTCTGACTCTGACCTTAGCAGGGAGCAAAGAAATGGTGGACACCCCTGTGCCCTGTACATGTTTCTGGAGGTCTCATTTGATAAGAGTCCCTGGCATGGGTCAGATTGAGTCTAGAAGGGTACTGTCTCCACTTTGCTCATTCCTTGGGGGTATTTTCAACCACTGCAGAGATTGAGGTTCATGAATTTTTCAAACTAACGTCCGTAAAAGATAAAACTTCCTTCTGAAATCCTTTTGAGTTAAGCTTCTACCAAAAATGTCTGCATGTGAATAACAATTTCCAGTTTATGAAAAGACACTTTTCACAGAGAATTTTATTTCCTTTCAATGACCCGGAAAAATAAGTCAATGAGCCATTTTAGCCCCATTTTACAGGGAATAAACTGAGGGTCAGAGGGACTTAGCACTTGTTCAAACCACCAGACTGAGTAAGACCCCAAAGAATCAGATTCAAGTCCTTCTCCACATCACACGAACTGTAAAATTCCTTAACCGAAATATTTTCTCTTCAAGCCTGTATTCCACTTTTCCATTAAACTCAGGTTTTACCAGTATACATACTCTATACACAAACGTTTTCCAGAAGAAAGCAGGAGATGAGGGTAACCTGCTTATAAAATGCACAGCTTTAAAACACTATTCTTTCCTCTCTGTAGCTGCAAAAATTCTGAAACATCTTACATTGATTTGAGCCTCCAAAGGCTGGTCACCTTCTATTTTAGGTACGGGAAAGCCGGGAAGTATGACCCAGCTAGACTTACCGGATTATATATAAGGTCCATCTCTAAGTAAATAACTCCTTTAAAAGCTTGTTCTAAATCTTTATTCTTTAGTACATAACAATTCGGTTGTCCATCTCTAATCTGTCACAAACAAAAGACAAAATACACATTGGTGCAAAATTACTATGTGGTTTAAAGTAAATAACCAAAACTAACTTTGGCAAAATTGGGGATGCACAATGATCACAGGTGAAGCAAACATTAAAGAAATATTAAATCCACCATAAATCGCCTTTTACTTTTAGAGTGCTGTTATAACAAGCTCTAGATAGGAAGATAAAGTGATGATCACTAGGCTGAAACTGGTGTGTGGATGAAAAATATTGGTGCAAATCATAAGTTACATATTTCCATTTACTCAAAAATGATGAATATTCTACAAAATTCCTGGCCAATACTCTTCAAGACTGTAAAGGTCACGGGAAAAAGGAAAGACTAGGAAACTGTCACAGATTAGAAGAGTCTAAGGAGATAAGATGATTAAATGCAATGTGGTATTCTGGATTGGGTCCTTGAACAGAAAAAAGATATTGGTGCAAAAACCGGTGAAATCCAAATAGGGATCAGAGTTTAATCACAAGGTAACAATGTTAGTTCTTTTCAGTTTTAACAAATGTATTATGGTAGTATATAACGTCAACATTAGAATAAACTGGATAAGGTATGTATGGGGAACCCTGTATTCTCTTTGAACTTCTCTGTAAATCTAAAAGTATTCCCCCCAAAATGTTATTTTTAACAGAAATGAATAAAGGAGCTGGTTTTAATGGTGCTTTACAAGCCAGGAAACAATGCAAATTAAGTAAATAAATCAGCTTAAGGTTGAGGTCAAAATCCAAAAACACTCAAAATGCACAAAGTGCCAACAAATCTTCAAAATAAACAAGTTTCTCTGCTGTCCTCTCTTGGCTGGCATGTTGCATCAGTTCCATACAGTAGTCTACCTGTGGACCCCACATATAAGTTATCTAAGTAAAACATTTTCAGTATGATTTTGGAAACTGATTGGCTCCCATGAAAGACAAGTTAATTAGCTTGATTTCATCATTCTCTTTTCAGATTTGATAGCAGTCATGATTTTACATAGTAGTAGTATATGTAACTGATTAAACTTTGGGCTTTTAAGAAGCATACCTATTAACTCTAAAAGGGCCTCAGCAAAACTCCAGTTAATCAAAAGCTCTATTTGAGATTGTAATGATCAAAAATTTCAATAGCATAGGAAATCTAACAGCATGAAATTTGAGCCATATTTTAAATGACTATTGCTGTCACTACAAGCATTCACACAAGTGTTCTTATAAACAGTGGTAGAAATGAGTTGTATAAGTCATGGGGGGAAACAGCAATTCCACTTTACAAGGGAGAGGTCATCTTCCTTCCCAAAGTCACCCCACCTCTCTCTGATTGAATAGGCTTGATACAGAAGGATGGTCTTCCTGGCCAGCAGCTAAGAGGAAGGGGGTGCCCCATAAAGACCTGGTTTCCTTCCTAAACGGTGTCCAAACAGGATTCTGAGCTTCCGCCTTGATACACAGTCTCACTTAATAAATTGTGGATGTTAAAGTTGAAAGAAATAAATACAAAAACAGCCTGACAATTTGCCAAGCTGACTTGGGTCCAGTTTAGCTTTGCTTCAACGCACAGTCATTGTACTGTTATCTTAAAATTTCCATGATTTCTTAAGGGTTGGCAAAGAATAACAGAAGAACAAGAGGTATCAGAATAAAGAGAAATATTTTATAGCAAAGGGATTTTTTAATTTGGTAAATGACCATTTCCTGTTTCCTAATGTCCCTCACATTGTGTCAGCAAAATCAGAACCCACCTAAGGACATGAAAGCAGGCATCAAAGCCTGAGATAGAATTAAACCCATGCATGTTTGGGACTTAACTATCTTAAAAAATAGAATATAAGTTTAAAAACTGTAAAAAGTTTAAAAATTGCAGAAAAAACTGAAGTCCCTTTGAACTTCCACAAACACCAAATTCCTTCCCCTAAACATAAATTAGACAGGAATTTGGCAGGCATCCTTTCTAAATTTTATTGAGATTTTATATTCATAAAAATAGTCTTGACAGACAAATGTATTTAAAATTCTTTGCCTAAGTGACAAATTGTGTGTATTTTGCAATTTTGTTTTGTATCTATCAATATGACTTGGTAATCTGTTTATATTAGTATCTAGGTCTGGTTCATTTTTTATACTGCTATATAATCTTTAAAAAGTGAATAAACTATAATTTATTCATTCTCCTATTGATGAACATTTAGTTGCTTCCACTTTTCTAGTTTGTCTGCTACAAGGAATATCTTTAGAGAAAAGATAAAAGCTAAAGGAAAGAAGAAATGCTAGTTAGTATTTGGAATATGTTTGGGTTAAGAACAGGTGAACACATTTGAATAGTGTTATAATTAACATTGAGATAGTAACAGAAGAGACTACTTTTAAAAATATTTTCCTCCCTGATTATATAATTGAACTTCTAAAACAAGAATATCAGATAAAAAGTTCTGTATCATCCAACTTGCCAAACTCCTACATGAGAGCATTTATATAATAGATGAAAACCAAACATATATATATACACACACACACAATTCCACGTCTAAACAAAATTTATTATTTATATTTAAAAGTCTGAAAATTATTTCTACATTTATAACCTTAAAGCTTCTATTAAATAATTAAACAGACATAATTAAAAAGAAAATTTAGAGGAGAGAATCTATATATACTTTTCATTAATTTTGAGATCTCCGTCAGCAAAGGCAAAAAGGAAAAATACAGCTTTCAATTTATGACAAAAAGACAAGGCAATTCATTTGGAGAGATTTCCTGAGCTGACATTTGGGAGGACTTCACTTCACTCAAATATGAGTCTTGGATAAAATAATGATGTCTTTAACTTCAGTTTTCCAGGATAAACTCTTCAAATTGACTTACTACACATTTTTGTATACTTGCCTTTTCATGGCCAAATAGTGCATAATATTAGGCAATAAGCTGAAGAAACCATCTATGCAGGACAGTAATAACAGATTTAACTTGAGAATGCAAACACCCCTCATCAGGAAAATTGACACTTTCATGTCCCTTATATTATTTTCAGAAATATATCACAAAGCTTTTATAGAGCATGCTAACAGCTGATCCCTGGTTCAATCGGTCAGTAAATAAAAGTACAAGAAGTCTGTTTCTGAGTAATGATTCAGGACTTTGGAACCAGAGCCAAGTCACTGAAGACAGTCTTGCTGAAAATTTTTAATTTGACCCAGAGTCATGCTTAAGCTATTTAACTTTTTTCTATATAAAAGAATATTAAATATATTTACCAAGCAGTAAGCACAGTAAATATAACCAGTTTTTAGAAGTTGGTTGGTAAAACTAATTTTTGAGTCAAATAAATGGTACACTCATTATATTAAAAAACTAAACTATTTTATAATCAGCATATAACAGAGGTGAGCATGTGAGAACAGAGGAAAAAAACTTCTCATCTTGAACTCTTTTTAAAAAAATTATCATTATTATGCTTTCCTATAAAGATCTTTGATGCAATGAATTGCCAACTCATTCAATAGCAAAGTTCATCAGAATCAATATGAAGGAATAAAACCATCAATGGCTTTAGAGAGGAAAGATACACACTTAAGATCAAAATCCAAACTAAAGGGTCATACTGATTCCCCATTGTTTGACCTTCCAGTTAGAAACTGAGGATGTTGCGTATAAATAGCATTGCTCTTTCAGCCGTTATTCACTCTTATTCACTCTGCATAAAAGGGAAAATAACGTGACAATACCATGACATATTAGTTGGTTCCAGCTGATGCACATGGAAAGTGGCTCTCCAATAAAATGTGACGAGGACAGACATGTGGCTGGGCAAGAGGAAAATCAATACACTTTACTCGGTATCCATTCACATTCTTGTCACCACTTGGAATCAGGCCTTATTCCCATGATGTGAGTTATACAAACAGCACCTAGAGAGAGATCTACTAGGTCACTGTTTGCTGCACAGAAGCTCAGCTACCAGCCAGTAGAGGCAGCATGGAATTCATCACCCTAGACCGCCTCCATTTCTACCTCACTTCTTCCTTTTTGAGACAATCCATTCATCCACTGCCTGAAACCCAAACCAACTATCCCTAAAATATAAGCTGCTCCTACAAAAGCAATATATATTCATTCCAAAAGTTGTGTACAATTTATAAAAAGTGTTTAATAGAAAAAACACAATGTTAATATAACTTTTTTTTTTCTTTCTTTGAGATGGAGTCTCACCCTGTCGCCCAGGCTGGAGTGCAGTGGCGTGATCTTGGTTCACTGCAACCTCTGCCTCCCAGGTTCAAGTGATTCTGCTGCCTCAGCCTCCTGAGTAGCTAGGACTACAGGCACATGCCACCACACCTAGCTAATTTTTTGTATTTTTAGTAGAAACAGGGTTTCACCATGTTAGCCAGGATGGTCTCGATCTCCTGACCTCGTGATCCACCCGCCTCAGCCTCCCAAAGTGCTGTGATTACAGGTGTGAGCCACTGCACCCAGTCACAATGTTAATGTAACATTTTTAAACAAACACTCATATGAAGTTTTTAAGGCATATTCGTATTTGATCATTTCAATTGCTAAAACAATGCAGATGAAAATAATGCCAGCTTACACTATAAGTGCTCACTGTGTGCCGGGGAATGTTGTGCCCACCTCATACTTAACAACTCTGATCTTCACCATACACCTCCAATACAAGCAGAAGGATACTTATCTTCACTTCAGCAACAAAGAAATGCAGACAGATAAGATAAGTTAAGTAATGTTAAAAATCACACAGCCAGTTTAAAGGGGGAGTCAGGGTGTCAACCTAGGTGGTCTGGCTATAGCATTTACATTCTCGACCATCATGATCATAATTGAATAAATCATGAGCCATTCATACGTGTTCAGCTACCACGTTTTTTACATTTTTTTTTTTTTTTTTTTTTTTGAGATGGAGTTCTGCTCTATTGCCCAGGCTGGAGTGCCATGGTGCAGTCTTGGCTCACCACAACCTCCGCCTCCTGAGTTCAAGTGATTGTCCTGCCTCAGCCTCCTGAGTAGCTGGGATTACAGAAGCACGCCACCACGCCCAGCTAATTTTTGTATTTTTAGTAGAGACAAGGTTTCACCATGTTGCCCAGGCTGGCCTCAAACTCCTGACCTCAGGTGATCCACCCACCTTGGCCTCCCAAAGTGCTAGGATTACAGGTGTGAGCCACCGTGACTGGCTGATTTTGACTTCTTTAAGTTTTCTGCTAGGTTGACTTGTATTTTCCTTATTGATTAAAGAAAATGTATATACTGTACTAGTGATATTATCCATTTGTTTAGATACTGCCAGTATTTTTTACCAGTCTATCCTTTGTCTTCAATATCTGATGGCGATTTTTGTTTTGGCCATACTGATATCTTAAGATTTTTTTTCTCTTATTATTCCTGCTTCTCAGTTTACTTACATAGGATTTCCCCACTATTTTGACATTTTTAATGAAGTTTGTTACAAGTGTTTGATCTTTAACTTATCTTGAAATTGTTGTGTTTGCTGTAATACACCGACACATTTTCCCCGATGGTAAGCAACCAAATTACCAGAATTACTTAAGTAGTTTATCATTTCCTCAATGACTTCATCCTTCAAGTTTATTATAAATTAAGTGATTTCCAATTAGTCCTCTCTCAAGCCCTTCAGTACAGTCCTAGAATTTCTTCACATAAATCTTAGACATTATCATTTTTTGTTTTGTTTTGTGTTACAGTCTTGGATTCTTTTTCACTTTTTAAAAATGTTTTCCTGTTGTGTATAGTCACGAATCTTATTTTCATAATGTTGATCTTACTGACATTTTAGTCACTCCAAAATGTTTTCTATGAATTTTCTTTATGTTCATAGATAATACATATTATTATTCAAAGATAATATATTATCAGATAGTATTTGCAAATATTTCCTTTATTAAAATGTGCATAATTTCATATTTGTTACAATTTTGTATTGCTCAAAACGGACATAAAAGGCTTAATTTTTAATTGTTAATTCATAAACATAGAAGCTCATTAGATTTTCCAAACAATCCTATGCAATAGGAACTATTATCAATTTAAAGATGAGAAAATAGAGGGAATAGCTCTATTTTTTCTCCAAGTTTTTTGTTTTTTTTTGTTTGTTTGTTTGTTTGTTTTTTGAGATGAAGTCTCGCTCTGTCACCCAGGCTGGAGTGCAGTGGCGTGATCTTGGCTCACTGCAACCTCCGTCTCCCAGGTTCAGGCGATTCTCCTGCCCCAGCCTCCTGAGTAGCTGGGATTACAGGCGCATGCCACCATGCCCAGCTAATTTTTTTGCATTCTTAGTAGAAAACAGGGTTTCACCATGTTGGTCAGGCTGGTCTCGAACTCCTGACCTTGTGATCCACCTGGCTCGGCCTCCCAAAGTGCTGGGATTACAGGTGTGAGCCACCACACCCAGCCTGTTTCTGATTTTTTAAAATGCTGAATACATAATATATATCATTTGACAATTCTAGTTTTATTATTTTTCCCTGTTTTAATATGCACATATATTTGTATGAAAAGTTATCCCCTTAAAGGTTCATATTTATAATAACCTTACTATTACTATTTTTTTTTTTGAGATGGAGTCTCGCTTGGTCACACAGGCTGGAGTGCAGTGGCATTATCTCTGCTCACTGCAACCTCCGCCACCCGGGTTCACGCCATTCTCCTGCTTCAGCCTCCTGAGTAGCTGGGACTACAGGCACCTGCCTCCACACCCGGCTAATTTTTTGTATTTTTTAGTGGAGACAGGGTTTCACCGGGTTAGCCAGTATAGTCTCGATCTCCTAACCTCGTGATCCGCCCACCTCAGCCTCCCAAAGTGCTGGGATTACAGGCATGAGCCACCGCGCCTGGCCTTATAATAACCTTATTGTTAATTCAATCTTTTTTTTACCCCTAAAACCTGTATCGAGTTTCTGACCTACCTTTTACTTACATTTGTGTAGGATACTTTTGTTCATCCGTTTGTGTATTACTGTGTTTTAGGTGTCTCAAAGAAGCAGCAATTAGATTTTACTCTTTGAATCCATGTAAGAGGTTTTTCCACTTAATAGAAAAGTTGAACTGATTTAACATCTACCACGTGTGATTCACCCAGCTTTCTACTTGCCATCAGGAGACTCCTACAGTCATTCTTTCTCTCTTAGCCTGTCTGTTCTAATCAAACACCTAGACTGTCTACTACATGGGGTTCAGGATCTCTCCAGCATGTTAAAGGTATTCTTTCCTAGTTTCTAGAACCAATAGGAAATTTGCGTTATTTTGTCTTCATTTATTTATTTCAATGGTTACATTGGACCAGGAGTAGACAATGAGAAGAGGTGAAATTTCCGTTCAAAGTGACCATTTTCGCCCCACTTGGGACTCAAGTTTTGTGTTTATCAAATAATTTCCCAGGTGATACATCCCTCTCTCCTTTTCACCTATGCACACTGCCCCTCTACCCTACGGCACCAACTTGACTTACATGGAATTTGCCAACCAAATCTATGCCCTGGAAAACCAAACCTTGGCAACAGATTTACTTTTTTTAAAGCTTAATTATAAATCAATATTATTTACTTTAATGGGCAAAAATTTCTGTATTAACCTAAAACAACCTATGACTGTTCAAGTCCATTTCAAAGCACAAACCCATCACAGGTGAAACTTGGGCAATAGAGTTAATTGAAAATGCAAATGGAGATACACATGGCATTTATTTGGTACAAGCCATTATAGAAAATTTGTCCCAGTAAATCAATTAAGTGAAGCTGTTATTGGTGCAGCCAGCTATCGGGTGTACATGGATTCACCGAGAACACTGGGAATTTAGAAGGACAGTATAAAGACCCATGCTTCTGATTATACAGTCATTTGTGACATTGGCCTGGCTCACACAGAAGGACTCACATCTGATTCAAAATGCAGGTCTTTGGCAGGGCATGGTGGCTCACGCCTGTAATCCCAGCACTTTGGGAGGCTGAGGTGGGCAGAACACCTGAGGTCAGTAGTTTGAGACCAGCCTGGCCAACATGGTGAAACCTTGTCTCTACTAAAAATACAAAAATTAGCCAGGCATGGTGGTGGGTGCCTGTAATCCCAGTTATTCAGGAGACTGAGGCAGGAGAATTGCTTGAGCCTGGGAGGTGGAGGTTGCAGTGAGCCAAGATCAAGCCACTGCACTCCAGCCCAGGCAACAGAGCAAGACTCCATCCCAAAAAAAAAAAAAAAAAAAAAAGAAAAGAAAAGAAATTGCAGGTCTTCATCAAACTGCAGATGACTTCTTATTTGTTATTAGGAAATACCAATATATGCATGCTTTTCCTGTTTTACAGATTACCATGAAAGCTGATTTTCAGTCTTCTGAAATGGGTCCATTGGGTAATTTTGAAAGGGTAAATGTGTGATTCAATAAAAAGGAATGGCCTGGAGAAGAATCCAGCCTGATTTTCAGGACAGAATTAAGATCACTTAATTAAGGATAAAAATATTAAATAAGTCTATTGAGTCAGTGAATTATCAGAAGATCGTGTCTACTGCCTGACATGTTTTAAGACTCTGAAGTGTGCTTAGAGTTTTCCAATGCACACTTATTGTGTTACTGATTAGAAGATTAAAGGAGCAATGTGAAAATGAGCAAATATTAGAAGTCTTCAGATTATAACGCATTCCAATCTCAATTTTCTACTGTTTTTAACCATGAATATTTTATTAAAAAGTATTCTATATCTATATAAAGAACTATTTTTCTGAAAAAGATTGAAGACAAATGAAATATATGGAAGGATAGCCCATTGGCCTGTATTCTTTCAATTATGATAAACATCTAAGTATATATATATATATATACATATATATATATATATATATATACATATATATATATATATATATATATATATATATATATATATGCCTTGAACATTCACCATCAATAATGAATATATTTATATGGATTTTAAATGAGTCAGTAGTCAGCACATTCACCTTGATTAAAAAGATATAGTGAATTTGGAACAGGCTCTTCATTTAACAGGCTTAAATGCACTTAGCACATTACCATTTTGAGTGAGATTAAAAGTTGAAGTATATTCCATACTTTATACTTAGACATTTAAAAATATAGTTTGCATTTTCTCTAAAAGTGTAAATCAAGTTACGGTTTATAACTTGATTAGAGAAAATGAATTCTCAAAAAAATTATTCACATTCCTCTTCAAGAAATACAATTTCTGTTTTTTCTGTTTTTAAACCTAAAATAAGGTATTATTATGGCTCCACTGCCTATAAAGATCAGAGAGAAACACCAACAAATCAATTTTTATGATTCTTGCTCACGTTAAAAAACAAAACAAAACAAAAAAACAGAGAAACAAGTCCTTCTCCTAAAGAAGCACACAATATGAAATCTAAGGGTGTCCTTTGATGCTTAATTCTCAGAATTTGAACCAAGTCTTCTGGGAAGAGTCTTCTCTCTCACTAATTTGCTTCATACTAGAGCCGAAACTTTCTTCCTAGTCAACTGCTCCAATATCTCTACCTCCAGGTCAAAAATCTTCAGTGGCTCCCTGCTAAAACAGTAACCGAGACCTCCCTCAACCTTTCCTGGGCTGCCCTCAGTGTGTCCCACTTCCCCTCCATGCCCACCCTGAGCTCCCAGAAGCCAGGCCCCTCCTCATTCCCAGACACGGCCTTTCCCCTACACCTCTGCTCCCCTCATTCCTGGACCCTCTGTTTGGAATGTCCTTCATTCTTCACTTCACCTGCCACACACTATCAACACGCCACTCACCCCTGACCCAGCTCAAACTCCCTACACTTCCTAAGTCTTCCTAAACTTAAACCCATCCGTCCTACTTCCCACTGCCCTTTCTCGTTCCTGTGAGACTTATATGTTTATTTGGGTCTTACGTGTTTATTGCACAGGTGCCTTCCTGCAAGTTACCCAACTCTTCAAGTCTGTGTCCCTCCTGCCACCCCCCAACCCCGACCCTGACGGCACATAGCACAGTGGTTACACAAAATAGCCTCTTGATTCTTGCTTTGGAGATGATATATACTTAATAATTACTCACTGTGGCAATATAACAAACTCTTAGGAGCTCAGGCTTTAGTATGAGACCACCTAAATTCAAATCCTGTCTCTATTACTTACTAGCTACAGGATCCTTTCGGTGCTTCAGTATCCTTATTTGTAAATGGGCATAATAATAAAGGCTGCCTCATCCAGTCCTTAGAGAACTGATGGTTCAGCACATGCCAAGTGTAAGGCACAGAACTTGCTAGTTCACTATTCTATTGTAAGCATCACTCAAGAGAGATTAAAGAAAAAAAAACTAGATCTAAATAAGTAGGTTAAAACACATCCTCTAAATCACAAGTTAGAATTATTTGAAAATAGAATGATCCATGAAACAACTTACAGCTTATACTTTGCCAGTTAAATTGAGGGTTACAGCAATTTTAAGATCATATTTATATCTAATATTAGATAGAGAATCAATTCATTTGGAGAGGGAATGTTGCAGGTGGACCACTGAATTTCAGGGAGAGCCCACACAGATGCACTAGAAGATATGATCACTTCCCCAATTTATCAGTCAGGAATTGGAAATGAATCTGGATTGAAACAGAGTGAACAGCAGCAGCCGAAGCATCTTACTGAGTGCACCATGCCAGGGTCCCCCGAAGTCCCTGAAAGGAATGGCCCAGGCTGTGCTATTTTACAAGGTAGAGACCTTGCAGATCAGGGGTTATTCCTGGATGTACACAGCACTTTTATATTAGAAACAAACACATAATGTGGAACAAATCAAGCACTTCCTGGCCTGAAACTCTTCGTGGTTTCCCATCCCCCACGATGAAAATGCCAAAGTACTTCAACCTTTTTCACTTTCACATCCTCCAGGGTCCTCTCCAGCTCCACCCTACCTCTGTGTCCTTTCCTGTTCGCCACAGGCACACTTGATCAATCTATACTGGCTGCCCGGCCATTGCTGGAATTTGACAGTCAAGGTCCTGCCTCACAGCCCTTGAACTTGAGAATTTCCTGCCTGGGAGGGATTTCTCAGATATCCACATGGCTCTCTCCCTCACCTCCTTACGTTCCCACTCAAATGCCCCTTTTTCCATGAGGCCCTCCCTGGCTAGCAGCTGGAAAAAAGTGCCCTTCCCCACACATATTCCCAGCAACCCTCTCCCTCTTTACTTTTCACCATCTAACATTCTGTATATTGCTTTTGTTTTGTTTATGCATTGTTTCCTGCTACTATAACAAAAGCTCCAAGAGAGGAGGGAGCCTCCCTCTGGTCATTGTTAGAGCTCTATCACCTAAAGCACTGCCTGGCACCAAGTGGACACTTGATGAATATTTGTGGAACAAACGAATGAACAACAGATCATAAGGCAGCTTATGACCAATCTGAAAAAAGTCCCAATCGAGGACTCCTTGCATTTAAGCCAGGTCATTCCTGAGACATTCTACCTTGTATTTTGAAAGATATGTTTTGAAAAATGCATTAGTTTAGGTCAGCGGTTCTTGACTGGAAGTGATCTCTACCCCCTCAGAATATCTGGCAACATCCACATACATATTTGGCTGTCACAGCAGGGATGTGGGCAGGCGTTACTGTTATCTAGTGTGTAGAGGTCAGGGAGACGGCTGGACATGCTACGATGCACAGGGCAGCTCCATATGACAAAGAATGTCCTGGCCCCAAATATCAATAGTGCCAAGACTGAGAAACCCTGATTAAGCTGGAGGTAACTTCTTAGATCTTCTAGGGAAGGAAGGAGAGAGGGAGGAAGGAAAGGAGGAAGGGGGGAAGGAGGAAGGAGGAAGGAGGAAGGGAGGAGAGGAAGGAGAGAAAAAGGAAGAACCAGTAACCTATGCTAATGCTTTTCACAAACCAGATCCTTCAAAATACGAGGTAGAATGTTTTGGGAAAGCCTACTTTAAATGCCAGCCACCACACACTTTGACTTTTTTTTAGGTTGGCTACAAGGAGGGAAGAAGAGAAAGACAGAATCGGGTAAGGGTTTGGGGAAAGGAAGGCAGGCAGGCGAGCTAAGTCAGTTGTTGGTAGTACAGAAAGACCAAACACACAAAACTTTTAGGTACAAAACAGAGGGGAGTTGTTTTGTTTTGTTTTGTTTTGTTTTTAAGTCATGTTCACCAAGCAAGGAATAAAAAAAGTGAAATGAGAAAACTGTCAAGGAGAGTCTTTGCTTTGAGTCCCCCAGACCTCTCTAAAGTGTCCCCCACATTCTGGTTACATGTATTCTCATGGGAATAACTGACAAAGTTGTAATGAAAAAAAAAGGGGGGGAAATCCCAAATTGCCATCTCCTCTCTGAGAGCTGCTCGGCTGGTGCCGATGGCTCAGAGCATGTGGCAGGAGCCAGCCGTACCAGGGAGCAGATGCTGCAGACAGGCTCTCCGAGTAACATCAGGGATATGAGAACTCGGGGAGAAATTATCCAAGTGCACAAACACAGAAGAAAAGATAGTAAGAAGTACGGCATTCCTCCCTCTGTAAACATCAAGTGAGTTAGGCTAATCTCATGGTTAAATTACGGAGTGCTCCATCCACAAAAATCCACAGATAGCTTGGAAAAAATAAGTCTTTGGGAAGAATAAAGTCTCATTGGCTGATAAAGCCATAATAAGCCTAAAACAAACTGTGTTAATGGTTGGATGAAAAACTGGAATTCTCTCTTCTCAAAGAGTATGTTTGGTACATATATCACTGTCTAATTAAGAGATGAATTCACTCCCCAGCTTCCCCCCGACCCATGTAAAGGCATTCTTTGGTGCTTTCTCTTCTGAATTTTGTAAGTATTTTTTCCTTCACGGACCCTGGTGCATTATCTTATAGCTGGACTGCGAAAACTCTTTTCCTTCTCCAAGAAAGGCCCTCTGCTTTCTTCCACAAAGCATTTTTAAATTTTGAGACCAAAAGCAAACATGACTGCTAAAAAGACAAATAGAACTTTTGGGAAAATGGTCTTTAAAAGAATTGAGAACAAATGTGCAGTTACCAACAATTAATCTTTGAAGAAATGTACAGTAAGGAGCTATAAAGAAATACATGTGTGTTTTTCATTAATAAATAGAAAATCAGTCATTCATCTATATTCCTTGTAACCAAAGACAAATTCCTATCTTAAGTTGGGAAGACTGAAAATGAATTGAAAAACTGGTCAAAATGTTTTGGTTGGTTACGTCAATATTGGACTGAAACAGAAAAAAATTACATCCCTTTATATCTGAAACTACTGAAAATACCGGAAAAGAATGAGGAATAAAACAGTCGTTTCCTGCTATAGTTAGGAGGATTTTTTTCCCCCAGGTTGACAAAGATAAAGCAACTCTAGACCATAGAAACTCATCAACTATAAAATGACTCACAAATTGTTTATTAATAAAGGAAACTTACGGACAGCAAGGGAATGGCAACTTTTCCAAGAAAATCTGGGGGTTTATCTCCATCTTCATCAAACACTGTCACTTCCAAAACATCATGGATATCTTTAATGGGACTGTAACAAAAATACCATGTATTATACACAAAAACACACAAGTGAAGTCTGTTCCATGAAGATCTGGAAACACTGTTTCACTAATTAAGTCTGTATGTCCTTAGAGTATAAACCTACCATTTAATTAAATTCCAAAAATTAAATCAAACTGACTGTATTCCCAAACCTTCCATCATAGAAGATTCAGACATCCATATGAAAAAAAGAAGTCAACTTTTTTACTATGACATTTTTCAAACAGTATACCTGCACTCAAGGGTAGGACTTTCAAAGAAACAAAATAAAGAAGGAGATAGGGAGAAAGCATTAGCAGAGTGTCCAACCAAAGTAATTTTTAAAAAGCTTCCAAATGAAAGGAGTTAACATTTTTTAAAATTAAGAATTACCTTTAAAATAAAATGGTGGTGAAAAATCACTATTTCCTGAAATGCTTAGAAACCCTCTGTTGTTGAAACACAAAATACTAAAAATATACATATTTTAATATTGACCAGAAGCCAGATACCAGGGACAATGAAAAATGGAGCCATGGCCATTGGCAACGTGTTAGGGAAACAAGAGACTCTTATATCTGGCCATTGGCAAAAGTGTTTAGCAGAGTTAATCCACTTTTCATAGATCCTTGGGAACTTTCTGCTAATAGCATTAACTCTACTCAAAATGAACTTTATTTTTTCACTTATAAGCACAGACAGAGCATTGATTTAGCTTCGTAGGGACAGTATGTCACCATTTTACCCAAATTCAACAGGGCCTCCCCTCAATGTTCAGGTGCCTTGAAATCTGAAGCAAACTAAGATCTTAAATCTATCCAGCCTCCTAAATGCCCAGGTTTGATAGTGTGGGCAGAGAATCACTATGGGATGGGTCGCTCAGATAAACTGGAATATAAGGAGCCTTTGGGGGTCTCTAAGGAGTCACAGATAATCTGTATTTTCCTAAAGATTTTGGCAGATCTTAGAACACATAAGATCACTGAATTTAAGGCAGGTCTCCATTTCCTTAACCCACGAATGAATTAACCTAGAAATATGGAAGCTTCCATTTATTCATAGATTAATTTAGTCACTAAAAGATCTACTTTACAAATGCCTCCTATAAAAGTCCCTTGCAGTTCCAAATGGTCTCTTCTATTATTAACACCACACTCTATAAAAATGAAAGGATACAAGGTTTTCAAAAGAAAAAAACAATAAAATTTACTCTTTGCCCATAAAAATGGACAGAAAATTCCACTCAAGAGCCCCAGACTACCTTCCAAGCACAGCAGAAATAATTCCAGAGGCTAAAGCACTTACAATGTAAAAACTTTGTTCCATTCAGGGTTGAGGTTTTTGTAGACGGTATGCGTCTGAAGTCGGTCATTGCCTAACTCCAACAAGCAAAATGGGTCACTCTTCCCTGGAAAGATAACATACACATCGGTCAAAGACAAGTGAATCTCGAAAGGGACAAGGGCAATGTGAACAAGAGTCAGATAAAGTTGTGCTTGCTGAAAGAGGGAAGGCAAGACTGCTTTTCCAATGAGTCATGGAGGCCCTGTGTGGGAATCCAGGAGACAGGCAGAGGCTACAAGTGTTGTACCTTTAGCAATACTCAACGGGTTAGAACAAACACACCGCCTGATACGGTCTGGTTGTGTCCCCACCCAAATATCATCTTGAATTGTAGCTCCCATAATTCCCATGTGTCGTGGGAAGGACCTGGTGGGAGATAATTGAATCATGGGGGCGGTTTCCCCCATACTGTTCTCATGGTAGAGAATAAGTCTCATGAGATCTGATGGTTTTATAAGTGGTTTTTCTTTCACTTGGCTCTCATTCTCTTTTGCCTGATGCCGTGTAAGACGTGACTCGCCTTCTGCTACGATTGTGAGGCCTCCCCAGCCACGTGGAACTGTGAGTCCATTAACCCTCTTTTATAAATTACCCAGCCTCAGGTATGTATTTATCAGCAACGTGAAAAGAGACTAACACACCACCCAAGACCAGGCCTTGAAAGCCAGCGGCCACACATACACATTTCACAGGAGTGGGAATCCATTTGGCATGAGAGCCCATTTCTTTGTTTTTAAAATGAAGTTCATCTCTGTTTCCTTCCTAAATTCTAAGTCAATCTGCATAATTACTATTCTATAACTGGAAACCTGTAACTTACAGGCTTCTACATGGCTGTAAGAGGAAGTGAGAAAAAGTGTAAAAATGGCTCTTTAGGAGTTAAGCTCTGCTCCTGAGCAAATGGTCACAAACACTCATGATCCTGTATACTCAGTACGTTATGAGAATACACGAGCTACATTTCTGGTGTCATAAAACAAACAAAAAAAGTATAACTCAATAAAGGTCAGAGTTTTTAACTTAACAAAAAAAAATTAAGCTCATCTTTCACTTCTCACCTCTCCTCTTTCTACGCTATCTCCCATATTTGCACACCAAAAAACCTAAGAAATTTCCAGATCCAAAGTTAGACCTACAGTGTTACCAAGCAAAAAACTCACTTCCCTTTTGCTGTGTTTGGCGGAAGGATCTGGATTTGGAACTGTCAGGGAAAGAACGAATGGCTCCGTAATGTCCGTAGGACATTAACGCATTGCCGGCGTCTGCAGCACACTGGCACTTTACAAAGCAGCGCTTGCTAAATTAATTGGGGGCACAAGGACAGACGCTGTTCCAACAAATGGCCAAGGAGTCCCAGGCCAGGGCCTAAGCCAGAGAGTGCTCAGGCCTCTTGACCTGCTGGCCTACCATTCGGGTCACTGAACCTCCATCTAATTCGCTTAATAACCAGGCGCTCTGAGGTACAGCACATCAATAGAGATACTGATACTTGCAGGAGCCTGTATGAAGATTATTGTTTAAAAAGGGAGGAGGAGAAGAGCAGACGCATGGGCGATGAATAGTATTAAACAGGAGATTCCACTCAACTGACTAGTGGCCTGGACACTTAGATTCCTCGCCAAAGCTTTTAAGTCAATGCTACTATTTCAGTTGCCAGTAGACAATGATCAAGCCACAGACATAAAGGAAGGAGTGAGGGTTTTCAATTGCAAACAATGGAAATGGTCCCTGTCTACATATAGCGGAAAAGAAATTTATTAAAATAATATCAAACAGCATTCAGAATTCCTACAAAGGCTGGAGAATCGGGCTAAAAAATATCACTATAAACCAAAGAATACTTAAGCACAAGAAACTCAGCCCATATCTCATACCAGGAAAAGTCTGTTGTGGCCTCTGCTTCCCCAGAATATTGCCCTCACAATTCACTTCCAATATGAATTCTCTACTCCTGCTTCTTTGCCTCACTCAAGACCGATGCAAGGGCCTCCGGGGCCTGTCTTACACAGCCAAGTACCCAGGCCTGAAAGGCCAGAACTCATAAAGGGAATACTGACTTTGTAGCTTCTGTGAATGAAAGTGGGCTCTGACCTCTTCTTCAAAATATACAATGGGAAATGATTCAAACACGGAAGGGATTTTAGATGCTGGGGAGTCAAAATCAAACTAACATAAAAATCCATCTGCACCCACAAAAAGTCTTATTTATTTAAAGACAGTTTACGCTGGCCATGTGGTTTGCAGGGGAAGAGGCTGGAGTTAGCTGGGGAAAAGCCTACCAACATAGAACAACACCATTTCCTCTTCAGCAACTGTGAACAAGAAGAGACCACATACTTTTGGCTTAATGCTCAGGTATACCATGCTTGATTTCTCCACCCAGGCTGAAACAGCTACTTAACCGTTTGTCAGACTATTAGTAGGTGTCAGCGCTGCTCCTCCAGAGACGCCAGCATGACACGCCATCAGCAGTTGCTCCAGGGAAACCGTCTGACACTTTTAATGAAAACCCTGGGGTTACTCCACAGCAGGGCAGAGATGCTGCCTGGTCCTGTTGAGGCACAGGTGGGCTCGTTCTGTGGCTCCCGCTCTCTCAAGCAAGCACGCTCTTAGCTGTCCCAGCTAATGAGGAACAGACTTTCCTCCAGAAACCAGGAACTTCAGTTATGTGTCTCCAAGGAACACATTGTACCAACTCTCTGAAGATAATTCAGTCAAAGCTCATTAAAATGCTGCATTTATTAATTTTACAGTATAAACAGAGAGAAGCAAGAAGAAACAAAGACATTAAAATATTTATAGAATAATTTATGCACATTTTATGGATTGATTTCTCTTAAAAAGTTTCAGATATATGGGGACTTTGAGTAAAATTTCAATAACAAATATTCTTATTTGAGATAACAAGTATCTCTCATAATAAATGAAATGTCCAAATGCTCACCAATGGTACTGAGAGAAAAGGACAAGGGAGACTGACATACATACATTTGAGGCCGTGCTTTTCCTCTTTGTACCACCCATTTCACAGGAATAACATCTAGAAGACCTCCTCTGTGTCCAGAAGCCACATCACCTTGACACATTTATGCCACTGACAATTCAGTTTCACATTGAGGTTTAGCACTTTGCACTCAATAGCCTTTGCTATTTTCCAACATTGCTTTAAAATTTATTTGTATTTCTTGAATGGCAAGTAAGGGGGGGGTTCACTTAAACAGTTTTACCTTTGTATCAATTATAGAAGCTGAATGACAAATAATAAATGTGTTACAATTGTCATATCATTCATTTGATAACCCCCCCTTTTTTTTTTTTGAGACGGAGTCTCACTCTGTTGCCTAGGCTAGAGTGAAGTGGTGTGATTTTGGTTCACTGCAGCCTCTGCCTCCTGGGTTCCAGCAATTCTCCCTCCTCAGCCTCTCAGGTAGCTGGGATTATAGGCACGTGCCACCACGCCCAGCTAATTTTTGTATTTTTAGTGGAGACAGGGTTTCACCATGTTGGCCAGGCTGGTCTCAAATTCCTGACCTCATGTGATCCACCCACCTCAGCCTCCCAAAGTGCTGGGATTACAGGCATGAGCCACCATGCCCAGCCCATTTGATAACCGTTTATTAAGCATATAGCTTAATAAATGTTCCTAGCACTAAACTGACCCTGAAATACAATGACCACCTAAGCAATTATCTGCAAGGGACTCTCATAATGGTCTCTGCTATTCTGAAAATGCTGCCCCTTCCAAGAAAAGATTCCTCATTCTCATCCCACAGCAAACTGAGTTGTTTCCATTTCAGATCTCCAATTGTATATTGCTGTTACTACTCTTATATCCCACATTTGTAAATTTCCACTCCACAGTCAGCATGCATATTCACTTAAGGGTCCTGATGCAGGCACACCCAATATATGTATGCTCTTACCATCCCCCAAGAACAGTGCTACGGCCTAGGGACAGAGGGCAGCAGTGAAATGCAGACGAGAGCATGAAAGTTCAGAGAAATGTAATTCAGTTCAGAAAAGTTCAGAAAGATTTCTTAGTGGAGGCGATTCTTAATTGAGGTTTACAAGGGAAGTGTTTGATGAGCAGAAATGGATAAGTCCTTCTTGTGGAGACGGGACAGGTCAAAGCATCAAATTTATTAGGAGGATATATATATTATATATATTATATTATACATTATATATCATATATATTATATATAAGTATAGATTATATGTCATATATTATATATATATCATATATAATTATATGTCATATATAATTATGTCATATAATTATATATTACATATCATATATAATTATATATTACATATCATATATTATATATATTATATATCATATATTATATTACACATTATATATTATATATCATATATATGATATTTACATTTTGTATATATATGAGAGAGAGAGGCAAATAGCGATAATCAGGTAATGTAAGATACAGGTGGATAGGTACTAAGATTGGCTTGAAGACCATGACCAGTAGTTTTCATTTCATTCTACTCATCCAGGAGCCAGGAACCACCCTAGACTGTCAATACAATACAAGGGGTAGAGTTGGAAGAAAGCACTTCTGGACCAACACAATTCCTGAAACTAAATATGGAGCATTTTAGCTCAGAGAGGCTTGGGGGACGTGGGAGGACAGCAGAGCCATTCCAGATGAAAATTTCTAAAACTCTATTTTCATGTCTTATTTCCAACCATTTGTTTACAAACCTTACTATCAGATATTGGAGCACATTTTAATTGATCAGTTCTGGAAATCTATATTTTCTCTCTGTTTACCCCACATAACCCATCCTTATCTACCCACTGTTCACCAACTCTTCAGCAAGGTTGGTGTCTCTTTCCTCCACTCCTAACTTCACTAGGCTGCCCTATCCGGTCCTGCACACAGAGTAACAGGGCTCATTTCTGCTTCCTACTTTGCACGGGGAATAGGTTGTCCCTCTGTGCCCTTCCAATCTCCTTGCTCTCCAAAAAAGGAAAACATTAAAAAAAAAAACAAAAAACAAAAAACTAACTTCTCAGGCCTAGTTTAACCTTGCCTTCTTTGTGGCACTTTCTCTGCAACCTCCAGGGAGACCCCAGACTCCTATGATAATGAGTTTGGACATTATAATGCCTGCTGTATGATGTACCTGTTCATATATTCAACAACTGCTTAATGATCCTCAGAATGTGCAAAGCACTGTGCTAGGAGCTGAGGGGGCCTTTAAAAGAAAATGAAATGTTGATCTCTGTTCTTCTAGGCCTAACTTTTCATGTACGTCCAGCCTTTCCAGATGGGTCCTGGCCTTCTCTAGGACAAATAATGACTTCCTCAGCATCACACAGGCAAAGACCTGCTCACCTTGCTGTGACAGATGTCTAGAACAAGGGGCAGACAGGTCCATACTAGGACTGCAAGAACAGTAAAGGAAAAATAGGACTTCACCTTGCTAAAATGTTATTTATCTTAATTTCTGATAATCCTATATTCTAACACCTAGAGCAAACAAGATGAGTGACATAAGAAAGTTTCCTTTTTATTTGTATTTTTTAAATACAGACAAGGTCTCACTCTGTCACCCAGGTTGGAGTGCAATGGTGCAATCATAGCTCATGGTACTGTAACTTTGAATTCCTGGGCTCAAGCAATCCTCCTGCCTCAGCCTCTATGACTAGCTAGGACTACAAGGACATGCCACCATACCTGGTTAATTTTTTTTTTTTTGGTAGACATCAGGTTTCATCATGTTGACCAGTCTGGTCTGGAACCCCTGGGCTCAAGCAATCCTCCCTCCTTGTCCTCTTAAAGTGTTGAAATTATGGGTGCGAGTCACTGCGCTTGGCCCTAAATATTTTCTTCTTCTACCTCCACTTCCCTGCTACTTCTCAAGCCCCTCAACAATATCATCATTCACTGATCTTGTCTAACATCTTCCCATTTTCATTCTCCTCTCAAAATCCTTGCTCCTCACAGCTGCCAGAATAAACTTTTGTTAGTTTATATCGGATCATATCATTCCCTTAATAGTTTTCCAAATTTCTTCACCTGGCCCAGAAGCTCCTATGTCATCCAGTCCCACCTAAGACATGAACATCCTCTCCCCTGAGAGGTTTCTTTTGCTTTCTGTCTTCTCGTCCTGCTTGCTTTCTTCCAGACCTCTGAAAAAGCTGGGCGGGCCCTGGAACATTGCTGTTTCCTCATTTTCAAGTGCCTTTCCTTCTTCTCTGCGGTGCCAACTCTCTCTCATGTCTCTATTTGACATCGCTGCTAGAACATCACTTCCTGCGGTATCTGCAGTCAGGCATCCCTTCCATAAGAATTAACACCACGTTCTTGACCTTAGCAGTAATTGAAATTAGACAGTCACTGGTTAAATCAGTCACTTCACATGAGGTCAGGGACCAATTCCTCCTTTCTACCATATCACCAGGAAAAATCATAAGGCATCACAGAGAATAGAAAAGGTATATTTGCTAAATAAATTTAAACGTTACTAAGAACCCACCCATTAATATGGAAGCGATTCCTCTGTTAATTCATGGAATGTCACAAATGAGCTGAATTCATTCACCCTCACGGTGCCTCTAAGTTATAAACCACTAAGTCATCCATATACTCCCAAACTTTGCAATGGCTACAGTCCATGTTCTCTGGAAGGCAGTTGAAGCAGACGGCCTGCCAGAGGCAGATTTATGTAGTTTTTAATGTGTTTTTCAAAAGTTGGTCTTGATTTGGGCTTAGCTATCCATGAAGATCTCTTGAAAATTAAAAACGTTCAATCACGACTACTGAGCTTTCTAGAAACTGCAATTATAGCCATCCCTTTGAAAATAGGGCATCTTTAAGAGACGAAGTATTGCTATGGATACAGCTTCAAGAGACAGACAATTAAATGAAACCATAATATGGGCATGTGGTTGAAAACTCAGTGAACAATAACCATGAGACTATTCCTCTTCTGACACAAGCAGTCTTAACGTTTCAAAACAAAAACAGCAATATAAAAAAACTTGTAGTCACTATTATAATTTCCAGAAACAACTCAAAAGTCAGTATCATAGTACAAGGCAGAAACATTTTTACTCTATAATGTGGGGTCTAAGTGCCCTATTTTGGTCAACAGTTTGACAATAGCACTTTTTTGTATAACAACAACAACAAAAAGATGAACACGCCAAGCTATTTTATACTAATAAAACTATTATCCACATTATCAAAATGTAAAATTCAAGCACAAAAGTAGTTCAGTATGAGAATTTCTCTACCATGAAGCATATTTTTTTGCCTTCTTTTTAAGCACTCAATAGAAATAGAAACAAAAAGAAACATCTTAGAGTGGTAACTAGATTTCTAAAAGTGGCTGAAGAGATAAAAGTGGTTATCAGCTTATATGTCTAACATGATCTAAAATTAGGGAAATTATAAACAATATGTGAACAAAACAACCTATACAGTTCTTCACGTATCAAATATACTCTAATAAAATGCATTTAATAAGGAATGGGAAATACATTTATTAAGCACAAAATATATATCAGGCACGTTCATTTAGGATTTGATTTAACCCTTAAAATACCCATGAGGACATGGAGGCTTAGAGGGAGCCTAAGGCCAGTATGTGGGAGAACTGAGATTAACACATGGGTCTCTGCTTCTGTATATCTCCCATGTCATTAGACATAGGGATTAAAATGAGAGACAGCTATCATACAAACAAAAGGCAAAAACATGGGCACTAATTTTTATCTTCAGTGAATAAATCATTGAACTGGACACTGGTTTAGTTAAGGCTGAATCCAGGGCCCATGGAAAAGGCTCATGCACTTACCCAAGGAATGGAATATTTTACTGCAGTTACGGCTCAAATCTGTGTGGGGGACAGACCAAGAGCTCCTCCTAATGGCATAGCCAAGGAACCAGTGAACTGGAAATGCAACCCCCTGATTTTGAAGAAGGTCTCCATCTGTTTCAAAGGTACACACCACCTCCTACACCTCATGTCCTGCAGTAGAGGAGTGAAGGCAGAGTGAAGATTGAGCCTTCTCTTAGGGATCACAAGCTCCCTAAGGGTGTGTCTGTTAACCAAGTGTGGTGCTCAATGAATATCTGTGGTCGATTACCAGAACTGCCCCCAAGCTGACTTTCCTGAAGTTGAGAAATACTTAAAAAGTGGTCGAGGAAGCTATATTGGGTTCTCTGGAAAGAAACAGTGGTTCTGTAATTAAATGTATCTTTATTCTCCTGGATCAGGCAATTGTTATGGTCCCCTAACATGCCTATTTATCAAATAAGGATACTTTATAATAACCTAGATTTCTCGTCTGGAAACATATTTATTTTTCCTCTGATAGATATTTTGAGATTATGCTAATTTGGGAGTTATTTCCTTTATTAACAACGGAAAGAGAAAAGGGTCCAAGTGACACCTTTATTACCAAGATATCAAGAGGATCCAGATATATTTTGGAAACTTTTCATGATTGATGGCTGGGTTTTATTTGTTTGTTTGTTTGTTTTTAATGGCAAAGGGTGCCAAAAAGTCTCAAGGGTGAAATAAAAATCCCCAGGAGAATTCTGGAAGGCAAGCAACTCCAAATTGTGAGTCAAGATGATATTTCCAGTTTTGTCCCTCCATTGCCTCCTGATAATTCCCTAGCTTCTCTTCATAACATATAGACTATTAGAATAATGGAAACATGAAAAATGAAGATGAGTGATATGGTTTGGATCTATGTCCCTACCCAAATCTCAGGTCCAGGTGTAATCCCCAATGGTGGAGGTGGGGCCCAGCAGGAGGTGATTAGATCACAGGTGTGGATCCTTCATGAATGGTTTAGCGCTATCCTCTTGGTGCTATCTCCTGATAGAGTTCTCAAGAGATCTGGTTATTTAAAAGTGTGTAGCATCCCCTATCCATTGGTCCTGCTCCTGCCATGTAAGACTCCTGCTCCACTGCTCTTGCTTTGCCTTCCATCAAGAGTAAAAGCTCCCTGAGACTTCCCAAGAAGCAGAAGCTGTCATGCTTCTTGTACGGCCTGCAGAACCATGAGCCAATTAAACCTCTTGTTTTATAAATAATCCAGTCACAGGAATTTCTTTATGGCAATGTGAAAACGGATTGAACAATGGGATTGTGCTATAAAAAGAGAGGATATTGAAGCCTATACTGCATTTTCTGTTGTGCTGTTATGTCACTTCATATCCTCCCCCACCGAGCTAGGCGTGGAGGGCTGCTCTGATTGCTTTGTTGCTACTCTTGGCATGGTGAGTTAAAGTAAACTCCCCTAAGTTTCCAGTTCCCCTATTATGTAGGATTCTGAGTGGGTAAGGGGCATCCTGGGAGGAACAGGGTAAGGGCCATGAGTGTGAAACAGAGGGAGACTGAAGAATGGCCTCTTGCCTTTGGAACATCCTTTATGGGGAAGGAAGTCTCTTACAATAATTATTTTAGAGAATAAAACTAATAAAGAGAAAGCTTAAGTAACAGGAAGGTAGCTATATGAACCCACTTTTTGATTCTAAGAATGCTAAGGAAGAATCACTGATTTGGTGTGGAATCTTGGCATATGCATCATGCCAGTGGTGGCCATGATGGTTTCAATTCCTAGTGCTGAATTAACCCCAACACATTACAATCCTGGCAGCTTCTCAGCAGCATACTGTCAACTATAATAAGGCTATCCTGAATAATCTGCACACATGTGCTGAGCAAACCAATATAGTTTCCTACTCTTCATTGGCTGATCTCTCTCAATGGGTAACATAGGTGTTGTCATGTGTACTGAAAGGTAACATAATCTGGACTGAAAAACATTTCAATTCTCTAACAATTTTCCCATTAACCCATTGTTTACTATATTCTCTTTTTACAGTTTATGAGATTAACTTTGTATTTTCTTTCGACAGTATTAATTTATGATCAGATGTGCCCCTGGGCAGCATATACCACAATTTTCTGTCTGGGCCTCTACTGTAGGTATGAAACCTGCTATACTGTCCATTTCTCAGCATTGTCCAGAATAAAATGTTTCTCTTTTTCAGTTAATCATTAGAACGCGAGTTGTTTTCTTCTTAAAATACCTGCATTTTAAGACTAGCAGTAGCTGAGTGAAGTATGTTGGTCTTGTCAAACACTACACACAGCTATTCACCTTGAGCCTCCAAGTACAATTTATCATTTGTTTCATGAATCAAGGCTGTGGCCTGGTTTACTACAAAAGTAATGACATCAGGCTGCATCACCTATTACTTAAAAATGTTAGGTTACACTGGGCCTAAGGAATTTGTGAAGCAAATTCTTTAAAAAACATTTGACAGGCTTTTCTACTAGAATAACTGCTTATGGCTATCCACGTCTAACGTTGGCATAGACCTGAGAAAAAATAGCTTTTACCAATTTTAGAGAGACAGGCTCCAAAGAAGATAGATTACTTAAGATTCTTTGAATAAAGTCTTCTCTCTTGTACACAAATGTCAGAAACTCTAAAAAATGCCAAGATAAATATACATTTAAATGTATTAACAGGTAGCTTCAACCACAATCAAATAGCATATTTATTAAAAAAGGCATAATTTAAAAACAGTAAATATACCTTTTTATACATTACAGAATTAAAGACTTTACCATTTGTAAATATAATCCTGGTAATATACACAGATTTAGGCTTATTCATGTCTTTCAACACATTTGAAAATGTATACACTATTTTCCTTTATAGATAAAACAACTTTATGAGAAATAAATTCACCTTAGTATATTTTATTCTAATGTTCTAAAATACTAACATAGTAATGAGTATTCAATTTTTCCAAAGTTTAATTTCTTATGACTACATAATCATAACATCAATAACAACTCACAGGGAATATCCTTCTAATTTGATTCCCGTGGCTTGAATGACCTATATTTTCTTTTTCTAATGGTTATTCGAAAAGAGGTGGACGTCTTTAAAATTAGGAAACTACTGACCACAGAGTTTACCATATGCATTCACTCCTCCTCCAGGATGTGTGGTCCCTTTGCCCCCAAAACGGTAACTATAACCTCCGTATGGACTACTGCCAAGACTAATCCCTATGGACTTTTGCTTTATCAGGATTCCTGAACTTTAGGTGAAACTAAACTGAAGCATCATTTATTGTGGTTACTTCATGTTGTTCTTAGAAACATGCAATTACCACAAAATAAAAACATATGATAAAAGAAAAGCAGAAAGAACGAAAGGTTCCCTTTTGCACCATGTCTAAAATGACCATCATTCTTTAGAGAATGTCCCTGGTTATCCGGAGTAAATGCTTTTTTTTTTAATTTGTGGGTGAATGCTTTACTCCCCTAGCAACTGCAATAAATGAACGCTCATTTATAAAGTAAGATGACTGGAAAATGGAAGGCATAGAGTAGAAATACTTATTTCTTAAATGTTCCTGGCACTGACAAAAATGGTTGGCTTTTCTGATCCTGATCCAATGACACTGTTGAGGTCTGTTTTATTTTTTTACTACATACTTTGAATTGGTAACAATAATGATAACAGCAGTAATGCCTGATCCCCACCGTAGGCCACGATCGCTGACCTCTTAGAGGTATTCATTGCTACCTCACGGTAATGTGAATCCATTTCTTTTTTCACATAGAAAAGTTAAATTACAACTATCTGGAATAAGTCCACTTTGTAGCCCTAAAGCAGTGCCTTGGTGGGAACAACACTCTGGAGGATTCATACAGGAGCCTGACAACGTATAAACATAGACTGTGAGACTTAGTTCTAAAAACGAAGACCATTATGGTCTAAACACATGTTTAGCTAATGACAAATCACTTTTCCTCAATTCACTATAGCAAGAATTTTCTCATAAATACAGAAATAGTGAAACACCAGGGCATTTAGTCGAACCACACAGCATTATTTCATTTCTAACTACTGCTATCGTTATTGGAATTTGTTGGTACTTACCTTCATGCACTCCAAAACTATCTACTGAATACCTTGAACATAAAACAACAAGATGAAAACATTTCTCCCAAAATTATTCTTCCATAGAGAGGGTCTTTACAAAGACTCTTTCTTCAGGTATCCTCTCCTATTCACTCTATTTTAATAGTCAAAATACTCTTTGGAGATGATACACTGGCCTGAAACAATCTTTATAAAAACTAGTTTTGGGGGCTTTATGGAGGTTACTTGATAGAACAGGCTAAATAAATTAAGTTTTTCAAAAGCGTTTCCCTTAGCCAGGTGTGGTGGCAGGCATCTGTAATCTCAGCTACTGGGGAGACTGAGGCAGGAGAATTGCTTGAAGCCAGTAGGCGGAGGTTGCAGTGAGCCAAGATGGCGCCATTGTACTCCAGCCTGGGCGACAGAGCAGGACTCCATCGCGGGTTAAAAAAAACAAAGGGTTTCCACATATGGATGTTGTTGTAAACAAGCCTTCAAAAAATACTCTTACTGCATTATAATCAGTCACTGGAGATTAAAATATATATATATGCAACTTACAGAAAGAATTTTTTTAAATGCTGGAAGGCATAAATGAGTTCTTGGGGCTGGAGACATTTCCTGAGAGAAAAACAACAGTGCATTCGAAAAGCGCTGCATGTAAACAATTACATGGAATTAAAAATAATTTTCTCTGGAAAATTCATAGGCAATTCTAAATGTGCTTTAGGGATGACAGAACCACTAATGTCAAAGGCACATGTGAAATGTTGACTGTTTTCATAAAATATAAGTAAAAAGAAAAATGTCTTAATTAACATGAGATTACAAACATTTGCAATAATACTAGTGAATATTAAGAGCAATCATCTGAGTACTTCACCTACAAGCCTCAAAAATTGTATCTTCTATTTGGCCCAAAAACCATTTTTGGATCTTCTCACTAGTCAGGATCATCTTATAGGGTAGTCATTTCTATTGCTTCATTTTTGAGCAGGGTGAGGAGAACTTTTTTTTTTTTCAACTAAGTTTATATTTCCTAAAATTTCTGTAATATAATGCGCTGAAAACTAAAGTTCTCTTTTCCAATGGTTGAACTTCCTCAAACTCAGTCTCAGAAATTTAGAGGCTGTACGAATATAGTGAAATTGTTCCTGTCTGAAAGGAAGAAAAAGAGTAGCCCACATTCTAAAAATATGAGATATATATTTTTAAAAACCATGCAATCCTGAATCAATAGATAGAACCATGCTGTAGAATACTCTTTGTATTCATCAATTTACTTGGTAAATAGCATCTGTCATGTAGGCGGCTAAATTGTTAGTCAGCAGAAGGGGGTAATTTGGCAATGAGTGCGGAGTCGCTGTCAGACACTGGCGTGTCTGGATTACTCTACGTGCAGCAGAGCATAATCCAGCACAAAGCATGTCTGCTTTGGCCTCTTTCTAAAAGTTCAAGTTACAGAAGCACCAAGAGAAACTTCCTATAAGACAATGTCAACTGCAAAGTGATCCCAGGGCCTAGGCTCTGGTCATTATTACGATGAGGTGCCAGCCAGATCTGACTTCAAGCTCAGATTTATGAACCATGTGAACCATTCAGCACAGAGAGCAGCAAAAGGCGAGAAGTCGAATCGCTGTCATTTGAGGTTACATAGAAAAGCTTGACCAACAACTTAATTTAACAAATAAAGAAGTCGTGACTCATACTCCACAAATGTTTTTGAAGCTCAATAGATTTGAATATTACTGAATCAGCATAAAATCATTTGAAAGAAATAATTGTGTAAATAGGTGCTTTATGTGAAAGAAATTGCTCAAGTCTGCCTCTTTTTTGCTATGACTCTATTTGAAGGAGCATGACTGTTATAGTCATACTTCTGCTTATTAAGCATTTTGCTTTGCCAGGAGATTGTTTCAAAGCAGGAAATAAATAAAGATAAATTAGAAAATGAAAATGTCCTGTACCTGAGAAATCTGCCGCTAAGAGATCTGCTGCCTTTAAAACCTTCACTTGTAGAATGCCGACGTCTTTCACATCTTTCAGGGAGTTCTG
This sequence comes from Homo sapiens, assembly GCF_000001405.40. Classification (NCBI taxonomy): domain Eukaryota; kingdom Metazoa; phylum Chordata; class Mammalia; order Primates; family Hominidae; genus Homo; species Homo sapiens. The sequence goes on along the minus strand of NC_000015.10, from coordinate 94,370,092 downwards.
TAAGCACTGAGGGTTGAAAAGGTGATACAAGTGAAAACAGCTTTTTAATATACTACTTAATGTCATAAAGTCCTATAGGAAGTGCATCCTAGATTTATCTTCCTTTTTCTCATGAAATCTTTAAAAAAAAATCCCCAAAAATATATTATATAACAGGACGGTTAGGCACTTATAGCAGCCAGATTAAAAGAAAAGTGACTGAGAATTAGTTAACGACAGCTTTAAAATAAACCAATTAGAAGCACATCGAATCTACTTTTAACATCGCCCCTGGTGATGGCATAGATATCCCACCAGGAAAACGTGTGGGTAGAATTACATTGATGCTCTTTTTCCCCCTTCTTTCTCATTAATGCAACTGTTAAATCACTCTGAAACACAACATTATTCTGACCTAGTTAGTACAAACTTTATGGATTCCAGAGGACTAAACTTGGACCCATCAGAGATACTTATCACCACTCTAAAGAGAGTTGGGGCAGAAACAGTGAATTTTCTGGTCTGTTTTAGCTAGCTCATTGAATTAGAGATTAAGTATCTAGTACCACCCTAGATTCATATTTACTTTAGCCTTGAGTTTGTACCAGCCAAAGTCTGAATGTATCTACTGCTCATTCTTAAGCACATATAGCAATATTTGGGTGTTTATATACATGGCATCCTTAAGAAATTGTGCATGAAAGAGGCCGGCAGATAAACTCTCTTCTCCTGCCTCCAGAACACACCTACTGAAAAAGATACTGCCTCAAAACCTCTGGACATGCTATTTCTGTCATCATTAGATAGCTAAAAACCTGTGATAAACAGACCTCAAGGATTTACGAAAGGCTATTAAAATACTTGCTATTTAGGCATTTCAGGTAGAATAACACAAGCTTAATAACAGTTTGCCTAACTTAATATGCATCATTCCTAAAAACATTTGAAAGTTGTTTCTCCTCTATATTTTCAACCTAAACAAACAAAACAATTAGTTTTTAAACTAAGAGAACGCATTTGAAATGAAATGCTTTTACAATTTAGAAGTGGAAATGCCTTTAAAGAGGATCTGTCCTCATAACTTAAAAAACAAATCCAGGGGGCTGTAACTTGTGCTTTGAAACAGCATTCGTTCCCTCTAATGTGCTGGCTAGCTTGCTAGCTGAAGAAGCACTCACTATTTCTACTTTGACCATAGCCTCTTCAAACCTCTTTTCGATTACTACTCCTCAAATCCTAAAGTATTATTCAAAGCAGGCATTATGATGGTATCTAATGTTCCTTTATAAACACACAAAACTCCTCATGAATTTGGTAAATTTGTCAACTTATCCATTGGAAAGCTTGGGGAAAGGTTTTATTCTTCACCATTAATTTTCATTTGCTTACCTAATCAGAGAGAATGTTAATAGTTGTGTCAAACCTTCTTCACAGTATGCCAGCCTCACATGCGCACTCTGCATTGACAATGAGCTATGTGGCTAGGTCTTGTACTCCCGAAGATACAGAATTATTCAATTAATCAATACATCTACACAGTGAAGGATCCTGGAGACACTAAAGTTTATGCTGAGAATGATAGTGCCATTGAATAGGGATTCATCTTTGCTTCATTTTCATGCCACTTCCCTAAAACGTGCTTTCCCTGTGTGGCACTAAAATAAACATATTGATTTATACAGAAGATAGGATAAAAGCAGAATGCAAATAAAGGCACCTAGAAAGCCAGAGTACAAAAAATAAATGAAGAGGACACAGCCATTTCATTTAAAAATGCTGAGTGGACTGTTAAGCTCATTGCAACTACTTAGGGAGAAATCACACACTGCTCTTATCATCCAGACTAGTTCAGAACAGCGGTTCTTCATGTCCAGCTAGTGTTATTGCTTTACAAGGCATGAGCAGGTTCTCACTTGATCCTAAGAAGTTCTGCAAAGGTATCCATAACATTGCAACCATTAATGGCTGGTAAAGTTATTTGTGAACTCATATTAAAAGTCCTATTTACACACACACACAGCCTAAGCAGGAGTCTGCTTCCCTGGGGATTTCAACATTCCCCAAAGACTTGCTAAACGCTAAAAATTCAGAATCTCTTTTTGCCTTTCAAAATAGCAAAACCAACTCTTAATTCTACTGTCACCTTTTCACTAATGCATTAACCCCTAAGTCTGATGTCTTGTTTTATGACGTACAAGGAAACTTGGGACAAAGATCTCTTTTGATGTAGTTTTTCAATTCAGAGACTTTGTTTCAATAAAGACTTTGTTTTAAAAGAGAAGGTGGGAGGAGGGGGAGTGTACAATAAGGAAAAACACTCACATATCGCTGGGTAATCTGCTTTCTTTCGCTGAGGTCTGCTAAGGGGCAGACACACAGATCAGAGACGGAGACCCCCGCACAGGGTGTAAGTGTGACCAACATAAGGAGAGCCCCCAGACAGCTGTCCAGTGGCAGCTCCAGGCAGTTGGCTTGCTTCAGAGGGAGTGCCGAGATATCCACTTTACACCTAGAAAAGTTTCAGGAATCAAGAGAGAGAAAAGTGATTAATTCAAGGCCACTGCAGTACCTCCAAAGCACCTGGCTTTGATTTCATCATCCCCCAAAACTCACTCTGTCTGGTCTTAGGTTTATTGAGCAGCAAAGGTTGCCCTAATTCATAATGCTCACCCCCAGCCTAACACACTCTAAAATTAAGGAGAGGAAGAGGTCCAGAAAATCAAAAAGAAGGCAGCATCGGCAGATGGAAAATGAAAAGAGAGGAGTGGATCCTTGCCAAATAAGGTCTGCAGAAAGATAAGATCAAAAATTAGAAAGAAAAAGTTTGAAAGTTTAAGCCTTATGAGTAAGCATGCTGTATGGCTTCCGTGGGCTGTGCCTTTTATGAGTAAAGAGAATAAAGGATCATGGCTCAAAACATGAAGGAAAAAAAAAGATAAGAGAAAGGCAAGTGGGAGAGGGTTAATGGAGAAATCGTTTTCTTCCTGATTAATGCCAACTGGCGAATTTTTATTTTAAAAAACACGTTAAGGTGTTTTCCTAATAGGCACAGTGCCACAGGGTTTCCCCAGGTGGGTTTCTTTTGGACAAATGGAGCATGAAGTGCTGTTGATTGATCCCATTTCAGCAGCTCTGCCAGGAAAGGCTGTACCCATCTGCTATAAATTGCATGTTTTCCGCCTCTTAACAGCCAATGTTCTGGGGATGTTGAAAACCTCAAACACATTTAAATACAGAAGCAAACACCAAAAAGGGGGACTGAGGTGCTAAGCCATTTATTTGCCTTAACACTGACAACTCTGGGTTTGCCTGGACCACACCTGCTCTGTTTATGTATGCAGGTGGGTGAAGTAGGTGGGGTTGAGTAAAGTGGGGCATGGTATTCCCAGACGTCATTTTTTTTTACATTCTCCTTTACCCTCCATAATTATAGAATAAGATGAATATTCAAGACTTCAGAAAAGGATGGAAGCACTGCTCCCCAGAGAGAACAATAAGGATAGATTCTTACCCTAAGCTGTCAATGGACTTTGTACATTTGCAGTTAATTACAAATAGGTTAACTTACATACTATATAAAGCAATGGCAATTTTGAGCCACATGGCTATGTGGATGAAAACTTCCACTTTAAGAAATTTAAGAGAAAGCTAGCAATCACTTTTCCAAATAAATATGACATTAAAAGACTCTACTAGACTTTATTACAAGATTTTAAAATATTTTACATACCAATATGTGTCCATATAATTAACTTAACTGGGCATTTATTTCCTATTTATCAAAAGTGACCCCAATTACAGGTGGGAGTGGCCATTAGAGCTTTTGCATGTAATAAATTCATCAAATATTTCTATGGGAGACAAATTACAAAAAAAGTATTTTTAAATAATCCTCTGATTTGAATCAAAACAATTTTTCTGTATCAATAGGGAAGCTTTTAAAGTTAAATTGCATTACTATCTATGAAAATATAGGTTAATAAATATTTTTATTTCATAAGCATGATGTAAGTGGGAAATCAAATTTGCTTGGAAAGAAAGAAATGTCTATTGCCTTAAACCATTTATTTCTAGAAAAGTAGGTCCCCACAAATTCTTGAGCAATATTGCAGTAATATTTCTACTTCGGAATACTTTGCTAAGCATTATTTTACACTGTTATATACACTTTCATTTAGTAAAGCTCTTTCTTATGGAAAGGTAAATAATCCAAATTTGTAGAAGTTTTCTCTGCTAATCACAATGTTACAAATTAACAATAGCCTATTGATGGCACATTCTTTTTAATACCATTAATAATGGCAATTTATTTTTGTCCTTTAAACATCTGCCTTTGGGATGGTGGTTTTGTTGGTTCTTTGAGCAGCCAAAATTTATTTAGATACAAGTGCTCTGACAGCTAATAATGTTTGAAGGTTAAAAATAATATATAAGTAAGTGCTACTAAAATTTTTCTTGGATAATTCAAAATGAACCTGATATTAATTCTAGAGTACTCTAGTAACGCTGTGAGCAGTATTACCATAATTGGAATAACTGTGAAAATTTTCCTAGCGACTGTTTAAGTGCTCAACTTATTGGAACAGAGCAGTTTGTCAATTTTAAGTAAAAGCTGAACCACATACCAGATGAAATGCAAAGTAAATATTGGGTTTCTTCTCAAAATTACACATTTTCACAAGCTTTTCACTCATTTCTGTCTACTGTGAATGTTTTACACTTACGTTATTACAAAAAAATCAGTCCCTTCACTAGAATGAACACTTTCATGAAAAATAGCCATTTGTAGTTTAGATATTAGAGTCCTTTGAGCAACAGGTTGAAGATTTAGGCAGCAGCTTAATGGATTTTACAGTCTTTGATAACTAACGAGTGAATCCAGCCAAATATTTACTTGTACTTTCTCAGTGACTAGAAGGAACAAGTTAAACTGATATATTAGCATCATGATATTAGCATCATATCAATCAAAATTAAAACTTAGTCTTTCTGGACATGGGTTATGACCCAGCCTCTTAGAGGTCCTGACCCACCACATGAACCAGTATGTTCAGAATTAATTTAAAGCTACCATAGTAGGCCCCCTTTAATGATGACTTTTTATAAACATTCTGTAACTCTTCTACCCACCTGGTGTCCCCATTTATTTCCACATTCTGGAAGAAGGAGGAAAGACGGGAGACAGAAAAAATGTATTTCATACAAAACCTTCTTCAGGCCTCATATTTAACCTATTTCAACTCCAGCTCACACTGCTCCAGTTTTGTCATAAAGTTTGAAGGAGAACCAGAAGCTCTGGACATTAGCCAGAGACTGGGAGAATTATTTTCATTAACCCCAACCTAGTAAGAGGTTACTGCATTATCAGAAAAGCAACAGAATTTTTTTTAACAAGAAAGGCTTTTTTCCCTCAAATTGCAAATAATGTTAACCAAAATATTCATCCAACCTCCCAAAAGAGAAATATCAAATGACCAAAATGGCTTTTTGTGTTTTTTTCTTAGGTTCAAAGACAAATGGACTAAAATTTAAAGTCTTTAAGACGTAAACATTCTATAATACATTAATCAAAGACACCTTTAACACGAAAAATCTCAAAAGAAGAATCTAGACTTCTTCTTTTTCATTAGTGTAATGGATTCTTCTTGCAAAAAATACTAAATAATCTGGTTGGGCTCTTATGTCTTTCTAGTCACTGCTGAAGACCAGTAAAATCTTGCTCTTTTCTGTCCTCTCTTTGGCTATGTCTTATGGGTAGGGTACAGGATTAGCCTTTCCCTGTTATGGGCAGGTGTGAGGGGCTAATAATTAAATATTTTTGGTTTGTGGGCCATAAGTTTTCTGTAGCAACTACTAAAATCAGCCCTTGTACCATAAAAGCAGTAACAGACAATGTAAACAAATGAAGGTTTTTTCCCAAAAAAAACCTTTATTTACAAAAACGGGCAGCCATATGGATTTCACCTACAAGCCCTGGTTTGCTGACCCCTGAACTACAGAAATACTTGTAATTTAGTGGTGGTGAATTACACGTCTTTTTTTTTTTAATGTAAATTTTTTTAACTCACGACAGCTCAAGAAACGCTGGTCAAAATATCCAATGATCTGTTAGTTAATAAAAATGGATAAAGCAATAAAACCTATAAAAATTGCTCTCTTCTGTCTGATAGAAACAATATGGAAAACACACACGCAGGGCATCTATATAAGGAATTCAATTAATGAGCATGAACCAATTAGGTCTGTTCCGGTGGCATCACATATGACTTCACACACAAGGAGACTAAATGTCTTTGGACAGTCGTTCAGAAGGTGCAACACACCGAGCCCTTAGGTGACCAGGAAATTTTTATTCCAACATCAGCTTTTTAAAAATGTAATCAATAGGAGCTCCACTGCAACAACAAGATTTACACGATGGAAATCAAAATAGCCAAGTCACTGCTGTGTTAGTGTCTAGGAAGGAACTCCCATAGCTCATCTGCAAGACATGGAATCCAGTGGCTTTGTGCCTTCACCCCTGCCCTCATCTCTAGCCTTATCATGTGACACCACTGATTTTTCCACTCCATCAAGGTTTTCGGAGAGAATGTGCTCTCTCTCCTCTCCAGACCTTTGCCTATGTTTTGCTGTCTTCCTGGAAAGCTCTTCTTCCTGTCTGCTTGTTAATTACCACTATTCCTACAAGTCTCAGCTTAGACCGCTGTTCTTCAAGGAAGCCTCCGCTTCCATTCTAAGCCCAAATTGGTATCCATGATGCCAGGACCTGCAGCCCTCATTCCACCTACTGCCACTGCCTGCTTACTTGTAGTAGCCCGAGGCTCATCAGTGCCCAAGGACAGCAGCCTTTTCTGTATCACTGTCCACTGAATCCTCAAGTACTGTGCCTTCTGCCCAGCATACAATGTGCTCTAGATTTGAAGATTTGAATACACTGAACGCACAAAAGAATGAATGTCAGCGCCGTAACAAAACTCACAAAGTCAAAAACTCCAAATTATACTGTTTTTTCTTGAACTAACTAAATCTTTTGCAGCCTCTGTTTCTTCCCCTATGTAGGAAAGGAATTGAAATAAATGTATTTACTAGGTGCCTCTTAGATTTAAAATGCCATTGTTCTACTCACCTGAAGAAAACAGACTAAATTACTTTTTTTTCCCTTTCCTGCAAAAGGCATATATTAAAGCCAGCCTCTCTAGCCCACAGGCAGTTAATGTGCTGATTTAGCATTGTTTCTGACCTCCCATTCTTGTCTTTCTCCATTAATCCCACAGCGTTTTAATGTTTTAATTCAACACATAATTTTACCATATCAGTCAGACAAACCTGCTCAAGTTTTACTTGCCATGATAGCTTTTAACCTCTTATTCATTACCATAATTCTATGTTTTATATTACAGACTGGTCAGCTTTTAACTCAAAGGCAAGGGGCAGAAAAGAGTGCTAGAGTTTTAAAAGCTGTAAATCTCAGAGGCTAAGGAAGCCAGGGAACAGGAGGAAAATGGTGAATGTGTCAAGCCTGGCTGTAAAAGCAGATCAACGACATGGGGTGCAATTTGTCCAGAGAAATACTCCAGCCCAGATTTTTCGCTGCCTCAGAGCCGCTAATAAACTGGTAGAATGTCAGAGCTGCTTTATACAGCACCATCTGGGACTGAGGAGGGACTCTGAGGCAGGCTAGTCCAAATGGCCTTGTGGGTTCCCATTCTCAACCTTTCCAAACTAAATTAAGTCTAGAAAATTCTATAATGAGTTAATCTGTAGAATCCCCTTGAAATATAAAATATACTTTAAGAAATTGGTATGATTACTTTGAAATGGCTCAAAATGGAATAATCTATATTACTCTATATTCATACTCTTGACATTATGTTTAAAAGTTGGAGCCGGTTAAACTTAGCTTTATGTCTTACTCTTCCCTAAAAGCTCACTGTTTCTATCTAAGATCAGATGCTTTTTTGCTTGTTTTGCCCATGAACAAACACTGGAGTCGGTAGGCAACACAGTTTCAGGCGATGGTTGATCTTACCCAAGCACCTTCATCTCACCAACCCCAGTGTTTTTAGGAGTTACTTGTGGCTCAGGGGGAATCTGCAGGTCGGTGGACTATGGAAAAAGGGGAAGTCAGCAAGTTCCACATGACTCAGGAGAGCCTGGAGGAGGGGCCTACGGGGCAGGTCCATGTTTTAACCATCACCAAGCTAACAACCTACCCATGCCAATGTGATTTCTCTACACATAAGCAACCACTACCCCAGCCTTATCATACCTGGTTATAAAACTTCAGTATTGTTCAGGCTGACCTACACTGCCCAATCCTTCCATCAATGGATGCCCCTCCTACCATGTCCTTGACGATGGTCACTGCCCACTTTTACCAAAAAATATCAAAAAATTCTATGCTGTTTTGGAGGAAAAAAATACATTGAATTTTACTAGTCATATCTTATTTTCTTAAATTGCATAATTTGAGTTGCCAAGTTGTGAGGACCTACAGTTTACGTGCAGAAAAATCTCAAAATTAATAATAAGTAATACCTACCATCAGAGTGCGCAAGGGAATAAACAGTGTCAAGTAGATGTTGTTACTGTTAGCCATGATGACCCTGCCAGTTGGCGAGTGAGCCCATTATACAGATACAGAGCCAGACTCCACAGGGAATCACTGTCCAAGTCCCACAATTAGCAGACAGTGTGATTATCAGCAAGCTCAGGATGTGTGACCCCAGAGCTGATGTTCCTTCCCTCCCACTGAACTGCCTACACAGCTTCCCTGAAGAGAATTTCCCCAGAGAGTCCATCTAGATTTTTAACTGTAATGTTCAATTATGAATATCAAGGTTTTATCCAAAAACAAAGCATGAGACAGGCTTTGGAGAGGAGAGTTACGATACATTTGCACCAGCAGAGAGCCTCCTGATGCAAAAAGGTTTTTCCCAACAGTTGGAAAATAGCTGGGCCTTAGAATGAAGATCACAAAGAAAAGCAAATGTGTTAAAAAAAAAAAAAAAAAAAAAAAAAAAAAAAAACTTGAAATATTTAAACAATAGCCAGGAAGAAGGAACCATAAGTAGCATGTCAGTGATGTACATATGCTAGCACAATCTTTCAGTCTGAGAAGCAGTCGATATTTTACCGTAGATTTCCCCCACCTGCAAGCTCGAGGCAGGGTAAAGCAGTAGCACCAGCTCCCAAGAGATACTTTTGTTATCTTTTGTACTACAGGAGAGGAAAAAGGAAAAGGATACCAAAAAAAAAAAATTCTTTAAAATTCATAAAGAGGAAGAACAGAATGACCACCAAGACAGGTATATGTCTCGGTTATAAACAGGAAATAGCTAAAATAATAAATGAACACCCAAATGACAAAACATGGATTACAAGAGACATCTTAAATTACTTTTTTTGTCTCTGTGAAGCAACCCAACACTCATTTGGAAAAGCGTTTCCTATTATGTGAAGGAAGCATGACAGCACAATGACTTGTGAAATGCAGGGGCATTATTCTTTGCACCTACTAAAACAACACGCTGGCCATTCATCACAGGAGGCCCCTGTTCCCACTGTTCAGATAACACTTTGGGACACAGAGTTCTCTGAATTTGCGTAATTGATCTTTGCTCTTTCGGCTAGCACAAAATTTCAAATCCTACTACCATCCGTATTGGCAGGGTCCTGGTATATCACAGCAGTGACAACGTCAGACACACTGAGAAGTACCTGAGCCTGAGCTATCTCAGTCACCCTGTATGTGTGGAGAAGTGAGAGACAAGGTCACAGAAGTCATCCGACAGGCCATGTCTGTAGAAGACTGGACCACAGGACCACAGGAAGTGGGTTTTCTCCTAAATGCAAACCTGGCTGGGAGACGGCCAGGGAAGAAACGATTGCAATCTAACAGACAAGCATAGAATTGGGGATGTGCAGATGGTGCAAAGTAATGCAACCAGAGATGTGGAGGGTGAGGTGAGAGGTCTCAAGTGGGGGCAGTGCTGGTCCCCTAGGGGTGTTTGGACACGTGTGATGAAAAAAAGGGATGCTGTGTGTGCATGTGTGTGCACACATATGCTTGTGTGTTTTCCACACAATAATCAAGGAAAGTTACTGGTATCAGGCAGGTGAGAGCCAGGTTTGCTAAACATCCTGCAACATGCCAGACAGTCCCATGCAACAGGGTACCCATATTGAGAGACACCGGAGCAACATTCCACAGGTACTGAACTCCTCACGCATCTATCTCAGGATTCTGAGGTGGGATGAGGCAATGACAAGAAGCAGTCAAACACTGTGCTAAGCATTTTACTGAGAAAAAGCCCTGCACAGGTATTGGGTTAGCTGGGTCTCAATCTGTTTATGCCTCTAAACACCTTACTGATGAAAAAAAATTTCACTTCCTTGGGCCTCTGCATTTCCTTGTCTGTAAAATGAAGGGGTTTTTACTAGAAAAGTGGTTTTCAATCTTTAGTTTTCAGCAACAAAACCCTTTCTGCAAATGGAATCCCAATACAGAGCACAGGCAAAAGCTGAGATGCTCTGGCCACAGAGGAGAGGTGCAAGGAGGCCCTCCCATTCCTCAAGGGGTGACCTTAAGGCATCTCCCTGAACCCAAGATCCAGCTTCGGAAAAGACACCCCGTAGTGGTTGGGATCCCTTTCAACATCTGTGTTTAAATTTAAGATCTGTGTACAAATAATATGTATACAGAATGAACACAAGGCAAGTGATTTGATGGAGAAAACTACTTGGTGTTTGAAAACACAAAATCCTGACTCTGGAGCTCATGACTAAGTAATGTGTAAACTTCTGAAGTTCCATTTCATCATCTATAGAATGAGCATGATACCAGTAACTCAAAGGGCTTTTCTGAAGCTCAGAGATGATCTGTGCTTCTGCCAGCATCTCCTTTTTGCTTACTGTACGCGGGTTACAGCACCTATGCTGCCTCATTTCATTGTATTTTTCACTACAACCCTAGGAAGAAGCAATAATATTGATATTATTGTTCATTACACATGTGAGTGTCTCAGTTGAGAGGGTCCAAAAGTAAAGAAATAAAATAAAATAGATTTGGCCTCAAACTCCATTCCTTGGTGTGCTATAAAGTACATCAAGGACAGCGAAATGCTTCCATCATGGGAACACCTAGCCTTAGACCTTTACTAAATTATATAACATTTCGCTAGGTAGCAAAACCAAAATTATAGCGTATATTGGAAATTTATATAAAATGTTTTGAATAGTCTGAGATGGCAGCTTAACTTTATTTAGATAATTCCTTACACACACTATTTTAATCAATACTGAATGACATTTCCCAATTAAACAAACAAAAATGAAAAGCAAACTTTCCCCCAGTTAGGACTGGCCATCCAGCTCACTGATGGCACTCTGGGGTGAGGGATGCAAGGTAGTGCCCTCAGCCCTAACAGATAAAGATCACCTCTCAGAACCAGCCCCATGCAGAAACATGCTCCCGCCACTGGAAAGCAGAGGGGACTCACGTGCCCAGACGTTCCTCATGCTTTTTGTTGTCCTTTCCCCACACTTCAATGTCCAAAATGCCCATCCTGTCAGAGAAGTAGTGAAAGTCAAACTGTTCCTGCCACTGCGGATTTGCACTCTTACACAGTGTCTAGAAAACATGCAGTTATAATATTTATTTTCTTAAAATGTCATTCATTGCTACAGAAGCTACACATTAATTTCATCATTAAACTGCAGAGGGTCAAGATGATGGACCTCACCCCTTATAAAGGTAAACTTCTTTTTTTAGAATGAAAGGGACTTGGTGGGTTCAAGAACTGGCAAAACATTACTACTATCTTAGCTGCCCCCCAGATCCAATAATTTATCCACCAAGTTACAAAGAGTACTGTTACCTCACAGGAAACCATAAATTATATATACACACACATACACAGTGGACATATATCAGCAGACATCTTACAATTGTCTGTCTTATAGGACATCACACTAATTGCTTAATTGAATGCAAGTAACAGTTTTGTTGGCATATCCATTCAATGCTAGCTTACTAACTATATAAATTAACAGTTTAGGGTCTTAATTAACATCTGTCAGCTGCATTAAATGAGAAACCCACGACTTGTATATTGCTACCTATTTTTAAATCCAAAGTTAGTGAATCCAGTTACTAGGATTGGAGAAAGACTAGGAAATTCCACTGCAGCCAAACCTAAAAATTAACGAGAGTGACTTGAAAACTCCACAAGTGTTTCTGTGTTCTTCAAAAGTGATTCAAACTGCTTCTACGTTTGGTTTATTGGCAGGATTTTCATTTTTGTTTCCTTTATATAGAGATTAAATATGTGAATACAAAGTGAGCAAGAATGTTGGTCCCAGAGTATTAGGCTCTAGGGGTGCAGTGTGAGGTATTAAATCCCCGTACTAACTATTCTTGCATCAGAAAAACATAGAGAACTCAGACCTCGGCTGTAGCCAATGTCATGTAAAATCATTTCAGCTGTTTTTCACATCAGGCTTAATATATTGGATCACAGAATTTAGAAACCAGGTTGGGAAAAAAACAAAAACAAAAAAAAAAACAAGAAAAGCCCTGTTAGACCACAAATTAAATGCAGTATTCCCCAAGGGTGAATGTAGCAGATACTGAACTAATTCTACACTTCACCTTAGTCCAAATGGCTAAGTGTGCTTAGTGATGAATAATTTTTCCTAAATCCTTAGCCTGACCCTGGCAAGCTAAAGGAATCTTAGTAGAGAGATATGGTTATCCTGGATACCCTCACTGTGAGGCAAAGCCTGAAATTACCTGGTTAAAATAATTATCTGCATACTTCTGTCTTAATACACCCTCAATTTTCACATTTTTTATAAACTATTCTTCAACATGAGCTTCAATTCTCTACTTTGTGCTAGAGTAGATGACATGTAATATTTGATTCTGTACTGAAAATTGTGCAGTGCGCACAACCTCTTGCCTCCCTAAATCATTTTCCAACTTGTCTGTATCTGCTGCATCCTTGATGCTAGAAATATCCTCGGTTATATTTTCAAAATCGTCCACTGATTTTTTTTTTCCTGTGTGGCTTTTGGCAAGTGATTTAAGTTTCAAGTACCCCAGAGCTCCTTCAATCCATAAAACATAGGAAATATTCCTGTCTGACAGTTATGTAAAACTAATTAATTATCACGCTTTAGGGACTATAGTTTTTGAAATAAAATCCACACCAAATTACTAAGATTAAAAATTAAACGGAATTTGGATCAGCAGAATAAGATGAATTATTTTCAAAGACAGTTAAAATGCCATTATGTTTGTTTAAAATAAATCACTTTTCATACTTTGGATAGTTTATTATTTTTAATCCCAGCAAAAAACAGCAGCACTAGATACTATTTTTGGCGTGAAGACTAGCAAGCAAGAGAAAGCAAATATTTTTAATTATCTCACATATTTTAACCCAAATATCACGTATTATGCTATTCTATTTTTGTAGCATTTTGAAAACTTTTACTTATCCTTTTCCCACATTCTATGAAACATAGTTTGCTTATTTTCAAATTGAAAATAAGTCAGACATTCAAATCTATGATTTAATAAGGTTTCTCTAGCTCTGAGTTACTAAATTAAACTGTACTAAGCAATTAAAACAATACCCACATTAATTGACTGCATCTATACAATTATTTTGTTTTCTGCTCTTTAATATAGTTAGGCGGGCTGAACATAAATTACTTCTACTTTTGTAAAATTTAAAGTGGGAAACAATTTTTAATTTTTTTTTATTTTAAAGATACTGTTCTCCTTATGGAAAAGATGGAACTTACCTTACTTTTATACCTCTGATCTCCCAGTTTTAACTGGACAAACATCTCTGTCATGCTTCCTCCTGAGACATTCTTCCCTTCCAACAAAGTTATACTTATAATCCCGTTCCAGAGTTGGTTCTTTTTCAAGGACTCAGAGAGCCGTAGGTTGCGTATCAAAGAGGACTAAAGCAAAAAATAAAGATGACATGTAAACTTGCTTCTAATTCCTGAGAGTGACTTTGATGATCATAGGAATTCCAACTTTCAGTATTTAATTATAAAAAAAATTCCTCCCTGCCTGGGGAAAACTGTTTTTTTCATTGGTTTTGCAAACCTGCTGTCACAGTTATGTGACTTCCTTCTCAAGCTTTGGAGTGGTAATAATATAGTGAAGGATGAGTATATGCAACACTTTGACTTGGCACTGGCCGGTACTCCCACCCAGATGCGCTCTTTGGTGGGACTCCTTCAACTGGGCCTTTAGCTATTTTAATAGTGTGAGAGGAAGAAAGACATTCTGGGCAACAGAGATATTATACCAGAACAAGGCATTGCCTTGCAAGGAAGCAAAATATCTCTGGGCATTCAGAAATAATGACTTTGAATTTATCCTTCACATTTGAATCTGTCTCCACTTCTCTTTATTCCTTGGGATACTACCAAAAGCCCTATACCATGTAAGATTCACTAGTCCAAATAGAGCCTCCAGTGGCCTAGCTGGCCAAATGAGCTTTGCAGACCTGGAGTGGGGGTGGGAGGGAAGGGGGCGTATAAAGCACATCTCACTGCACCTGGGACCCAGGAGGGGTTCAATAACTTAACTCTTATTTCCTTTGCTAAATTATATTACTCACACTCATACATACCTTGGAGGAAAAAGGCAAATGTCCTGTTATAAGTTGTAAATAGAGTAGTCACACTTCATTTTTTAATTTCCACTATGTAAATTTTCAAACATACACAAAGGTAAAGAGAAGAGTATAATAAATCTCCATGTACTTAATTACCAGATTCACTGTCTGGCAAATCTTATTTTACCTATGCTTTCATTCCTTTCTGGTTGAAATATCTTAAAGCAAAATCCACATTTGTTTTTACATAAAAATCCTGCTATGATCACACTCAATGGCGTTAACCATAAGTTGTCTAGCATATTAAATACACAGTGCATATTCACATTTCCCTGATGGTCTCAACCATGCCTTTTTATGGCTAGTTTGTCTGAGTCGGGATCCCCACATGATCCACACGCTGCATTTAGTTAGCAGAGTTCATTTACGTTGTCCGTTCAGTAAGTGAAATAACACAAGCATAGGCTTCTTTATTGAAGGAGAAATAAATGGGCTGAAGAATGTAAATGGTGCTGAGCATCATCGTCGAGCAATGAATTTCTAACACTATATATTCATTCCTGTCATCGCTCGCTATATCTTCCAGATCATTTAGACACCAATTTGCTCGGACAGCAGTTAGTCACAATTTATCACAACAAATGGTATGTCAGTACCATAGTCATTATAGCCCAGCTTACCTCATCGAACCCAGGCCACTCCACCACTCTTAATAAGTGACGCAACAATGCCACACTAGGTATTTTGATCATTTATGACAATCTTAAACAAAATACATTCAAGAAAACACATATTCCCAAACTTCCTATCTGTATTACTCCGTTATCACACTGCTATAAAGAACTGCCTGGCGGGTAATTTACAAAGGAAAGAGGTTTAATTGACTCAGTGCAGCGTGGCTGGGGAGGCCTCAGGAAACTTAATCACCATGGAAGGTGAAGGGGAAGCAAGGCACCTTCTTCACAAGGCGGCAGGAAGGAGAAGTGCCGAGTGAAGTGGAAAGATCCCCTTATAAAGCCATCAGATCTCAAGAGAACTCATGAGAATCTATCATGAGAACAGCATGGGGGAAACCACCCCCATAATTCAGTTACTTCCACCTGGTCTTTCCCTTGACAAGTGGGGATTATGGGGATTACAATTCAAGATGAGATTTGGGTGGGGACACAAAGTCTAACCATATCAATATCCATGTGACTTTTCTCTTAAAACACACAGACACACACACACACATAGGTTCTGCAGGTGCTGAGACAGAACAGAAGGGGCAAATGAGGAAAGAATTTTAAAAAGAAAGAACTATCCTCTTCTCTGGTGAACATAAGTAATTCCTTCTTACTTCATATATATATATGGGAATATATGTATAGGAATATTTTAACTATTTCATAAACCTTTATTATTGAATATGTTCCATCCGGAATAATATATGATTATTATTATTGTTATTATTATATATAAAAATAACATATTCCAGATATACTCAATAAAGGTTTATGAAACAGTTAATATTAAGTGATTTTTGTATTGGTCATAAACAGACACCATCACAATATATAAATAGATGTATCTGCATATATGCACATATATCTATAGATGTTTATATAGATATCGATATACTGAATACATTTTCTAGCTTATTAAGTACATGGGCTAAAAACTTCTACCTTTAAAACAAAAATGAGATTTTGATTCATATATCCTGCTGCAATTCCTCCTTTTGCTTTTTTTCTTCTTAAAGTTTGACTTGCCAACCAACAAGCTAAAGCATGACCTGTCCCACGGCCATGCTTCAAAGTTCCGACAGATATATTCCTCCCTAAACACTGCATCTATTTCAAAATCCTTTTTATAAAAAAGGGAGTAATGTCCACAAAGGATCAAAGGGCATCCTACAGTCTGGCAATTGCTTAAGAAAAATGGCAGCACTTCCATGAAATATGCCCTAAAATAATTTTGCGGCTTGGTATGTCCTAATTTCAAATTGGATGTTTATCTTGGAAAGGCTTCTATCTAACTTGTCCATAAAACAGCTCCACTTAGCTCTATGAGCTCTGTGAAAATGGAATCCAAAGCTGGTTATTAAGGGGGCCTAGAGATCGGTTCCATATGGCGGAACAGCATGGGAGGGCAAGGCTGAGGACTGTAGCAGGCGCGACTTGGCTGGAGCTCCTGATCTATCCATGGACACTCGCTGCATTACACCATAACATCTGGATTATTGCTTGTAATGTCCCTGGGAAATATCCACTTTCCATCAAAGCTTTTATCTATCTCAGTCGGACTTTGAACATTTTAGTATTTAACGCAGTCATGTTTGATCTGATGGACTTGCTCTCTGCTGTCCAGGATTTTTTCTACCCCTCCTAAAGGGAGGGCAGGAGAAGTATTTATTGCAGAGTTCACAGATAGAAAAGAACACAAGACCTTTATTCTACTTATTATACCCCAAATATTTCTGCAAACCACTATAAGGTTATTTTTCAAATAAAGTTTCATCTGTGATCCACACATGCTGGAGGAGGTGTACTTTAAAGACGTCTCTTAATTACTTTAACATTTCTCTTCCATACTTGATAGGTTTGATGAGGCCTCAGACCAGGGAGTCTGGGGTTCAGGGTAGGGCCTGGGCCATCTATTGTGTGCTTTCTTGCAGAGCTGGGCTCGCAAAAGTCTTTTGTGCTCTTCAAACACCCCTTTTTTCCCTCACAATAAATCAACTCATCTGCACTCACTCAGCTGAATAGCTTAGGTTTTCATGCCTGTGCCCGAACCTATACGTGAAATTTGTCATCTTAATGCAGCCTGGAATGTGAAAGGAGAGAAGGAAATGACCCATCACAGGGGAAAGCCACCCCACCTGAACTGAAACAGACGCCAAGAGATAGTGAAAAGTTTCGGGCCCCTGACCCTAATTTCTCAGCAGACATAATGGATACAATACAGTACATCAGGGTTTTGTTATTTTTCTCCTTCCTCCCAAAGGATCAGACCTTTCGCTATTCCTATGTTGATTCATTCATCTGCTCTGTCTTTCTCAGCCCCCACCTCACCAAATCCCCACCCATTTTTCTAAAACAGAAAAGGTGACTTCCACTTAAGGCACACTGGCTAGTTATTAATAGTGAAAACAAGGTGTGCTGTGCCAGTTAGAAACATATTAACTTCTGTAAAAGAGCTTTGAAAACACTAATTTACTTCTCGTTCAAGACCATCCCGAGGCAGGAAGGGGAGAAACTTTGCGGTGGGACTAAAATTATACCCAGCAGATTCAAACAGGTAGGGAATCCTCATAAGTTTCTGATCTAGGACTAGACTCTAAAACAGGGAATGTACTGTCATTGCTGGAATACATGAAATGGACTACAGTTTGGTGGCATACATTATTTGATGTTTTGGGCCTGGGGACAAGCTGGGGAGATAGTGATGTGAATTCCAGTATCCCTTTTCCTTGGCATGGCTGCAGAGGAAACTGAGGAAGGATGGACAGGTCAGCTTGGTGCCTCTTATCTGTCCGAGGCCAGGTGGTGCCTCTTATCTGTCCCAGGCCAGGAAGAGTGGCAGAGAGGTCAGGAGGAAAGAAATCCTAAAAGGAGGGCATGAAGTCAGGAGCTGGAGCCACAGCCTACGGCCATCTAAAGCAAGATTACATTCAACTAGGTGGCACTCCAGAACTGACGATGCCAAGCAATACCCACGGGATAATTCTCCAAAATACTCTCTTGCATATAACACAATACCAATCAGCCAACCAACAAAGAGAGAAGTAAGAAAAGGCACTGACCAGAGCATACCTGCCAGGTGCCAAATAATGTACTGGTACTCCATACATAGTCTCAGAGACAGAAGGATAAACATATCAGTGTTCTCGTGGTGCCAATAAATCCCATTTTGACTGTCATTAATTGTTTTTCCTAAGTCATTATGGGAAAGTAAGTAGTCAATGGAAACAAATGCATTAAAAAAATCAACTTCGTAAGAAAAATGAGTAGTAAAGTCAGATTCCAACTATGTTGACCACTGCTTTGAAAACTAAAGAGAAAACATTGAGCCTATAAAATGTTTCACTGAAATATTCCTTTCAAGCTTTTTCAACATGTAAAACTACTGTTCCTTGTCAACAGCTTTTATTGCATGACATGAGAAGATCCATACATCCATGGAACAGGCTCCCAGGGAAAATTCTTCTCTGCAGCTCCTCTCTATCATCTGAAGAGGATACTGGACCCATAAATTCTCCTAGAACTACACAGAAATCCTTGCATGAGAATAAAAAGAAAACCTTTTAAATTTCCCACATGTAAAAGTCCACAGAAGTTGCAATTTATACTTGTAGATAAAAATGGTATCAGTTCCAGAGATATGAATAATCTGTGTACAAATACATTAGCTATAAAAGCTTTGCATTAAATTTAATATTTTTAAATTATAAGATAAAATTGTCACTCAATTTTTGTACTTAAAAATAAAAATAGATTAAGAGAAGATTTAAAAAAATAGTTAAAGACTGCACATACCCAGTGACTCTCAGATTTTAGGACCAGCGAAATGCTTCTAATGCATTTCCTACTATTTAAAAAAAAAAATGAAGAGATAAAACAACACAACAACAAGGGCCATGTGATTCAACAAGATTTTCTTTTTGCCCTGACCTGTAGGAAGCTCAAGTTATATGTTGGGCTCATGTGCAATAGTATTAATCGTCTTGTATTTCTTGATTTACTTGTATAATCCTGCTACCCTTCACTTCTCTATTGTTCTATATTTCTTACTTAAAATACTTTATAAGCAACCCTACCGAGGGCTGGGAGTAGTGTGAAGCAGTGAGGTACACAGCTCATGCTCCAGGTTCTGCAAGTGCAGGGCTGGTGCATCAGCCTGGATGTCTTATTTTATTTTGAGACGGAGTCTCGCTCTGTCACTCAGGCTGGGGTGCAGTGATGTGATCTCAGCTCACTGCGACATCTGCCTCCCAGGTTCAAGCAATTCTCCTGCCTCAGCCTCCCAAGTAGCTTGGACTACAGGAGTATTTTTTGTATTTTTAGTAGAGACAGGGTTTCACCATGTTGGCGAGGCTGGTCTTGAACTCCTGACCTCAAGTGATCCACCTGACTCGGCCTCCCAAAGTGCTGGGATTACAGGCATGAGCCACCGTGCCCAGCCCCGGATGCCATTTTATGTTTTGCACCCAGAGCACCTCTCTTGCCTCACCTTAATCCCAGCCTACCTCCATCACCTTATGGTTAGGAGCCAGAGCCATGGCCTCCAAGGCCTGCCCTTCCTTACATCTCCTGCTTTTTCTCCTACAGTTCCCAGCATCTTTCTTTATACTCTAGTCCTTCCCAGGGCTTCTCAAACTTGAAGGTGCTTGACAGTCACCTGGAGGACTTGTTCAAAGATGGCTGCACCTCATTTCCAGAGTTGCTGATTGAAGAAGTCTAAGATGGGAGCCAGGAAGTTGGATTTCTAACCATTACCAGCTGCGGCTGGTCCAGGGGACACACCGAAAAGCAAGCTGTTTAGAGTCCTACAATAAATAGTTTGGAGATCTTACCATATGCCACATTATTTTATCCTGAAATGTTTCCATTCATTTCATCCTCTTTCTCAACTGATGAGATTCATTCCAGTCTTTTTTTTTTTTTTTTTCAGACAGAGTCCCGCTGTGTTGCCCAGGCTGGAGTGCAGTGCTGCGATCTCGGCTCACTGCAAGCTCCACCTCCCAGGTTCACACCATTCTCCTGCCTCAGCCTCCAGAGTAGCTGGGACTACAGGCGCATGCCACCACGCCCGGCTAATTTTTTGTATTTTTAGTAGAGACGGGGTTTCACCATGTTAACCAGGATGGTCTCGATCTCCTGACCTCGTGATCCGCCCGCCTCAGCCTCCAGTCTTTTTTTATCTGAGGGCTTTCCTGAGCCCAACACAGAGACCAGCGTCCAACCCACTCCACCCACCTGAAAGGCCAGGATAATGGTCTCACTGCACCCTTTGAATACCTCCGTCACTAATTCTCATTTCTCTTACCTGCTCATCAATTCTGATGACTGAGTCTAATTCACCCTGTATCCAAGGACAGGTTCTACCGCAAGTGTATGTGCTCAGTGAGAGGTTTTGGGGCAAACTGAGTCAAACATCACTGAGAGGAGAGATTTGATGAGATGTTAAGGAAGACAGTCCCTCTGTCCCTCTGGTGTGGAGTACATACAAGCTTTGAAAGTTCTGATAAATTGATAGCTTCACCTAAACAAGGCTACAGCTTCCAGGGAGGAGGAAAGCCTCTAGAAGTCATTCTGTCCAGGTTAATACTGACCTAGACTTCATAATAAGGCATCAGAAGCATCAGGGTTACGACATTCAGCAGTGGGTCAGTGCAGTGTGACATTTAGATTGATTGATTGACAGATGAAATAGAGATAGAAGACAGATAGAGACGGGTAGATAAATTAGATAGATGAGCTAAATTAGATCATAGATGGAAAACAGACAAGCAGATAGAGGTAGGTGTACAATAAGCACATAGATAAATGTGGCTGTTTTGAGTATTCAGTTCTCCAATCCTTTGAGTTTAACCAAGAAAATAAAAAGGTAACAGGTGTTACTAGGAGTGGGCATTTGAATTCAGTGAAGAATGCATGAAAACAAAAAAACAGTACAACAAACAAAAAAAACTGTATTAATTTGGGAATAATTCCAGGTACAACACACTTCCTTTAAGTCCTCAAATGGACCATATTTCCTCCTGCAAGAGGGTTTTACTTGTACTACTTCCTGGGCCAACACAGAAATAAGACATGTGAGTTCAATTAGAGAAAGCGGTACAGTGAGAGAGGGCATTCACCTAGAAGATGACAGAAGTGGCATCTTTGAGTAGCTCCTTTTCAACCCAAAGATATATGACTACAAACAATCAAAAAACGTCTCCTGGTTCTCACCTGGGCTCTGGTCACGGAGCAGTTCATTTGAGAGAGAGAGGAAGACAGAGAGAGAGGAGAGAGAAAGGAGAGGAGAGAAATGAAGGGGGGGAGGGGGAGGAAGATGGGGAGGGGGAGAGGGAGAGGGGATGGAGAGGGAAGGGGGAACGGAGAGGGAGAGAGAGAAGGGGGATGGAGAGTGAGAGAGGAGAGGGAGAGGGGAAGGGAGATTGATTCCCTCCAAATGCTATGACTGTCTTCTCAGTGTATGTAGCCAGGTGGAGGCCAGCTGATAGGAGTGCCTAGAGAATGTATCCTGCAGAGGTCAGCCTTTGCAATAACAGAGAGGAACCAAAATAAAAGAATATAAAACCAAACAGGCCAACAATTGGCACTAGAAGTCAATTAATTTCGTACAGAAAAAAAAATTACACTAGTATAAGTCATGTTTCTTACTTTAGACAGCAGACATATTAATACATATAACAGAGGGTCAAAAGAGAGGCTACGTAAGAGTATGTACTTATCTTGGTAAAAATTCATCTAAAGTAAAGATAATCCATAACTAAATAGCCATTGTAGTCAGACATAACACCTATACACACCCAAATAATAGCAGGGGGTGTGGGGAGTGTATGTGTGTGTGTGTGTGTATGTCTGTGTGTGTGTGAGAGAGAGAGACAGAATATGTGCAGTTTCTGAACACAATCAGTAATTTGTCAAAGCCATTTTTTATCATTGCTTTTTTGTCTTTATATTAGACTATTTGATGTAAGGTAAATAACCACTGTTAATATTTTTTAGCTCTCGAATTGTTATACAAATTAGAAAAGCGGGAAATAAGGCTTGGAAACAAATCTGGTCACACCAAAGATTGTATATAGTAAATACATAAAGAGAACTAGGTGTCGAATTCAACCCTATTAAATGAAATTCCCAATTCTTATTTGAAGGCCCATTTTTAAAGGCAATCTCATTGTATTTACTATATTGAAATCCAGGGCCGAACAGTAAGAAAACAGTTGAAAAAAAGAATCTACAAAGGCCATTCAGGAACCTTTTGGATGATGCAAAATTATAGATTTATGGCATTAAGAAGCAATTATCTGAATAAAGTTATTATAAGAAAAAGATTCAGGTGAAAAAGCTAATGATATTTTTAGGTAATACATTCCTTAGGACTAGTGAAAATTTTAATACTCAGAGCTAAGTAATCTTCTTTATGTTAAATTATTACATAATATTAAATACAATGTGGAAATCCTAAAATAGAACCTGATAATTTAAAAATACCAAAAAATAGGCCGACCAGGGTATTTTAACTACTTTTACAGGTTGTTGATCAAGCGTCTATAGTCTCCATGTGACTAATTTCCATAAGCCAAATTAGACACTACCTGACTTTTCTCTTTAAAACTGTACATTCTCAGAAGCAAAAAGTCAACATAATTGAAATTTCCCAGCAAAATATAACTTGTGTGCCTTGAATAAGAGCATAAGTAGCTTTCAAAAATTAATAAAGTAAACTTTATTTATCTAGGATTTTATTAAACATGTATACTCGGGATGGGCGCGTATTATATCCCTGAGCCCAGTGCACTGAAGTCAAATTCGAGAAACTACCATGATGGGAAAAAAGCAAAAAAAAGACAAACAGCTCAGTTCTAAGACACAACTCTGAAGTATACATATAAATACTGCTCTCCGGGATCTTCTGTTTCCTTCATATTTTTGATAACTTCACCCAGGCCGTCAACATTTTTTCTACTCCCCATCATTCGTTTGGCCATTCTTCCACAACCTCTCCTGTCCTCCCTAGACTCCAATATTCCCCAGGCTCACAATCTTTCTTTCTAGCCTTTATGTTCTTCCACAAACTGCCAGTGCTCTTCCACAGACCAAAGCTCCCTAACTAAAGATGGTTATTGATGTACAGTACCCGTGTTTTAGTGCAGCAGCAGAATCAATAAACGAGAAAATACTGCTTTGTCAGGCTTCCCCAAAGCATTCTGGGAAACTTTACTGCTTTGGGTGGTTACAGAAACTCTTAATATGGGAGAGTGAGAGCTGGGCTTAGTCCTGTGGTGAGAAATGATGTTCTTCTACCCTCTAGTGACTATAAAGGAATAAGGCAAATGTTGAAGGAATTTTTGAGATGGCTCCGTGTTATTATTTCTTGAATATTAATTTTATTACTAAAAAGAATCAGAGTCTTGGGAACCAAGTGAACTCATACGGTAACAAGACACCTTATGAGAATTATTTTAAAGTGTTCATAATGCAAAGGGTATATCTTTTAGTAAGTATGAGTCAGAACTCTGTTTCCTTCGTATTTTCAAAAGCAAGATTTGAAAGTTTGCTTTCTTCTTAAGTGACTAGTAAAAGTCAGTTTAAAATTCTCTGTTTCTCTCTTTCGCTCTCTCGGTCTCTCATCCGCATCCAAACTCCAGTCTTTGAGCTGGCAGTGGCCCCAGTTTCAAGCTCCTTATTATGTAGAGAAATAAGTAACTGAGGTACAGTGACATTAGAAATCAGAGCTGGCGTATTTATGTGCACATATATGTGGGTGTGCAAATACAGGCATTCACCGAGATCATCTGTACATCTTCCGATCACACACACCACCACCACCACAATTCAGAAACTGAAGGAACAGTCTCAAATACTGCATCATTTCGTAGGAATTATTTTGTTGTTATTTCTCCTTACAAAGTATAATTTCTCCTTAATTTATAAATTAAGTTACAAATACTTTTTTGCTGTGTTTATTTTTACACTAATTTTCACATTTAGTCATTTATGTTACAACTGGCTACTTTAATAACTTCATAAATTAATAATGCATTCTTGCGCCTTTTATAAATCAGACAGAAATGTATAATTGCTTAAAAAGATACTATCAATGTAAAAACTAAATAACCAGCAATTCATGAGAAAGCTTTAAAGGAAATTTTACCAAAAATTTATAAATGGCTTTTTCAAAAGATATTAAAGAGACTTAAAAAGTGTACCACATGTTTCTTTCAACCCTTACATTGCCCCTACAACACCAATGCTAGTTTCCATCTCATGGCAAATAACTTCCTAAAGGGACTAAATCTAACCATGCTAAACTCTAAATAATCCAAGCTTAATGAAGTGTAACACTCTAACATGGCCGGTACATATAAAATGCCACCACTAAAACAAGAGTCAGCTCAAACATCTGGCAATACCCTTATTAAATAAAATTTTTAAAGGAAGGTTGTTTTCTTATTCGTAACAGCAGTAAGAGGAAAAGAATTCTGTTTGATGTAAAGATTGGGTAATATCTATCATGCAGTCATTTTTGTTTGCTACAAAGACAAAGTTTTTAACCAAATGATCTAAAGGAAAAAAAAGTATATTTACCTTGCTGGCACTTAATCGCTTCCGATTTGACCAACGCTAAAGATTTGTGTCCGCGGAATGGTGAAAATGGCAAAATAAAACAGAGGAAGATAGAATCATTATCAATGTAATTATATTATGTTAGATGGTCCAGGTTACATTCAGATAATTAATATCCAAGTTCTGAGGTTATAGAGAAAGCATATTTGAGCAAGAAAATAGAAACAACAACAAAGAGTCACATGTATGTGGTTGTGTTACATCATTTTCTCTAAGTATTCAGTATGAAAAAGCCATGACATAAAAATACTGTTCAATCTTTAGAAGTACATTTTTAAAAATTATCTTAAAACACCATATTATTCTCTCTAAAAAAGCAGAAAGGTTTCTTCTGCTTGAAATACTCAGATATTATAAAAATGTTTAAGAAATTCATGACCACTGATAGTTGATGTTTAGGTTTCCATAGTTTTAGATGCTAGAAAAAAATAATTCCATTTACTTCAAGTAAATCTCAGTATTCAAAACACTAGACAAAATATGAATAATTATTGCATAATTAAGAAAATGTGCTAATGCAGTATCTAAGGAAAAGGAAAAAAATTTCTAAATAGCAAGAAACTTCACCACTGTTCTCTTCTGATCTCTCCTCTGTCATGCTAAGGCTGCTGAATTTGGTCTACAAATTCTCTCCAAGCAAAACCCTCTCATCACTCCTGTCACCATTCAGTACTGCAAAGCTCTACTGTGGCTGGTTAACAAGCTAACTGGTTGTTACAACTTGGATAAATTTGGGAGGTTACAACTCAATTATAAACCTAATTGAGCAGACCACATTTACTATTTTTCTTAAGAAAAAAATACCTTTAGGTAAATGACCGATCCACTTTGCCAATATGTCTTCCCAATACATTAGAAACCAGAAAATTAATAATCTTCAGGGGAAATCCACTTACATTGCATTGACCAGCAACTAGAAATGTTGGTACAGAAATGACTGAAAAATATTCTTCATTAATTACATGTCCCCCAGTGATATTGGGAGTTCAACATTCAGCCTATGACAGAGTTATAGGTACTATAACCTGGATATTAATATCAGGGTTTTGTTTTTTTTTTTTGTATTTTCCTGAAATAGTGACAGATATTTTCACCCAAACCAACCACCAAAATTAATTACCATCTTTTAGGTACACAGGGCTATTTAGGCCTTTTGACACATAGGAACGCATTTGATATTTTTTAACAATTACACAAGATAAAGCATGTAAATAAATTAATGGAAAATGACTATTACTATTCACTTCCTACAATGCTACCAACTACCATATATTGAGTGTCTCTACCCAATTCCAAGCACCATATTTGATAATTTCAATCTTCACAACCCTATAAAACAGACACTCTTTTTATCCTTGTTTCACATATGAGGAAATTATAGCTTAGAGAGGTTAAATAATTCTTTGAGTTAACCAGACCACTGGTGGATCTAGGATTCAGACCCAGGCAGTCTGAGAACAGAGCTCCTAATTTTAGCTACTATTTTTTTCCTGTTTTTTGCCACAAAAAAAGAACACAGAGTATGTTTGTCAGCCTTGCAGCCAGTGTCTTCCCTTCTGCCTGCACCATTCTCATATACATTTAAGTCCCTGGACACAAGAGTAAATTCATAAACATTTTGTACATACTGAGATTTTTGTCAGCTTGGTTCTAAAGCAACAAAGGCTACCTCAAAGATGACTGGAAGAAAAAGGGGTAAAAAACTGAGAATTTAAACTGAAATCTCTCCATCAGAGTTTAAATTAAAATGGAAATTTATAAACAAATTATCTCACCCAAATAATCTACTGATTTCCAGTCCCAAGTGCTAGTTATTCCCACTTAAAATCCCAATATAAAAATCTCTTTAAATATTAACTCAAACTCAATGAAAAGAACAAAGATTCTGATAATCTATTTTACCCCAAGGCTCCCAATATGCACTGTTAGCTGAATAACCACACATGGCCCAGAATAAATTATTCCTCAATTAATTTTCTTTGATCAAATATATAAATGGAAAAAAACTACCAATCAGAAGAGATAAGAGTAGGCAGTTGTCTATATTTCCATTATATATATATATGTTATATATATACATGTTTATCTCCATATGTATATATATATAGGTATTCATATATGTGTATATGTGTATATATGTATATGGATCCATATATATGTGTATATATACATGTATCCATATATATATACACACACATACATATATATCTCCATATACATAAATATGGATATAAAAATTCACAAAGATAGCTATTTGAATATGCAGCTATTTTCATGGAGAAATCAACTACCTTTACAAACCCAACTTGAATAAATATGGATATGGAGATAAATATATATGTATGTGTGTGTATATATATGGAGATATATATGTGTGTGTATATATAAATATATATGTGCATATATAGAGATATATATGTATGTGTGTATATATATGGAGATAAATATATGTGTATATATGGAGATAAATATGCGTATATATGGAGACAAATATATATTTGTGTATATATAAATATATATGTGTGTGTGTGTGTATATATGGGGATAAAAATATATTTGTGTGTGTATATATAATCAATATAGTGTACACTAGGCTTCTGCCAGACAAAGACAAAAGAAAATAAGGAAGCACATGAGTGAGCGGACAGACATTCTGACAAAGTCTTCAACATGGGAGGTGGGGAGTCAGAGGAAACCAGGCCTACACTAAGAGGAAATATGGCTATTCTTGAGCCCTGAAAACATAGTCTCTTTGAGATCTTTTACAAAAACAGCTCCAAGCTGAGTCTAGTATTAACTGTTCTGCAATTTGAAATAAATTGAAACTAAAATGGCATTATGTTAAAACTCTAAATTTTGACAATATTAAATATCTTTTAAGTGCCAATATTACTGCTAAACATAATCTAATATGCTATAGAAAACTTCACAAAGGCAGTCATTTGAATATGCAGCTATTTTCATGGAGAAATCAACTACCTTTACAAGCCCCACTTGAATATATAAGAAATTTTTTGACGATATCAGCTGGCAAGTTGTCAACCACGTGACAAATAACTATTTACATTGCATGCTATAACCTAGCCCCCAGCTCAAGTCACCGGTCACCTACTGTATCACTGACACTGAATCCAGAGTCACGGATGCAGCAGCAATGCTGTCAAGATCAAGAAGAAGCTAAAGAAAATCCCTCCTTCTTTAGGTGGGATGAGAAAAAATACTTTTATTTTCAACATTAATTTAAGACATTTTAACATTAAAATATCTCTTTTATTGAGGTCACAAGTGTCAACAGGGCCACTTTTTAAAAAGAAGTAATAAAAGGAACTCAAGTTAAAAATAGCAGATATTTAGTTGAATCTTTGAAAAGGTAACTGAAAAGTCACACTACAGTTTTCCTACTGCTTTAAGCTATCTTCTCTGAGTTTACTAGTAAATCAATCACGGTTTTCATCATAAAAAGCTACAACTAGAAGCATAAGTGATGTCAAAAGAAAAATATTCTCCTCACCCACCCCACTGCCTCAATTCAAGAAGCATTACTGGAGACCTAATTATAAATAGGCTTTATATTTTTATATTGGATTATAAACATGCTAAATTATAACACATCTTAAAAAGCAGGTACTTCAATTGGCTTTAAAAATACTTTTCAAATAAGTCATCATCAAAGATGCTTTTGTTCTAATATAGCCTTAGAATTATAAAATATAATCCCAAATAAAATAAGATTATGATTTGTATCCACATTTTTGCTCAAAAGAAGAGTCCCAATCATATTGTGACAAAGTCTAATGCTTCACTGATGTTACAGACATCTTTGATAGGTACTGTATCAACTAGAAATTTGCATGTACTAGACTAGAGAACATTAAAATTTGTATCTTCCCAAAAGAACTCCCAATGGAAAACTTGGTAGCTAAAAGTAAAAGAAGAAAGAAGAAACCAAAATGCTGCAAATGTATGCCTGATCATCTTAATAACACAAAAGAAATAAT
This sequence comes from Homo sapiens, assembly GCF_000001405.40. NCBI lineage: Eukaryota > Metazoa > Chordata > Mammalia > Primates > Hominidae > Homo > Homo sapiens. Next base: position 94,341,127 of record NC_000015.10, on the reverse strand, counting down.
TCCTTAACAAATTTCCTTTCCGGTTCCTCAAAGAAGAGCATTGTATTAAAAAACAGATATTTTAAGACTCCATAAAATGTTGCACCCCCCCTAAAATAATTGCAAAAACATCAGTCATCTGCTAGCTATCAAGGGACAATTGCAATGAGCCATTTCAAAACGACAAAATGAGAGGTTTCAAAAGAATAGAAGGTCCCACTTACGTGTCTCTTGAAATCACCCTGTTTTACCACTAGGTTCAAATTTAACACGATCACTCCCATGTCATCTTCTAAACTGTTTGGATCTTCCAGTTTTAAAATATGTTCAGTTGTTCTACAAGCAAAAAGCAACAAATAATGCTACCACTTATTGACAGGACTGTATTGACCTACACGCATCAGGAGCTTATGGTAAAAGTCTCCTACCTCTGAATAAGGATTAGACATGATGTTAAGAAAGCACAAAATTTAGTGAAAATAAAACAGTTATATTCAGAGTAGAGAAACTGTTTGGCATTGTTTAATTCAACAGTTGGTTAACTGATCCCCCTCCCCTACCACTCAAATAAAATGTAAACACTTGTTTTAATTTTAAGTTATGTTAATGAAACTGAATATTAACAAATCAAAGTATGAAATCCAATACACACTTTAGAATGCATTATAAAATACTTAACATCTGACTAATATATTTGGCACCTGGAAAGCAAAAATCCTTAAAAATACACTGACAGTTATAACACTTTAAAGCTCTCTTTCATTTGTTCAGATATGTTATTTTTGTCATTTGACCTCAACAAGCACCATTTAACATTATCGTAAGTTCCCTCTAAAACTCATCAATAACAATTAAAATGTAAAAATACGGTACCTGTTAAGCTCAAGATCACTGAGAATGACAAATGCAGAACCCATGAAATCAGATGTGGTTAAATCTCGATCATATACCTACAAAGAGGACAGAGGTCAATTAACACATTATTATGGTAAACCAACTGAGTTTTTCAAATTATTAACAAATGCAATAGGTTGGAAATTCTGAAATCAGTCTTTCAGATCTTGAAATACTTTGCATAGTATAGTTAAAGAGAAATTTAGTCAAGCCAATGCAGAGAACAAAATTATTCAATCTTGCCCATTTTGCCTACTATGACCAAAATAACAGCAACAATTTCTTTTAAGGCAGTATTTATATCCATTGAAATGTTATGCACAATGGACCATTCTCTGTAGTTTAAATAGTCTGTCATTAAAATTTAGTATTTTCCACAGTGAGCAGATCTGCCAATTAAATAGAAATTTGCTAAATTTTCTATAGCAATCTCATCCTGCACTCAACTCATGCAGTTTTAACCCAGATGTTGTAGCAATTGATGCTTACAAGGGGTAGCTTGAAGCTCTATTAAGTATAAAGATATTCCTAATGAGAAAGGCTTTAGTACTTGTCACCACTGCAGTACCAGTAATAATTCTTCCACATTTGGTAGACTGAAATGCAATCAATGTAGATATTATTTTCACTGGAGTGTATCTCATTGATTGAAGAGAAACATACAGTTTCAACAAACAGTATAAGGAATTTTTTCTATATTATTATTTTTAATCTGTCCTAATAAAAGAATTAATTTTGGCAAGTTCACGTCTAAGAGGACATGAGAAACTGCTGAGAAATGTTTTTAATAAAGGAGCAGATTTGAAAGCTATCTGTGATTACCTTCACACGTAGCTTTTGATCAAGGCTTTGGATTGGCAATACAACTATCTCATCCCATACTGGGTTCAAGTTCTTATATATGACTTTACTTTTGTACAGCGTCTTCCCATTCAGCTTAAATTTCACATAAGGATCACTTGTGCCTTTAAAAGGAAAAGAAAACAAGACAGAATTTTAAAATACATGTAAAAGCCTGGGACTTTCATTAAATAAAGATCCTTTCCCCACTCCCCAGGCTAATGTCTCCCTGCACAGAGATTAAAGGGCTCGGAGATGGAAGACAGGGAGATATGAAAGAATTTGGGGTAAATGAACGATTTTTTCCCTTTAGTGGTAGAATATAAATGGGCTCTTTGAGTAATTTTTATTTTCTTTCATTGTGGGTAGGTCACTCCTATACTACTCGCAAAAATTCAAGAAGTAAAATCTACCAGCACAAGCTAACAGGGTCAGTAGTCTTAGGGAGAAGCCCACCCTCTCCTAGGAACTGCAGCAAGTCAGTGAAAAGTGAAAGAAATCAGTTTCAAACATTTAGCCAGATGGCTGATTCAACAGAATCCTATACTTGAAAATATAATCATAATAAATAAAATCTCTGGAATCACTGGCTCAAAAGATGGCACGATGGGGCTACAAGTGAAACTGGAGGCGTAGAGATTAAATTGACAAAGTTGCCATTCTTTGCTGCGTCCCCGCACCTGCACTAAAGCAGCCAACATTGTCTCAGCCAGGGCAGCTGAACTCCACATCAGCCAGGCCCTCAGCTGGCCTCAGTGCTGACACCGCTGACCCGCCCGGCTCCTCCCTGGGAGCTTTGAAACAGACGCCAAAAGAAATGAATAATGTCCCTCCAGTCACTCCGCCCAAAGCAAAAAGAAGGGCTGATGGCAGACCCTCCTCCACATTTTTCAGATCAATGGAAGTAAAAAAAAAAAAAAAAAAAATGCCTGCAAACATAATACATGAATTATGTATTGTGCGTGTGTTACATGCATGTGCGTCGCATGATACAATGCTTGGAATACACTTGTTCATTACTACCTAGTGAACGGTGGAAGGAGGAGGCACAAATGAATGAGCAATCAATGAGGAGATAAACGAAGGCCAGCTGATAACGCTACAAAGAAAGAAAATCTAATTTGGGGAGTTACAATACTATAGTTAATTTTGAAACACGGCACAGTGAATAAGCATACAAAGACCAACAGCCCGGTCTGTTCACTGGTATCTCCCCTGTGCCTTGGACAGTACCCAAGATAGGCCCCCAGAATATTTATTGAAATGAATTGCTGATAGCAACGTCAAGCCAATATAGTCTAGGACTATTATATCAAAAATTAATTAGGCTACTGTATCATAACATTTATCAAATCATTAATATCCATCATGCATTACTTCAATCTTTTACTTTTTCAGCTCCTTTTAATATTTCTATTTAGCTCCAGTACTAAAAATTACTGAAAATGGAATGCACTACATTTCCCAGCTATTTGAAATGACATTAACATCACTACGAACTAAAATAGCAGCCATGGTTTAAAAGCCTTACTAGATTAAGTAAGGCATGATTTTGAGAAGTCAGCCTTCCAGTACTGCAAGCGTACTAACTTTAAACAAAAATTAAATAAGCTGCAAATAGATACATATACATAGTCAAATCTCACATTTTAAGTTTGAGAACATAGGAGTAGAAGCCCATCAGTCTTTATTTTAAACTTGGGCATGCACACGCGCGTGCATGCGCGCGCACACACACACACACACACCGTGTTCGGGCCAGTTCTGAGAAGAACAGTAAAAATGAATGCATTCACAGCCATTCAGTGAAATGCTCACTAGTGAGAGTACAGTCGCCCACCCCCTCCCTCCTACAGCAGAAGAGAACACCTCTGGCGAGGCAGACTTTAACAATCATTCTGATATATATATATAAAAAAGTGGGGGAAAACTATAATAAAAAGAGGCCTTTAATTAAATGAAATTGCCACTCTGGGATCAGGCCTTCATGCTTGTCAGCGTACTCTCAAAATAAACATCTCAAAACTAGGCCTCAGTGGTGTCAGTTTCTCACAGGCAAGGCATACTGGGTAATCCCCAGGCATCTTGACAGCTACATAATGTTCAAACTGTTTCACGGGTGAATGGCGGCAGTTGCGTGAAAGAAAATATTAATGTCTGGAATTAATAGAAAAAGGGACCGGGGTTTACAAAGCCAAACAAGGAAAGAGGGTGTCAAGTTAGTGCCGCGTTAATTGTTAGGGAAAATTTGAGAGAAGGGGGAGCACATTGTGATTTTCTCTCTGAGCCTAAGTGCCTCACTGTCAGGGAAGTGACATCTCAACTAGGCAGCTTCTGAAAAGGGGTCGGCCACTCAGGAATGCAACTCCCAGATTATACAAATGATGAGATGACACCTGAATGGGTGGACTTTAACCTTGTTCACTGGGAGCTTCAGAAACAATGAGGCTCTTGTAGTAGTGTGGTACTCGGCGAGGAGAATGAAGCCAGGAGTCCAGAGACGGTGCCTCCATTCTGGGGCCGTCACCAATTCTGCCATGGGGACCTGAAGGAGTCCCTCAGCCTCAGACGTAGACTATCAACATGTTAAGCATTCATGGCCTGAGTGTCCTGCTCCATTCCAAACACACAGCAGTACATATATACATATATATGTGTATATATATACACACACATATATGCACATAAATATACACATACATATATATGCACATACATACATATATATATATATATATGCTAAGCAAAACTAACAGCCAGTCATCAGTCCTCTAAAAATGTTGCACCCACTTCCCTTCCTAACGACCATGTGACAGCCCTTGTTTCTACTCCTGCCCACTGACACTACGGGTCATCATGTCTGCCTCGATGTTGCATCTGTCAGGCATGCTAATGTGCCACAAACAGCTTCCGGCCATTTCCGAGTGTGGCTCCATGCTGAGCACTCCAGGAGGTTACATGGTGCATCCATCCCAGATCCTGCTCTTCTTCACCTAAGGGGCAGCAGGCAACCCAGAAATATAACACAAAGTCCAAGAAGGAAGTGTCCCAACAGAAGTGAACCTGGGAATGAAGATGGCTCATAGGTGGGAAAGATTAGTTCCAGCTGGAGTGCCAGTGGAGGCTGCAATAAAGAAGATGGGAGTTGAAACATGGGTGGATCAGAACAGGCAGAGAAGGTCATTCCAGTAGGAGGCATGTGCTCCAACAGCGAAGGAGGGAAGGAGACTCAAAATGACTAGAGCGGTGTGGTGCCGAGCATGCATTTCAATCTATCCAGAGATTAAGGGAAGAACATATAATGAGAAATAAAGTTGTAAAAAACAGATGAGTCGGAGGCCCAAGTAGCCTATAAAAGCAAAATAAGGAGTTTAGTTTATAATCTGTAATAAAGACAGGTGATTTTCCTCTTCTCCTTTTTTTAATTTTTAAGAAAAGTAATACATGCACACAACTCTGAAAGGGATGAAAAGTAAAATCTCTCCTCTAGTACTCTTCGCGGATTCTCATTTGTCTAATATACCCACCATAAATAGTTTCTTGGGCATTTTACAGGAAAAAAAATAGAATTGTTTTTAGTGGACTCACGCTTTCACAATTAACATTCCTTGGAGCTCTGCTCATACCAGCAATGTAGATCAACTGTTTTTTAAAAAACTAACTGAATATATTTTCATTGCATTGTGTTAGTTTATGTAACTAGTTACTAAATAATGGATATTAATATCTTTTCCAATTTTATTAACTAGTACAAACAATACTACAATAGGCATCCTTCTATAATTATCTTTGGAGTCCATAAGTGATTATATGCAGAGGAAAATTTTAACAATGAAACTGCTGGAGAAATGAATATGAAGGGCCCATGGTTTTGTCTTTTGCTTATGGAATTAAATGAGCCCCTTTATTATGGAAATCAATCAGCCATTGACTATAAGTCTTGTCAGAATTTGTTTAGACTTACGTTATTTCTGACAATAAGTGACTTTCATTTTTATTTCATCAAATTTACCTAAGTTGTATTTACGGCTTTGTAGGTTAACATCCTGTTTAGAAGCAATGTCGTACAAAATTTTAAATTAATTCAGCTATGTTTTCTTCCACTGATTTTATATTCTTTTCTTTTTTTACACCACTTAAGCCTTTGGCTCATCTGGAATTACTTTAATACGAAGAGGGAAGGAAATTCAGGTTCACTCACGAGCAGCAGGGTAAAGTGTTCAGAGCCAAGGTTTAGAAATATAAATCTGACAGCAGCTTATAATTTAGAAGAAAGAAGAAAGAGGGTAAAGCTAGGAAACCTGGTAGTTGAGAAAATATAGCAACAGACAGTTGAGGACTGAGGAGAAAGCTGGCACCAGACCACAAGAAGGACCTACTCAAGGTTTCGGAAAGTCCCCTAAAAAGTACTTCCATAGAACTTCATGGGAGGGGCACTCCACGGATGGGAAAGGGTATGTGATCTAAACCATTTAGAAAAGCTGCTTACTATTTCCCAGCTTAGAACTTTCATAATATAGAGTAAAATATTAAACTATGTTAAGAAATGCAGTACAGACAAATAACAGGCTGGATACAGTGGCTCACGCCTGTAATCTCAGCACTTTGAGAGGTCAAGGCAGGAGGATCACTTGAGGCCAGGAGTTTGAGACCAGCCTGAGTGACGCAGTGAGACCCCCCATCTCCACCGAAAAAAAAAAAGTTTCAAAAAATTAGCTGGTTGTGGTTGCATGTGCCTGTGGTCCCAGCTACTCAGAAAGCTGAAGCAGGAGAATTGCTAGAGCCCAAGATTTAGAGTTTACCATGAGCTAGGATTATGCCACTGCACTATAACCTGGCTAACAGGGCAAGACCCTGTCTCTCTAAACAAACAAAATCAAAAAACACCTTAAAGTTTTCTACTCCATATTTTACAAATGTATTTAAATATAGAAAACATTATTTGGACCACCTATGAGTATATTATTAAATTTCTCCAAATCAAAGCTCCTTTGGAAGGTAAGATTAATGCCCAGAGGTGCCTAATATGCCTGGTAGATGGATTATACTTATGTGATGAATGAATGAATAAATTTTGAAGTTAGATGTACATGGTGAATTAAAGTCTCAGACGTTCCTTTTACTAACTATATAACTTTGGGCCATTTACTCAGCTTCCTTATGCCGTAATATCTTCACTTGTGAGATAGAAAACTATCAACTTCAAGGGATCATTTTGAGAACTGAATGATCCAATATACTTCAATGATAGCAGGCTTCGGTCATTTGCTGAGAATGCCTCACGAATGCTATGTTTAGTATCACTACTGAAGTTATAAAGGGGAAGAGTGTATGACAATGCATGCAGCAGTAATTAAATATTCATTTATTTTACTTTGATTTTCCAAGTTAATGTACACTAATTTGTTTCTATAGTATTTCTTCTATTGCCACCTCTAAAGGTGTGAAATTTATATCATCGTCTCTTAGGTTTGATAGAAAATTCCTTATCTTACTTACTTCTCGCAGGGATTCTGTGTGATTTGGGAACATTTCTATAAAATAATCTGAGCTGTCCTAGAAAGAAAGAGCTGTATAAAAACTAAAAATCACTAAGTCCTCATAAGGACTGGCTGCTTCCTTACCTACTGTTGTATTCATTGAGGATTTCAGACCACTTTGGAGATACAATTAATAAAAATAACAGGCAGCTCAGTAAGGACCCATGGCAACTCAAGTCTATCATCAGGAAAGAGTCACCAAGAACTATAGAATTTGAAGATTTTGTTCTCCCCTTCATTTTACTTATCATTTTTAGGAACTCTTACCACCTTGAGAGTGCTATTGAAGAACATGGCTGGTACCAATACAAATGGTGAATAGAAACAGTCAATATCACATTGAACAGCTCAAGAACAATTGTTAATATGCAAATAAAATGAACCTGTAATGCAGCTCTAATTACAAACAACTTCTCTTTGCTTTTTTTTTGATATAACTCATGGCAATGGTTTTTAAAAAAAAGTTTTTAAAAAAGAAAAAATATTCCCATCTAGAAAAGCTTAATAAGCTGATATGTACTTCAAATTTATATGCTTAAATGTACACTTATCACAAAAAGGGATCAGTCTTTATACAGTATTATTTACCTGCTTTCTTCAATTAATAAGACATCAGAATTCTTATACGCCTTGCTCCAAGACGGAGACTTGCTCTGTGGCTCAGGCTGGAGTACAGTGGCATGATATCGGCTCACTGCAACCTACTCCACCTTCTGGGTTCAAGCAATTCTCCTGCCTCAGACTCCCAAGTAGCTGGGATTACAGATGCCCGCCACCAGGCCCGGCTAATTTTTGTATTTTTAGTAGAGCCGAGGTTTCACCACGTTGGCCGGGCTGGTCTCGGATTCCTGACCTCGCAATCTGCCTGCCTCAGCATCCCAAAGTGCTGGGATTACAGGCATGTAATTTAAATATAAAACCACACCCAGCCCATAAATATATTTCTATGATTCAGTTTAATGTTCACTTTATGTGTATGTCTGTGCATATATATATATAAACTTACCATGTAACATTTTCTAAAAACTAGCATTCCTAATTTGGACTAAAAATCCACTGTGTTGAATACAAAAGCATTATTTGTAGGAAAAGCTTACTTATTTGCTATCAGCAAAGCAGGTTTGCCAAGTTATAAAATTTAGCCATGCAATTTATCCAAAAGAAATGTTGTCTTTAGCTTGAAAAATTTTCTAATCAAATGTATTTCCCAAAGTAGTTGTTTGCTCCTGAAAGGAAATTATCACCATATTTTTACACTAAGTTCACATTTTCGAATATCTGATAACTTTCTTTGGGAGAGCTTAAGATTTCAAATTCAAGTCAACAATTATTTACTAGCTCTTTAGGGACACTGAGCTACATATATAAAACCCCAATGACAAAACTAGTATTTGGAAACATATAAAACGTATATATTTTAAATTTTTTATCTAATAGGGTAAGAGTAATAAGTGACTATTCTATTTACACACATACATTTATAGTCTTCTGAATATACACACATATTTAGGATCTTCTCTTTTTGTTGGGAAAAGAATCAGCCCTGAGCTTCTTTTAGATGGACTCTGTAAGTTCTGACTTTGACACCAGAAAAAATAAAAATAAAAACGTTGTTTCTAAGTTTTGAACAGGTGCTGCTGGCCTCTTACAGTAGAGCTGAGCTACTCAGCTCTAGTGCGGCTCTTTTAATTGACCTCTTCAGAAACCCTAATGGACATTATGGAAATTTACAGGACATTTTTCCTCGGCCATCTGAGAAAGAAGGAACTTCTCCCATGCAGAGAAAAATCTATATTACTTCAGATAGTGGTAGATTCAAAGCAGCAGAATTCCAAGCCAGTGGTTTTATCCACCAAAATAAACAGAACATGCACATTCCCAGGCTTATCATGGCCCATCTTTCTTTTGCAGATAAGGGCCGCATGCTTCTCACAGCTGTTTTTGATACCAACCACAGAACAGTTTCTTCCCCAGTCTTCTACTGGCCTTCCTGTCCATGTTTTGCCATTTAGCACACTCTGATTGAACTATTCCTGAACTTCTCTCCCAAATACAATTGACTTCCTTCCTCTAAATGGACCTGCCATGTATAACATTTCATTGGCTCCTCGGGCAAGGTCTGCCCATGGACAGACCCTGAGATGTAATAGCTCCAAGCAATTTACCAAAGTCCAATTTACTGGAAGAATTTCCAATGACCAATATACAGCGAAATCAGTGACCTGAAATTTTCAATGTTACTAAAACTTGTTTAACTATTTATAAAGTTTATAGCAACTCATAGAGGATAAACAATGAGACATAAGGCAGGTCTAGGGAACTGGGGAAGGAGGTCTTCCTGGGTCTTCGGATTCTTCCCTGCACCACAGCCCCCCTGAACTTCCTCAGCCCCACCCCATACCATCCCAGACCTCCACATGCCTCCCCTGCCTTCTCCTACTCTCAGTCCCTCCCCAACCTCTTCCCCTAACATCTTGTCTTTTTCTGTCCTTACACTTCCCCTTTGTAGATCTGCAGCTTAAATTATGACATATTCAGTCTCTTCCATCATTTATTGTTTTGGCTTGACACAAATTAAATATTGTTTAAAATGCTCTTTTGGCTTTGTCTTTATAACCCATCAACTAAGATGAGCCAGAGACCTTCAAAAGCTATTTTTAAAAGTCCCCATCCAATATTTTTATGAATATCAATAGCTATAACTTTATAAATAGAAGAAGAAAAACACTGTCAATATATTAACATGATGAATTCAGTAATTTCAGTGAATTGGTCATTTGGTTGAATAGATGATTGAACTAATTGGCTTTTGGCAAAGTGGTCATTAAAAACATATGCCTGGGCTGGGCATGGTGACTCATGCCTGTAATCCCAGCACTTTGGGAGGCCGAGGCAGGTGGATTGCTTGAGCTCAGAATTCAAGACAAGCCTGGGCAACATGGCAAAATCCAACCTCTACAAAAAATACAGAAATTAGCCAGTCATGGTGGTGCGCAGCTTTTGTCCCAGCTACTTGGGGGGCTAAAGTCGGGGGACTGCTTGAGCCTGGGAGGCAGAGGTTGCAGTGAGCCAAGATTGTACCACTGCACTCCAGCCTGGGCAACAGAGTGAGACCCTGTTTCAAAACAAACAAACAAACAAACACTCCCATATGCCTGCATCTCTATTCTTGGTCACCCCAATAAGGGTGTGAACTTCGGCTTAGAAACCTCATACATGGTTGTCCCTGTAACACCAAAAAACGAGGGCCCCATGTAAAGTTAGAAGAAGGCAATGACAACATAGAAAAAAGGGAGAGGAGAGGCAGCAGCTAGAATACTACAATAAAAAGAGACTAGAAAGGTTTAGAGGAGAAAAAAAAATAAGAAAGGAGTAAGCCAGAGAATCAATGAATACAGTTGCTTAGAATCTGTATAAAGGGTGAAATCTACAAGACCTATATGCATATTAGTAATCTGTGTTCCAGAAACCCATTATTACCAAAGCATACATGATTATTGATACTCTCGCATTCTCCTTATTAAAAATTACTAAAAATAATCCCCCACCCAAGCCACTATTTAAGCACAAATCTAAGTCTAAGAAAATAGACACCAGCCTTTATAGAAAAAAATAGAACAGGACCAAAATTCAAGAATAACATTAACATGGGAATGATCTCCTTTAATCCTACAAAAGGAGATAGACATGCTTTACACTGCTTCTTTAAGGATGAGGAATACTTTTCAGCCTTATAAAAGGAGATCCTGCCATTTGCAATGACATGAATAAACCTGGAGGACATTATGCTAAGTGAAATAAGCCAGGCATAGAAAAAACATGCCATGTGGTCTTTCATATGTGGCATCTAAAAAGAAATCAAATACACACAAACAAAAAGTAGAAGACTTTTTTCCAAGTGAAGGGGAGCAAAGAAATAGGGTGAAGTAGGTCAATGGCACTGAGGTGCAGTTATGTAAGATGAGTGAGTCTGGAGACCTACCATACGATGAGGACTCTAGTTAATGGAAGGGTATTGTATATTAAAAATGTATTAAGAGAATAGATTTTAAGTGCTCTTACCACACACAAATAAGTAACTATGTGATGATGGATATGTTAATTGGCTTCACTGTAGGAAGCATTTCACTATGTGATATGGTTTGGATGTGTGTCCCCATCCACACCTCATATTGAGGTGTAATCCCTAATGTTGGAGGTGGGGCCCGGTGGGAGGTCATCCGGTCATGGTGGTGGATTTCTCATGAATGGCTCTGCATCATCCCTGTTGGTACTGTCTTCATGACAGTGAGCGAATTCTCAAGAGATCCGATTGTTTAAAAGTGTGTGGCACCTCCCTGCTCTCTCTCTCTTGCTCCTGCTCTGACCATGTGACATGCTTGCTCCCTGGAAGCCATGATTCTAAGCTCCTCAGAAGCCAGCATCATGCTTCCTGTACAGCCTGTGGAACCATGCGTCAATGACGGCTCTTTATCTTTATAAATTATCCAGTCTCAGGTATTTATAGCAATGCAAGAACGGACTACTAATACACTATGTATATCAAAACATCATGTTGTGCCTTAAATACATGTAATAAAAAATTTTTTTTAAAGGATGAGGAAAGTTAGAAAGTTCAGAGCTGAGCCTTGAACCCAGATTGTTTTCACTCTAAAGGCTTCAGAACTACAGTAATTTTACAAAATAGCCCCCAAATTCTGTGGTACTTAATAAAAAAGTAGGGTATCTGTCCCCATTCCTCTTGAATTGGGTGACTGCTTCAACCACTGTGGTGCAGTGTTCCTTCCAAGGCTGCATCATAAAAGATGACGCAGCTTCTGCCTTGTGCTGGGACCCTTGTGCCTGGAGCCCTGAGCTTCCACATAAAAAGCTTAGTGACTCTGATGCTGCCATGTCATGAGGAAGACATGCTGCATGGGGAGGCCTCATGTGGAACCATCTTCATCTTCCAGACACCTGATTCCACACACACAATATGGGAATCAACAAACCTTCAAGTCTTCCAAAGATAGGACCCCAATAGCCAAGTCCTCCCAACCTTCAACTCTTCCCAGGTGAAGCCCCAGACAGCATGCAGCAAAAACAGGCCAACTCCATTGGGCTTTGTCCAAACTTACACTCCCAGAATTCACGAACACATGGTTGCTACTGAGATTCAAGGCAATTTGTTACATAGAGAGAGTCTCAAGAATAACACCCTTCACCATGACAGGCCACACTCCCTGCCTCAAACTCAGCAAGGAATGATGGTGTGATAGGACTAACTGTCACTGAAATCAAAACTCAGACATGAGTAAATCACGGACATGTGGGAATACACAACACACATCAACGTGCGCACAGGCAGAATATCTCTTACCAACTTTACAGACAATGAAACAAATACATTAAAAGAGTGACTTGAAACACAGCAAGTATCATCGTGGTATAGAAATAAACACTTGATAGGCCGGGCGCGGTGGCTCACACCTGGAATCCCAGCACTTTGGGAGGCCAAGGCGGGTGGATCACGAGGTCAGGAGATCAAGACCATCCTGGCTAACACAGTGAAACCCCGTCTCTACTAAAAATACAAAAAATTAGCCGGGCGTGGTGGCGGGCACCTGTAGTCCCAGCTACTCATGAGGCTGAGGCAGGAGAATGGTATGAACCCGGGAGGCAGAGCCTGCAGTGAGCCGAGATCACGCCACTGCACTCCAGCCTGGGTGACAGAGCAAAACTCCCATCTCAAAAAAAAAAAAAAGAAAAGAAATAAACACTTGATAAAAACCACCCCCTCAAGAGAAGCCCCAATCAAGCAAATAGAAGACATGCTACATTTAATTCAAGCCAATGATGTTTGGTTGGGTGTAAGGCAATTTTCTTACACGCAGCAGGAATAGAAAACATCCCAATTTTGCTCCAAGGTATTTCATAGGAATTGAGATGGGGTTCCACAGAAACAGATAAACTGACTCTATAAAGCAGCAAAGCATCAAGACATTCTGATCAATCCACAAGACTGCACAGAGTCCCAAAACAAAACCATACAACAAAAATCTTCAGAGGAAATGGTTCAGTTGTGGGAATACATTAAAGACTGTTGGGACAAACATGTCCGGTGATGATATGTACCAAGTGGCAAAGGAATAAACAGAAACCATTTTAAAACTCAGCTCTAATCACTTACTGCAGGACATCCACAAGCTACCAAAACTCAAAGAGTGAAGGAAAACCACTCCTGTGTTACAGAATGGGTGTCTGCATCTTTGAAAGGTTCACATTTGCTCTTGAACAACAATTTTTCTGATACACTGGCCCAGATGTGGCCAATGATCTCATGCCATCTGGTGTTCAGAGAAGGTACTCCAATGAGAAGCAAATCCCAAATGTTGCAAAATAAAAAGGACTGAATTTTCAATACAATAAAACTCTGGTGTGGAGCTGATGCCGAACAAGAGAACAACATCAATAGGAATCAAAGAGAAATTGTTGAAGCAGGCTCCAATATGTGCTGCAATTTAATGTATACTTAAAAAGTGACCGTCACATCATTACGAAAAGAAATATTTAGTCCTAGTTAGATAGATAGCCATTTGGTTCAAGTAAAACTCAGTTCCTACTCTGGGCCAGAAACTAAGTAAACTTGACAGAGATCAAAGAAATAAATGAAAAAATGTAAAACTAGATAGAAAAGAGAAGAAATGTAGGTGAATGTGTGTGTCTCTCAAGAAGCTTTCTAGATAAAAAATGACACTTTCCAGAAAAGAATCGTAAGATTAAAAATATTTTTGCAACAAAAACTTTATAAACACAATCTAAAGGCAAGTGACAAATTTAAAAAATGCATGTGAACATGCCCAGGAGACAGAATGAACAAGTGATGCATGGAACAGACTATGCAGAGAAGCAAATATCTCATTAACCAAACATATTTAAAGGTCCAAATTGATGAAAACAATTTAAAGAAAAAAACAAGACAACACTTTCCTTCTATCAAATTAACAAAGATATGGCTAGGCACGGTGGCTAATGCCTGTAATCCCAGCACTTTGGGAGGCCGAGGTTGGGGGGGGGTGGGGCGGGGATCACCTGAGGTCAAGAGTTCGAGACCAGCCTGGCCAACAGGGTGAAACGCCATCTCTACTAAAAACACAAAAATTAGCCAGGCGTGGTGGCCCATGCCTGTAATCCCAGCTACTCAGGAGGCTGAGGCAGGAGAATTGCTTGAACCCAGGAGGCAGAAGTTGTAGGAAGCTGAGATCATGCCACTGCACTCCAGCCTGGGTGACAGAGCGAGACTCAGTCTCAAAAAAAAAAAAAGTAACAATAATATTCCACATAACAAGGTAGGTGAGAAACAAAAAGTGGCCCACTTTCACACACCAGTAGGTCAACAAATAGGTCTTTCTCAAGAGTAAATTGGCAATTTTTTAATGAGAATCTTGAAATGCTCAGATCATATAACACAAAAAATGCAATCCACCTGAATAAATAACTCACTTGCAAATATATGAAAAAGTAACCTGTACACACAGATTTAGGTATAAGAACGTTTGTTGTGGCATTATTCCTAATGTTACAAATTTTGAACAAACTTAATTCAGAATGTTGACTGAACAAAGTATGGTGCCCTAAGCTTTTAATTTCTTCTCCAAAATAAAGTTTTTATAATACAGAGAAAAATGTGTAGAGAGAAAACACCAGGTAACCAAACATTTAAAAGCCAGATTCTCTTTCATTTTAGAAAGAAAAATAGATTTTAAAAATCGGGGCGGGCCAGCCACGGTGGCTCATGCCTGTAATCCCAGCACTTTGGGAGGCTGAGGCAGGCAGATCACAAGGTCAGGAGATCGAGACCATCCTGGCCAACATGGTGAAACCCCCATCACTACTAAAAATACAAAAATTAGCTGGGCATGGTGGCGCATGCCTGTAATCCCAGCTACTCGGGAGGCTGATGCAGGAGAATCACTTGAACCAGAGAGGCAGAGGTTGCAGTGAGCCGAGATCGCGCCACTGTACTCCAGCCTGGCAACAGACCAAGACTCCGTCTCAAAAAAAAAAAAAAAAAAAAAAAAAATCGGAGCGATGGAGTAGAGTAGGTTCAGAATTTCGGTAAGGCCTAGTGGTGTGCCTTCGTCAACACCAGTTTTACTCATGAAGGGGCATTTTCTAGGTCAAATTTATGATGGGGAAAATTAAACCTCAATCCACGACAGAGTCTTTATTCAAATAAGGTGCCTTTTAAAAGAGTCTCTCATTTCTCCTGTTTCACAGAAAATAAGACCTGACCTCAAGAAAACACCTTTCACAACCCTCACACCACCCAGGTTAGAGGTGGTGGTGGCGGCAGGGGGAGGAACTTTTATCTCAAAAGAAGTAAAAGAGCAAAAAGATACACAAAAAGTACAAAAATTGATGAGGAAACTGGGAAGATAAGCCCACGATAAAAAGGATGGGGAAATCACAAAGTCATTCCTGTTCCCACAGGCGAAATGCAAAAACAAAACCCAAACTAGAATAACTATACCAAGAATAACTATGACAATTCACACGGCAATAGTAACAGCTAATGTTTATTGCATATGACTGTTTCAGCTCCACCCACCTCACGGCCCCGCCCCACGACCACCACCAAGTCTCCACAAGCACACACACCAGGTTAATCCTACCGCAAGCCTAGCAGGCTCATGGCTAGACCGTGTCTGAGCTAGAATCCAAACTCCGGTGGTCCATGTCCAAAGCCCACGCATAACCCTCACCCACCATCCAGCACTCTTCAGCACGTCACATCATGACACAAAACAAAATGATGTCTGTAGGGCACAGCAGGGTTTATGGTGGCCCAAGCCTAACAGAGGTGCCCAGAGGGCTGCCAGAATGAATACTTCAGTACATCCCATTCAGAACACACCTGTTGGGAAGCTACACCGCTGCTCAGTATACAATACAGAGTTCTAGCAACATCATAAAAATTAGCCTGCTAAATAGCAAAAGAAAACCAGGACTTAAATCAGTCATTTTAACTTTTTGGTAACAATTTAGTAATTTATTAAACAACAATAATTGAATAATAATATAATAAACAATAAGATAACAATTATTTAATAATAGTAAAAATTATGCTATGTAACAGCGATTACATAGCATAATTCTCACAGTATCGAGAGATCTTTAAATTTTTTCTCTGAACTACTCCTTTTAAATATGAACTTGACTTATGTAGCACATTTTTTTCCATTATCTGCATATAAAGCTGCCATTGCTCTAGAAACGAACGTCAGATATCTACCTGTGCTGGAAATTGAGAAAGAGAGCAGTTTTCTGAATGAGTGTTCATTTATTTTCATCCACTAAAACTCGCATCAAAAAAGACCATCAAACCTCAACCTACAGCTGAAGTGATTTTCACGGCCCTAGTAATGTGACAGCGAACTTCCATTAACTTTTCTTTTCCTTTTGCAACGCTACAGAGTGGCCACAAGAGGGCACCAGCAACACAGTATTCCCTCAGCCCACAGTGGTAAACTACTACAGCGGCCTAACATTACAGCAAAGCACAGGGTTTTAAAGCGAGGGCTATTGTTTTCCACGTATTAGCGCTCTACGAGCCAACAGGGTATGAGCTGAGCATTTTGCACAGGACGAGAGACCTGCCCATATCGCAAGGCTGAAGTTCAAGCCAGGCCTGGAGCATAAGACCAGCTCTAAGACGCCAGAACACCTCCTCCTCGGCCACATTCCTTCCCATGGGAAATGGACCCAGGGTTCAGTTTCCTCCATGCATCAACCAAATCATGAAGCAGTTGGAATTAAAGGCGATTGCTCACATATTTCTTCTGCTTTACCAGTCTCAAAGTTTAAGACAGCCAAGAGCTACTCAGATCGAGAACTTAAAACAAGTGTAAGTCCTATTTGGTCGAAAACAATACATCTTGTATAACATCCCGGAAAATAATGGAAAGGAAATGGGGAATATAAGGAAATAAAAGGAAAACGTTAGGATGAAGAAAAGGAGAGTAGAAAGAGCAAAGAAAGATGAGAGAAATAGAAGAGGGGACAGGGAGGGTCAGATGAACACAACACACAGGCAATGGCTGAGACAGCAGACATGCAGGAAGATGGCGGCCATTCTTCCTATGCGGATTGCTAACGAAGGTGAGCTCAATGCCATGCCTGGACCATTGACAGCATCAGAGTAAGACTCGTTCTTAGAAAGACCACTACAGCAGCCAAAGTCATCCAACAATAAATAATAACAGTAATAATAACAGGGCTGCTTAGTTTACTCCTGAGCTCCCCAATACCAGACCTCCTATTGTCAAGGCTGAAGGCCCACATGCCAAAGATTCAAAGGAAATTCTTGAAGAACTGGAAAACCACCTGCAAGGAACAATCTTCTAAATGTGGCCACACTTCCAGAGCTACCTGATCCAAACTTCTCAGCCTCCCATGATAGTCTTCTGTGCCCATGATTATTCATGGGTATTAAGCATGCTTAAGACAGGGAGTTCTTAGTCTCCCACCAACTTCATTTTTCATTACCCATAGGTTTTTGTTTTTTTAAGTCTGCACACATACACACACTGAGAGGCCACAGCTAAAGACCCTGAGGTGTCCTGGTGGCAACTATACAACATTACCCCTTTCCCAACACCATTGCTAAACCTGCCCATTGTTCTGAAGCCAGACTTCCTTGTGAGTCTTTCTAAAGAACAATTAACAATGGTGTAGTTCAGCAATCTTCACCAAAACTCCCAGAAAAATCTCCAAATCCCACCTTGATAACCTGCTTAACATACCAGCTCTGTGTTTGAACCAGGGAAGGGAGTGATTTAGATAAAACCTCACAGCTCTTTATGCCAGTGAAGCCTATTTCCCAGCCTCTCGCTGACGGCATCACAGCAGAGACAGGGAACTCTGGTATCTGAGACCTTTTCTGCATGTGTTTCCTCGTGGGCAAAGTCACCAAAAACTTCCTATGCTCAATCACATACCCTCTAAGCACTTTCTAACATCCTTTCTTGGGGTTTGTGAGCTGTCTTTTCCTAAGGGAGACACCATATTCTTCCACTCCACTGCTGAGTTAAATAGCAAGAAAATGACTTTTTATTACCCAACATCTCCGGATTTTTCTGCATGATTTCATGTCGTATTTCCAAGATGCTTCCGCTGAAAGCATTAGCCTCAACTCTTGATGACTGCCTAATGAGATTATACCATCTTTGTTGTAGATGTTTTTAAAGCAGTTTTTCAAAGCAAGAATCCAAAAATCAGACCATGATATTCTAGGCAGAGGTCAACAAACTTTGGCCCATCAGTTAAATCCAGACCACTGCCTGTTTTTGTAAATAAATTTATATTGGAAAACAGCTATGTTCATTTGTTTATTGTCTATGGCTGCTTTCTCACTATGTCAAGAGTTAATTTTCACTTATAGCCCATAAAGCCATAAAAAGTCTACTAATCCATGTTCTAGACAGAAAGTAACAGACAGTAATGATTATGTAACAATCCGAAGAAAATGCAGAACTCCTTCCTTAGCAGAGAGTGATTCATCAAAATAGCTTTTCTCCCTAAAAAAAAAAAAATTCAAAAACAGGGGCTGTGCAATTGGAATTAAAGGCCCTAAAGCTGCTGCTCCTCCATGGTCAAGGTTGCAACACATTTGAATAACTCTGAAGGAGCCTCTGTCATAATAAAAAATATGTGATTAATTAGATCCGTGTTTTTTACTTAAAATTAAATACATGATTCCACATAGGAAAATAAAATACAGGTGACTCTTGAAAACATGCATTTGAACAACTGCAAGGGTTCACTTATACAGAATTTTTGTCCTCCTCTGCATCTCCTGAGACAGCAAGACCAAACCCTGGTCTTTCACCTCCTCCTCAGCCAATTGGATGTGAAGACAATGAGGGTGCAGGCTTTTATGATGATCCACTTTCACCTAACGAATAATAAATCTACTTTCTCTCTTTTATGATTTTCTTAACACTTCTTCTCTAGCTTACCTTATTATAAGAATACAGTATATAATACATATACAAAATATATGCCAACGGGCTGTTTATGTTATCAGTAAGGCTTCTGGTCAACAGTAGGCCACTAGTAGTTGTGTTTTGGGGAATTCAAAAGTTATATGTGGGTTTCTGACTGCATGAGGGGTTGGCACCCCTAACCTCCTGCATTGTTTATTGATTAGCTGTATTTTAAAAACCCTATGCTAAAGACAGATCATAGAGAGAGCACAGAGAAATTGGCAAACTGACACAAGTTAGGGACCAAGCATCTAATTCAATGACGGGGGAGCTGACATGGAACACAGCAATGAGTTCTGTACTGGGAGTCAAGAACATGGCCAACTTGCATTATGATTATTCATTAATTACTATAACAACATATCTATTGCCTATTTTCTAAATGTAGGCCACTATGGCATCTATACATCTTTATTAATAATAATAGTACATATTTATGGGGTACACGTAATATTTTGATACATGCATACAATGTGTAATGATCAAATCAGCCTAATTGAAATATGCATCACCTCAAACACATCATTTGTGTTGGGAATATTCCAAATCTTCTCTTCTATTTTGAAATATACAATAAATTATTATTAAGTATAGTCACCCTACTGAGCCATTGAACACTGTAACTTATTCTTTCTACTGTATTTTTGTACCCCTTAACCAACCCTTCTTCATTTTCCCCATTCCCACCCTTCCCAGCCTCTGGTAGTAAGCATTCTCCTCTCTGTCTCCACGGATCAACTTTCTAGCTCACACGTGAGTCAGAATATGGGATATTTGTCTTTTTGTGCCTGACTTATTTTACTTAACATTTTGTCCCCCAGCCTCATCCATATTGTTTTACTTTTTTCAGTCCTTACAATCACATTATGAGGCAAGGTACATCACACCCATTTTAGAGAGGTTATGTAAGTTGTACAAGGAGGTCACAAAGCCAAGTAGTAGACCAAATCCAAATCCTCTTCTTGTCCCACTGAGCCACCCAGTCTGCTCTGAATCTTGCCTCCCAACGTGACCCTCAATAAGTCATTCAATTTTTGTGCTTCCATTTCCTGAATTAAAGCTTCCATTAAATCAGCAGCTGGACCAGGTGACCTATATGAAAGTCATCTTCATCTCTGAAATCATATAAATCCTTTTTGCTGACTTTCATCACCAAGCCCCAGAAGAACACCAGTGTAGTGCCCATTTCACTGAGGAAACCCAAGACATGCTTGTTGAATAAGGGAGTAAGTGACTAAATACTGTTCATTCTGAAAAGGTACTTTCCCTTGTATAACAGGCCTCAATGCTCCTTAAGTCCAGCACTGAAGTTGGATTTCTTCAACGAAGAACTAAAATTTATTAAAAATATTCTGTGTATAAACCATCAGTTATAGCACAGGAGGGCATACAAAGATTAATAAACTAGGGCCAGGCGCAGTGGCTCACAGCTGTAATCCCAGCACTTTGGGAGGCCGAGGCGGGTGGATCACAAGGTCAGGAGATCGAGACCATCCTGGCTAACACGGTGAAACCCTGTCTCTACTAAAAATACAAAAATTAGCTGGGCGTGGTGGCGGGTGCCTGTAGTCCCAACTACTTGGGAGGCTGAGACAGGAGAATGGCGTGAACCCAGGAGGTGGAGCTTGCAGTGAGCCGAGTCTGTGCCACCGCACTCCAGCCTGGGCGACAGAGCGAGACTCCATCTCAAAAAAAAAAAAAAAAAAAGATTAATAAACTATTCTCCCTCCTAATACAGCACTAAGATTGTAATAGAGCAGATCAGTCATTTCCCCAATTAAG